>NC_000023.11:105587542-106212542 GCF_000001405.40 Homo sapiens | reverse complement strand
GTATGTATGTATCTATCTATATCTATCTATCTATCTATCTATCTATCTATCTATCTATCTATCTATCATCTATCATCTATCTATCGATCGATCTATCTAAATCTGTAAGCATTATGTATGTGGTGTTCTTGCAGCTCTGTAGACCTGGGCCAGATTAGAATCTGGGCCTGATATTCAGAAGTCTGCCTTATGACTAGAAAAGATGAGGGTTTCCTTAACCCAGTGGGTTAGGGTGGATAACAAGTCAGGCTCTCCGATCAGACACACAAACCTACATTAGGGATCCAGCTTAGGGCAATCTTAGAGTTGCCTTAACAGCTACTCAGGCTGCAAGGGATCTGAGTCCACAATGTGTTGGAAGCCAAATTCATCCATTTTCACATCTCAAATGCCATTCAATGATTCATTCAAAGAGGAGAATGGATGCATGTTTGAGGCATTCCTCCCTTACTTCACTATGCCTCAAGATAAATGACATCTTAAGAGGGATCAGGTGTCCAATCTTTACTACAAACCAAACAGACACTTGGGAATTCCCAAATATGAGGAAACTTGGGCTCTGGTTTTCAAGTACAGGCAGTCTGTGCAAAAAGTTAATCAATATTTCTCACTATGATGATGTAGTGCATCCTACTCATCTTAGAAATTAGATTTTCATCTGGATCACAGAAGTAACATCTCCTTTCTTTGGAGCCTGAAATCTACCCTCAGAGCAGAGCTTTAGCTACAGATCACTTGCTCTCCTGACTCACAATGCTATAAATGAATGAATAAGGTAATAATGAAAATATTAGAACCAGGAGACAGAGATAGCTCCACTGAGAGAACTAAAGGTGGGTATTATATTGGAATCAGAGGGACACAATATTATTGATATGGTTTGGCTGTGTCCCCACCCAAATCTCATTTTTAATTCCCATGTGTTGTGGGAGGGACCCAGTGGGAGATAACTGAATCATGGGGGGACGTCTTTTCCATGTTGTTCTTGTGATAGTGAAGTCTCATGAGATCTGATCATTTTATAAAGAGAAACTCCCCAGCAAAGAGTTCTCTCTTTGCCTGCTGCCATCCATGTAAGATGTGACTTGCTCCTCTTTGCCTTCTGCCATGATTGTGAGGTCCCCCACAGCCATGTGGAACAGGAAGTCCATTAAACTTCTTTCTTTTGTAAATTGCCCAGTCTCTGGTATGTCTTTATCAGCAGTGTGAAAACAGACTAATACAGTAAATTGGCACCAGTAGAGTGGGGTGCTGCTGTAGATACCTGAAAATGTGGAAGCAACTTTGGAACTGGGTAACAGGCATATGTTGGAACAGTTTGGAGGGCTCATAAGAAGACAGGAAAATGTGGAAAACTTTGAAACTCCCTAGACTTGTTGAATGGCTTTGACCAAAATGCTGATAATGATATAAACAATGAAATCCAGGCTGTGGTCTCAGATGGAGATAAGAAACTTGTTTGGAACTGGAGCAAAGGTGACTCTTGTTATGTTTTAGCAAAGAGACTGGTGGCAATTTGCTCCTGCCCTAGAGATTTGTGGAATCTTGAACTTGAGAGGGATGATTTAGGGTATCTGGTGGAAGAAATTTCTAACCAGCAAAGCATTCAAGAGGTGACTTGGGTGCTGTTGAAGGCATTCAGTTTCATAAGGGAAGCAGAGCACAAAAATTCATAAAATTTGCAGCCAGACAATGCGATAGAAAAAAAAATTCCATTTTCTGAGGAGAAATCCAAGACAGCTGCAGAAATTTGCGTAACGAGGAGCAGAATGTTAATCCCCAAGACAATGGGGACAATGTCTCCAGGACATGTCAGAGGTCTTCACAGCAGCCCCTCCCATCACAGGCTCAAAGGCTTAGGAGAAAAAAGTGGTTTCAGGGGCCAGGCCCAGGGTCTCCGTGCTGTGTGCAGCCCAGGATCCCCATGAGGTGTGCAGTGCTGGTGCCCTGCGTGCAAGCCACTCCAGCTATTGCTGAAGGGGGTCAATGTAGCACTTGGGCCATGGCTTGAGAAGGTGCAAACCTCATGCCTTGGCAGCTTCCATGTGGTGTTGGGCATGCCAGTGCACAGAAGTCAAGAATTGGGGTTTGGGAACCATTGCCTAGATTTCAGAGGATGTATGGAAATGCCTGGATGCCCAGGCACAAGTTTGCTGCAGGGGTGGGGCTCTCATGAAGAACTTCTGCTAGGACAGTGTAGAAGAGAAATATGGGGTCGGAGCCCCAACACAGAGTCCCTACTGGGGCACCACCTAGTAGAGCTGTGAGAAGAGGGCCACTGTCCTCCAGACCCCAGAATGGTAGATCCACCAACAGCTTGCATCATGCACCTGGAAAAGCCGCAGACCCTCAATGCCAGCCCATAAAAACTGCCAGGAGGGAGGTTATACCCTGCAAAGCCACAGAAGCGAAGCTGCCCAAACCATGGGAACAAACCTCTTGCATCAGTGTGACCTGGATATGAGGCATGGAGTCAAAGGAAATCATTTTGGAGATTTAAGATTTGACTGCCCTGATGGATTTCAGACTTGCATGGGGCTTATAGCCCCTTTGTTTTGGCCAAATTCTCCCATTTGGGATGGCTGTATTTACTCAATGCCTATACCCTCATTGTATCTAGGAAGTAACTAACTTGCTTTTGATTTTACAGGCTCATATGCAGAAGGGACTTGCCTTGTCTCAGATGAGACACTGGACTGTGGACTTTTGAGTTAATGCTGAAATGATTTAAGACTTTGGAGGACTGTTGGGAAGGCAAGATTGGTTTTGAAATGTGAGGACATGAGATTTGGGATGGGCCAGGGGTGGAATGATATGGATTGGCTTTGTCCAAACCCAAATCTCATCTTGAATTCCCACGTTATGGGAGGGACCCAGTGGCAAATAATTGAATCATGGGGGTATGTCTTTCCCATGCTGTTCTTGTGATAGTGAATAAGTCTCATGAATTCTGATTGTTTTATAAAGAGGAACTCCCCTGCATGAGTTCTCTCTCTCTTTGCCTGCTGCCATCCATGTAAGAAGATGTGACTTGCTCCTCCTTGCCTTCGGCCATGATTGTGAGGCCCCACCCAGCCATGTGGAACTATAAGTCCGTTAAACCTCTTTCTTTTGTAAAATGCCCAGTCTCTGGTATGTCTTTATCAGCAGTGTGAAAATGGACTAATTATAGAGCAAATAAAGTGTGTTTTATCGAGGGTATAAAATCCACATACAGTGTGATGATGGTTTGTTGTAAATTACTTCTTAGGGCAATGGGGAAGGTATGTGGATTGATAGAGGCTGTATGTCCAAGAAGTCTTGGTCTTTTTTAGTCAGGGTCCAAAGAAGGTTTTGTGGGACATGCAGCTTATAAAATTCGGTAGGCTTTCTATTAAAGTAATACAAAATCAACATGAAAGGGAATACTTATTTAGAATGACAACTTATAGCAGGTGTTAAAATGATGGTAACTACAAGAACCAAAAATTCCAAACAAATCATATATATACATTGTGTGTGTGTGTGTGTGTGTGTGTATTAAATTTGGAGAAACACCACTTATGTAGCTGCACAATTTCAAGTAGGATGAAGTAAAAATCCAAGGTGAATAATATAACAGTTTTATTATAAATCAAAACACCAAACTTTTGCAAACTTTACATAAACGTGTAGCCATATGACTGTATAACAAGAGCCCAAGAGCAACCATTGTCTAACAGGTAGAAATGCAGACAGTTTCATGTTAAGCCTTTAGAATTTCCTTTCACGGCAGGTTTCCAAAATAAACTAACTTTTCTAACATTTATTCTCACAAAAATATATTTCAAGTTAGAATAAACAACTCATTGGCTTCAGACATTTAATTGTATGTATTTAACCATACTCAGATAATTGTCATATTTAGCCAAATGGAGGCTTTTTCTGTGACCTATTTCCAAATTCTCAGATTCTGGTTCATCTACTCCTTCAAGCAGTTTGGAATGACTTGCCAGTTGGCATTTATATCATTGGAACTATTCTGCAAATAAGCCATTTTGATAAAGCTTGCTTGGTTTGAGACAACTATGTATTTGGAGATAAAAGACTCAGAACAAAGTGCTTGCCTTTTCTACAGTTTATATCAAACGAGATGGGCACTTAAGCAGTCAGCCTGGATTCATATGTCTAGAGTGGCCAGGCTGTAAATACAATAAGTCTAGCTGCCTTCCACATGTGGTCAGACAGCTATATTAAGAAGATCTACTCACTGCTGGTTATGAAGATAGCCAGGAGCTTGTCTGATTTAAGGAACTATTCAGCCATTGAAGGATAGACACTCCCAAAAATGGAATTTCAGGGAAGTGTAGAATGAACAATCCTGTTCAAAGCAGCCAAAATTATTTTCTGCATGCCAAGATGTTATTCACACACATAAATACTATATGCAGATAATCTTCATTTTTGAATTACAAGTTGTTTTATTGCAAAAGCAAGTATAGTTATAATATATAGCAAAGCGAATCTATCTTTGGTTCTATATAGCAGATAATTTTTTTGCAAAAATAAATAGGCATGGCAAGAAAAATACTTCAACTATCTTAAGGGAAAACCCAATATTTTATAAAAATTAAGCAAGGAATATAGAAATGATGTATCTTTCAGACTTTTTTCCAATCATCTTCGTTAATATCTAACACCAGTGCAATTTTAACATTAAAATAATTGTGCACAATATATTTAACAATACAGCATAGACTCAAAAGTGTCATAAAACAAAATAGTACTTTCCCTTCAAAATCATTTAGGAATTATGCTTTCTAAAAAATGTACGGGAAAGTAGAACTGCTGAAATATGTTGACAAAATTAACTTTGAAGAAGCGCAAGAAAAGGAAATAAAGATGTAATTATAACCACAGATCCTAGAGATCTCAAAAAAAAGTGAACACATTATCCATGCTCCCATTTGCAGAAAATATGTATTAGAGAGAATTGTTCAGAGACTTTTTTCAACTAGTATCTATGAGAGCTCCCTGTCATGGTTTCAACTTTCAGCACATTTAGTGAGCTTCATTTGTTGGTGCTTTTCGTCTCTTTTCATATATTATTTTTGCATCAAATAATTCTCTTTCCCTGTAGCCTAGACATGGTCCTTTTAGATACTTTGCTTCAGCTGCCTCGTAATCTAACCCATCAACAGCAGAAATTGAACAAATAATTGCTTCTGGCAGAAGAACTTCTAGGATAAATTTAATTTTATCATCTTTTATCCAAGTTGGCATTATTTGATCTATTTGATTGCAGACTTCTTGTAAATATTTCACCACTTCATCCAACTGATCTTCATCCTCAAAGTATGTTTCAATACAGGGTGTGAACCTATTTGCATTCAAAAATGATTTCAGCCATCTGGATCCTTTTGTGCCATTTACAATGGCCAGAAGATGGTTCTCTGTTCCCTTTGCATTCACAATGAAGTCCACCAGGTTCTTGTTGGCTCGGTCCCGAGCAGCCTTCATCCGGTCAGGGAGAATTTTTTGGAAGGACATTTTCTTGGTCTGGGAAGTTACAGCCATCGGTTCCCTGGCATCTTCATTATGCAGCTTTGGAAATTTGTTCCTGAAAGTATCCTGTTTTGTTTCTTTCCTAACTGGGTAACTAATATCAGCAGCATAATACTCAAGCAAAGAGCCCGTGAAAGAACCACAACCTATTCTAACTCTGTAGTCACAAATTAGTGAGATGCACCAGTCAATACTCTCACTATAATCCTCCCTGGCTTTGTCCACTAGCATTTGTTTCTCTTTACAATCAAATTTCTTTAATCTTCTAAAATTTACTCTAATGCCCTTCTTTTCAGAATTCATGTTTGCCTCAACAAAAAGCACACTTGCTTTCCTCTCTTTTCGTCTGATACTTTTTATCACTGCTGGCCAAAATGGATATTTCTGATATTTAAACCAGACTATCATTCCTGTTTCAAACGGATGTGTCTCATAATGTAAAATGAAGCGTGGAAGTTCTTCGTCTTCCTCATCATCATCTAATAGAGAAAGATTAATGCGACTTGGAAGCAATGACTTGTCAGAGGCTTGACCTTCTTCCTCAAGTTCTTCAAAATCCAGTCTCTGAAAATTTCTTTCACTACTCATAAGATGTGAATAATCCCAGACAGGGTTAGAGGCACTAAATGAAACCTCGCATTCCCTTGAACAACTCCCAGGGCATGCTGCAGCCCCCATCTCTGATTCCATGGAAGGTTGATTCTGGCTGGTATCTAAGCATGGATTTGAGGGACCCTCTCCAGGATCCTCAATATTCTCTGAGAAAGCAGAGCATTCAGAGGGAACAGCCAGGGTCTCTAGGCAGGTATCCTCGCTCTCTTCTTTCAAAGCTTTGGGCATAATGAGCATATCTGATGACAAAGGTGACAAAGGTGGAGCAAACTTTTCATCTTTAACACATGCACTTTCCTCTTTGACTGCAGAATGCACAGACATAACTGCTGAGATATCAATCTTATTCTTGTTCTCTTTTTCATCATTATCTTCCGAAAGTGAAGGGAAAGTCTCGCACCAGCTAGAGTTTTGTAATGACTTTGTTTCCACTTCACTTGGAATAGTATCGACCATTGTGGGTGCTTGTGATTTATCATCATACAGGGAATCATCACTCTCTGAAGATGCTAACAAGCATGCTGAGTTTTCCCTTTCCTCAAGACACCCTGGTAAGTCACCTTCATCCTTCCGGTATTTTTTATGAGGGGGTGAATCGGACTGTTTTTGTGGTACATTTTGAGACAGCATAGTGATCTCCTCTTCATCTGAAGTGCTTGCTTGACTCAAATTTGTTCTCTCATTCAGAATACCCAGTGCCACTTTTAGTGATCTTCCATAGGCAGTTTCCTCTGTAGGTGGAGCACTGTCCTCTGACTGTAGTCCTAATGAGGCAGCAATGGCTTCAATTTGAGATTTATTTAGGATCTTTGTTTCTGTGCTGTCCAATTTAATTTTTTCATCTAGTGAGAGTATTTGAACTTCTAGAGAAAATGCCTTTTTCCTCTTACTGTTTGATGAAGTTTCAGATCTGGACAAAACTTTTGCTGGCCACAACTGGTCTTTCCAGTTGCATAGGACATACTCAGACTCCATTATGGTTTATATTTGTGTGCCAAGGGTTATTACCAAAGGTTGAGGTGGCTATCTTTGTCACTGCTAATGCAAGTTCTACCCAAAACAATACTCTTAACAAATCCTCTTTCGTCTTATGACTACAAAGGGTTTACAGCTTGTGTGGCCTGTTCTCCACCTCAATTTTCCAAGGATGCTTGAACACGTTGTTTGAATAGGATGATACCGGAAGATACTGAAACAGGGAAAAGGAAAAGAAGAAAAGTATCAGCAAATACGATTATTTCGCCAAAACGGGAGGTGAGCAATTACAAATGGAGAAGGGATAAAAGAACAATGTGCAGTGGGGCATGAGACAGAGGAGGCAGCATAATATAAGATTGCGGGGGGGAGGGGTGGAAAAAAACCAGAAAAGTTGTTTTATAATACCTCAGATTGAAGAACTTGCCCTCATTATTGAACATGCTTACTAAGGAGTGAATGTATGTACATGGCAGCAGAGGCGGGAGAGCTTGTGATGGGATGTCAGGAACTCTATGTAATTACATACTTTGGTACTTTTGTGTCCCTAATGTCATACTTATAGCAGTGGGTCTCCAAACTTAACATGTGTCAGAATCATCTGAAGGACTTATATTTCTAGGCCCCATCATGAGAGTTTTATTCAGAAGGTTTGGCTTGTGCTCAAAAGTTTGTATTTCTAAAAAGTTCTCAAGTGCCTCTAATGCTACATGTTTAAAAAGAACTCTTTGAGGAGCAATGTTCTAGTTGAAAACACAGCTTTGTATTTTTTAAGCTGCAAGTGCTCCACTGTTCACCTGGAGCAGGCAGACAAAGACAATAGGGTCTGTATCTCCTGGACCCAAACAAAAATACAATGACTCTTCTAAAAGCATAATTTTAGAAGGCAGAGATTCAGAATTACTGCTATGACAACTTCTTGGATAGGATCATTATAAAGGATTGGAGAGTCAGGCCATTGGCCTGAACCTCAGGGAGACACCTGAATAGCCTCTTGCATGATTTCTTTATAATCGTTTAAAAAGTGAGATTCTTCTCCAAACTAGAAGTTACGACTTTTAATTATAAAGTGTCATGGCTGCAGAACAGGGGGCAAAATGAATTGTACCCCAAATCATCAACCTAACATGATTCTAACATGAAATATGGCTTTTAATTTAAAATGCTAGGATGGCTATAGAGCAGGAGGCAAAATACATTATTCTCCAAGTTCTCAACATGTTTCTACCGTGAAATGTTTTATGAAATGGGAAGAGTCTTACCCACTGTCATGTGGATCCTGGTGGGTCTGGTCCTGTGGTCCGGCTGTCTTGATTCTCACTCCAACTGCTTGTCCAGCAGGGCCTTTACCCAGCTCGGCACTTCTGTGGTTGCACTGTCTTTCCAAGGCTTGGTTGGCATCACATGCAGATTGCCCAGGTCATGTGCTTCTCTGATATTAACCTATGCTGTTCAAAAGGAAGGCAGGGAATAAAACCAACGAAATGGGAAAAGTGTCAAGAATTTTCCCTACCTAAACTTTAACAGGCATGTCATTCTAAAACATAGGAATGAGGCAAAATTTCATCCGTGATGTAGATGCCATGTTTATTTTCCTTCTTATTTTTATAATTTGAAATGCTCTCTGGGATAAATTTATGCTATTTTGTTTATGTTGAAATCATCTCTGAAAAAAAGTATGGTGGAGTGGAGATAGGCAAAAAAGAAGTAACAATTGTCTTGTGTATACTATGAGTCAGAATGTAGATTTTGTTTGAATGCTCACATCAGTTATCATGTGGAATTTTTCTTCTTTACACATACAATTTTTTTTCAATGGAATTGCAATTACATGCTGTCTCATAGTTTACTAATACAAAATAGATTCATTGCTTTGTTTGTCTACTTCATAACAATGGTTGGCTGGAAAAAATTTAGAAAATCTGTCTAGTGCCCTCTTATGATGACAACCAGAACTGCTCATGAGTTGAAGGGGACTTCACTCACTATCAGATGTAGTTTCCATCCTTATTCCATAAGGACTACATACAGCTAGCCAGGAGTCTTCTCAGGCTTCTAGAATTTTCTATGTTAAATTTAAAGGTTTTGTTGTGTGGGATTCTAACCAGATCATAATGTCTTCAACTACAGTGTTTCTGATTATGAAAACATCCAGAAGCTTATTAAAAATTGAGAAGATGCAAAAAGGTATATGTAAAATAAAGTACAACTCTAGACAAATAACCACTATCAATATTTACTATATGTATTTCTAGAAGTTTTTTTACATATAAAGATAAATGTATCTCATTTGAAAATTTGAAACCAGCTTCAGATTCCACTCAAGAGCATAGCTTGAACATCATTCACCTAAATATTTTCCACATAATTTGATATAAATTACTTTAAATGAGGTTTTCCCCCAAGCCTGTAGCATTTATCTCAATATTTCCCCGAAGATGTAACAAACCCCAGATAAATATATATTAATAATTTTAAAAAGTAGAAAATGGTAAAGCTATCCCTGTCTCTACAACTATGCAAGTAATCCTGTTAAAACTTTCATAGATATGTTTTTCCTGATTTGTATGTAGTAACATACATAGGTATACTAACATACATATTTATTCTTAAGTGAGAACATATAGTATGTTCTATTATATAATTTTTTTCACCTTATACTGTTTCTCAGGCATTTGCCAAATGCATAGTATTTCATTGTACAGATGTACCATGCCATATAATATTTTGAAAACTGCGTATAGAAATAAACCAAATCCTCTGTTTCTCACTCTTAAACTTAGATGATACAGAAACATGGCTCTTCCTGACCATGCTGGTATCTGTGATCTGAAAGAATAAACTGCAGGGAGGACACATGCAGGCCTGTAGTTGACACGGCAACTATGCTACCCACTTGATCAAGTCCAGGAAAATTTCCACTATTGGCAGAAGACAGGGGGGATATGGGAGCATGTCTTTGTGTGTCTATGTGTGTTTATGTATTTGAAACAAAATGGGTATGCTGTTTCAGCTTCCTTTTTATTTCATGATTATAAAAATAATCACTGAGTAATCTACTCTAAAGATGCTGAAATAGTTTAAAAAATAATATTAAAATGGTGACCTGGCCACATAGAAATGCTGTTAACATGAGAGATTATTTTCCTCCAGATTTTAAAAATCACATATATACATGCATATATTATGTGCAAGTATCTTCACTCAACTACATATTTGATCCCTTTTCCATGCTCATGTACATGTGACACATACAGTCTTTTTATGTATCAATCAACTTATAGGTGTATTTCCCCCCATACTGTCAAATACTTCTAAGTTATTTTTCTGTGCAAATTAATAAATGCCTAAATATTCAAACAATAACGGAGTGTCTAACAATATAAACAGGGGATGCCAACTCAATAAATTAGCAGGAACAGTCATGCTGCACTGAAGCCTTAATTTAGAGGCTGTAATCTGATCACCCCTTCTCCCACTGTGGACTTCTAAAGCATTGGAAGATACAAAAATTCCAGAGGATTAACTCCTTCAAAATGCCAGCAATTCTCAAAACCACACACCTTTCCCACCACTGCAAGACTGCCATCCCTATTTTTCCTATCTTTACTCTAAGAACCTGAGAAGTCACTAGAAAATAAGTAGCTTTGAGACAGCCATTACCTTGAAGCTTCTTGTCAGCTGCAGCCTGGTGAAATGCAGCTCCTCCCCCAAGACTGGCCAGGCACAGTCCTTTCCTAGAGGCTCAGAGGAGGGTCCGCCCCCTGGCTGTATGAAGAACAGAAAGCCCCTGCCTGGATCAGGGGAGGGGGAATTGCCAAGAGAAACCGCTGAAGTGTTGAACTGCAGTAATGTTCCTTTTTAAAAAACTTTTAAGTGAAATGTCAACAAGTGTGCTTAATTTCTATTCAAAACCTTAGGGTGTGTGATTTCTTGAAGAAAAGAGGTAGCAAATCACTTTATCATATTTCAATCAAAACACAGTTACTAATATTCCTTACATATTTTTTTCTTGCCATCTCTGGCATCTTAACCCCATAGGTGAATTTTAAACCCAGCTGGTCAAGTCCATTAAAATAGACCGCTAAGGATATTGATTTGGATTACACAAAAACTGTACATTATTTGAGGGAGACTTTATTTCTTTATAATTCTTTTGTTTTTCTTTCTGTTTCCAGGACATGGTACGTCTCTACTTTTATTCAGTTCTTCTCTAAAACCCTTCAGGAAAGTTTCACAGATTTCTTCACATATGTGATTATTTCTTGCTAGATGTTAAAATCATTGGCTTACCAGGAAAGCACTCATTTCATATGCCCTCATCGATAATTAACAATTGTTTCTTTTTTTATTTTTATTTTTTATTTTATTTTATTTTTTTTTTTGAGACGGAGTCTTACTCTGTCGCCCAGGCTGGAGTGCAGTGGCGTGATCTCGGCTCACTGCAAGCTCCGCCTCCCGGGTTCACGCCATTCTCCTGCCTCAGCCTTCCGAGTAGCTGGGACTACAGGCGCCCGCCACCATGCCTGGCTAATTTTTTGCATTTTTAGTAGAGAAGGGGTTTCACCGTGTTAGCCAGGATGATCTCGATCTCCTGACCTCATGATCCGCCTGCCTCGGCCTTCCAAAGTGCTGGGATTACAGGCGTGAGCCACCGCGCCCGGCCGGCAATTCTGTTTCTTATGTTTTGTTGTTTTCACTTGGGTGATTCAATGTGAGGGGAATTAATTTTTAAAAATTTATGTCTTTATTTACAGGTCCGAAATATACTTTGTACATTCTGTTCATCAAAATTCTATGTTAAATTTAAGTATAGATTTCTGATTTAACTCAGAAAGTCAATTGTAATTATCACTAGTGATGATTTGGGGAATAAAGTATTTTATTTGGCTTCTGTATCATATAATATGTAGTATTACTCATATATATATAATTACAATTTTAACATTCACCTTTATATAAGCATTAATATTAAAATAAAAATACCAATAAATCAATGAAAGCCATCTCTAGGCTGGTGTATTACTGGGGACTCTAATAATTAGAGTATATAATGCTGTGTGCTATAAACAACCCCTAAATCTCAGAGGTTCAATCCCCCAAAAGTTTATTTTGCTGATGTCAAGGTTCAACGTAAGGCATCACGTGGCCAAATAGGGGCAAGTTTCTCTGTTCTAAGCAGTCATTAAGAGACCCAATCTTCTTCCATCCTGTGGCTCTACCATCTACTTGGGTCTTAAAGACCTTCATTACATTCTTTGCATCTAGCTAACAGCCTAAACAAGAGGGAGGATGGAGAGCCATATGGAAGGTTTTAGTGGTCAGGTCTGGCAAACATCACTGCTAGTTAACAGTCCACTAACCAGAATTTAGGCATGGATCCCCAACTGGCATAGAGGCTGGGTAATGTAATCTCCCTGTGACCCCAGGAGAAAAATGAGACAGAGGTTGACAAACATGTAGCGTTCTCTCTGTCACAGGAAATTTTCCCTTACAATCTTTTATAGACTTCTGTTACTGGTTTAATTTTTTTTTACAATCGTATATCATATTTGTAATGAATGAGACAGAAACTTCTAGTTGCTCACCCAAGATCCACTCTTTGCATTCTTCCTCATTAGCAGAACACCAGTTGTATTGAAGGTGGCAGTTTAATCTCCTAAAATATTGTCTTTCCCAGACTCCCTCACTGCAAGCCATGGTCATGTGATGGAATTTCTTGCCAAAGAATGCAAGCAGAAATTGCTGTGAAGATTCTAGAGAAGGCATCTCTAAAGGGGGATAAATAACCAGCTTGGGCTTTTTTTTTCCACTTTCCCCCTTTCTCTTGCTTTCCAGAATTTGATCATGATAGAGAGTTCAGGCAGCCTTTCTGGACCACAAAGTGACTTCGGAAAAGGATGCAACTCACTAGGGACGTGTGACCCTAAACCACTCAATAATGGGGATCACCTCATTCCAATCTCTTTAAGTTAGTGGAACATTAAACTTCTATCTTACCAAAGCCTCTCTGTTTTCCAGTCTTTTTTTCTAGTACTAGAACAAAATAGTTGATCTTATACAAATTACAATGAAAAGGATGGGCTCAGTGGCTCACGCCTGTAATCCCAGCACTTTGGGAGGCCGAGACAGGTGGATCACGAGGTCAGGAGATCAAGACCATTCTGGCTAACACGGTGAAACCCCGTCTCTACTAAAAATACAAAAAAAGAAAAAATTAGCCAGGCTTGGTGGCGGGTGCCTGTAGTCCCAGCTACTTGGGAGGCTGAGGCAGGAGAATGGCATGAACCCAGGAGGCAGAGCTTGCAGTGAGCCAAGATAGCACCACTGCACTCCAGCCTGGGCGACAAAGCGAGACTCTGTCTCAAAAAAAAAAAAAAAAATTACAATGAAAATAACAAAATTCTTATTATACAATTAATCCTTTCAATGCTTTCAAGGTATTAATACATAATCTAAAGAGGATTATCAGGCCAATATATATATGGCTTTATTTAAATGAAGAGATTTATTTTATTATATATTTTATAATGCAGTATTTTTCATTCTGCCTTCATTTCACATGTTTGGAAAAAAACAAATGCCCACAGAGTATGATAATTATGTTAAAATTTTTTTTGCTTTATTTTGGATATTTTCTAGATTGCACATAAATCAGGAAATGCTATACTATGGCACCATTTTCAAAATGAAATGCAAAGGAAAAGATTAATTCCATGAACAATATTTTCTATTTCACCAATTTGTAGAAGGAGGTGGACAAAAAGGATAACTAATAATAGCAAATGCTAATACTGCAATATTAATATTTTTATGATAAAGATAGATAACATTACAGATATAATAATATCTAATACCTACACAAGTTTTCTATGTGCCAGGCAATGTTCTCAAGCACTTGACATATGATCTTATTTAATAATTAGATGGTTATTTCCTGGAAGAGAGGGCCATAACCAACTCACTCTGTATAACAACATTAGTATTATTATTAATAATGACAATGATGATAGAAGCCAAAAGTGTTTTCTTACCATGGGGATTATATAAGGGGTGGGTCATCTAGGGTGTGTTTACAATACCTTGTGATTTCATTTATATGACATTTTCAAAAAGACAAAAGTATAGCTGTGGTGAAAAGATCAGTGTTGCCAGGTGTTACAGGTGGGGAAGGGTGTGGCTATAAAAGGACAAACCAAGGAAGTTGTGAGGGTGATGAAACTTTTCTGACTGTGGTGGTGGTTATATGAATCTTTATATATGTTAAAATCCAGAGAACCGTATACAAAAAATGGTCAAGTATAGTGTATTATACTTTAAAGTATGATTTTAATGTATAGCAATTCAAATAATAAAAATTTAAATGAAAAAATGTAGTAATAACCATTATATAAAAAGCAAGTCTTTGCAAGTATGCCTTAGAAAGCATCTGCTTCTTCCTAAAGCATACTTAATAACAAAAATTCCCCAAATAAGACCCATACGTATATTTTTTCAAAAGCACCAGTTACACTTCCACTTAGGATATAAAAAGCTGTAAGAGAATGTCATTCATAACTTAATAATGATAAATCTCTAGATAACATATGAAATCATAACTTTCCTTGAGCCTATCAGGGAACTGAGTTAAAGTGAATTCCAAAGGGTAATCAGCCCCTTTAAAGAAAGACAAAACATATGAACCTCTGTCCAAGCATGGAGACAGAAGTGACTGTCATACAAGCTGAAATTTTAATGAACTTTTAAAAGTAAAGCATGCGTTAGCTTTGTCAGTTTGGAATATCTGGAACCCCAACACGTACACACTTAATGCCAAGTTCTTTTTCACAGTCTTTAACCAGAAGCTCAGAAAAATGACTCAGGACAAAGCAGGAGACCTAAAAGAGTCCATGTCACTGGTTCTGGTATGCAGAAGGTAATCAGCTGTTGCTGGGGGACAGACATACAACCCCACAGAACCTTTCTGTCATGAGAAGCAAAGCCTTAAGACACTAGAGGAGAAGCAGCAAACCCTCTCCTGAACCCAGGCAAAAATCCCTTGCTTCTGGTGGAAGGGTAGAAGCAAAACTTACTTGCCTGGGAGGGAGAGATAGGAAACCCCCTAATTTCCAGGACAAAGGCAGAGATCCATTGCTGCTCAGGGAGAAGTAGAAGGGAAAAACCTCTGCCCTGGAGGGAACCCTCTCTAACCCAGTTCTTACATGAATGAAAAGCAGCCTGAGAAAGAGGCAAGAAAATATATCTGACCAAAGACCAACTACATATACAAATCAGAGGTTAGCTGCCATGGGGAGAGGAAAGAATGATGAGAAAGCCTTGCCCTAAAGGTTCATGTTCATAGAGCCCCGCTAAGGCTGTGGCTAGACAGGACAACAGACAGTACTTCCTACCTCACCATGAGCCTAGCACCTGATAATAACAGCAGTCAACTGCTGTCATGTGAACAAGAGTAAGAAGAGAGACTCTCTGCTGGTGGCACAAGTATGAAGAGACTACTGAAAATTTAGAGTGGAAAATCGTTGAAAAAAATCTTGTAGCACTCCAGGCTCCAACTGAAGCACAAATAATATAAGTTATGCAAGCCAGATGACAATTATGTGAGGAAAGGAGGAAAAACTCTTCAACATATTTTATAATACCAGCATTAACCTGATACCCAAACTAGAAAATAACAAATAAAGAAAACTTCAGATCAATATCTCTCATAAACATAGACAAAGAAGTCCTTAACGAAATGCTATTAATCAAAGCTGATGATAAGGAAAAAGAATAATACATTATGACCAAATGGAGTTTATCCTGGGAATGTATGGATGGTTCAACATTTGCAAATCAATCAATCAATATTATTCACCATATCAACAGACTAAAATGGAGAAAAAAAATCATCTCAATTTTTACAGAAAAAGCATTAACAACATTCCACAAATAATGATAAAAGACATTTAGCATAGTAAGAGTTTAATGGATCTTCCTCAACCTGATTAAAGACATCTACAAAAAAACAAAAAATAAAAAGCCTATGATTAACATCATATGGTAAAACATAGAATGCTTTTCCCCTAAAATCAGAAACAAGGCAAGGATGTTTGCTTTCACCACTTTTATTTAGCATTACATTGGCGATCCCAGCCAATTACAATAAGGCCTGAAAAATAAATAAATTATGTACGGATTGGAAGGGAAGAAGTAAAATTGCATTTACAGACAAGATGATGTATGTAGAAAATCCCAATGGAGCTACCAAAAAAAAGCTATGAAGCTATGAGACCTAATAAGTAAGTTTAATAATAATGCCAGACACAAAGTCAATATAAAATAATTTATTTTATTTCTACACAATAAAATTTGGAATTTCAAGTTTTAAAGAGTACCATTTGTAATATCATCAAAAACTGGGAAATACTAAGGGAGGATAACTATGTACAAGATTTGAATGCTGAAGACTTCAACACACTGATGAGATAAATTAAATAAGACCTAAATAAATAGAGAAATATACCATGTTCTTTGACTGAATAACTGAAATACTAATTTTTAGGATGTTATATCTCCCCAACATTTCTGTAGAATTATTGCAATCTCAATCAAAATCCCAGTAGGTTTTTCATAGAAATTGAGAAGCTAATTCCAAAATGTATGTGGAAAGAGCAAAGGAACCAGAACAGCCAGACAAATTTTGAGAAAAAAATACAAAAGTTAGAAGATTCATACTACCTGATTTCAAGGCTATGGTAATTAAGACAGTTTCTTATTGACATAGGATTGACCTATAGATCAATAGAATGCAAAGAGACCATCAAATATAGCCAACAGATTTTGGACAAAGGTAATTAAATGAAGAAATGGCGGTCTTTTCAACAAATGGTACGGAACAACTGGACATCACACACCAAAATATTCTTCTTGACCCCTCAGCTAAGAAGATATACAAAATTACTCAAAATGGGTTAGCGACCTAAATATAAAACCAAAAATTATAACTTGTAAAAAAAAGTAGAAAATCTTTAAGATTTTGGTCTAGGCAAAGATTTATTAGGATTTAAAAAGCATGGACCATAAAAAATTAATAAATTGGACTTGAAAACAAGTTCTTTTCAAAAAATAACATGAAAAGAAAACCCAGATTGGGAGACAATACTTGCAAAACACCTATGTGATGAAGGACTTTTATCCAAAATATATAAAGAACTCTCAAAATTCAATAATAAGATTATTATTGAATAACCAAATAAAAATAGTGAATTTAAACAGACACCTCATCAGAAAAGACATATGAATAGCAAGTGAACACATGAAAATATGCTCAACAGCATTAGTAATTGAGGATATGCAAGTAAAACCAGAATGAGACAAATGCCCCTCTCTGACAGCTTTGAAGAGAGTAGTGGTTCTCCCAGCATGAGATCTGAGAACGGGCAGACTTCCTCCTCAAGTGGGTCCCTGACCCCCGAGTAGCCTAATTGGGAGGCACCCCCCAGTAGGGGCAGACTGACACCTCATACGGCCGGGTACTGCTCTGAGATAAAACTTCCAGAGGAACAATCAGGCAGCAGCATCTGCAGTTCACCAATATCCGCTGTTCTGCAGCCACCGCTGCTGATACCCAGGCAAACAGGGTCTGGAGTGGACCTCTAGCAAACTCCAACAGACCTGCAGCTGAGGGTCCTGTCTGTTAGAAGGAAAACTAACAAAGAGAAAGGACATCCACACCAAAAATCCATCTGTACGTCACCATCATCAAAGACCAAAGGTAGATAAAACCACAAAGATGGGGAAAAAAAAGAGCAGAAAAACTGGAAACTCTAAAAATCAGAGTGCCTCTCCTCCTCCGAAGGAACACAGCTCCTCAACAGCAATGGAACAAAGCTGGACGGAGAATGACTTTGACAAGCTGAGAGAAGAAGGCTTCAGATGATCAAACTACTCCGAGCTACAGGAGGAAATTCAAACCGATGGCAAAGAAGTTAAAAGCTTTGAAAAAAAATTAGACGAATGTATAACTAGAATAACCAATGCAGAGAAGTCCTTAAAGGACCTGATGGAGCGGAAAACCAAGGCACGAGAGCTACATGACAAATGCAGAAGCCTCAGTAACCGATGTGATCAACTGGAAGAAAGGGTATCAGCGATGGAAGACGAAATGAATGAAATGAAGCGAGAACAGAAATTTAGAGAAAAAAGAATGAAAAGAAATGAACAAAGACTGCAAGAAATATGGGACTATGTGAAAAGACCAAATCTATGTCTGATTGGTGTACCTGAAAGTGACGGGGAGAATGGAACCAAGTTGGAAAACACTCTGCAGGATATTATCCAGGAGAACTTCCCCAATCTAGCAAGGCAGGCCAACATTCAAATTCAGGAAATACAGAGAATGCCACAAAGATACTCCTCAAGAAGAGCAACTCCAAGACACATAATTGTCAGATTAACCAAAGTTGAAATGAAGGAAAAAAATGTTAAGGGCAGCCAGAAAGAAAGGTGAGGTTACCCACAAAGGGAAGCCCATCAGACTAACAGCTGATCTCTTGGCAGAAACTCTACAAGCCAGAAGAGAGTGGGGGCGAATATTCAACATTCTTAAAGAAAAGAATTTTCAACCCAGAATCTCATATCCAGCCAAACTAAGCTTCACAAGTGAAGTAGAAATAAAATACTTTACAGATAAGCAAATGCTGGGAGATTTTGTCACCACCAGGCCTGCCGTAAAAGAGCTCCTAAAGGAAGCACTAAACATGGAAAGGAACAACCAGTACCAGGCACTGCAAAAACATGCCAAATTGTAAAGAACATCAAGGCTAGGAAGAAACTACATCAACTAACGAGCAAAATAACCAGCTAACATCATAATGACAGGATCAAATTCACACATAACAATATTAACTTTAAATGTAAATGGGCTAAATGCTCCAATTAAAAGACACAGACTGGCAAATTGGATAAAGAGTCAAGATCCATCAGTGTGCTGTATTCAGGAAGCCCATCTCACGTGCAGAGACACACATAGGCTCAAAATAAAGGGATGGAGGAAGATCTACAAAGCAAATGGAAAACAAAAAAAGGCAGGGATTGCAATCCTAGTCTCGGATAAAACAGACTTTAAACCAACAAAGATCAAAAGAGACAAAGAAGGCCATTACATAATGGTAAAGGGATCAATTCAACAAGAAGAGCTAACTATCCTAAATATATATGCACCCAATACAGGAGCACCCAGATTCATAAAGCAAGTCCTTAGTGACCTACGAAGAGACTTAGACTCCCACACAATAATAATGGGAGACTTTAACACCCCACTCTCAACATTAGACAGATCAATGAGACAGAAAGTTAACAATACCCAGGAATTGAACTCAGCTCTGCACCAAGCGGACCTAATAGACATCTACAGAACTCTCCACCCTAAATCAACAAAATATACATTCTATTCAGCACCACATCACACCCACTCCAAAATTGACCACATAGTTGGAAGTAAAGCACTCCTCAGCAAATGGAAAAGAACAGAAATTATAACAAACTGTCTCTCAGACCACAGTGCAATCAAACTAGAACTCAGGATTAAGAAACTCACTCAAAACCACTCAACTACATGGAAACTGAACAACCTGCTCCTGAATGACTACTGGGTACATAATGAAATGAAGGCAGAAATAAAGATGTTCTTTGAAACCAACGAGAACAAAGACACAACATACCAGAATCTCTGGGACACATTCAAAGCAGGGTGTAGAGGGAAATTTATAGCACTAAATGCCCACAAGAGAAAGCAGGAAAGATCTAAAATTGACAACCTAACATCACAATTAAAAGAACTAGAAAAGCAAGAGCAAACACATTCAAAAGCTAGCAGAAGGCAAGAAATAACTAAGATCAGAGCAGAACTGAAGGAAATAGAGACACAAAAAACCCTTCAAAAAATCAATGAATCCAGGAGCTGGTTTTTTGAAAAGATCAACAAAATTGATAGACCGCTACCAAGACTAATAAAGAAGAAAAGAGAGAAGAATCAAATAGATGCAATAAAAAATGATAAAGGGGATATCACCACCCATCCCACAGAAATACAAACTACCATCAGAGAATACTATAAACACCTCTATGCAAATAAACTAGAAAATCTAGAAGAAATGGATAAATTCCTCGACACATACATCCCCCCAAGAGTAAACCAGGAAGAAGTTGAATCTCTGAATAGACCAATAACAGGAGCTGAAATTGAGGCAATAATCAATAGTTTACCAACCAAAAAAAGTCCAGGACCTGATGGATTCACAGCCAAATTCTAACAGAGGTACAAAAAGTAGGTGGTACCATTCCTTCTGAAACTATTCCAATCAATAGAAAAAGAGGGAATCCTCCCTAACTCATTTTATGAGGCCAGCATCATCCTGATACCAAAGACTGGCAGAGACACAACCAAAAAAGACAATTTTAGACCAATATCCTTGATGAACATTGATGCAAAAATCCTCAAAAAAATACTGGCAAATCGGATCCAGCAGCCCATGAAAAAGCTTATCCACCATGATAGAGTGGGCTTCATCTCTGGGATGCAAGAATGGTTCAACATACACAAATCAATAAATGTAATCCAACATATAAACAGAACCAAAGACAAAAACCACATGATTATCTCAATAGATGCAGAAAAGGCCTTTGACAAAATTCAACAACCCTTCATGCTAAAAACTCTCAATAAATTAGGTACTGATGGGACGTATCTCAAAATAATAAGAGCTATTTATGACAAACCCACAGCCAATATCATACTGAATGGGCAAAAACTGGAAGCATTCCCTTTGAAAACAGGCACAAGACAGGGATGCCCTCTCTCACCACTCTTATTCAACATAGTGTTGGAAGTTCTGGCCAGGGCAATCAGGCAGGAGAAGGAAATAAAGAGTATTCAATTAGGAAAAGAGGAAGTCAAATTGTCCCTGTTTGCAGATGACATGATTGTATATCTAGAAAACCCCATCGTCTCAGCCCAAAATCTCCTCAAGCTGATAAGCAACTTCAGCAAATCTCAGGATACAAAATCAATGTACAAAAATCACAAGCATTCTTATACACCAATAACAGACAGAGAGCCAAATCATGAGTGAACTCCCATTCACAATTGCTTCAAAGAGAATAAAATACCTAGGAATCCAACTTACAAGGGATGTGAAGGACCTCTTCAAGGAGAACTACAAACCACTGCTCAATGAAATAAAAGAGGACACAAATAAATGGAAGAACATTCCATGCTCATGGGTAGGAAGAATCAATATCGTGAAAATGGCCATACTGCCCAAGGTAATTTATAGATTCAATGCCATCCCCATCAAGCTACCAATGACTTTCTTCACAGAATTGGAAAAAACTACTTTAAAGTTCATATGGAACCAAAAAAGAGCCCGCATCGCCAAGTCAATCCTAAGCCAAAAGAACAAAGCTGGAGGCATCACGCCACCTGACTTCAAACTATACTACAAGGCTACGGTAACCAAAACAGCATGGTACTGGTACCAAAACAGAGATATAGACCAATGGAACAGAACAGAGCCCTCAGAAATAATGCCGCATATCTACAACTATCTGATCTTTGACAAACCTGAGAAAAACAAGCAATGGGGAAACGATTCCCTATTTAATAAACAGTGCTGGGAAAACTGGCTAGCCATATGTAGAAAGCTGAAACTGGATCCCTTCCTTACACCTTATACTAAAATTAATTCAAGATGGATTAAAGACTTACATGTTAGACCTAAAACCATAAAAACCCTAGAAGAAAACTTAGGCAATATCATTCAGGACATAGGCATGGGCAAGGACTTCACATCTAAAACACCAAGAGCAATGGCAACAAAAGCCAAAATTGACAAATGGGATCTAATTAAACTAAAGAGCTTCTGTACAGCAAAAGAAACTACCATCAGAGTGAACAGGCAACCTACAAAATGGGAGAAAATTTTTGCAATCTACTCATCTGACAAAGGGCTAATATCCAGAATCTACAATGAACTCAAACAAATTTACAAGAAAAAAACAAACAACCCCATCAAAAAGTCGGCGAATGATATGAACAGACACTTCTCAAAAGAAGACATTTATGCAGCCAAAAAACACATGAAAAAATGCTCATCATTACTGGCCATCAGAGAAATGCAAATCAAAACCACAATGAGATACCATCTCATACCAGTTAGAAAGGCAATCATTAAAAAGTCAGGAAACAACAGGTGCTGGAGAGGATGTGGAGAAATAGGAACACTTTTACACTGTTGGTGGGACTGTCAACTAGTTCAACCATTGTGGAAGTCAGTGTGGCGATTCCTCAGGGATCTAGAACTAGAAATACCATTTGACCCAGCCATCCCATTACTGGGTATATACCCAAAGGACTATAAATCATGCTGCTATAAAGACACATGCACATGTATGTTTATAGTGGCACTATTCACAATAGCAAAGACTTGGAACCAACCTAAATGTCCAACAATGATAGACTGGATTAAGAAAATGTGGCGCCGGGCGCGGTGGCTCACGCCTGTAATCCCAGCACTTTGGGAGGCCGAGGCAGGCGGATCACGAGGTCAGGAGATCGAGACCATCCTGGCTAACACGGTGAAACCCCGTCTCTACTAAAAATACAAAAAATTAGCCGGGCGTGGTAGCAGGCGCCTGTAGTCCCAGCTACTCGGGAGGCTGAGGCAGGAGAATGGCGTGAACCCGGGAGGCAGAGCTTGCAGTGAGCCGAGATCACGCCACTGCACTCCAGCCTGGGCGACAGAGCGAGACTCCGTCTCAGAAAAAAAAAAAAAAAAAAAAAGAAAATGTGGCACATATACACCATGGAATACTATGCAGCCATAAAAAATGATGAGTTCATGTCCTTTGTAGGGACATGGATGAAACTGGAAACCATCATTCTCAGCAAACTATCGCAAGGACAAAAACCAAACACTGCATGTTCTCACTCATAGGTGGGAATTGAACAATGAGAACACATGGACACAGAAAGGGGAACATCACACATCGGGGACTGTTGTGTGGTGGGGGGAGGGGAGAGGGATAGCATTAGGAGATATACCTAATGCTAAATGACGAGTTAATGGTTGCAGCACACCAACATGGCACATGTATACATATGTAACAAACCTGCACGTTGTGCACATGTACTCTAACCTTAAAAGTATAATAATAATAAAATTTTAAAAAAAGGTTCAAAGTTAAAAAAAGGAATAGCTAATATTAAAAATAAAATAAAATACAGACAGTATCGACTTCTAGCAATGATGTGTATCAACTGGAACTCTCATACATTGCTGGTGGAAATGCAAAATGTCACAGCTACTTTAGAAAACAGTTTGACAATTTCTAATGTAGTTAAGCACACACCTACCATAAAACCAAGAAATCCCATTCCTAAGTATTTACTCAAGAGAAATGAAAACTTATGTATACACAAAGACCTATTCTAGAATGTTTAACAACTTTAATCATAATTGCCAAAAACTACAAATCTACTGGTAATTGGATACTCAAATTGCAGAACATCCATATGTTAGAATACCTCTCAGCTACATTAAGGAATAAATTACTGATATATGCAACAACATTGGTGAATATTTTAAAAATATGCTAAGTGAAAGAAGCCAGAAGTAAAAGGCTATATACTTTATGATTCCATTTGTATGACATTCTGGAAAATGAAAAACTATAGGGACAGAAATCAAATCAGTGGTTGTCAGGAACTGACAGAGATATGGATTGACTACAATGGGGCAGGAGGGAACATTTTGGAGTAAAGGAAAGGTTATACAGCTTTCTGTATTGGTAGTTACATGATGGTACATTTTTCTCAAAGCTCTTCAAACTGTACATCTAAAAGAGTGAATTTAACTCTATGTAAACTATACCTCTTTAAACCCGGGTCTTAAAAAGTCATTCAATCAGAATACGACCAATATAAGACATTTGTATTTTACTGTGAGAGTAATCCGGATACATACATATAGGGATTTTGATTTGTACTTTGAATCAATGATTGCCAAAGAAGGCTGTGGGTTCCACAAGATATGTTTAAAAATACCCTCTGTAGTGTAGAAATAATATGTTAAAAATGTAAATTATTTTGATCTCTTTTATTAATTTTTATTAACTTGTACTTCTGAATTGCTTTAAAACATGGGGGGGGCACCTACAACACGTGACTTTTGATGCAGTTATATAACTTTGTTAAAACACATGTCTTCATTAATTATCTCTTTCATTGAGAGTTAGTTAGTACAGGACATATGTCAAGAAACCAGATGACATCAGCATTGTACAGTACATGAAATTTATCCCCATTGGCAGAGTCTCTAACCACACTGAAGTTCTCACATGCCACTAAACCATATGAGTGGAAAGAGAGGAGGGAAGGAAGGAAGGAAATGGGGAGGAAGAAAGAAGTAGAAAACAAAATGCTACAATCTGGAGATAATGATATAGTTAAGAATATGTACCCAGTTAAAAGCAGAAGCTGAGTAACGTATGACAGGGAAACAGAGTGGTCATAGAATAAATAAATGTCATTATTTTAGTGCATAAGGTCCATATAACAACTATAAATAGTCCAGTTAGAACACTCCCAAAGACAATGAGGAGGCCACAGACATTGGTAAAGCAAGGAATCTTAGACATTTCATAGATATTCAAAATATTCAATGACCCCCAAGGCAGAAGCACAGACAAGTAACAACTGAATTTCACTGCAAAAAAAGAGTTCAATCCTATTAATGTCAACTGACTGAATATCAGCCCACCTGAAGAGGAAGAACATCAGGAAAACCTTAGTAATAATGATCAACCCAAGTATAGAAAAAGGTAAGCCAGATTTAGTGATTCACTGCCAGGGTCAAAGAGACTCCATAATCCCTGGTAAAATGTATATGAATAAAAAGAAAAATTACCAACTAGTGACTTAGAGGGACAAAGGGATAAACCTGCCACATTGGAGATTTTATACTTCCCAGGCAATGTGTAGATATTCCCAGGCAAAACTTACACATGCCAATAAATAAAACTATTAGGAGTCAAGACACAGGATGATGGAATGGGAAACATTTTTTAAAGGAATAAAATGGAAACAAGTTTGACGAGGACCTCACAACCCCATCATTACAGTGCATAGACAAATAAACCTCTACTGCACTCTGCATGTTCCAGTAGACAGAGTAAACTTCAGAGTTCTTCCTGGCATAAACAAGCAAGAAGGAAGACCCATCTGGGGTTTGCCCTGGGGAATTTAAAGAAAAAAGGAGTCCTCCCTTAATCCCACCATTCTCTGAGACACCCATAGAAAAAAAACCAGGACAGGACAAAAATTATTCCTGCCACTGAGAGATGAAGCCAGCTGGACTTCCTGGGTCGAGTGGGGACTTGGAGAACTTTTCTGTCTAGCTAGAGGATTGTAAATGCACCAATCAACGCTCTGCGTCTAGCTAGAGGATTGTAAATGCACCAATCAGCACTCTGTAAAAATGTACCAATCAGTGCTCTGTGTCTAGCTAAAATATTGTAAATGCACCAATCGGCACTCTGTAAAATGAACCAGTCAGCACTCTGTAAAATGGACCAATCAGCAGGATGTGGATGGGGACAAATAAGGGAATAAAAGCTGGCCACCCCAGCCAGCAGCAGCAACCCGCTTGGGTCCCCTTCCACACTGTGGAAGCTTTGTTCTTTCACTCTTCACAATAAATCTTGCTTCTGCTGACTCTTTGGGTCCGTGCCACCTTTAAGAGCTGTAACACTCACCATGAAGGCCCGTGGCTTCATTCTTGAAGTCAGTGAGACCAGGAACCCACCAGAAGGAACCAACTCTGGACACATCTTGGCAAACACGAAGGGACTATCACCTATCACTAAGCGGTGAGTACCATTGGACCCCTTTCTCTTGCTATTCTGTTCTATTTTTCCTTAGAATTTGGGGGCTAAATACCAGGCACCTGTTGGCCAATTAAAAGCAACTAGCGTGGCTGCCGGACTAAAGACATGGGTGTCAGGATTTTTGGGAAAGGGCTCTCTAACAAACCCCAATGCTTCGGAGTTGGGAGTGTTGGTTTGCCTGGAACAAGCTTCTGCTTTTCCTGTACTTCCGGGCTCAGCCAAAGGTCAACAGAGAGGAAAGCCATTCAGCTCTGGGGTCCTGACAACAAGTTGGTTGACCCTGAGGCTATGAGCAGAACTCTCAAAGTCATGTCGTCCAAGCGAGACTCACCCATCTATCCTATCTATACTGACCCTTGCCTCTTGGGTCCTAACGCCTGTCAGACAAATTTCCTCTCACCTCTCTTCTCCAAGGCTAGTCCCACTTCTAAAAACCACTTCCTATCTCTGGTGCTTTTCTAGTTTCTCCTATAAGAATAATTTCTAGTATAAACCTCAGGACTCTGTTCCCTTCTTTAGGCACCTGGGCTCACCAATCAGAAAGACATAATTTTTGCCCAAAGCCCCATGGTGGGGGACTATCTGGAATTTTAGGATCCATCCTCAGACTAGCAGGCCTAACAAAAGCTATTCCTGAAGCTAGGATATGGGGAGCCTCAGAAATTATATCCTTCCTATTCATATGATGAGAAGTGAGGACAAAAGGTGTCACTCTTCTAACCCTGGAGATCCCTTCCCTCCCTCAGGGCATGGCCCTCCACTTCAGTTTTGGGGCATACCATCTTTATAGGACAGGGGTAAGGTCCCAATACTAACAGGAGAGCGCATAGGACTCTAACAGGTTTTCGAGAATGTGTCAGGGCCACTATATCCGATTTTTCTCTGTCCTCTTTGTGTTCTATGAGGACAGGCAAGGGTGCAGGTTTTTGAGAATGTGTCAGTAAGGGCCACTAAATCTGACCTTCCTTGGTCCTCCTTGTGGTCTAGGAGGAAAACTAGTATTTCTGCTGCTGCACTGGTGAGCACAACTACTCTGATCAGCAAGTTCCAGGGACTGCTGCAGGTTCTTGGGCAAGAGGGGGATCTGCTGCTGTGTCAGTGAGCCCAACTATTCCGATCAGCAGGGTCCAGGTACCGTTGCAGGTTCTTGGGCTGTGGGGGGAACAAACAACCCAAAACCATGGGCAGTTTTGTCTTTCAGATGGGAAACACTCAGGTATCAACAGGCTCACACTTGAAATGTATCCTAAGCCATTGGGACCAATTTGACCTGCAAACCCTGACAAAGAAGTAGCTCATGTTTTTTCTGCACTATGGCCTGTCCCCAATATTCTCTGTCTGATGGGGAAAAATGGCCACCTGAGGGAAGTATAAATTACAATACTATCCTGCAGCTTGACCTTTTCTGTAACAGGGAGGGCAAATGGAGTGAAATACCTTATGCCCAAGCTTTCTTTTCATTGAAGGAGAATCCACAACTATGCAAAGCATGCAATTTACATCCCACAGCAGAACCTCTCAGCTTACCTCCATATACTAGCCTTTCTACAGCTCCCCTTCCTATTAATGATAAGCCTCCTCTAATCTCCCCCACCCAGAAGGAAGCAAGCAAAGAAATCTCCAAGGGACCACAAAAACCCCTGGGCTATCGGTTATGTCCCCTTCAAGCTGTAGGGGGAAGGGAATTTGGCCCAACCTGGGTACATGTCCCCTTCTCCCTCTCTGATTTAAAGCAGATCAAGGCAGACCTGGGGAAGTTTTCAGACAATCCCGATAGGTATATAGATGTCCTACACAGCCTAGAGCAAACCTTTGATCTCACTTGGAGAGATGTCATGCTATTGTTAGATCAAACCCTGGCCTTTAATGAAAACAATGCAGTTTTAGCTGCAGCCCAAGAGTTTGAAGATATCTGGTATCTTAGTCAAGTAAATGATAGAATGACAGCTGAAGAAAGGGACAAATTCCCTACTGGTCAGCAAGCCATCCCCGGTAATGGATCCCTACTGGGACCTCGACTCAGATCATGGGGACTGGAATTGCAAACATCTGTTGACCTGTGTTCTAGAAGGACTAAGGAGAATTAGGAAAAAGCCCATGAATTACTCAATGATGTCCACCATAACTCAGGGAAAGGAAGAAAATCCTTCTGCCTTTCTCCAGCGGCTATGGGAGGCCTTAAGAAAATATACTCCCCTGTCACCCAACTCCCTCAAGGGTCAACTGATCCAAAAAGATAATTTTATTACCCAATCAGCCCCAGGTATCAGGAGAAACCTCCAAAAGTGAGCCCTGGACCCTGAATAAAATCTGGAGGCATTATTAAACCTGGCAACCTCGGTGTTCTATAATAGGGACCAAGAGGAACAGGCCAAAAAGGAAAAGCGAGATCAGAGAAAGGCTGCAGCCTTAGTCATGGCCTTCAGACAAACAAACCTTGGTGGTTCAGAGAGGACAGAAAATGGAGCAGGCCAATCACCCGGTAGGGCTTGTTACCAGTGAGGTTTGCAAAGACACCTTAAAAAAGATTGTCCAACAAGAAACAAGCTGCCTCCTCGCCCATGTCCACTATGCCAAGGCAATCACTGGAAGGCACACTGCCCCAAAGGACAAAGGTTCTCTGGGCCAGAAGCCCCAAACAGATGATCCAACAACAGGACTGAGGGTGACCAGGACAAGCGCCAGCTCATGTCATCACCCTCACTGAGCCCCGGATATGTTTAACCATTGAGGGCCAGGAAATTGACTTCCTCCTGGACACTGGCGTGTCTTTCTCAGTGTTATCTCCTATCCTAGACAGCTGTCCTCAAGGCCCGTTACCATCCAAGGAATCCTGGGACAGCCTGTAACCAGGTATTTCTCCCACCTCCTCATTTGTAACTGGGAGACTTTGCTCTTTTCACATGCCTTTCTTATGCCTAAAAGTCCCACACCCTTATTAGGGAGGGACATATTAGCCAAAGCTGAAGCTATGATCTACATGAATATGGGGAACAAGTTACCCATTTGTTGTCCCCTATTTGAGGAGGGAATCAACCTTGAAGTCTGGGCATTGGAAGGACAATTCGGAAGGGCAAAAAATGCCCACCCAGTCCAAATCAGGCTAAAAGACCCCACCACTTTTCCTTATCAAAAGCAATATCCCTTAAGACCTGAAGCTCATAAAGTATTACAGGATATTGTTAGACATTTAAAAGCTCAAGGCTTAGTAAGAAAATGCAGTAGTCCCTGCAACACCCCAATTCTAGGAGTACAAAAACCTACCTGAAGGATGTCACAGAGAAAAGGGAATGGAGTTGCTTCAACCAAGAGATCTATTGTTGGTCAAATCCCTCCCCTCTACCTCCCCATCTATGGATTCTTTGTGGGAAGGACCATACTCAGTAATCCTCTCTACCCCCACTGCAGTTTAGGTGGCAGGAGTGGAATCTTGGATTCACCACACCCGAGTTAAACTTTGGACATCCCCTGAGGAACCTGCAGGACCGTCAGCTCAGGAGTCCCAGGATCTGCCAGACCAGCCTTGATACACCTGCAAACCGTTGGAGGATTTGTGTCTCCTATTTCAGAAGGAAACATCCCAGACTAAAAAGGCTCCTCCTGCTGATCCTGAGGAAAAACCCCTTCCTCCTTAAAAAAGATAAGTGAAAACCTACATAAGCTTTATCTTTAACACCGCTCCTTGCCCCTTTAATGGAATCCTTTTACTAACAAACAGTCCAGGTTTTGTAATGGCAAACATACTCCCTGCGTGACCATTCACCCCAGACCCCCCTGCAGCAGTGCCCCCACCACTAGTGAATGGCTTTTCATCCCCTCTTTCAATCACCCTCTCGAATGGTTCCTAGTTTTTTCTCCAATGGGAAAATAGAACACAGGGAGCCACTCAGTTTGCTCCCAACACCCCTTTCCAGCCACTCACCAGAGCTACCTTGGCAAGTACTCTATTAGTATGGGAAAATGAAAACAACAGACTCACACACCTTTTTAACATACACAACCAGTTCTGTCTACCCAGCTAAGACATATTCTTCTTATGTGGAACATCAACCTATATCTGCCTCCCCACTAACTGGACAGGCACCTGCACTTTAATCTTCCTAAGTCCCAACATTAACACTGCCCCAGGAAATCAGACCCTATCAGTGCCCCTCAAAGCTCAAGTCCGTCAGTACAGAGCCATACAACTAATACCCCTACTTATAGGGTTAGGAATGACTACTGCTACAGGAACTGGAATAGCCAGTTTATCTACTTAATTATCCTACTACCACACACTCTCAAAGGATTTCTCAGATAGTTTGCAAGAAATAATGAAATCTATCCTTACACTACAATCCCAAATAGACTCTTTGGCAGCAGTGACTCTCCAAAACCGCCAAGGCCTAGACCTCCTCACTGCTGAGAAAGGAGGACTACACCTTCTTAGGGGAAGAGTGTTGTTTTTACACTGACCAGTCAGGGATAGTATGAGATTCTGCCTGGTGTTTACAGGAAAAGGCTTCTGAAATCAGACAACAACTTTCAAACTCTTATACCAACCTCTGGAGTTGGGCGACATGGCTTCTCCCCTTTCTAGGTCCCGTGACAGCCATCTTGCTATTACTCGCCTTTGGGCCCTATATTTTTAACCTCCTTGTCAAATTTATTTCTTCTAGGATCAAGGCCATCAAGCTACAGATGGTCTTACAAATGGAACCCCAAATGAGCTCAACTAGCAACTTCTACTGAGGACCCATGGACCGACCTGCCGGCCCTTTGACTGGCCTAAAGAGTTCCCCTCTGGAGGACACTACAACTGCAGGGCCCCTTCTTCACCCCTATCCAGCAGGAAGTAGCTAGAGCGGTCATTGCCCAATTCCTAACAGCAGTTCGGGTGTCCTGTTTAGAGCGGGGATTGAGAGGTGAAGCCAGCTGGACTTCCTAGGTCTAGTGGGGACTTGGATAACTTTTCTGTCTAGCTAGAGGATTGTAAATGCACAAATCAATGTTCTGTGTCTAGCTAGAGGATTGTAAATGCACCAATCAGCACTCTATAAAAATGCACCAATCAGCCCCCTGTGTCTAGCTAAAGGATTGTAAACGCACCAATCAGCACTCTGTAAAATGGACCAATCAGCACTCTGTAAAATGGACCAATCAGCGCTGTGTAAAATGGACCAATCAGCACGACGTGGGCGGGGACAAATAAGGGAATAAAAGCTGGCCACCCCAGCCAGCAGTGGCAACCCACTCGGGTCCCCTTCCACGCTGTGGAAGCTTTATTCTTTCACTCTTCACAATAAGTCTTGCTGCTGCTCACTCTTTGGGCCCGTGCCACCTTTAAGAGCTGTAACACTCACTGCGAAGGTCCACAGCTTCATTCTTGAAGTCAGCGAGACCAAGAACCCATCGGAAGGAACCAACTCTGGACACACCACCACTCTAAATAAAGGTACTTATCAGTTCTTTAGTAAGGAGATATGAGACACTGTTGAAGATCCAATATCTAAACCTCAGAGTTCCTCAGGCAAGTATTATGGCAAAGTTTTTACGTATTCCAAATTCATAAACAGATATAGAGACATGGGTTTAGGACCTAGTTCTGACTTTATTAGTGGACTGGAGGAACAACTAGTGCTACCAGATATCAAAATATATTACAAGGTTAGAATAATTTTTTAAAGTTCAGTGACAATTTAAGTGTGAAGCAAGAGGTCGATATAGACATAGAAAAGAAGGGGACAGGAAAAAGGTTTCAAATAGACCATAGATCTGAATTATTATCTGGATATAGGTTAGAAATCAGTCAGTGAACTTTCAATCATCTAACAAAAATTCTTAGGTCACTGGTCTGCGTTTGTCTGGTTTAACCAGAAAACTAGTGGTTTTAGAGGCCTCTATTGCCTTAGGGCTACTAAAGAGTTTTCTTCTTCTGTAGCTTGTTCATGCCTCCCTGAAAACTCACAAGGAAGCTTGAATAAGTAATTTCAAATAGGCAATACTAGAGGGTATACATTTAAAGGAAAGGCAAAGAAAAAAGAGAATAAGCAAACGGATTTCTTCTCTCAAAGGAGTAGGAAGATGGACAATGGAAATGGAGAAGACAAAAGATGAATAAATACTGGGCACAAGACAAATAAACATATTGTGGTTGGGGGGGAAATATTTAAAAATCTAAGAAAAGGAGTAGTTCTATAATGCCCCAGTTTGTAGCCCTTATTATAGTTATTACATCTAAGGAATGAATATACGTGTGTATGAGAGGGTGGTGAGAGATGCCCAGGGAAAGCTGGGGAATATGTTGGGGACACTATTCCTATTAATGAATATTTTTGTACTTTGGAGTCTCTCAAGGCTTATTCTAGGGGAATTCTTTTTAGACTCTTCTAAGCTAACGGTGCTGCCCTGTATACCCAAGGCAGCCAGACACAGATACTGGGGGTCTGCATCCCCTGGACTAATCCAGACAACAACGACCTTCTTAAGAGAAAAAACTTAGAAGTCGGAGATTCATAATGGCTGCCACGGCCACCCATTGGAAAGGATTGTTTTTAAGGGTTTCGTGAGAGTCAGGCAGATGGCTGGGGCATCCAAGTCTTCCATAATTAGACATCATTATGACTGTTTGCATACTTTTCCTACAGGAGTTTAGCATATATAATTCTTTCCCAACATTAGAATCTGTGGCTTTTAATTTAAAATGTTATGGCTACTGAGCGAGAGTGAAATCAGTTGTATCCCATATTCTCAACTTAGAATGTTTTTACCATGAAATGCTTTGTGAAATGGGAAAAGCCTTACCCACTGTCACACAGATAGTAGTGGGTCTGGCGCTAAGATCCAGCTGTGTTAATTCTTACTCCAACTGCTTGTCTGGCAGGGCCCTTACCCTGCTTGGCACTTTTGTGGTTCCACTGTTTCTCAGAGGCTCACCTGGCATCACATGCAGATTTCCCATGTCAAGTGCATCTCTGATAAAGGCAGAGAATCAAACCAACGAAATGGAAAAGGTGTAAATAAATTTCCCTGCCTAAACTTTAACAGGCATGTCATTCCAAAACACAGGAATGAGGGGAAATCTCATCTGTGATGTAGATGCCATCTATTTTCACTTCATGTTCTTATAATATGAAATGCTCTCTTTGTCAGTTATGTTATTTGGCTCATGCTAAAATAATATCATTCAGGAAAATTACAAGGTGGAGAAAGGAGAGAAGGGAAAGGACAATTGACTTGTGTCTACTATGGGGCAGACTATGTAGCAGCATTTTTAATGATTTCTGTTTGAGGCTTCACATCAGTTCTTGGGTGGGGTTTTTCTTTTAGACATATACAATTTTTTGAGTGGAATTTGAATCACACTCTACATGCTGTCAGATAGTCTGATAATAAAATACATTTCATTGTTTTGTTTGCTCACTTCATAAAAATAGTTGTCTGGAGAAAATTTAGGATATCTTGCAAGCACCATCTTGTGACGAGAAACAGAACTGTTACTACAACATCCTTGTGGGAGAACGGTGGGAACTACATCCTGCCAGCAAGCAGCTTTCTCAGGCTTCTAGAATATACCATCCTCAAATTTAGTTTTGTTATGCATTACGTAAAAAATGGAATCCGAATCTCTTCACCTCCAATGGTCGGATTGCAGAAAAATAATTGCATGGTTACTGAAAATTGAAAATATGAGAAAGATATATAAAAAGAAAGTATAATTCTGGAAAGATACTATTTCCTGTATATCTTTCCATATTTTTTCTTTACATAAACGTATGAATGCATATTATTTCAAATCAGCTTTTTGTCCTGCTTAAGCTCATGGTTTAAACATTTTTGCATACTACTAAGTGTTTTCAATGTGATTTTTTAGTGAATCACTTCAAATGCAATTTTCCCCCAACTTTGCAACATTTTACCTCAATCTTTTTTCTGATTTTGTTTTAAAAAAAGGCTAAATATGTATTAAGAATTTTTCAAAAATAGTGATAGTAAAGCCTGCCCTATCTCTTCAACTGCACAAATAATTCCATTAGCAGGCTGGTTTATATTTTTTCTGATTTGGTTACACATGTATTAATGTAGTCTTTTATGTTTAAATGACATAATATGGTGCTTACCATTCTGCAGTTTGCTCTTTTTACTTCTCAGACACCTTTTCAAGTCACTACAAGTTCATACTTTCATTTGTCAGCTATATAACGTGCCATTGTATGGATGCACCATAGTACATAATACGTTTAAAACTGTTCATAGAAATAAACCAAATCCTATCCGTTTCTCACTCTTACACTTAGATGATATAGAAAAGTGGTTCTTGCTGACCATGGCTGTACCTGTGGACTGAAAGAGCGGGCTGCAGGGAGGACACATGCAAGGCTGTAGTTGACACAGCAACCAGGCTACCCACTTGATCAGGTCCAGGAAAAATTCCACTATTCACAAAAGACAAGGGAGTATGGGAGCGTGTCTGTGGTGTCTATGTGTGTTTATGTATTTGAAACAAAATGGGTATACTGTTTTGGCTTTATTTTGCTCTTCTTATTATGAAAACAAGCACAAATAGAAACAATTCTAAAAATGCTGGAAGTAGTGAAAAATAGATTTTAAAAAAACTTCCATAATCTGAACACTCAGAGATGAACACTCAGAGATGCTGACTGTTAACTCGGGAGTCTAGTTCCCTTCCTAAGGAAAACGAATATACATCTTTACAAGTGTTACCACTCGACGGCATATCTGAATCCCTTTCCATGTTCATGTACATTTATATTTGTGTCCCTATATGTCATTCTCTTTGTGTGTTTACATTTTTCTATCATTTTTTGTGTAGAATAATGTGTTTAAGTCAAAATATAATAAAATCTGTAACAAAGATAGAAATATGTAGTGCCACGTAAAAAATTAACACGAACAGCACGTCTCACCGAAGTCTTAATTTAGAAACTGTAATTTGATCGCCCATTCCCACACGGAGGACTTTAAAAATATCGGGCGAAACAAAAATTCAGAGGATTAATTCCGTTCCAATAACAGCAGTTCAAACAAAACCATTCCATTCCCACCTCTCTCAGGCAACAATCTCTATTTCTTTTCTTTCCTTTTTTTTACTTTAACACCAAGGCCCGAAGAAATTCCCAGAAAATAACTGGCTTTAAGACAGCCATTACCTTGAAGCTTCTTGTCAGCTGCAGCCTCTTGAAATGCTGCCCCTCCCCCAATACTGGCCGGGTACAGCTCCCTTCCGAGCGGCTCCGACGAGGCTCCGCCCCCTCCCAGTGATGGGAATAGCAAGGGGACCTTTCCCTCAAAGGGAAGAGGATCACCAAGTTAAACTGCAATTCCCTTAAAGCGAAAAGATCATCATTTTTAAAGCAGTTGAAAGCGGAATGGCAACATGTGTCTGTTTAATTTACATTCAAACTACAAGAGTGTGTGATTTTCTGGGAAAAACAAAGGTAGAAATGCCTTTACCATATAATAAAGACTCAGTAAAGAACATCTTTTACATATTTTTCTTGCCTACTTTGGCAACTTATTTCTAAAAACGATTTCAAGATCCGACTGGTCAAGCTCTATTAAAAAGCCCCTCTACATCCTTATTTGTACTGCAATGAATTAATACATTATTTTGTGGATAAGCAATTCCCTGAAATTTTAATTCTTCTGGCCCTGGCACATGATGTATATCTCTCTTTTTATTCAGGTCTTCTCATTCATCTTTCAGAAAGTTTCATCGTTTTTTTCAACTAAAGTCATTTCTAAACATAAAACATCAACCAAAATCCTTAAAGAGATATGTAGGTATCTGAATATCCTGAAATTGGAAACAAAAAAATTCTTATTGGCAAAAACACAATAAACCAAATTTGAAAATATAAGAACAAAATTGACAAAACTGTTTTCAACGCAAAAATATCACTAAAGTAGTTCTTACATATTAATAAGAAATAAATGGCAGAGTAAAAATGGGCAAAAGACATAAATAGACAATTCACAATGTTCTGAGAGTATAATTTTTCCCCACTCCTAATATTTACTTCCTTGAGGGCAAGCTCATATGGTGCCACCACAGGAATCTCTGTCCCTTCCTGTACAGCTACAAACCTCTAGGCTATTTTGGTAGGTTTGCTTAAATTTGGAGTTCTGTTATCAAGCCTGTAATCCCAGCACTTTGGAAGGCCGAGGTGGGCAGATCATTTGAGGCCAGCGGTTCGAGACCAGCCTGGCCAACATGATGAAACCCCATCTCTACTAAAAATACAAAAATTATCCAGGCGTGTTGGTGGGTGCCTGTAATCCCAGCTAATCAGAGGGCTGAGGTGGGAGAATGACTTGAACCCGGGAGGTGGAGGTTGCAGTGAGCTGAGATCGCGCCACTGCACTCTAGCCTGGGCAACAGAATAAGACTCCATCTCAAAAAAATAAAATAAAATAATAGTTAATATATAAGCCCATTTGATTCTCACAATAATCAATACCCCGCAACTTCCTCTTCCTCTTGTACTGTTGTAATGTTGACATTTTGGCTTCCATCTGCAACTCCATTTGTTTTATATCTATCTATCCAGTTTGTTCAGTGGAGAAAGGGAGGTGCTATATATCGGGACTCCTCAAAACCCAAATATTCAAAATAAAGATTAAAACTAATACATAAAAGATATTCACCTTCCCTAATAATCAAAGAGATGCAAATATAAAACAGCAATAAGATGGCATTTTTCTACTTAAATTGACTAAGAAGCAAATAAATGATACAACTAATAGAGATCCAGGAAACAAGGGCACTCTTGCTAATGCCACGGTCACAAAGCTAGGAAGAGGGTGAGACAAAATCGGAGCCAAAGTCTGACTCCAAAACAGGAGGTATGCCCTCTTTCCACCACTATTCACTCCCTCCTGGGCTTGGAATCATGTTTCTTTGGTAGAACCAAAGATGATGTCGCTCACATTCAAACTGTGAGGAAATTGGTGAATATAACACCAGCGTGGCCGGGCACGGTGGCTCACACCGGTAATACCAGCACTTTGGGAGGCCGAGGTGGGCAGATCATGAGGTCAGGAGATCGAGACCATCCTGGCTAACACGGTGAAACCCCGTCTCTACTAAAAATACAAAAAATCAGCAGGGGGCGGTGGCTGGCGCCTGTAGTCCCAGCTACTCGGGAGGCTGAGGCAGGAGAATGGCGTGAACCCGGGAGGCGGAGCTTGCAGTGAGCCGAGATCGCGCCAGTGCACTCCAGCCTGGGCGACAGAGCAAGACTCCGTCTCAAAAAAAAAAAAAAAAAAAAAAGAAATAACCCCAGCGTGAGTGTTGCTTAGTCTCATGTCTCTGATGGTGAACATATTGGTGAACTACAACCATCTTCAGCAACTACCATGCTTACTATCCTTGACTTCTTTCTATCTCTTACATCCATCTACATTCCCACACAAATTAAAAAGTATTTTCATGCACTATGCTTTTTTCTTCTTTTTTTTTTTTTTTTGAGACAGAGTCTTGCTCTGTCGCTCAGGCTGTAGTGCAGTGGCACGATCTCAGCTCACTCTGCCTCCTGGGTTCAAGTGAGTCTCCTGCCTCAGCCTCCTGAGTAGCTGGGATTACAGGCATGTGCCACCACACCCAGCTAATTTTTGTACTTTTAGTAGAGATGGGGTTTCACCATGTTGGCCAGCCTGGTCTAAAACTCCTGACTTCAGGTGATCTGCCTGCCTCGGCCTCCCAAAATGCTACGATTACAAGGTGTGAGCCACCGCTCCCAGCCTGCACTATGCTTTTGCACTGACCGTATCTGCATGATAGCATTAACTTGGCCTTAGATCAGTTATGAGAAGTCTCTTTTGTGTTATAGGGGCCTGGCAGCAGCTTCCCTTTCAGATATGGTGATTCCTGGACAGGGGCTGAAAATCATTCGTTATACAGAGAATTGCCATTTTCATTCTACCCTCATTAACAATTGGCAATTCCTTGCTCCTGTGCTTTGCGGTTTGCAGCTGCCAATTCAGTATGGGAAAGTTGCATTTTTATCCTCTTTTGCTGAGCTTTTTTATTCACAAAATATTCACAAAATTAAGATTTAAATTTAGATTTTTATTGCCTTTAATGTTCAGGTGTTGTTTCCCAGGAAGCATTAGAACCTACACATTGCTAATGGATAATGATTCTGAGGTTTAGGTCTCTTAAGATAATGTTATAAAAAATCATAAAACTAGGTAAAGTTGGTGAGGCCCTCACAACCCCATTTGTTATCACAGTGAGTGGGTAAACACATCTCCTGCCACATTCTCGCTATTCAGGTTAGAGACACAGAGCTGCATTTGACACATCTCTTCCTGTAATGATCAAATGGAATAAAAGAAAACTGTCTGCGTTGGGGACTCTAAAGAAAGAAGCCATCATTCTTCCAGAGACTCATAACAGAAGGGTCAGCCTGGGTCAAAATTTTCCTGGTAAGCAACTTTAAAATGACACAGAGTTCTTTGGTGAGATATGGATTTCTGTTGGCAGGACCCAATGTTTAGCTTGTAAGAGTTTATCACCAAGGCATTATGACATGGTTATGTTTCTGAATTTTTCAGACAGCCAAAAAATCAGACAGTGTGGGTTTGAAACCTTTATTAGCTCAGCGGAGAAAAACTGTCCAATCCTTGACAACAATGCTAGGTTGTCATCTCCCATATCCTAGATAGCATAGTCAGCAAGGATGCATGGGTCACCTGTATCTCTATATTAACCTAGATTGTCCAAATATTAAATATTAAGCCATTAATATATTTAAAAATACAATAATAAAAAGAGTTTTAGCTACTTAGTTGTCTAGAAAAGCTGTTTTTTGTTTGTTTTTGTTTTTTAAGAAGCCTCATTCTATTTATCTGGGGATAGTAAATGGTTCTCGTCTGTTGTAGCCTCTTTTATCCCCCTGAACCTTCACAAAGTAGCTTGAATAAAGTATTTTCAATGGGTGATAATTGGATTGCATTAAAACATGGCAAAGAAGAAAAGAGATCAGATAAAAAATTTACTTTACTAAGTAGGATGAAGGTAGACGATGAGAATATAGACAAGACACAAGTCAGAAGAACGAATAATGGGTATCAGATAGGTGGGGTTAGATGTGTGGAATATATTTGGGGGGGTACAAAAAAGAGAAGTATTATAACACAAACCCAATATCCCATCGTTATTTTCTCTGTTGTGTAATAAAAAAGGAATTGTGTGGGAGGAGCTTTGGCAGTATCGGGGACATTGTTTTTGTTCTTGGATAATTTGGCCTTTTGCAACCCTCTGAGTTATCGTAAGTGAATGCTGGGTTCTAATCTTTTCTAAGCTGCCACTACTGCCCTGTCTATCCAAGGCAACCAAAGGAGAGCTCACGGACACAATGAGGCTCAGCATCAACAATCTCACTGACAGCACAACGTTATGAGGCACGGATTTGTGATGGTTGCTGGGAAAGAATTAAGTTTGTTAAACCACTACAAAATATTATTTAAGAGAATATAGTCATGTCGTGCATAGTGACATTTCAGTCAATGACAAACTGCATATATGACGACGTTCCTGTAAGATTATAATAAAGCTGCAAAATTCCTGTTGCCTAGTGATGTCGGTCACAGCCATTGTAACACTGAAGCACAATTCATGACTCACCTGTTTGTGGTGCTGCTGGTGTAAACAACCTACTACACTGATAGTGGCATAAAAGTATAGCACATACAATTATGTGACGTACCTAATACTTGATAGTGATAATAAATGACTGTTATTGGTTTATGTACTTACTGTACTTTTTAATCTTATTTTAGTATATTCCTTCTACTTAGAAAAAAAAAATGCTAACCGTAAAATAGCCACAGAGCAGGTCTTGATTCAGGGGGTATTCTAGAAAAGGGCATTGTTATTCTAGGAGACAACAGCACCATGAGTGTTACTGCCCCTGAAGACCTTCCAGTGGGACGAGATGTGTAAATGGAGGATGGTGATATTGACGATCTTGACCCTGTGTAGGCCTAGGCTAATATGTGTGTTGGTGTTTAACAAAAAAAAGTTTGAAAAGAAAAAAAATAAAAAATTTTTTAAAATAGGAAAAAAGCTTATAGAACAAGGATATAAAGAAAGAAATTATTTTATTTTATTTTTTTTACTGCTGTACAATGTGTTAGTGCTTTAAGGTATTATTACAAAAGTGTTAAAAGATTTAAAAATTTAAACATTTATAAAGTAAAATGTTACCATAAGCTAAGGTTAATTTATTATTAAAAAAATATTTTTTTTTATAAATTTAGTGTAGCCTAAGTGTTCAAGCTACAGTAGTATACATAATATTCTAGGCCTTCACTTTCACTCACCACTCACTCACTGACTTACCCAAAGTAACTTCCAGTCCTGCAAGCTCCATTCATGGTAATTCCCCTATACAGGTATACCATTTTTTGTCTTTTATGTCATATTTTTACTGTAACTTCTCTATATTTAGATATGTTTGGATATACAAATACTATTATAATGATAATAAATGACTGTTATTGGTTTATGTACTTACTATACTTTTTAATCTTATTTTAGTATATTCCTTCAACTTAGAAAAAAAAATGTTAATCGTAAAATAGGCACAGAGCAGGTCTTTCAGGAGGTATTCCAGAAAAGGGCATTGTTATTCTAGGAGACAACAGCACCATGTTGTAGGCAGTTGTGTTGCAACTGCCTACAGTATTCAGTATTCACCACTGTAGGCAGTTGTGTTGCAACTGCTTATAGTATTCAGTACAGTAACATGGTATACAGGTTTGTGGTATAGGAGCAATAGGCTATACCATATAGCCTAAGTGTGTAGTAGGCTATACCATATAGCCTAAGTGTGTAGTAGGCTATACCATCTAAGTTCGTGCAAGTACACTCTATAATGTTCTCAGATAAAATCGCCTATTGAAGCATTTCTCAGAATATGTCCCCATCGTTAAGCCATGCATGACTGTACAGGTGATTCAAGAAGGTCATAAGACCTTAAGCAGGTTCTAAGAAACCTTTATAACTATGTTATCTAGTTTATGGTATGACAACCTAGTATAGTTGTCAAGGACTACAGAGTCAGGCCTCAGGGAGACACCTGCATAGCCTCTTGCATGATTTCTTCATAGTGGTATAATATATGGATTCTTTCCAAAAACTAGAAGTTATGACTTTTAATTACAAACATGATAGCTGTAGAACAGGAAACAAAATGAAGTACACCCCAAATTCTCAACCTAACATAATCCTTACATGAAATGTGGCTTTTAATTTAAAATGCTATGATGACTGTAGAGCCGGAAGCAAAATACATTGTTCTCCAAGTTCTCAACATGTTTATACCGTGAAATGTTTTGTGAAATGGGAAGAGTCTTACTCACTGTTACATGGATACTGCTGGGTCTGGTCCTGTGGTCCAGCTGTCTTGATTCTCACTCCAGCTGCTTGTCCAGCAGGGTCTTTACCTGGCTCAGCACTTCTGTGGTTGACCTGTCTTTCTGGGGCTCGGCTGGCAGGGAATCAAACCAATGAAATGGAAAAGGTGTAAATAAATTTCCCTACCTAAACTCTAACAGGCTGTCATTCCAAAACACAGGAATGAGGCAAAATCTCATCTGTGATGTAGATGCCATCTATTTTCCTTCATGTTATTATAATATGAAATGCTCTCTGGGTCAGTTATGTTATTTCGTTCATGCTAAAATCATATCCTTCAGGAAAATTATGAGGTGGAGAAAAGAGAGAAGGGAAAGAACAATTGACTTGTTTCTACTATGGGCCAGACTCTATGTAGCAGCATTTTTTATGATTTCTGTGTGAGTCTTCATGTCAGTTATTGGTGGGGATTTTTCTTCTAGATATTTATAATATTTTGAATGGAATTTCAATCACACTCTACATGCTGTCTCATAGTCGGCTAATACAAAACATATTTCATTGCTTTGTCCACTTCATAAAAATATTTGCCTGGACAAAGCTTAGTAAACCTGGCAAGCACCATCTTGTGACCAGAACCAGAACTGCAGACACTCAGGCTTCTAGAATTTTTCATTCTCAGTTTAAGAGTTCTGTGCATGTGTTATACAAAAATGGGATCATAATGTTCTCATTTTAATATTTTTCATCATAATATCTCTCATGCAAATTGTATATATCTTTCTACATCTTTTGGATTTCCAAAGAAGAAAGGAAATCTCCACAACAATGGTCAAAATGTAATGGTTTGCTCTGTATATTTCTAGATTTTTTTCTGTAGAGACTTACCAATGTGGAAGCTTTTTGAAACTAGACCCTTTATTCCTCCAGTAATATATTTGAACATCTTTCCATATCAATAATTATTTTCCATATCATCTTTTTGTGAATTGCTTTACAAAATTTTTTCCACATTTCTAAAATTTTATGTTTTTCTCATGATGAAAATTATTCAGGCTTGCTCTTTTCAAAATGAAATTTTTAAAATGGGGAAATGTAATACATAGAAGGTTAAAATATTCTGTCTATTAATTGGAGATATGTGTGGAGATATAAGAACACTTATATCTCCAATTAATAAAGTGGCATGTATTATTTCCAGATTTCTCCAATTAATAAAGTAGCATGTATATTTCCAGGTTTTTATTGCATACACTGTACGAATGCATGCACATTCTTTTTGGTAAACAAATAGGATTACATGATACAGGCCATTCTTCAATTTGCTTATTTTTAGAAACTACCTTGGACATTTACTCTAATCATTGCATTTAGAGTTAACTCATTCCTTTTACAGCTGCGTAGTATTCAACATTATAGATATACTATCCTATATGACTATGTCATAATATGTTTAAAACATTTTACGAATTATTCCTCAGGAGTATAAAGATAAATATGTTCTGCTTGAACCAGAGTCTGGACTATAGCCTCAATAGTTGAATTGCAAGAAAAGCACAAGCAATCAGGTAATGAGCCTTCTCAGACCCATAGAAAAATCCTACTGCAGCTAAAGACAATGGAATGTGTGTGTGGCTATTTGCTCAAGTGTCTGTAACAAAAGTGATTATTCCCTTTTCAGCTCCATTATCGTTTCCAAAAGAATCTAAAAGTACATAAAAATCTAAAGATGAAAATACACATCATCAGTACTCAAACCCTGAGTTGTTCACGGCATACATTTGATGTCTAATCCTTTTTATTTTTTTCCTCATCACATACATGTTTGAATATACTATTTAAAATTACATTTATTTAGCCACATATTTGAACACCTTTCCCTGTTTATATATGAGTTTACGCTATTTTGGGGAAAGTAGCTTTTCCCCATGATTTTAAGTTCTCATCTCAGTTTCTATGCCGACATAGAAACTACATGCTAAGTAAAATGTGGAAGAAAGAAGTGGAAAATTTCCTCCTTTTTCCCCTGACATCCTTTTTTATCAGGCATCCTTTATTACTAAGTATATTGTTTGTTGTGTTTTATTATACTAATGCACGTCTGTTATTGTTATGATCTTTTAGATTTTTTCCATTGCAGTACAAATAGGAATGTACAATTCTCTTGAGAGATAGGTAGAAGTACAGACAAAGATCATATTTTGCACATTATTTAAAAAGCTATTATATTAAGTCATTGTGTATCCCTTGACAAATAACCAAACTAATTCTCAGAGATACTCGAATTTGCACAGTTATGCATTACTTTAAATTACTAACATACTCCACCAAAACAGTAAGATTTGTTAGAAACACAACACATTCAAAGTAATATAAAAAACCAACATCCCCAACAACTTAATTTTTCATTTAAGACTATTACAACCTTTTTCAAAATAAGGAAGATTAAACTCCCAAGTTTTGTTTCATCATTTATCTCAGCCACCACTGCCTTTTGATGGAAACATAAAATGCTCTATTAAAAAGTTAGCTTTTGCTACCTCTTTAAGAATATTTTTCCACAGGTGTAATGTTGATTACCACCTCCCCGACTGTGGACTTTTAAAATAATCTGAAGGAACACAAAACACAGATATTAATTCCCTCACAGAAACAACGACCCTCACAGAACGACACTCCTTTCCCGTTATTCCTAAGCAGCACTCTCTTCTTTTCTCACCTTTATTCCAAATCTTCGAGAACTCTCTGAAAATAACTAGCATTTACGACAGCCATTACCTCCAAGCTTCTCCACGGAAGCCTCCGAAGCCTGTGTGTAATGCAGCTCCTCCCCGAAGACTGGCTGGGCGCAGCTTTCTTCCAAGCTCCTAGAGGATGCTCCGCCCCCTCTCCGTGATGGGGAAAGCACGAGGTTCTTCCTTCGCTTAGGAGAAAAATGACCAACTTAAACCGAAATACAGTTAAAGGGAAGAAATGTTCCTCTTAAAGTACTTTAAAGTGTAATGGTAACCTATGTCTGTTCAATTTCCATTCAACCCCCTAGGATAGGTGTTTTAATGGAAAAAGAGAAGCAACAGCAAATCTCTTTTTCATATAATAAAGATGTGGTTAAAACGTTCCTTACATATATTTTTTCTGATCCTCTTTTGTACTTTATTTCTGGTAAATTTAAGACCTACTGGCCAAACTTCACAAAAAAACATACGCTAAGTATTTTGATTTGGATTACAGTGAATTAATACTTTATTTTAGGTAGAATTAATTCTTTACAATTTTGAATCTGAACCTGGGACATAATATATCTCTCCTTTTATTCAAGTTTCTTATACTTCTTTCCTTAGGTCATTTCCAAAGAAAAATCCTCAGACAAAATCTGATTATACTGAAATTGAAAAAAAAAATGTATTAAGCGTAAAATCACCATAGGCCAAGTTAAAAAATCAGCCGCAAACTTAGGAGTGCTTTTCAAGTGCTTTTGTTTGTCCATATGATTAGATAAACAAAAATATACCCAAGCTAGTTCTTTCATTTCAATAAGAAAGAAATGAACAACAAAGTAGAGAAAGGGGCAAAGAACACAAGCAGAGAATTCCCAACGTCCTTCCCTATTCCTGATATTCACTTCACTGTGAAGAAATCTCAAAGCAGTGTAACTTGAAGGCTCTCTGCGTCTTCTAGACTAGAGAAATATGCTTCTAGGCTGATGGATAGGTTTCCTTAAGTCTGGAGTTCTGTTAGTCTCATTTCACTCTCACAAGCAAAGTCCTGCAATTTATCTTCCCCTCTTAATAAAGCTGACAATTTTGGTTTCATCTGCTATTCAACTTATTTTTACCACATTTTCTTCATTATTTTTAAGATATGACAATTGTAAACTTTTTGTACCCACGAGATTACCTCAAAATGTATAATAATGCAAAAATGGATAGAAATACATTATTGGGCAAGTAAGAAAAATTTGATTAGCTCTTATAGAAGTAAAAGGAACTGGTGGTCAGTGCCTCCTCCTGAGGCTCTTTTACCTACAAAGTACTTTGATCTCTCCCAGATTAATGTCTGTTTATTTTGGTCTTGGAATGTGATTTTTTTGTACAATTGACAAAAATTATATATATTCAAGATGGGTAATGTGATGATTTGATATATGTGTACACTGTGAAATGATTACCACAATCAAGCCAGGTAACATATCCATCACCTCACATAGTTACCATTTCGTGTGAGATGAGAACGCTTTAGATCTACCTTCTTAGCAAATTTCAAATATACATTACATATTATTAACTACAGTCACCTTTTCATGTACCTTTTGACCATTTGCACATTTTCATTGGAAAAAATAACTACCCAGTGTCTTTTACTCATTTTTAAAATCAGGTTACTTGCTAGTTTTTTCTTGACATTGAGTTTTATAAGTTTCTTATTGTGGGTATTAATTTTATAAGTTTCTAATTGTGGATATTGACTCCTTATTGGATGCATGGTTTGCAAATATTTTCTCCCATTCCATGGGTTACCTTTTCATTCTGTTGATTATTTTCTTTGTTGTGCAGAAACTTTAGTTTGATGTAGTCCCACTTGTTTATTCATGTGATTTCTAATAGCAAGTTATCTCAAAAGCTCTGATATAATTTCAAAGCTCAAAGCTTCTCAGTATTGCAGCTCTATAAAAACCGCTTCTGTTCATGAAACATTCTGCAAAATTGTGGGACAAATTCTGCTAATGTGTAACAAGGACATAATACTAAGAATAATAGTTTATTGAAATATAACAACATCAAGAACAGAGAACTGATAAACTGTGTTCTATAAAGTCACAAGACCTTGAGAAACATTGCTATCCAGAATGAAAAGACTCTACTCTAAAGTGTCGCTTTTTTATTATTGTTGACATCAGTTTTATTTTCTTTGGTATTAAAAAGTGCTCTAAAAAACCAGTGGTTGCACCACTTAGAATGGCAATCATTAAAAAGTCAGGAAACAACAGGTGCTGGAGAGGATGTGGAGAAATAGGAACACTTTTACACTGTTGGTGGGACTGTAAACTAGTTCAACCATTGTGGAAGTCAGTGTGGCGATTGCTCAGGGGTCTAGAACTAGAAATACCATTTGACCCAGCCATCCCATTACTGGATATATACCCAAAGAACTCTAAATCATGCTGCTATAAAGACACATGCACACGTATATTTATTGCGGCATTATTCACAATAGCAAAGACTTGGAACCAACCCAAATGTCCAACAATGATAGACTGGATTAAGAAAATGTGGCACATATACACCATGGAATACTATGCAGCCATAAAAAATGATGAGTTCATGTCCTTTGTAGGGACATGGATGAAATTGGAAAGCATCATTCTCAGTAAACTATCGCAAGAACAAAAAACCAAACACCGCATATTCTCACTCATAGGTGGGAATTGAACAATGAGATCACATGGATACAGGAAGGGGAATATCACACTCTGGGGCCTGTTGTGGGGTGGGGGGAGGGGGGAGGGATAGCATTGGGAGATATACCTAATGCTAGATGACGAGTTAGTGGGTGCAGCGCACCAGCATGGCACATGTATACATATGTAACTAACCTGCACAATGTGCACATGTACCCTAAAACTTAAAGTATAATAAAAAAAATAAAAATAATAAAAAATAAAAAATAAAAAAAACCAGTGGTTGTAGAACATAAACATACCAAAGTATAAAATGTTGAAAATACCAAATATTGGTAAGGATAAGGAGCAATTGGAAGGTTCATACACTTTTTACAGAAATGTAAATTGGAACTCACATTTTGGGAACTGTTTTGGCACTATTTGCCTAAAGCTGAGCATTATAGAGGTTAAGAGAGAACCATCTAGTGCGTTAAGTAGCAGAGTGGAATATCTAAATTGGTAATAGAGAAATGGTCTCCACAGAGACCTATGGGTACCCAGATGATCCAGTGGGACATAGAAAGTAAATGTTTAAAATTCAATTTCTTTCATTTTGATTTATTTTATAAGCTTCTACTTATAAATATGTTAAATGCACATAATAAATACTATAATGTATTACATACTTTATAAAAATATCGAACAATTGGGAGGTGTCAAATTTTTTTTACAATGGTGATAAAAATATATGTGGACATCCCTGCTTTATGGCACTCACACCCCACATAGCCTTCCCACTTGTCCTTTCCCAAACCATTTGCATGGTTTGGGATTATTTTCTCATAAAAGACTAATTAAGCTGAACTTGCTAAATTTCCTGTATACTGTTTTCACTGCTCAGGTAAGCTAACGTTACTCTCATTAAATGTTTAAGGTAATCATGAGAAACTGAATTACAGTAAGCCATGTCTTTGCAAAATGATTGGTTCTCTCAAACTTCAGGTAAAGCCACAAAATATGTGGGTATACAGTTATTCTATTTGGACTATGTAAGTGTTTTCACTGTAATATTATAAAGCCAAAATTCTTTGTTTTAAGTTCAAGGGTACAAGTGCAAGATGTGCAGGTTTGTTACATAGGTAAATGTGTGCCATGGTGGTTTGCTGCACCTGTCAAACTATCACCTAGGTTTTGAGCCCGGCTTGCATAAAACCAAAATTCTAATACCAACAGTGAGTGTATTTTTCTTTAACGTCAACCTAAATTTAATTTCTTAGTTCTGTAATTGACTTTGAGACCTTGAAAATAATGAGTAAATTTTTTTGGATATCTGGACAATTCCTAAGAAAATCAGAATTCATAAACACAAAGCATCAAACATACCAAATTCCAATTAACAATTTTTATTTAGATTCTTACTTACATATAAAAGTATTTTTATAAAGCTCAAAATAAAACAGTAAAATCAATATTGTATGTGTATCATCTACTAATATGTTGAGAGGTTAATTGTATTTTAAAGCTCATATTTACACCTTTCTATGATATGTGTTTATGTGTGTGTATTTGGGTCTGTGTTTAAATATACACATATAATGGTACATTAATTTAAATAAGAGTAGTTTAGGAACAATAGAGAGGATTAAATTAAAATGAATAATGATTTTAGAACATGTAATCTGACTTCAAAATGAGATTATATAAACTTATTATTATTATTTTATTTATTTATTTATTTATTGAGACAGAGTTTCCCTCTGTTGCCCAGGCTGGAGTGCAATGGCGCTTTCTCAGCGCACTGCAACCTCCGCTTCCCTGGCTCAAGTCCTCAGCCTCCTAAGTAGCTGGGATTACAGGCATGCACCATCATGCCCGGCGTTTTGTATTTTCGGTAGAGACGGGGTTTCGCCATGTTGACCAGGGTAGTCTCTAACTCCCGACCTCTAGTGATTCACCTGCCTTGGCCTCCCAAAGTGCTGGGATTACAGATGTGAGCCACCGCGCCCGGCATAAACTTATTATTTACATTTCATATATTCTATCATGATAGCAAAATATTTAATACGCCTCACCTTCATGTACATTTTCAATCCACACGAGGTTATTCATATTCTTTTGTGCTACCTCTTGTGCTCACAAAGTCTTCATTTCAGGAAGAGCTAAATTTTTATTTATTGTTGTGCTTCTTTCTGTTATGTTTATTTTAAATATTGCATTGTCACTATAGTTAATGAGATATCCATGGATAAAACTGTTTCTTCCTCTTAGGTGTGTATTTTCTAATTTTAATTAAGCAGCTGATTTCCTCTAGTAGCCTCTTTAGTTATTTTCTTCCCCCAAATTTTATCTTTAATTAATTAATTACCAATTTATTTTTTGTAGAGACGGGATCTCACTATGTCAGCCAGGTTGGTCTCAGACTCCTGGCCTCAGGCAATCCTCCCTCCTCAGCCTCCCAAAGTGCTGGGATTAGAGGCATGAGCCACCACGCCTGGCCTAACCCTAAACTGTCTTTAACCCTAAATTGTCCCATTGTCTTATACACCCAAATCATCTTTGGCAGTTTTCAGATGGCTAGAAAATAATACAAAAGGCATACTCCCTCACCTAATAAAAGAAGGGATGAAAATATACTTAGGTATATTTGGCATGCTATTTTATAAGTAGATTTAGTGTTAGAAGAACGACTATCTCTTTTTAGACACACATTTTGGAAAAACTGCCAAATCAAAAAAAGAAAATCAGCCTCTCCTAGATTAATTTTGTATAGGTAAAGGGCTATTGATATAAATGTTTCACTGACTGTATCTTTTTCAGATAGACATAAGCATGCTCTTATTCATGTGTACATGCTGACACAATAACATTTTACAAATTGATGTACATTATAAGATTTCATTCCCAGGTTCTTATTCCTTGCTTTTTAGTGACAATTGTGGTCCACACTTTATAGGAAGGTTTATAAAGTAGACTTGCCAATCACAGTCCATAAAACATAGACTGACTGACTTACACTTACTTATGGTAATTGTTACCTAAATTCTTTTTTTTTTTCAATTTTTGGAAATTTTTTTAAATTTTATTATTATTACACTTTAAGTTTTAGGGTACATGTGCACAATGTGCAGGTTTGTTACATATGTATACATGTGCCAGGTTGGTGTGCTGCACCCATTAACTCGTCATTTAACATTAGGTATATCTCCTAATGCTATCCCTCCCCCCTCCCCCCACCCCACAACAGTCCCCAGAGTGTGATGTTCCCCTTCCTGTGTCCATGTGTTCTCATTGTTCAATTCCCACCTATGAGTGAGAACATGCAGTGTTTGGTTTTTTGTCCTTAAGAAAAGGTCATGGTTAGGTCCGTATATGTATTATACCCAATAGGGAAATCCAGGCTCCTCTATCTGATATATTCAATCGCTGTACTAAATCAACCCAAAGCTGTCAGTCTTGCAACTTTCATTGTGACAGTCACAAAGGGATGTGTCACAAATTACAGATCAAAGATTGGGTATTATGAAAGATGGGTCTAAGAAAGTTAGCCTTAGAGCCACAATGAAATGCACTGTACAAAGGACCCAAGATTCAAAATTTCCCAGACTATGTCAGCCCAGAAGCAGGGGACTTCAGGAGGTAGATCACGATTCCAAAACAAATGGAACAAGAATTTGTTACATGAGACTAAGGGAGGGCTGAATGAAAGGAGGGGAAAGTCTAATTATGATTATTTTCATGGGGATGTTTTAGATACTGTGTTTATAGGTATTCTCTATTCTGACGGTCTTATGCCATAGTGTTTTTTTTCTTTCTCCCTCTCCTTTTCCTTCTCTTTCTCCTTCTCCTCCTCTTCCTTTTATATTTTAACTCTCCACATTACAGCATACCAGAAATATCTCAGTCTTTAAGGTAAATTTCTTGATCTTTATTCTCTAACTTTGGAGAAAGTAAGTTCATAAAATTGGTAAAGAGCATTTCTGGAGTAATTGGGACTTTTTAAAATAGAGCTTTGGATTTTTTCACAATCTTCGGAGAAACAGTTATCAGGGCTTGGTAGTTTCTCACCATGAAAGGGTTGGCAACAATATAATGAGGTGTGGGTATGTTCAGTAACACATAATGCACTTATGTAAATATATCAAGATATGTAAACAAAATACTCTAAAAGCCCAGGTGAATTGACAAATTAATTTGTTACCATTAAGATTTATTTACTTGGTTATTTAATTTGGAAATTGCTCCAAGATGTTGGAAACTGAGTTAAATGATTAATATAAATAAGTACAAACCTTGCTGATAATCATGGTTCTAATAACAGTGTATAAAGAAAGTATGTCTAAGTTTCACTATATTGAAAAATTATAACAAACAATCAAACAACATGTTAAAATGTGAATGATTATTGCCTTTTGGAAGAGGAGACCAGAAAAATAGACAGTCAAAAGGAAAAAAAATATTGCCAAGCTAAGAAATGGGCAAACTATATATTCTACATATTTATTCTCAGATTGAAAGAAAATCACTGGCAATAACTTGCTTTTTGGTGTTCTGCTTCCTATCTCTATTGACTTGATTTCAGGCCTTCTTGTTAGATGTCCCTATTCTACACTGTTGCTGGAGGATGAAAACTTTTAATCTCAAGCAGATAAATTCTGAACATTTGCTGCTTAAATACAAATGTTTTTTTTTTGTTTGTTTTCTGACTGATAGCATGTACCGAAAGTGCTTTTTATTTTCTGACTGATGGTCAGTATGAACTGTACTGCCACAAGCTTCCTTTGTAACATCAGGAAAGGACATTATGTCTTTTAAGACTTTATGAAAGGACACTTTCTTCATTATTATGAAAACCTACTTGTTTATGTAAGCATTCTTAGTTTCCAAATTTTTAATCATTCAATTTCAAAGCCCTTTCCCACCTGGCATGCTCTCTTTTAAATGTTTCTGTTGTTTTGCTGGTTCCCTTGCTGGTAAATTAACAAAATTTGACACATGGTAGAAATAAATTTGTCCAAAGCAAATTTGTATCAGGTGATATACAAAGTATATAACAATTCCGAAGGCATAGACTTTCACCTATCTAACACGCTATGAACAAACAGTATGTAAGAATGCCAGCCAGCCGTGGTGGCTCACGCCTGTAATCCCAGCACTTTGGGAGGCTGAGGCGGGCGGATCACGAGGTCAGGAGTTAAAGACCAGCCTGGCCAATGTGGCGAAACCTCATCTCTACTAAAAATACAAAAATTAGCCAGGCGTCGTGGCGCGCACCTGTAGTCCCAGCAACTCAGGAGGCTGAGGCAGAAGAATCGCTTGAACCCCGGAGAGGGAGGTTGCGGTGAGCCGAGATTGCGCCACTGCACTCCAGCCTGAGCAACAGAGCGAGACTCCGTCTCAAAAAAAAAAAAAAAAAAAATGCCTACTGGCTGAATGTCTTGCCACCTTAAGCACAAGAGCAAGAAAAGAATGTACTGGAGTTGAGCTTATGGATACTGAGAAAGGCAAACTAGTCAATCACTGCTAGGGCCAAAGGAGCCTGAGAAATCTCTGGGCAAATGTGTGGGAACAGGGTGGAGAGGGAAAAAGTGCTTCCAGTGAAGAGAGATGAGCTCCCACAAAGAATCTGCTGACACATGACCCACAGGAATATAAGTTTGAGTTTGCCATATTTGGGAATTTTTGTGTTTCTGAGTCAATATGTAAAACCTGCACATTGCCAATGGCTAATAATAATATGAGTTAGACTGCTTAGGTTAATATTATACTAAGATTTTAAAACAAAGTGCTAAGGTTTCTGAAGACCTGACAACTACCTCATCACAGTGTACACATAATTACAAAAAACAAACAATCCTAGCTCTTGCCACACTCTGAGATCACATGTTAGAGAGACAGAGCTTCAGTGAGAAACAACTCTTCTTGGGATTGACAAGCAAAGAGCAGGACCTTCTGTGATCAATCTTGGTGATTCTAAAGCAAGAAAGAGCCATCTTATTGTCTAGGGGATCCATAAAAGAAGGGCCATCCTGGACCAGAATTATTCCTGTATCTATTCTGCATGAAAGTCATTATCATTTTCTAGTGAGGATATTTGGAGACTATTCACAAGGTGAGCTGTTTAGCTTTAATAAATTGTCAGGGATGCACATACCCAGATGGTTACATTTTTGATTTCTCAATATTACAGGCAGTCTGATAGATATGAATTTATTTCCCAGCTCTACCACTTGTCATGTCATCTTAAGTTTCTTAATTTCTGTGTACCTCAGTTTCCTCATCTATAAAATGTAATTTTAATATCTAACTCAAGTTGATAGAAGTAATCAATACTGTAGTTCACCTGAAATAAAAACATGTGGGAATTTACAGGAAACTTTTGAAAAATAAGTGTAAGTAGGGAAAACTAACACTGCCATATATAAAGCCATATAAGCGAAATTACAATAATTAAAAGTTTTTTGTACTACTAACCCTACCTAGGCATGGAGCAAGCAACTAATGAAGACATAGCGAGAATGGGAGAAAGGGAAAAAGAAATCCAAATGAATTGTAGAGCATCTGAAGATATACATGGTCTGTTGATGTACAGTCATGCATTGCTCAATGACAGGAATACATCCTGAGAAACGCATCATTAGGCAATTTCTTAGTGGTGCGAACATCATAAAGTGTACTTACATAAACCTATAGTATAGCCTACTATACTCCTATGCTATAAACCTGTACATGTTACCATATACTATAGGCAGTTGTAACACAATGGTAAGTATTTGTGTGTGTAAACATATCTAAACATATAAAAGGTACTTTTAAATAAAGTATAAAAGATAAAATATGGTATACCTATGTAGGGCATGTACCATGAATGGAGCTTTCAGGACTGGAAGTTGCTCTTGGCGAGTCAGTGAGTGAGTAGTGAGTGACTGTGAAGGCCTAGGACATTACTGTACACTACTGTAGATTTTATAAACACTGGAAACTTAAATTAATTAAAATTATTTTTCTTCAATAATAAACAGCTTACTATAACTGTTTTACTTTATAAACTTTTTAATTTTTTAACTTTTGATTATTTTGTAATAACATTTAGGTTAAAACACAAACACATTGTATAGTTCTACAAAAATATTTTCTTCTTTTATATCCTGATTCTATAAGCTCTTTCCTATTTTTTAAATTTTTTTTTAACTTTTAAAACTTTTAAAAAATAACTAAAACACAAACACATTAGCCTAGGCCTATACAGGGTCAAGATCATCAATTTCACTGTCTTCCAGCTCCACAGCTTGTTTCATTGGAAGGTCTTCAGGGGCGGTAACAGGCATGGAGCTGTCATCTCCTATGATAACAAGCCTTCTTCTGGAATACCTCCTGTAGGAACTGCCTGAGGCTGTTTTACAGTTAACTGTTTTAATAAGTTGAAGAAATACGCTATAAAATAACAATAAAATGTATAGTAAATGCATAAATGAATAGCAGTCATTAATTATTATCAAATATTATGTACTGCACATAATTGTATGTGTTAAATTATGCTTTTATACAACTGGAAGTGCAGTAGGTTTGTTTTCACCAGAATCACCACAAGCAGATGAATAATGCTACGACAGCTACTGTGGACTTCACTCAGCCATGGGAACTTTTTAGCTCCATTATAATCTATGGGACCACTTTTGCATATGTTGTTTGTCGTCAACCAAACCATCATTATTCAGTGCATGACTTTACATAAATATAGACTAGAAATCTGTCATAAATTATTTGCATCCTGGGAAAATCCTTGGGATATTGACATGTTTTAAATTCCTGGTTCTCTACTAACGTGAGGCTTTTAATATGGCTCTTTTGTTTTAGGATTACTAACTGATACCAACTTTGGTGCCCTCATCTTTTCCTCCTAAAACTGCAAAGGGGTTTAAACACTTGTTTTGAGTGGGCAATACTTGAAGATACTGAATTAAGTACAAGACAGAAAAGGAGAATCAGAAAAAAAGAGTCATATCAGAAAAAGAATCTTGTCAATGAAGATGCAGTAGAGATATGAGAATAAAAAGAGTGGGGATCATACAGAGGAGATCTCATACATGGAATATATGTTAAAAAAGAACTATAAGAGTACTATCATAACACCCTAAGACCAATATATTCTTATTATTGTTCATTTATTTTAAGTTGTGAGTATATTTGTACTCATGTGTGACAGCAACACTGATGTTACAGAAGCCCACTTGCTCAAAGTCACCTGCCACTTTTGTCATCGGAGCCAAAGCCCATGAGTGCCCTGAAGCTATAGGGATCAAAATATACAAGTGCTGTGCTTCCAAGCCTGCTACAACTCCCACTGCCTCTGTCAGAGCCAGAGCTAGGAGCACACTGCTGCGTAGGCTGCCAGACCATCTGTGACACCACAGCCAGGACCATTCTGCCTGAGCAGGAACCCAGGAGACTACATTTCTACTGGGGAACCCACACTCCTGCTGAGGAGTCTACCTCCCCACTCCTACTACTGCAATTATAGGAAACTTATATTGCCAAAAAAAAGAGAGAAAAAAAGAACAATGGCTTCTCTCCTTCTTCCACCTTCCCAATCTCCTACCAGTTTCTCCCATTTACATAATCTAACAGATATCAAGGTAGCAAGGGAGTCTGGGCGAAGTAGTCTATGGGCTTCCATTACTTATAATACAGAAGAATGGAAAAAGAACTGAGAGAATCAGATACAATAGGATTATAATGTCTTTATTGTCAATATTTCTCTGTAAAATAATTATATATGCTCATAGAAAATATAAAAATGCAAAAATACAAGATATATAAGGAAGACAGTATAACACACCAGAGATGCCTACTGTAAATATTTGTGGTTTTTATCCTTCATAAATTTTCACACATATATATGTGAATATTATTTGATACTATGGTTTTTAAATTCAACGATATATTTAAATATTTTTAAATCAAAAGTATTATTTTCATCATTTAAAAGATTATTTTGAACAATACATTCTTTATATTTCTAAAATATCTCATTTTTCTGGTAGCAAAACTCATGTAAATTTTTAAAGAAAAATCGAACCAGGAGAATGTTATAATATAGATGTTGATATAATCCTGTATCTCCATCACCCCTGGTCCGTGCCTGCTTATCCAGCTATGCTCTATTAATTATTGGCATATATTTTATAGATTTTTTTACATACTGTTCAAAAACATGTATTCTGCTTCGAAAATGGGGCCATATGATACATTCCATTCTGCATTTTGCCTTTTTAAAAAATAACATGACATTTCTATGTCACTACATATATAGCAACTTCATTGTTTTTAGAAACAACATACTGTAAAATCTTGTGGATAGGCTGTCTAATATGGTTTGAAAGTATGTTCCTCCAGAATTCATATGTTGGAACCTAAACCCTAAGGTGATGGTATTAAGAGGTGGGTCCTTTAAGGAAGTGATTAAGTCAGAAATTCTCTACCCTTGTGAATGGGATGGATGCCCTTAAAAAGAGGCTTCAGTAAACTGCCTGGCCCTTCCATATCTTCTGCCATGTGAGGACACAGTGTTTCTCCCTTTTGCCCCTTCTGCCATGTGAAGATGCAGCAAGAAGGTGCAAGCCCTCCTCAGACACTGAGTCTGCTGGCACTTTGATCTTGGGCTTCCTAGCCTCCAGAACTGTGGGAAATATTTGTATTATTTATAAATTACCCAGTCTAAGGAGTTTCTGCTATAGCATCAGGAAAGGACTAAGACACCTTACTTACTGTTTAATAACCTGCTTTTTCTTTAAACTGCTTTATTGAGGTATAATTGACCTAAAATAAACCACATGTATTTAAATTACATAACTTAATATGTTTTGACATATGTATAAACTGTTAAACTATCACCACAATCAGCATAACATCTTTTCCTTGCACCCCTTTTTAATCACCCCCCACTCAGTCCCTATCCCTAGTCAACCACTAATCTGCTTTCTGTCACTATAGATTTGTTTTTCCAGAATTTTATATACATACACTTGTACAGTGAGTCACCTTCTTTATCAGCTTCTTTTACTCAGAATAATTATTTTGAGATTCATTCTTCTTGTTATATGTATCAATAGCTTATTCCTTATTATTGCTGATTAGTAGTCCATTGAATTTACACACAATGGATTTTTTAGCCACTCACCTATTAACGGGAAATTTGGTTATTTCCAGTTTGGGGCTGTTACAAATAAAGCTGCTACAAAATTCATGTAAAAGCCTTTGTGTAGTCATATTTTTTTTGCATAAATACCTAATGGTGGAATGACTGGATCATATAGTAGATGTACGCTTAACATTTTAAGAAACTGCCAAGCTGTTTCAAAGTAACTGCATCATTTTACATTCCCATCGAAAATATATGAGTTCAGTTCTCCACATTTTCACCAACACTAGGTATACACAATTTTTAACTGGTCTATTAAGTGTGCAGTTGCTTCCTTATTATGATGTTGAACAACTTTCATGTGCTTATTTGCCATTCATATATCTTCCTGAGTGAAGTGTCGATTCAAATATTTTCCCTATTTTTATTTGGTAATTTGTTTTCATTTTATTTAATCTTGAGAGTTCTGTATACATTCTGTATAGAAGTCCTTTATCTGATATATCATTTTAAAAAATTTTTCTTCTGGTTTATGAAGTCTTTTCATCCTCTTATAGCTCTTCAAAGAGCACAACTTTTAAATTTTCTTGAAGTCTGATTTATTATTTTATTCCCTTAAGGATTATGCAATGCTGTCATATATAAGAAGTCTCTGCCTAACTGAAAGCCATCAAGGTTTTCTTCTATTTGTTTACAATGTTTTGTGGTTTTATACTTCACATTTAGTTCTATGGTTTAATTTTTTGAACATAATGTGAGATTTTTATGTGTATATTCAATTGTTCCTGTGTCATTTGCTGAAAAGAATGTTTCTTCTTCTGAATTGCCTTTGCATCTTTGTAAAATATCATATCAATTGTTCATGTATGAGTAATATATTTCTGAACTTTCTCTTCTATTTCATTGCTCTATTGTTTATTTTTACAATAGCACTACACTATTTTGATTAACGCACCTTTGCAAGAAGTCAGGAAGTATGTTCTCCAACTTTGTTCCTTATCAAAGTTGTTTTGGCTATTCAATCTTCTTTGCATTTTCATGTGAATTTTAGAATCTCCTAGTTAATTTCTACAAAGAGACTGCTGGGATATTGACTGGAATTGTAGTGACTCTACTGATCAATTTAAGTGGAATTGAGACCTTAAAAATTGAGTGTCCTGATACATAAACACTAATTATGTCTCTAAAATCTATATTGTTGTATATCAATATAGTCATTCCAGCTTCCTTTTGATTACTGTTATCATGGTATATTGTTTCCATCCTTTCACTTTTACTTTTTGGTGTGTCTTAATAACTACAGTGGGTTTCTTGCGAGCAGCCTATAGTTTAGTCTTGTTTTTTTACCCAACCTTACATTTAGGTTGTTTAGACTGTTTATATTAGATATGGTTGTTGATGTGATTGGGTTAAAACCTACCATCTTGCTATTTTTTTTTGTTTATTTTACTTTAAGCTATGGGATACATGTGCAAAATGTGCAGGTTTGTTACACAGGTATACATGTGCCATGGTGGTTTGCTGAACCTATCAACCTGTCATCTAGGTTTTAAGCCCCGCATGTATTAGGTATTTGTCCTAATGTTCTCCCTCCCCTTGCCCCCTACACCCTGACAGGCCCCGGTGTGTGATGTTCCTCTCCCTGAATCCATGTGTTCTCATTGTTCAACTCCCACTTATGAGTGAGAACATGAGGTGTTTGGTTTTCTGTTCCTGTGTTAGTTTGCTGAGAATTATGGCTTCCAGCTTCATCCATGTCCTTGCAAAGGACACGAACTCATTCTTTTTTATGGCTGCATAGTATTCCATGGTGTATATGTGCCACATTTTCTTTATCCAGTCTATCATTGATGGGCATTTGGGTTGGTTCCAAGTCTTTGCTATTGTAAATAGTGCTGCAGTAAACATACGTGTGCATGTGTCTTTATAGTAGCATGATTTATGATCCTTTGGGTATATACCCAGTAGTGGGATTGCTGGGTCAAATGGTATTTCTAGTTCTAGATCCTTGAGGAATCGCCACACTGACTTCCACAATGGTTGAACTCATTTACACTCCCACCAACAGTGTAAAAGCATTCCTATTTTGCCACAGCCTCACCAGCATCAGTTGTTTCCTGCCTTTTTAATAACCATTATCCTGACTGGCATGAGATGGTATCTCATTGTGGTTTTGATTTGCATTTCTCTAATGACCAGGGATGTTGAGGTTTTTTTCACATGTTTGTTGGCCACATAAATGTCTTCTTATGAGAAGTGTCTGTTCATATCCTTTGCCCACTTTTTGATCAGGTTGTTTGTTTTTCTCTTGTCAATTTGTTTAAGTTCCTTGTAGATTCCGGATATCAGATCTTTGTCAGATGGGTAGCTTGCAAAAATTTTCTCCCATTCTGCAGGTTGCCTGTTCACTCTAATGATAGTTTCTTTTGCTGTGCAGAAGCTGTTTAATTTGATTAGATCCCATTTGTCAATTTTGGCTTTTGTTGCAATTGCTTTTGGTGTTTTAGTCATGAATTTTTTGCCCATGCCTATGTCCTGAATGGTATTGCCTAGGTTTTCTTCTAGGGTTGTTATGGTTTGGGGTTTTACATTTAAGTCTTTAATCCATCTTGAGTTGCCTTTTGTATAAGGTGTGAGGAAGGGGTCCACTTTCTGTTTTCTGTATATGGCTATCCAGTTATCCCAGCACCATTTATTAAATAGGGAATCTTTTCTCCATTGCTTGTTTTTGTTCGGTTTGCTGAAGATCAGATGGTTGAAGATGTGTGGTGTTATTTCTGAGGTCTCTCTTCTGTTCCATTGGTCTATATATCTGTTTTGGTACCAACACGATGCTGTTTTGGTTACTGTAGTCTTGTACTATAATTTGAAGTCAGGTAGCGTGATGCCTACAGCTTTGTTCTTTTTTGCTTAGAATTGTCTTGGCTAAATGGGCTTTTTTTGGTTCCATATGAAATTTAAAGTAGTTTTTTTTCTAATTCTGCGAAGGAAGTCAATGGTAGCTTGATGGGAATAGCACTGAATCTATAAATTACTTTGGGCAGTATGGCCATTTTCACGATATTGATTCTTTCTATCCATGAGCAGGGAATGTTTTTCCATTTGTTTGTGTCCTCTCTTATTTCCCTTAGCAGTGGTTTGCAGTTCTCCTTGAAGAGGTTCTCCATGTCCCTTGTAAGTTGTACTCCTAGGTATTTTATTGTCTTTGTAGTCATTGTGAATAGGAGTTCACTCATGATTTGGCTCTCTGCTTGTCTATTGTTGGTGTATAGGAATGCTTGTGATTTTTGCACATTGATTTTGTATCCTGAGACTTTGCTGAAGTTGCTTATCAGCTTCAGGAGTTTTTGCGCTGAGACGAAAGGATGCCTTCTCTCACCACTCCTATTCAACATAGTATTGGAAGTTCTGGCCAGGGCAATCAGGCAAGAGAAAGAAATAAAGGGTATTCAAGGAGGAAGAGAGGAAGTCAAATTGTCTCTGTTTGCCAATGACATTTCCATTTGCCCCAACTTCTCTTTGTTCCTCTTTTCCTCTTGTTCTGCCTTCTTATGAATTAATTGAATATGTTTCATGATTCCATTTTAAATATGTCTTTAACTTATGACAGTGTATCTTCAAGTTATATTATACAATTTCATGCCTTAAGAATCTTTCCACAGTATACTTTTATTTCTCCATCCCCAAACTTTGTGCTATTGTTGTCATACATTTTACTTATACATATGTTTTTAAATCCACAATATCTTGATAGCATTTAAATAGTCAATTCTGAAGACATTTAAGAAAAAATCTGTTTGATTTATTCATGTGGTTACCGTCTCCAGTACACTTGCATTACTTTGTGTAGCCAGATTTTATCTGAAATCATATTCTGTTTCCCTGAAGGACTTCCTGTAACCTATCTTGTAGCAGAATTTTGCTGGTGACAACCACTTTCAGCTTTGTATGTCTGAAAACCTATGTATTTCCCATTTCATTTTGAAAGCTATTTTCACTGAGTTAGGTATTCAGGTTAATTTTTTCTTAAAGATGTAGTTACAATATCATCTAACTTTTATTGTTTCCAATGAGAAATTGGAGATCATCATTTCCTTGGTACTCTGCACACAATGTGCTTTTTTTCTTGCTTTTAAAATTTACTCCATCACTAGTTTTGAGCAATTTGGTTTTGACATAACTTGCTAAATTATCCCTCAATCCATTAGTCATCCTTTTCCTTTTTTTCTCTGTTCATTTTGGATAGATAGTTCTATCGCTCTGTTGTTAAGGTCACTAATCTTTTCATCTGTACTGCATAATTTGCTATTAATCCAATCTAATGTATCTTCAATCCCACAAACTGTAGTTTTCTTCTATTGAAGTTGGATTTGCACCTTTTTATATCATTCATGGGTATCCTTGACAGATCCAATTCTTTCTCTAGTTTTTGGCACATCTTAATCCATTTTCCAGCACTTATAACAGAATACCTGAAACTGGATAATTTATAAAGAAAAGGAATTTATTTCTTGCAGTTCTAGAGGCTGAGAAGTACAAGGTTGAGAGGCTGCATCTGGCGAAAGTTTTCTTGTTGGTAGGGACTCTTCACAGTCCCAAGTTGGTACAGAGCATAACATACTAAGCATGCTAACAGGGTCACTTAGGTCTCTCTTTCTCGACTTAAAGTGACCTTTTTAGGTGCTCAATATTGAATTGCTATAAATATTCTTGTGGTTTGTTCTGAAATGTGGTTATAGTTTTTGAAAAGAGTTTGATCCTCTCAGGTCCTATTTTTAAACTCTTTAAAACTGAAACCAAAGCAGGGTTTAATCTAGAACTAGCTTTCCCTACACAGGCAAAACTTTCTGAGTATTCTCACTGGATGCCTGTAAATTATGAGGTTTCCCACTCTAACTCACAGGAACAGAAGTCATTCCTTGTCCTGTTTGAGCTGTGGGAACAGATCTTTTCCTTCCCTTCCTTCCTCTTTCCTTCCTTCCTTCCTTCCTTCCTCCCTCCCTCCCCCCTTTCTCTCTTTCTTTTCTTTTTCTTTTCTTTTCTTTTGTCTCACTCTGTTTTCCAGGCTGGAGTGCAGTCATGAGATCATGCCTCACTGCAGCCTCAATTTCCCGGGCTCAAGCAATCCTCCAACCTCAGTCTCCTGAATAGCTGGGACTACAGGCACACACCACCAAGGCTGGGTAATTTTTTTTTTTTTTTTTGAGGCAGAGTTTCACCATGTTGCCAAGGCTGGTCTCGAGCTCATGGGCTCAAGCGATCTTCCCACTTCCATATCCAAAGTGCTGGAATTACAGGCATGAGCCACTGTGCCTGGGCCCAAGTGATTCTTTCCTCTGCCAGGGGGAACATGCTCACACACTTGCTGATCATTACTCAGCTAAAGAGTATAATAAGACTATGGCAGGTATGTGGAGTTGTCTCTTTGCAATTGGCTCTTCCCCATAACTCTGCTCTCCCAACTCTAGCCTTTCACATCTGATTCTGTCTTCTTAACTCAGGGAGATTACTAGGATCTACTTGGGTACCTGCCTGCCATACAGGCCTGAAAACTTTCCAGACTGTAAGTTGGAGTAATCTTAGGGCTCACATAATTTATTTCCTATATCTCAAGGATTGATGTCTTTTTTTTTATCCAATAGCCAATGTCTTAAAAAGCATTTATTCATATTTTTTCTGGTTTTATAGGTGTTTCAGGAGAAAGGGTACTCCAAGTCACTATTACTCAATTCTTATCCAAAGTGTAAGTTGCCACATACTTTTTCTAAGTAAACTTTTTGATTTCAAGATAATTGTAGGTTCATATGCAGTTGTAAGAAATCTTATGCACCCACTACCCAGTTTCCCAATTGGTAACATCTTGCAAAAATATAGTACAACATTACAATCATGATATTGACATTTGATACCACCAAAATATATAACAGTTCCATCAATACAAAGATCCCTCATGATGTCCCTTTTCTAGCCACGCCCAACTCGCTATCCCATCCCATTCTTGACTCCCTGACCACGGGCAATCACTAAATTGTTCTCAATTTTTCATAATTTGGTCATTTCAAGAATGTTACATAAATGGAATTATACAGTTTAAAATATTTTAGGATTGGCTTTTTTTTCCCAGTCAGTACAATTCCCTGGAGATTCATCCAAGATTTTGTGTATATCAATAGTTACTTCTTTTTTATTGACAAGTAATATTTCATGGTGGGGTATGCTACATTTGTTAAACATCTGCCCATTGAAGGATATCTGGGTTATTTTCAATTTTTGGTATGTTATATATTTGGTATGTTAATTCGTTAAGTAAAGATGCTATAAAGCATGTACAGATGATTTTGTTAATATAAGTTTTGTCTGAGACAAATTCCCAAGAGTATAATTGATGGGTTATGATAGTTGAATATTTAGTGTTATAAGAACTGCCAAACTTTTCCAGAGTGGCTATACCATTTTACATTCCTGGTAGCAATATATCCAGTTTATCTGCATCCTCACCAGCATTTGGTATTATTGCTTAAAAAAATTAGCTATTCTGATATACAGATAATGATATCACATTGTGGTTTTAATTTGCCTTTCTCCAATGATCAATCTTCTCATATGCTTATTTGCCATTTCAAATCCTATTCAGTGAAATACCTGCTTATTTTCTAATTGGATTGCTTGTTTGTTACTATTAAATTTTGAGAGTCCTTTATATATTCTAAATATTAGTCCATTATAATATGGGTGTGTGCAAATATATTCTTGTAGTGTATAGTTTATTCTTTCATCCTCTTAACATGACTTTGTCAGAACCAAAGTGTTTAATTTTGACAAGTTCGAATTCTTTGTTTTTTGTTTTTATGAATAGTGGCATTGGTTTCAAGTCTAACAATTGCTTAGCACTAAATACTGAAGATTTTTCCTAAAAGTTGTATAGATTTACATGTCAGACTTAAGATCATGATGCACTTTGAGTTAATTTTCATATAAGGTGTGAAGTTTAAGGTGGATTTTGCTTCTTTGCCTATGGATGTCCAATAGCTCCAGGACCCTTTGTTGAAAAAGATTATCCTTCTCCCCTTAAATTGCTTTTGCTTGTCAAAACTTGATTAAGCATATTTGTTTGGGACTATTTCTGGGTTCTCCATTCTGTCCCATTGATCCTTGTGTCTATGTCATTGCAAATACCACATTTTGATTGTTTTGATTACTGTGCTGTATATTAAGTACTAATGTCAGTAGAGTAATTCAGCTACTTTAGTTCCCTTGCCTTTCCATACAAATTTGAAAATAAGCTTGTCTATGCCTGCAAAAACATGCTGGGATTTTGATAGGAAATCAATTAAATCTAAGATCCATTTGGGGATAACTGATATCTTTATTGAGACTTTCAATCCATGAACACAATTTCCAATACTTTCCAAGCTTTCAGGTCTTCTTTGATTTCTTTAAGCAGCATTTTGTAATCCTCAGCATACAGAATCTACACATGTTCTGTTAAATATATACCTATGTATTTCATTTACTTTGGAGGGGTTGTAAATTATGTTGGCTTTTTAAATTTTTGGCCTCTGCATGTTTGTTGTTAGCATGTAGAAATATTATTATGTTTTGCATGTTGATCTTTTATCTTGAAACATTGCCAAACTCACTGATTAGTTCTAGGAGTTTTAGTAGACTAATTGGAAATTTCTACTTAGATAATTATGTTATCTGTGAACAAGGCCAGTTTTATTTCTTCCTTTGCAATATGTATGTCTTTTGTATCTTTTCCTTGCTTCATTGCAGTGGCTTGAATTTCCAGTACTATGTTGAATAAGAATGGTGAGAGCAGACACCCTTGGCTTGTCCCTAATCTTGGAGCAAAAGCGTTGTCTTTCACCACTAAATATGATGTTAGTTATAAGTTTTTTAATAGATCTCTTTATCAAATTAATTTCCTTGTATTCCAATTTGCTGAATTTATTATGATTGGATGATGGGTTTTATCAAATGCATTTTTGCATTGATTGATATGATCATATGATTTTTCTTGTTTTGTTTATTGATATGGTAAATTATATTAATTTTCAAATGTTGAATGAGCCCTGTATAATTTGAATAAATTCCACTTGATTATTTTTAATAAAGCTTTTTAACGTATTGTTGGATTCAGTTTGCTAATATTGTATTGAGAATTTTTGAACCTAAGTTCATGAGAAATATTGGTTTGTGTTTTCTGTGTCTACTGTGTTTGGTTTTCATAGTAGGGTAATACTAGTTATATAAAACCAACTGGAACGTATTTTCCTCCTTTTCTTTTTTGAGAAAATATTATGTAATATTGGTTTTAATTATTCATTAAATGTCTGATTAAATTATCCAGCTTGGCTTAGATATTTCTTTCTCTTGTATCATTTAACTTTATTTTATTGAAATTTAAAATACACAGCCTTTATTTTCTATTTTATTTTATTTTTTAACTTTTAAGTTTAGGGATACATGTGTATGTTTGTCATATAGGTAAACTTGCATCGTAGAGGTTTGTTGTACCAATTATTTCATCACCCAGGTATTAAGCCTAGTATCCACTGGCTATTTTTCTTGATTTTCTCCCTCCTCCCAACCTCCACCTTCTGGTAGGTCCCGGTGTCTGTTGTTCCCCTCTATGTGTCCATGTGTCCTCATCATTTAGCTCCCACTTACAAGTGAGAACATGTAGTATTTGGTTTTCTGTTCCTTCATTAATTTACTAAGTATAATAACCTCCATTATCCTTAGTAATTGTCCTCTAGCTCCATCCATGTTCCTGCAAAGGACATGATCTCAGTCTTTTTGATGTCTGCATAGTATTTCATCGTGCATATATACCACATTTTCTTTATCCAGTCTACCATTAATGGGCATTTAGATTGATTCTATGTCTTTGCTGGTATGAATAGTGCTGTAATCAACATACACGTGCATGTGTCTTTATGATAGAATGATTTATATTCCTTTGGTTATATACCCAAAAATGAGATTGCTGGGTTGAACGGCAATTCTGCTTTTAGCTCCTTGAAGAATAATTACATTACTTTCCACCATGGTTGAACTAATTTACGCTCTCGTCAGCAGTGTATAATTTATTTTTCTCCACAACTGTGCCAGCATCTGTTATTTTTTGACTTTTTAATAATAGCCATTATGACCGGTGTGAGATGGTATCTCATGGTTTTGATTTGCATTTCTCTAATGACTGGTGATGTTGAGCTTTTCTTTATATGCTTGTTGGCTGCATGTATATCTTCTTTTGAAAGTGTTCATGTCTTTTGCCCACTTTTTAATGGGGTTGTTTAGTTTTTGCTTATAAATTTGTTGAGGTTTTTTGCTGGTCACATTTTATTTACCAAGTAAATATTTGTTAAATAAAAAATTAATGCTATGTTTTCATATACAATCACCATTATAAAACATAAATGATCTTAAGGCAGCACAGTTCTGTGGGGAAAAGCCGTGACTGTGAAGTCAGTCCCACCTTAGTTTGAATGCAAGTGCTAACATTTATTCATTTGTAAACTTGGAAGATTTCCTAACACTCTCAGCCTTCAGTTTCCTCCTCTGCAAAATGAATGTGATAATAAGCTCCCAAATGTTATGTTTAGGTTCAAACAAAATAATGGATGTAAAATTCCTGGTATTTACAGGGTGCTCAATACATAGTCTATTTCCATTTGCTGATAAATTTGGTTTTTTTAACTATTGTTTTAACTTTTATTTTAAGTTCAGGGATACATGTGCTGGTTTGTTATATAGGTAAACTTGTGTCATAGGGGTTTGTTGTACAGATTATTTTGTCACACAGGTAATGGTGTTGTAGTCTCAGCAATGCAGCAAGATGTAGCAGTCTCTTGTCTGAGATAATGCCCAGAGTTCTTTGTCCTACCTCCAAGAAGATTAAGGAGTGCAGACACAAAGGTGAGGTTAGAGTGAAAGTTTAATAAATGAAAGAAGAAAGCTCTCTGCCAGCAGAGAGGGGGGCCCAAAAGGGGCAGCTCCTATGATGCTGGGGTCCAGGATTATTATGGACTGGGAAGGGGAAGGAATGTGCTTATTCTGTGGGCTGTCTTGGAGAACAGTGTGATCAGCTTGGCACACGGACTTGGCCCAGAACCAACTGGGTGCTGAAATGATTAATAGTTGCTGCTTAGCTTGGCCCAGGGATTATCAGAAGCTGAAGTGAAAGCTTGGTCTGTGACCTTGGCCCGGGACCAATCAGGTGCTGAAGTGATGATTCTTAGAAGCTGGAACACACCAAGCCCACTGTGCCCATGCCCACAAAGGAAGAAATATTTTTCCTGGGAGCCCACTGACTATATAAAGGACAAAGGCATTTCTGTGTCAGGCCTTGTTCCCTTATCTGAGTAAGCTGGAGGTTTGTGCAAGTTTTTATCCAAATGGGCCAGAAGTTTTTCTATCTGTGCAGCCTGGGCATGTCTCCAGGCACAACACCCTGTGCTAGTTCTCTTATCAGTGCCTGCAGCTTGAATTTTTTTCCCAGGCTGCTTTTTATGCTATGTGGGGATGAAGCACTGACCCAAGGGCTGGAGGCTCTCCAGGAACCCTTCCCTTGTTATCTACCTAAGGCAAGCTAACTAACTCCTTTCAATAAGCCTAGTACCCATCAGTTATTTTTCTTGAATCTCTCCTTCCTCCCATTCTCCACCCTCCAGTAGGCCCTAGTGTCTGTCATTCCCCTCTATGTGTCCATGTGTTCTCGCCATTTAGCTCCCACTTATAAGTGAGAACATGTGGTATTTGGTTTTCTGTTCCTATGTTAGTTTGATAAGAATAACGGCCTTCAGCTCCATCGGTGTTTCTGCAAAGGATATGATTTCAGTCTTTTTAATGACTGCATAGTATTCCATTGTGTGTATGTACCTCATATTCCTTATCTGGTCTAATGGATAAAGAATTAAGGGACATTTAGGTGGATTCTATGTCTTTGCTACTATGAATAGTGCTGCAATGGACATACACCTGCATTTGTCTTTATGATAGAATGATTTATATTCCTTGGGTTATATACCCATGTATTAGTCTGTTTTCATGCTGCTGATAAAGATCTACCCAAGAATGGGTAATTTATAAAGAAAAAGAGGTTTAATGAACTCACAGTTCCATGTAGCTGGGGAGGCCTCACAATCACTGTGGAAGGCAAAAGGCACATCTTACATGGTGGCAGGCAAGAGAGAATGAGAACCAAGTGAAAGGGGTTTCCCCGTATAAAACCATCAGATCTCATGAGACTTATTCACTACCATGGGAACAATATAGGGGAAACAGCCCCCATGATTCAATTATCTCCCACTGGGTCCCTCCCACAACACTTGGGAATTATGGGAGCTACAATTCAAGATGAGATTTGGGGGGGGACACAGCCAAACCATATCAACACAGTAATGAGATTACTGGGTCGATTGGCAGTTCTGTTTTTAGCTCTTTCAGGAATCGCCATACTGTTTTCCACAATAGTTGAAATAAATTACATTCCCATCAACAATGTATAACCACACCAGCATATGTTATTTTTTTGACTTTTTAATAATAGCTATTCTGACTGGTGTCAGATGGTATCTAATTGTGGTTTTGATTTGCATTTCTCTAATGATCAGTGATGTTGAGCAGTTGTTCATATGCTTCCTTGTTGGCCACCTGTATGCTTTCTTTTGAAAAGTGTGTATTCACGTCTTTTGTCCACTTTTTAATGGGATTGTTCATTTTTCTTGTAAATTTGTTTAAGTTCCTTATAGATGCTGGATATTAGACCTTTGTCAGATGCATAGTTTGCAAAAATGTTCTCCCATTCTGCAGGTTGTCTGTTCACTCTGTTGATAGTTTCCTTTGCTGTGCAGAAGCTCTTTAGTTTAATTAGGTCTCATTTGTCAATTTTTGCTTTTGTTGCAATTGCTTTTGGTGTCTTCCTCATGAAATCTTTGCCTGTTCCTATGTCCAGAATGACATTGCCTAGGTTGTCTTCCAGGGTTTTTATAGTTTTGGGTTTTACATTTAAGGCTTTATCTTGAGTTGATTTTTGTATATGGTGAAAGGAAAGGGTTCAGTTTCTATCTTCTGCATATGGCTTGCCAGTTATCACAGCACCATTTGTTGAATGAAGAGTCAATTTCCCATTGCTTGCTTTTGTTAGCTTTGTCAAATATCATATGGTTGTAGGTGTGAGGCCTTATTTCTGGGCTCTCTCTTTTGTTTCATTGGTCTATATGTCTGTTTCTGTACCAGTACCATGCTATATTGGTTACTGTAGCCCTGTAATATAGTTGGAAATTGGGTAATGTGATGCCTCCAAATTTGTTCTTTTTGCTTAGGATTGCCTTAGCTATTCAGAATTTTTTTATGCTTCTGTATTAATTTTAAAATGGTTTTCTGTAGTTCTGTGAAGAATGTCATTGGTAGTTTGATAGGAATAGTATTGAATCTGTAAACTGCTTTGGACAGTATGGCCTTTTTAACACTATTGATCCTTCCTATCCATGAGCATGGAATGTTTTTTCATTTATTTATGTCATCTCTGATTTCCTTGAGCAGTGTTTTGTAGTTCTTGTGGTAGAGATCTTTCACCTCCCTTGTTAGCTGTGTTTCTAGGAATTTTATTCTTTTTGTGGCAATTGTTAATGGGATTGCATTCCTGATTTGGCTCTTGGCTTGACTTTTGTTGATGTATAGGAATGCTACTGATTTTTGTATGTTGATTTTGAATCCTGAGACTTTGCTGAAGTTGTTTATCAGCTAATGAGCTTTGGGGGCAAGATATAGACTCATGTTGTTTGAAAACAGGGATAGTTTGATTTCCTCTCTTCCTGTTTGCGTGGCTTTTATTTCTTTCTCTTGACTGATTATTCTGGCCAAGACTTCCAATACTATGTTAAGTAGGAGTGGTGAGAGAGGTTGTTCTTGTTTTGTGCCAGTTTTCAAGACTAATCCTTCCAGCTTTTGCCCATTGAATATGATGTTGGCTGTGGGTTTATCATAGATCTCTCTTATTATTTTGAGGTAGATTCCTTCTATACCTAGTTTATTGAGAGTTTTTAACATGAAGGGGTGCTGAATTTAACGATAGCCTTTTCTATATCCATTGAAATAATCATGTGGCTTTTGTCTTTAGTTCTGTTTATGTGATTAATCACATTTATTGATGAGCCCATGTTGCAACGACCTTGCATCCCAGGGATGAAGCCTACTTGATCATGTGCATTAGCTTTTTGATGTGCTGCTGCATTCAGTGTGCCAGTATTTTGTTGAGGATTTTTGCACTGATGTTCATCAAAGATATTGCTATGGTTTTCTTTTTTCTTGTGTCTCTGCCAGGTTTTGGTATCAGTATAACGCTGGCTTCATAGAATGAGTTGGGGAGGAGTCTTTCCTCCTCATTTTTTAGAAATAGTTTCAGTAGGAATGGTACCAGCTGTTCTTTGTACATCTGGTAGAAATCAGCTGTGAATCCATCCAGTCCTGGGCTTTTTTTCTTTAACTGGGCAGCTACTTATTACTGTTTCAATTACAGAGCTTGTAATTGATCTGTTCAGGGATTCAATTTCTTTCTGGTTCTGTCTTGGCAGTGGATATGTGTCCAGGAATTTATCAATTTCTTTTAGGATTTTTATTTTGTGTGCATAGAGGTGTTAATAATATTCTCTGATGGTTATGTATATTTCTGTGGAGTTAGTTGTAATATCCCCTTTGTCCTTTTTATTTGTGTTTATTTGGATCTTTTCTCTTTATTAGTGTAGCTAGTGGTCTATCCATTATTTTTTTTTTTTTTCAAAAAGACAACTCCTGGACACATCGATCTTTTTATTGGTTTTTCGTGTCTCAATCTTCTTCATTTCAGCTCTGATTTTGGCTATTTCTTGTCTTCTGCTAGCTTTGGGGTTGGTTTGCTCCTTGTTCTATAGTTACTTTAGTTGTGATGTTAGGTTGTTAAATTGAGATCTTTCTAACTTTTTGATGTGGGTGCTTAGTGCTATAAATTTCCCTCTTAACGCTGCCTTAGCTGTGTCCCAGAGATTCTGGTATGTTGTATCTTTGTTCTCATTACAACTTCTTGATTTCTGCCTTAATTTCATGATTTACCCACAAGTCATTCAGGAGCTCATTGTTTAATTTCCATGCAATCGTATGGTTTTGAGTGATTTTCTTAGTCTTGGTTTCTAATTTCATTGTGCTGTGGTCTAAGAGAGTGGCTGTTATGATTTCAGTTCTTTTGCATTTGCTGAGAAATATTTTATGTCTAATTGTGTGGTCAGTTTTAGAGTATGTGCCATGTGGCTGTGTGAAGAATGTATATCCTGTTGTTTTGGGGTGGAGAGTTCTGTAGATGTCTATCAAGTCTATTTGACCCAGTGCTGAGTTCAGGTTCTGAATATCTTTGTTAATGTTTGCCTCGATGATCTGTCTAATATTGTCAGTGGTGTATTGAAGTCTCCCACTATGATTGTGTGGGAGTCTAAGTGTCTTTGAAGGTCTCTAAGAACTTGCTTTATGAATCTGGGTGCTCCTGTGTGGGGTACATACATATTTAGGATAGTTAGTTCTTATTGTTCAATTGAACCCTTTACCATTATGTAATGCCCTTCTTTGTCTTTTTGATTTTTGTTGCTTTAAAATAGTTTTGCCTGAAGTTAGGATTGTAACCCCTGCTTTTTTCTGATTTCCCTTTGCCCAATAGATTTTTCTCCATCCCCTTATTTTGAGCCTATGGGTGTCACTGTATGTGAGAAGGGTCTTTTGAAGACAGCATGACATTGGGTCTTGCTTCTTCATCCAGCTTGCCACTGTGTGCCTTTCAATAGGGGACATTTAACTCATTTACATTCAAGGTTAGTATTTATAGAGCGGATTTGATCCTCACATGATGTTAGCTGATTGTTAGCTGATTTTTCTGCAGACCTGTTTGTTTGGTTGCTTTATAGTGTTACCAGTCTGTTTGCCTATGTGTATTTTTGAAGTGTCTGGTAATGATTGTTCCTTTCCATATTTAGTGCTTCCTTTAGCAGTTCTTGTAAGGTGGGTCTGCATTTCCTCAGCATTTGCTTGTCTGAAAAGGATCTTATTTCTCCTTTGCTTATGAGGCTTGGTTTGCCCAGATATGAAATTCTTGTTTAGAATTTCTTTTATTTAAGAATGTTGAATACAGGCCCCCAATTTCTTCTTGCTTGTAGGGTTTCTGCTGAGAGTTCTGCTCTTAGTCTGATGGGCTTCCTTTTGTAGGTGCCCTCTCCTTTCTCTTTAGCTGCCTTTAACATGATTTCTTTCATAAAGATCTTGGAAAATTTGATAATTATATGACTTGGGGTTAATCTTCTTGTGAAGTATCTTACCAGGTTTCTCTGCATTTCCTGAATTTGAATGTTGGCCTCTCTAGGTAGGTTGGGGGAAATTCTCATGGATGATATCCTGAAATATGTTTTCCAAGTTGTTTCCATCCTCCCTGTTTCCTTCAGGGACAACAATGAGTCACAGATTTGGTCTCTTTACATAATCCGATATGTCTCAGAGGTTTTGTTCATTCCTTTTTATTCTTCTTTCTCTATTCTTGCCTATTTTATTTCAGAAAGCCAGTCTGCAAGCTCTAAGATTCTTTCCTCAGCTTAGTCTATTCTGCTATTAATACTTGAGATTGCATTATGAAATTCTTGTAGTGTGTTCTTCAGCTCTTTCAGGTCAGTTACATTCTTTTCTATATTGGCTATTTTGTCTGTCTGTTCCCATATCATTTCATTGTGATTCTTAACTTCCTTGGCTTGGGTTTCAATGTACTCTTGCATCTCAATGATCTTCATTCCTATTTATATTCTGAATTCTATTCCTTTCATTTCAGCCATCTCAGCCTGATTCAGAATCCTTGCTGGAGAACTAGGGTGGTCATGTGGAGGAAAGAAGGCATTCTAGCTTTCTGAGTTTTCAGATGGGTTGAAGTTCCTTTAATCTTTGAAGTTGCTGTCCTTTGGATGTTTTTTTTTTATCCTATTTGATGACCTTGAGGGTTTGATTGTAGTATAAGGTGGGGTTCAAACGTTTACTGACTTTGTTACTGGAAGATTTTAGGGGGCCAAGGCTCATCTCCCAACTACTGGACTGCATCCCCTAACACTGGGGGACTTGTATCAGGCCCCAAATCTGTTATCCGGCTCCTCAAAGTTAGGAATGCACTGCACTGGCAGGGGGCTGAGTGCTCCTCGACTGCTTGTTACTACACTGCAATGTGTGTTGCCAGCCAGAGCGTTTCATAGGGCAATGGCAGCAGGATCCGTCCTTATTCACACATGCCAGAAGCAGTGGCTATAGCAGTGCTGCTGGGTGCATGCTTGTTGGCTGTGGCAGGGGGCAAGTGGGTGCTGGCCTCCATGCAGGCATTCACAACAGTGGAGGCAGGATGCTCAGAGGGGCAAGGGAGCTCCCACTGGTGACTGTGTGCACAGATGCACTGGTGGTGGTGGTGGTGTTAACATAGGGGCTGGGAGCTGGCAGGCGCAGGTCTGTGTGCACCCTCTGTGAACGTTCAGGGTTCACCAGACCACTCAGGGTGAGGGAGGATCCGCTGTTCTCCGTGAATAGTTTCACTCCACCAGCAGTGTTGGCACGGGAGTAAGGCATTGGCATGGGCAGGGCTGGTGGACTCTGTGCCCAAAAAGGTTCTGACTGCAACGGTGGTATGGTGGGGGGTGAGGGAGGGGGCAGAGTGCACTCGGGCCAGCAGCAATGGCAAGGCAGGGTCCATGCACACACACACACACACACATACACACACACTGGTTGAGCATGGAATACAAGATCCACCTACACGTACACCCACTGGCAAGGCAATATGGGGGGTGGTGGTCATGGACCCAGGAAAACTGCAATCATGGGAGGGCGTGGGCAGGTTGGTGCATGTCTTCAGGGACTGTTCTTCTGGAGCTCTCTGCCAGTGAGTTGCATTATGCCAGTGTAGGAGCTGTGATGTGGGCCCCCAGGGCACCAGAGGCTGCACTACAAGCAGGCACAACCAGGCTGGGGTCCCTGGAGAGGCCTGTAGACTGAGGTGTGCTCAGGCCGGACTGGCCTTGTTTGATGGGCAAGACCACCCACCCTTCAGAGTTCAGGTCCAACAGTTTCTCTAGGGCTAAAGTATACTATGGGAGCAAGTCGATCGTAAAAGGGATGGACATCCCTGGTCATGATCCAGTACAAATGCTCCCGCACCAAACCCTCTGGGCTCCACATCAACTGAAGTGCTGCCCCTAACATTTCTTTAAGCAGCTCTCCCTTCCAACTCAAGTGTCCATGGTGGTCAGGGGGTCTCCTCCTGCCAGAATTTCTTTCTTTCTTCCTTTATTTCTTTTCTTTCTTTCTTTCTTTCTTTCTTTCTTTCTTTCTTTCTTTCTTTCTTTCTTTCTTTCTTTCTTTCTTCCTTTTTTCTTTCTTTCTTTCTTTTCTTTCTTTCTTTCTTCTTTCTTTCTCTTTCTTTTTCTTTCCTTTCTTTCTTTCTTCTTTCTTTCTTTCTTTTTCTTTTCTTTCTTTCTTTCTTTCTTTCTTTGTTTCTTTCTTTCTTTCTTTGTTTTTTTGAGACAGAGTTTCACTCTTTTGCTCAGGCTGGTGTGCAATGGTGCTATCTTGGCTCACTGCAACCTCTGCCTCCCGGGTTCAAGCGATTCTCCTGTCTCAGCCTCCCAAGTAGCTGGGACTACAGGCACGCACCACCAAGCCCAGCTAATTTTTGTATTTTTAGTAGAGACAGGATTTCACCATGTTGGCCAGGCTGGTCTCAAACTCCTGACCTCAGGTGATCTGCCCATCTCAGCTTCCCAAAGTGCTGGGATTACAGGCATGAGCCACTGCTCCCGGCCCTTGCCAGAATTTCAGAGGCCCATGATGAGAGCTGGTTGCTCCTTGCCAGTGCAACTTACTTGTTCCCCCAGAACCACTGGTGGCCAGGAATGAGTCCTAGTGGGAGCCCTGTGCAGGGTTCTCAGCTTCCTCCCCATTCAGCCTAGCGTCTGTGTCTTCGTGCGGTCCACTCTCAGTGCTTTCCCTCTGAAGATCTGTTAGAAGTGCACCAGTTGTACTGGCCCCTCAGTGGCAGCTGTTCCACTTGGCTGTGCCTAGTTGGCCATCTTACCCAGCTCCTATTTTTTACTTTTTATCTCCTCAAAGTTTTCTGGAATAAACACCATTTATAGTAGCGTGGAAGAATTTCACCTACTATGGGAATAAATCTCAAAAGATTCTCAAGACATACAGGGAAGAAGGTGGCTGGAGGGCAGGTGGGCCCAGCAAACCTAGAAGGCATGAATGAGCCTCTTGGCAGGCAGGGCCAGCCTCTAGCACTAACTGCATCCTCTAGGTTTGGTCAACACAGAGCCACTCAGATTCTTTAGGGCTGTGCCAGAACCTCGTCTTTTAATTTTAGATACAGTTTATTTAATGTTCATGGGACTATTGTGAGTGCATATTTCATCTTAATTGAGTTTTATTGTTTTGTGTGTTTTTAGGAATTGGTCTGTTTCTTCTAAGTAATCAAATTTATGAGCATAAAATGTTTCATAGTCTTCCCTTATTATCCCTTAAATGGCTACAGGATCTGTATTGATATCCCAAATTTTTTTCCTGATATTATTGATTTATGTCTTCTCCCTTTTTAATCTTTGTCAGTCTTGCTAGGGAATTATAAATTATATTGATTTTTAAGGAATCTGATTTTTGTTTTACTGATTTTCTCTGTTGTTTACCTATTTTTTATTTCATTGATTCCTGCTCTTGTTTTTATTTCCTTCCCTCTGCTCTTTTGGGTTTATTTTGGTCTTTTTATAGTTTACTAAGGTAGAAAATTAGATTATTCATTTGAGAATTTTCCTCTTTTTTACTGAAAGCATTTTAGTGCTATAAATTCCATCTTATCTTTGCCTTAGCTGTGGATAACATATTTTACACATTGTATTTTAATTTTCATTTAGTTTTATCTTTTTATTTCCTTTGAGACTTCTTATTAGATCCAGTGGATTGCTAAGATATATTTTCGCTAGATATCAAAAGATTTGCAGAATTCCCATTGTCATTCTGTTATTGATGTTTAGTTTGATTCCATAATGTTCAGAGAACATACTATATATGATTATAGTTCTTTTTTTGTTGTAGAGATAGCATCCTGCTGTTGCCCAGTTTGGATTGCAGTGGCATGATAATAGTTCATGCAGCGTCTTAACTTCTGGGCTCAAAGCATCCTCCTGCCTCGGCCTCCTTAGTAATTGGGACTACACGTGTGTGCCACCACTCCCAGCTAATACATTTTATTTAAGAGATGGGGCCTTGCTCTGTTGCCCAGGCTGGTCTCTGGATCCTGGCCTCAAGTGATTCTTCTACCTCTGCCTCCCAAAGTGCTGGGATTACAGGCATGAGCCACCATGTTTGGCCTGTAATTCTTTTAAATTTGTTGAGATTTGTTTTATGGCCCAGGATATGGTGACTGTTTCATAAACACTTGAAAAAAAAATGTGTATTCTGCTATTGCTGGGTGGAGTGCTCTATAAATGTTAATTTGATCATGTTGGCATTGTGTTCTTCTGTTCTATGTGCTTGCTGATTTTCTGCTTAGTTTTTCTATCAATAGCTGAGAGTAGAGTACTGAAGTCCCAAAGTATAATTGTCTATTTGTCTATTTGTCCTTTCAGCTCTGTCAGTTTTTGCTTCATGTATTATGAGGGTCTATTATTTGGTGTGTACTCATTTAGAATTGTATCTTCCAAGTAATAGTTCTTTTATCATCATGTAAAGTCTTTCTTCATCACCAGTAATTTTCTTTGCTCTGAAGTCTACTGTATCTAATAATTACACAGTTAACATCTGCTCTTTATTTATTTATTATTATTATACTTTAAGTTTTAGCGTACGTGTGTACAATGTGCAGGTTAGTTACATATGTATACATGTGCCATGCTGGTGTGCTGCACCCATTAACTCGTCATTTAGCATTAGGTATATCTCCTAAAGCTATCCCTCCCCCCTCCCCCGACCCCACAACAGGCCCCAGAGTTTGATGTTCCCCTTCCTGTGTCCATGTGTTCTCATTGTTCAATTCCCACCTATGAGTGAGAATATGCGGTGTTTGGTTTTTTGTTCTTGCAATAGTTTACTGAGAATGATGATTTCCAATTTCATCCATGTCCCTACAAAGGACATGAACTCATCATTTTTTATGGCTGCATAGTATTCCATGGTGTATATGTGCCACATTTTCTTAATCCAGTCTATTATTGTTGGACATTTGGGTTGGTTCCAAGTCTTTGCTATTGTGAATAGTGCCACAATAAACATACGTGTGCATGTGTCTTTATAGCAGCATGATTTATAGTCCTTTGGGTATATACCCAGTAATGGGATGGCTGGGCCAAATGGTATTTCTAGTTCTAGATCCCTGAGGAATCGCCACACTGACTTCCACAATGGTTGAACTAGTTTACAGTCCCACCAACAGTGTAAAAGTGTTCCTATTTCTCCACATCCTCTCCAGCACCTGTTGTTTCCTGACTTTTTAATGATTGCCATTCTAACTGGTGTGAGATGGTATCTCATTGTGGTTTTGATTTGCATTTCTCTGATAGCCAGTGATGGTGAGCATTTTTTCATGTCTTTTTTGGCTGCATAAATGTCTTCTTTTGAGAAGTGTCTGTTCATGTCCTTTGCCCACTTTTTGATGGGGTTGTTTGTTTTTTTCTTGTACATTTTTTTGAGTTCATTGTAGATTCTGGATATTAGCCCTTTGTCAGATGAGTATGTTGTGAAAATTTTCTCCCATTTTGTAGGTTGCCTGTTCACTCTGATGGTAGTTTCTTTTGCTGTGCAGAAGCTCTTTAGTTGAATTAGATCCCATTTGTCAATTTTGGCTTTTGTTGCCATTGCTTTTGGTGTTTTAGACATGAAGTCCTTGCCCATTCCTATGTCCTGAATGGTAATGCCTAGGTTTTCTTCTAGGGTTTTTATGGTTTTAGGTCTAACGTTTAAGTCTTTCATCCATCTTGCATTAATTTTTGTATAAGGTGTAAGGAAGGGATCCAGTTTCAGCTTTCTACATATGGCTAGCCAGATTTCCCAGCACCATTTATTAAATAGGGAATCCTTTCCCATTGCTTGTTTTTCTCAGGTTTGTCAAAGATCAGATAGTTGTAGAAAACTGGCACAAGACAGGGATGCCCTCTCTCACCACTCCTATTCAACATAGTGTTGGAAGTTCTGGCCAGGGCAATTAGGCAGGAGAAGGAAATAAAGGGTATTCAATTAGGAAAAGAGGAAGTCAAATTGTCCCTGTTTGCAGATGACATGATTGTATATCTAGAAAACCCCATTGTCTCAGCCCAAAATCTCCTTAAGCTGATAAGCAACTTCAGCAAAGTCTCAGGATACAAAATCAATGTGCAAAAATCACAAGCATTCTTATACACCAATAACAGACAAACAGAGAGCCAAATCATGAGTGAACTCCCATTCACAATTGCTTCAAAGAGAATAAAATACCTAGGAATCCAACTTACAAGGGACGTGAAGGATCTCTTCAAGGAGAACTACAAACCACTGCTCAATGAAATAAAAGAGGATACAAACAAATGGAAGAACATTCCATGCTCATGGCTAGGAAGAATCAATATTGTGAAAATGGCCATACTGCCCAAGGTAATTTATAGATTCAATGCCATCCCCATCAAGCTACCAATGACTTTCTTCACAGAATTGGAAAAAACTACTTTGAAGTTCATATGGAACCAAAAAAGAGCCCGCATCACCAAGTCAATCCTAAGCCAAAAGAACAAAGCTGGAGGCATCACGCTACCTGACTTCAAACTATACTACAAGGCTACAGTAACCAAAACAGCATGGTACTGGTACCAAAACAGAGATATAGATCAATAGAACAGAACAGAGCCCTCAGAAATAACGCCACATATCTTTTTTTTTTTAATTGACAGCATGGTATATCTTTTCCATATCTTTACCTTTCCATGCCAACCTACCATTGTTATTGCATTTGAAATGAGTTTTCTCTTGACAGCATATTGTTAGGTTATATTTTAAAATCCATGGGCCATTATCTTTATTTTAATTTGTATATTTAGGCCCTTTACATTTAAGGAATTATTGTTTTGTTCTGACTTAAGTCTGCCATGTTGTTATTTTCTTTTTGTTTCCTCTGTTTCTTGTTTCTCTACTTCTTCTTTCTTAACTTCCTGTGAGTTATTTTGAACATTTTTGGGGATTCCATCTTGATTTATTTATAGTGTTTTAGAGTATAGTGCTTTGCTTAGTTTTCTTGGTGGACGCTTTAAGTACAACACTATGCATACGTAACTTATTGCAGTTTACTTGTATCAGCATTTTACCACCTTATGTAAAGTGACAAAACCTTACTTTCATTTCGATCTCCTTACCCTATGCACTTTTAAAATATAATTTGCTTAAGTATTTATTCTACATATAGTAAGTACCACATCAGATGGAGTTATAATTTGTGCTTCAACTATCAAATATTAATCATCATTTTAACCCTTTTTTACTTACTAAAATGTTTCTTCCTTTATAAAATTCCAAACCTTTTTGTGCTATCATTTCATTTCTGTTTAGATAACTTTCTTTAGCCATCTTTTATAATCTTAGATTCACGGGGTACATGTCCAGATTTGTTACATGGGTATATTGCATAATGCTTCAGCCATTTTTTAAGGATCGGCTTCCTAGCATCACATTATTTTAGTTTTCCTTCATCTGAGAATGCCTTTATTTTCCCTTAATTCATAATGTTTATTTCCCCCGATATAGAATTTGCAACTGAGCATTATTTTCTTTCAGTGTGTGGAAAATATTTCCCACATCTTTTTGGCCTCCATGTTTTCAGATGAAAAAATTTCTGCCATTTTAATTGTATTCTCTTTGGCTGCTTTTAATTTTTTTTCTTTCCAGTTTTCAAAAGTATAATTATGATGTGTCCTAGTACAGATTTCCTGGAGTTTATCATATTTGGAAGCATTTCAGCTTCTTGAAATTACGGATTTACATATTTTACTAAATTTGGGTAGTTTCCAGATATTATACCTTTAAATACGTTTTCAGTTCCACTGTCCCCTACTTGAACTTTAGTGATATGAATGTTGGATTCTTTGTTATTGTTCTGCAGGTCACTAGATTTTTTTTTTCAGTCTATTTTTTCTCTGTTGTTAAGATGGTGTAATTTATTTATTTCTTTATTTATTTATTTTTGAGACAGAGTCTCACTCTGTCGCCCAGGCTGGAGTGCAATGGTGTTACCTCAGCTCACTGCAACCTCTGCCTCCTGGGTTCAAGTGATTCTCCTGCCTCAGCTTCCTGAGTAGCTGGGATTACAGGCATGCATCACCACGCCAGGCTAATTTTGTATTTTTAGTAGAGATGAGGTTTCTCCATGTTGGTCAGGCTGGTCTCAAACTCCTGACCTCAGGTGATCCACCCGCCTTGGCCTCCCTAAGTGCTGAGATTACAGGAGTGAGCCACCGCGCCCGGCCAAGATGGTGTAAATTCTATTGAACCATCTGCAAGTTCACTGATTCTATCCTCTATTTTCTTGCCTCTACTATTCAGCCCATTCAATGAGATTTTTATTTCAACTATTGCATTTTTATTTCAAAAATTTCTATTCTGTCTTATTATAGAACTTTTATTTCTTTACTGGGATTATCTTTCTTTTGTTTCAAGATAATTCTTAGTTACTTATTGAAGCATTTTAATGATAACTATGTTAAAATCCTTGTCAGATCATTTCAACATTCGATTCATCTCAATGTTGGCATCTTTTTATTTTCTATTATTATTCATTTTGTGTTTTATTCTGGTTCTTGATATAATTTGAATGGTTTTCAGTTGGATTTTGAACATTCTTCATACAATAGTATGAAAGTATCTATCCTATTTAATCTTTTTGTTTTTATTCTGTGGGTACATAGTAGGTATATCTATTTGTGGGGTATATGAGATATTTTGATACAGGCATGCAATCATTGCATAATAATCATGTAATGGAGAATGGGGTATCCATCCCCTTAAGCATTTATCCTTTGTGTTACAAACAATCCAATTATACTCTTTTACTTATTTTAAACGTACAATTAAGTCATTATTGACTCTAGTCATCCTGTTGTGCTATGAAGTAGTAGGGCCTACTTATTCTTTCTAACTATTTTTTGTACCCATTAACTATGCCCACCTCCCCACCACCCTCCACTACCCTTCCCAGCCTCTGGTAACCACCCTTCTACTGTCTATGTCTGTGAATTCAATTGTTTCGATTTTTAGATCCCAAAAGTAAGTGAGGACATGCAATGTTTGTCTTTCTGTACCTGGTCTATTTCCCTTAACATAGTGATATCCAGTTCCATGCATGTTGTTACAAATGACTGAATCTCATTCTTTTTATGGCTGAATAGTATTCCATTGTATGTATGTACCACATTGTCTCTATCCATCTGTTGATGAACATTTGGGTTGCTTCCAAATCTTGTCTACTGTGAACAGAATTGCAGCAAACAAGGGAGTGCAGATATCTCTTTGATATGCTGATCTGCACTCCCTTGTTTTTTGGGTATATACCCAGCAGTGGGATTGTTGGGTCATATGGTAGCTCTATTTTTAGGGTTTTTTGTTTTGTTTTGTTTTTGAGAAACCTCCAAAGCATTCTCTGCAGTGTTTGTACTAATTTACATTCCCATCAACAGTGTTCAAGGGTACCCTTTTCTCTACATCCTTGCCAACATTTGTTATTGTCTGTCTTTTGGATATAAGCCATCTTAATTGGGGTAAGATTGTATCTCACTGTAGTTTTGATTTGCATTTCTCTGATGAACAGTGATGCTGAGCACCTTTTCATATGCCTGTTTGCCATTTTTATGTCTTCTCTTGGAGAAATATCTATTCAGAACTTCCACCCAGGTTTTTATGATTATTAAATTTTTTTCATATAGAGTTATTTGAGCTGCTTATATTTGCTGGTTATTAATTCTTTGTCAGATGATTACTTACATATTGTGGTGATTAACCCCTTGTCAGATGGGTAGTTTGCAAATATTTTCTCCCATTCAGTGGGTTGTCTCTTCACTTTGTTGATTGTATCTTTTGCTGTGCAGAAGCTTTTTAACTTGATGTGATTCAATTTGTCCATTTTTCCTTTGGTTGTCTGTGCTTTTGAGTTATTGCTCAAGAAATCTTTGCTCAGACCAACATCCTGGAGATTTTCCTCAATGTTTTCTGTTAGTGGTTTCATAGTTTGAGGTCTTAGATTTAAGTCTTTAAACCTTTATGATTTGATTTTTGTATATGACAAGAGATAAGGCTCTAGTTTCATTCTTCTGTGTATGGAGTATCCTATTTAAACTTATTTTTTAGCAGTCTGTCTCCCTGTTGAGGTATAATGCAAGGCCCAAGTGAGCATGTATGTTTAGTGTCTATCTTGACTTTACCAACACCACCTGAGCAAAAGTAGGGCACTACTTCATAGGGGAGACATGGAAGCTCAGCTCAACAGTGGGCTCCACTGACACCAGGGAGAAGAACAGGATTGCCAACTAGCCCTTCTTTGCACCTCCTTGTTCACTCTTGTCACTGGTAGGTGGATGTGGATGTTCAGCTATCTACTGGACTTCACTGACACCAGTGGTAGGGAGGATAACCGCTTACCACCCCTGACTTGCTTCACCTTGTTCAGTGTTATTCATGCCAAAATGGGATGGCGACTCAGCTCTATACTTCGCCTCATTGTCAGTGTACCCTGGCAGATGAATTCATGCCAGGAGGTGGAAGATCAACTTCTTGCTAGTCCCTCTGTCACCCATCTAAGAAATAACACTGTTTCTTGCTTTTGCCAAGTTGAGCATAGGTTAGTTTCCAGATCAGCTCCATTGACATCACCAGGTGGGAAAATTGTAGTGTGCAGCTGCTTTCAAGTCATGGTGTGTGGAGTGGATGATCTGCCTCCTGCTTGGCCCCACTGGAGAGGAGTGCAGTTTTTCCATTGGTGTTTCACTGGAGTAGGGAAGGTATTGTCAAAAAGATCTTCTGTTGTTAGGCTATGCTTTACTAGTACCTGACCAGGAGAAATAGGTTTTACTGAAGCTTTTAGTTTACTTTATTTTTTATCTGTACCTGTTGGCATTTCTGAGTTGGAGGCTTCTGCAGTGCACTGCCCAGGACATTTGGGAGGTAATAAGGAAACAAAGAGCCAATTCACTACTATGTTCTTTAAGTCCCAAGGTTCCCTAGTCAATCTGCCTTCTCTCTTCCATCTTTCAGAGTTGCCTTTGTTTTTTGCTATCTTACATCCTAGGTTTTACAGTTGTATGCATAGAGGGGGATGATAATCATCATTAAATGTCTTAATATTCATATGCAAAAATATGTTAAACTATTTTTTGTCAATCATTTTGTTAACATTAAAAGTAAACCTAATATTCTAACCTAGCTAAGGTATGTAGGAAAAGGTACACTCTTGGTGGTATTATAGATTGCTACAATGATTTCTTAGGAAGTCTCTGTCAACACTTAGGGGTATTCAATGTTTAGAAGTATCTTTCATATTTATCATTATTATAATGATTTTCTCCCAGTAATAATTTTATTACTATAGACGTTTTTATATAGTACTTTTATTTCATTCTATTCTGCATTTAACAGCTTTAAAGAGAAGAAAAATTAAGGTATTTGTATCTAATGATTGACCCATATGTATATATGGAATGTATTGGTTTTAAAATCAGTAGTTTTATCTTTTTAACTTGTTTTTTCAATTGTGCTTCACTTTTTCAGTTGAGGCGTACTTTTCATAAACTATACAAATATTAATTGTACAGACCAATTTTATTTTATATAGATATACACCCCTCTAACTACCACATAGTTCAATATATAGACAATTTTCCCTGGTTTTTGTTTATCTTTCCAGTCAGGAGCTACCACTCCTGAGCCAACAACATTTCTGACATGTACCAACATAAATTAGTTTTGTCTGGTCTTGAAGTTTATAAATGGAATTATACAGCATGTATCCCTGTGTGTATGGTTTCCATCATTAAGTATTATCTGTGAGATTCAACCATGTTGAGTTTATTAGTAGTTCCTTCTTTTGTCTTGCTGCATAGTATTCCATTGCATGATTCTAACACAAAGTTCAAAAGGATTAAAATTGCTTTTCGATATATTTGCATGATGGCTGCATTAAAATCCTTGTTCAACAGTTTTAAAATTTAATCTTCATGGTTTTGGCATCATTTGATTATCTTTTCTCAGTCAGTTTGTGATTTTGTGGTTTCTTGGTATGATGATTTTAAATTTTATTCTGGAGATTTTTTTAGTATAATGAAATTGGTGATCCTGTTTAATCTTCTTTTATCATAGAAATACCCTTATTGAAGTACAGCATGTGGGCTGGCTAGAACGCTGGTTTACATTGCCTCATTGCAAATGAGTGGGGTAAATATTCAATTCTCTCTGCAACCTTGTTTACGCTTTTCTGACCAAATTGTGGCCAAAAAGCACATGATAAGATGATTAACATCCTTAGTCTTTAGAGAAATGCAAATCGAAACCACAATGGGATATCACTTCAAACCCACTATAATGCCTACAGTCAAGATTGTAGAAAACAAGGGTCAACAAGAACATAGATAAATTGGAATTCCCTAATACAAATGCATAATAGTGCAGCTGCTGTGGCACATTTTGCTGATTCCTGAAAATATTAAACATAGAATTATCATATAATTCAGCAATTTCACTGCTACATACATATCCAATAGAATTGAAAACAGGTAGCCAAATAAAACTTGCACACAAATGTTTATAGCAGTCTTATCATAGCCAAAAAGTGTAAACAATCCAAATGTCCATCAGCTGATAAATGGGTAAGAAAATGTATTATATTCATACAATGGAATATTATTTAGTCATAAAAAGAATGAAGTACTGATACATGGTATAACATGGATGAACCTTGAAACATTACACTGAGTAAAAGCAGCCACATGCATGTTTCTATTTTATATGAAATGTCCAGAACAGTCAAATACATACAGACAGAAAACAGACTACTGATTGCCAGGGGCAGGGGGTAGGGAAAAACGGGGAATGACTGCTTAATGGATATGAGGTTTTCTTTGGGGGTGATGAAAATTTTCTGGAACTAGATAATGGTAATGGTTGAACAACACTGTAAGTGTACTAAAACTCACCGAATTATACACTATAAAATGATTTAAATGGTGAATTTAATATTGTATGAATTTTAACCCCCTCTAAAAAAAATTCTCATTCCTTTATGCTTTGTAACTCTGCTGCTATTGCATTTTGGCTGAAAAAAGACATGCCTATTAAAAAATTAGGCTGAATTTCCGCAATCAAAAGCCTTACTAGATTCTTAGAAAGTAAAATCCCTCATTCCTTATGCCCATGTAGATTTAAAATATACAGGAGAGACTGGCCTAGCCTCCCAGCCTACATCTTTCTTCCTTGCTGGATGCTTCCGGCCCTCGAACATCGGGCTCCAAGTGCTTCAGTTTTGGGACTCAGACTGGCTCTCCTTGCTCCTCAGCCTGCAGACACCCTATTGTAGGACCCTGTGATTATCCTAAATGAGGTCGCTTCCAAGGTGGCTGAATAGGAACAGCTCTGGTCTACAGCTCTCAGCGAGATTGATGCAGGAGATGGGTGATTTCTGCATTTCCAACTGAAGTACCTGGTTCATCTCATTGGGGCTGGTTGGACAGTGGGTGCAGCCCACAGAGGGTGAGCTGAAGCAGGGTGGGGCATTGCCTCACCCGGGAAGCACAAGGGGTCGGGGGATTTCCCTTTCCTAGCCAAGGGAAGCCGTGATATATTGTATGTGGAGAAATGGTACACTCCTGACCAAATACTGCACTATTCCCACAGTCTTAGCAACCAGCAGACCAGGAGATACCCTCCCGTGCACGGTTCAGTGGGCATTCTATGCTCATGGATAGGAAGAATCAATATTATGAAAATGGCCATACTGCCCAAAAGTAATTTATAGATTCAATGCTATCCCCACCAAGCTACCAATGACTTTCTTCACAGATTGGAAAAAACTACTTTAAAGTTCATATGGAATCAAAAAAGAGCCCACATGGCCAAGACAATCCTAAGCAAAAAGAACAAAGCTGGAGGCATCATGCTACCTGACTTCAAATTATACTACAAGGCTATAGTAACCAAAACAGCATGGTACTGGTACCAAAACAGATATATAGACCAATGGAACAGAACAGAGGCCTCAGAAATAACACCACACATCTACAAACATATGATCTTTGACAAACAAGACAAAAACAAACAATGGGGAAAGGATTCCCTATTTAATAAATGGTGCTGAGAAAACTGGCTAGCCAGATGTAGAAAACTGAAACTGGATCCCTTCCTTACACTGTATACAAAAATTAACTCAAGATGGATTAAAGACTTAAATGTAAGACCTAACAACATGAAAACCCTAGAAGAAAACCTAGGCAGTACCATTCAGGACATAGGCATGGGCAAGAACTTCATGACTAAACACCAAAAGCAATGGCAACAAAAGCCAAAATAGACAAATGGGATCTAATTAAACTAAAGAGCTTCTGTACAGCAAAAGAAACTATCATCAGAGTGAACAGGCAACCTACAGAATGGGAGAAAAGTTTTGCAATCTACTGATCTGACAAAGGGCTAATATCCAGAATCTACAAAGAAATACACAAATTTACAAGAAAAAACAAACAACCCCATCAAAAAGTGGGCAAAGGATATGAACAGACACTTCTCAAAAAAAGACATTTATGCAGTCAACAGACATATGCAAAAATGCTCATCATCACTGGTCATCAGAGAAACGCACATCAAAACCACAATGAGATAGCACCTCATGCCAGGTAGAATGGCGATCATTAAAAAGTCAGGAAACAACAGATGCCGGAGAGGATGTGGAGAAATAGGAACACTTTTACACTGTTGGTGGGAGTGTAAATTGGTTCAACCATTGTGGAAGACAGTGTGGCAATTCCTCAAGGATCTAGAAGCAGAAATATCATTTGACCCAGCCATCCCATTACTGGGTATATACCCAAAGGATTATAAATCATTCTACAATAAAGACACATGAACACGTATGTTTATTGTGGCACTATTCACAATAGCAAAGACTTGGAACCAACCCAAATGTCCATCAATGATAGACTGGATTAAGAAAATGTGGCACATATACACCATGGAATACTATGCAGCCATACAAAAGGTTGAGTTCATGTCCTTTGCAGGGACATGGATGAAGCTGGAAATTCTAAGCAAACTATCACATGGACAGAAAACCAAACACCACATGTTCTCACTCATAGGTGGGAGTTGAACAATGAGAACACATGGACACAGGGCGGGGAACATCACACTCCAGGGCTGGTCGGCGGGAGTGGGTGGCTGGGGGAGGCATAGCATTAGGAGAAATACCTAATGTAAATGACGAGTTGATGGGTGCAGCAAACCAACATGGCACATGAATACCTATGTAACAAACCTGCACGTTGTGCACATGTACCCTAGAATATAAAGTATAATAATAAAAAAGTAAAAAAATAAATATGGAGGGAAAAATTCTGGTAATGAATTACCCCAAAATAATAGCATTTAACTTTAGTACCAATACCCCAATATAACCATGACTATAGTGTAGCAGTTCCTTTTTTCTCTTCTTTACCCCAATGTCTGAAACTTCTTGCTATTACTTTGACACTTCTTGTGAGCTATAGCCTTTGGAAAAGCAAAGGTCCCGTAGAGAAATATTTTCTGAAATTAAGATTTAGCAAATTCTTTTATTGTAATAAAGACTACATTCTTAATATGCCTTTAAAATTCTGATTCTTGGTTGCTGATGTACCTATACTTCACCAGATGAATTTTAGAATAGCTTATCAAATGTTGAAAGTAATAAACCAAAAGAAGGCAAAATACAATGTTAGATGAACTTAAAATCAAAGTTTTTGCACATACAAGACAATGAATGAGTGATAAAACTATAAAAATTGACACAATCATTTTGGTATATTAAGACATACCTTTGTAAGAAGCTAAAATATTACAAACAAAATTATGTAAGAATGCAAATGAGTAGTAAACACAAATATCAAATGTGATTTAATAGAATCATATAGGCTGGAGTGCAGTGGCTCCATCTTGGCTCACTGCAACCTCTGCCTCAGACTCCTGAGTAGCTGGGATTACAGGCGCACACTGCCACACCTGGCCAATTTTTGTATTTTTAGTAGAGATGGGGTTTCATCATGTTGGCCAGGCCAGTCTCGAACTCCTGACCTCAAGTGATCCGCCCACCATGGCCTCCCAAAGTGCTGGGATGACAGGCGGGAGCCACTGTGCCTGGCCAATCCCAGGTCTTTAGATAAACTCAACTAATTGTCAACCAGAAAATGTTTAAATCTACCTATAGCCTGGAAGTCCCCACTTCCAGTTGTCCCACCTTTCTGAACCACACCAATGCATTTCTTAAATGTACTTAATTGAAATCTCATGTTTCCCTAAAATGTATAAAACCAAGCTGCACCCCAACCACTTTGGGCACACGTTCTCAGGACCTCCTGAGGGCCCTGTTACAGGCCATGGTTACTCATATTTGGCTCAGAATAAATCTCTTCAAATATTTTACATAGTTTGACTCTTTGTTGGCAGTAATTTGGCATCCAAATGCTTGGGGCCTCCAAAAAGACTCAAAACCCCAAAAGAGTTCCCCAAACTTGAAGCTAAGGTGCCATCAGGGGCCCATTGAAACCTTCCCAACTTGGAGCTTCTCCTCTGGTAGAACTGTTAAGTCCTCCCTAGCCTGGACCTCCCTTTGGTTAATGGTCCCTGATTTTGGTTGATGGTCCCTAAGCTATTTTTTTATCTTGTGAAAGGAAAATAAATGTTGGAACCCCAAAATTACTAAGCCAAAGGGAAAAGTCAAGCTGGGAACTGCTTAGGGCAAAACTGCCTCCCATTCTATTCCTAAAAAAAACATAGCTACTAAGATTTAAAATAAAAAGCTACATAACCTCCATCACAAGGAATTTCCTTGTGGACAAAGGACACACAGAACTCAAAAGTCATCCCTCTGCTCACTGAGATTAATGCATATCTAATCACTTCCTTTGGAAAGGCTAATCAGAAACTCAAAAGAATGCAACAATTTGTCTCTTATCTCCCTAATATGTATAAAACCAAGCTGCTCCCCAACCACCTTGGACACATGTTGTGAGGACTGCCTGAGGCTGTGTCACAGGTGTGAGTTCTTAATTTTGACAAAATAAACTTCCTAAACTGAGACCTGTCTCAGATACTTGGGGTTCACACCCCTAGGAAGTTGTTTTTAAGGATCCTACTTCTAGTTTGGAGATGATTTCTAATGGGTCTTCTCCATTGCTTTTCTTCCCAAATTAATCTCGATTTGGCTTGCCTGTGTACATGTATGAGGAACAGAACTGTTGTTTTCATAGGTAAATGAGAGAATGAGTTTCCTCAGCTCTGAAGAGAAAGGGCATTTTATTCCTTCCAGCTGAAAGGCACTATGGGTGACTGGGGGCCTTGTGGGAGTGTCTGGGGGGTGGCCCCTCCCATCACGTGCAGTGGCCCCACAGGGAAACCCCAACAAAATTAGTTTAAAAAAGGCTTGTCCAGGAAGTGCATATGGGAGCTGGTCACTCCATGCTTTAAGTCCTCCTGAAAGTGCTAGGTCTCTGGAGGGGGAAACTGAGACATGTAACAGAATGTGGCAACAACTCAGTGGTGACACACTGTGGAGTCTTCCCACTAGCAGCACACTTCAACCCACTCCACAAAACCCTAGGCCACAGCTCAGTTCATCTGTTTAAGAAAAAAAAGTAGGAAACAAATAATCTAAGAATGAGGAGAAAACAAGGAGAATGGCCCCCTTTCAGGCACTCTGTTGGATTTCTGGCACCTCTACTTGGCCAGTATTTGTGTAAAATGGAAATATTATAGTCTTTTTGTGCACATTTACATCAAGGAAAAAGAGCTGTAAGGTCGACCTGCAAACTATAGAGTTCTTAAGTTTTCTTTTTCTCTATTTTCTTTTCTGCCTGCTTTGAATCTGCTATTACTTTTGTACTACAATAAAAACCACTGTTTGGATCCAACTATGTTTTTTGCAAGCCAGTAAATTTGTATTAATATCTCATAGCTACAGTTCTGAAGTAAAAGCTGTGGGATCTCTCTCTCTCTCTCTCTGTGTATGTGTGTGTGTGTGTGTGTGTGTGTGTGTGTGTGTGTGTGTGTGTATTTAACAGGCGTTTATGATAGATTTCTAAAGTTTTATATTTAATTGGCAATTATATCAGTTTTAATTTTCCTCTAGTACATTAAGCTTTCTCTATGTACTTTAAGATGTAGATTTTGCTATCAGTTGATTCCTTTAATATGCAAATTTATGGCTATTTAGCTGACAACTGCCCAGGGTAATGAAACAGGTTATCAACAATTTGAAAGTGTAAGAGGAAAAAAAGTGGTCTTACGAATCTGTAAGATGTACTTCTATTAGCATGCCTAATAAATGTCTATATTTATGTGTTGTGTACATAATCTTTCACTACTAAAAATATATAAAAGAGCTCTAATTAAGTGGCTTAAAGAAAAGTAAAAGTGCTTAAATAAAATACTTTATCAGAAATAAAAGACTAGTCAAATGATTTTTCAAGTTCGCATGAGTTAAGTAAAATCTTTAGTAAATAGTCTTGGAAATTATTTGTAAAATAATATTAGAAATGTCTTAAGAATTACTAGAATTTTTGATTGCATTTGTTGATCAAGTGGTTTCATGCTTATTCATGCAGAATACTGTAAGATTTGCCATAAGGGTTATAGAACTATAAAACCCATCCCAAGACAGAATGATCTTTGCATCTGTAATTTTGGATAAATAAGACATGAGATATTGTTGGCTTAATGAAAATAGCTAAATACTGAGTTATTGGTAAAAATGCCCTTATTTTTAACCTTAAGTTTCTTACTTAAGAAAACACCTGAAATTCACAGCTATAAAAATGGCTAGCAGGGAAACAACTTTAAATAATGACTACCACAGTTTTCGTGAATAATCTAGGCAAACTATTATTAAATTAATCAGATAAATATAATGGAATAAATGCTTGTAAACTTGTCATAATTTAGGATCTAAGAGTATTAATAGGTATTAAGTATGAGTCATTTACAATTTAAAAATTATAGGAAAATGTTTTTTAAATGTTCTTATTAAAAGGCAAATATCTTTGTCTAATTCAGAACATATTTAAAGGTTATATATAAAACAAAGTAAAAGGAAAGATGTAAAGAAAGTTATGAATATAAATAGGTATTTTTGGTAAAGAAGTTAAAAAGGAAGGTAATTTTATATAAGAAAGAATCTTACATGGTAAATGTTTATCCTAAACTAAGATAACTGGTTGATCAGGAAAGAGGAATATTTAGTACAAAACAGATAGTCCAAGCTTGTTGTGAATAATCTATGTAAGTAGTAATAAGGTTAGTATAAAGAATTTTTTTAAGAAAAAAGGGTTGTATAATTCAGTTGGCTATGACTAAGAAGAAATTATAATAGTCTTTCTAGATATGGGTGTTTGATATTTAAAAAATACACTAATACAAGCCTAATTTGTAAAAACAAGATTTTATTAAAAGATTGACTTATTCTTAATGCAAGAAGTTTTTAATTTTTAAATATGATCTGTCTCCTTGAAATTCTTCAGATCAATATCTAAAAAGTTTAACTCTTTCTCTTTTGAAAAGGCATTGGATGATAGCTCTCTCCATCACCTTTTGTTGGCTCCCGTAACTTTTATAAATTATCTAAAGTAAGAGATGGATTTTCAAAAAAAAAACAGGCAAGTGAAATCTCTTTTGGACCTGCCCTTTTTATTCTGCATGCCTGTTATATCTTTATCTTTATACGTGTCATGTGGAAGTGATATTTCACTACCAAATGACATGAAAGAGCTAATCAATTGATTTAAAAAAACTAAGTGCTTATTAGATTGGTAGAAACTATCTCAGATGCCTTTTAATTCACATAACGTTAGTAATCTTTGGGAAAATTAATTTGGTAAATTTAATCTCAAAATTCTCTTCAGTAGTTTAAAATAATAAAATTGTGTTATGTTAAAACCTCGGTTTTTTCCACTGGGAATTTGGGTTCCTAAGAGTTAAAATAGTAGGTGAATAAAATATGCTTTTGGCAAAGTTTATAAAACACAAGGATGTCAATTTTGCTTAAAAAACAGAAAATGCTTTTTTTCTAGTTAGGAAACAATTTAAGAGTCGCTTTAAAATGAAGAAAAAATTATACAAATAAAACTAAATAGTTTAAAAAAAATAAAAACATCAGGCCAGGGCAACAAAAGTTAACTCTAAGACCTGTGGCTACTAAGAAGATAGTCAATGTAGGGGAAGGGCAAAACCAAGTAACTATTAAAACTAGAGGGCATAATGTAAATGAATTGTTCCATTTTGTAGATTGATATCATCAGCTTCCTAAAAAATCTTTACTATAGCGGATTGTAAAAATAACCACTTTAGACAAAATCCTCAATTTTAAATGCTACAAAACGTAAGAGCTTGTTTGGGTTGATGCAGGACCCATAACTCAGTATTGAACAATTACTGATGAGTATATGTAATCCAAAGGCACAGGAGGTTATTCCTGAGAGAACAATCAGCCTAGTGGACCAGATAAACATCACTGTTTGCTCTGTGAAGGGGACTACCCAGCTCTCCCTATAAAATACCAAGTGGAGTACCGCAAGATGAAGCAGTTAATATGCTTCATGCATGAGCTATGTGGGACTGGCTTTATGATGACTAGGATATCATCCCACAGAATATGCCTATTACCTAGGTCATGGTAAATTTGGGTGCTAAGGGGGCCCCTTTTACAGGGATGCCCCTCCCACAAAATCATACGACTGTTTGAGAAGCCTTATCAAATTTGCTATCCCTCATGGGTCTTACAGATGCAACTCTCTGCTGGGAACCCAAACCCTTTTTCACCAGGAAAGGTAAAGTGGTCCAAGGGTAGAACATAAAAATATACAGGTTAATAGAATTATAAAATTTAAGATGTTTAAACAGGCTTTATGATAGTTGCAACCCTTTTACCTAAATGTATTATAAAAATGGGTATTGTGTCTAACTTGAGGATGTTTCCCCTATCTAGTACTATAAAACTGAAGGCAGGAAATCTCTTTTGAGAAATGTTAATTGGACATACTAAATGGGAACTAGTAAAATTGCCTGAGCCTACAGAGTACAGGGTAGAAGCTGGCATGTTAGTCAGGACAAATCCTGAACTTCATAGCCCTTTGTGGAGCATTTATTGGTGCTGATGACAAAAGACTGTAAATACTTCCCAATGACAACTACTGGACTAGAGAATTTCCACCTGAGGGGCATTTACTGCTTTACTGTGGAATGTTAGCTAAAACTACCCCTATGCTAATAGAAATAATGATGCCCAAAGGAGTTCCACGATAAAATAAAACTGGTTTACATAGGATCTTGCTACCTGAGGATACAAGGAGGAGATACTTATAAGCAGAGAGCCTCTTTTTGTCCTTAGGACAAATTCTAACTATATGAGGAGCTGATAGATTCTACAGATAGACAGCTCTCAGGAACTGTTTGGCTTATGAATGGCATTTCCAAGGTGAACAAATATTTGTTTGAAAGCTGCTGCTCTAGTTAAAGAAGGAACAAGAAAATCTTTTTATTTTGAGTTACATGGATGAAGTATGTTTTTTGTAAGCAAATTTACCTCTCTGAGTTCTTCAAAATCTGGATTGTGATTTTATGACAATATAGTTATTTGCATAAGTTCAATAAGAGTCTTTTTAAAACAGAACAATTGGAGACACTGGTTATTTTATCAAAACTTTAACTAAAATAGTAAATTTTTAGGTAAAGTTCTAGCAAAGCCAACTTAAAAGGAGCCTATATGACCATTCATTTCTTGCTGCATTTTATGCAAATAATTAGGCCAAGTATAATAAGCCTGAAACTTATTTTGCACACAAATTGGTCTTACTATAATTTCTCTTTAATAGAAAAGGATGGCTAGAGAAAGATAAATTGTTTCAAAGGCAAAGTGTAACACTTAATACTATATTTCAGCCCTTTTTTTGAGTGCAGATTGAATCATTATTTCTTGGCTATAATAATCCTCTAGAGATACCAGATTATAAATTTTCTTCATATTTTTAGTTGGTGCCCTAACAGAATAGGTTCCTTTTTCTGTTCTAACACACAAATACTCTTTTGATTGTCAAAATATAAATGTTATTTATCTCTCCTTGTTTTACTTCCAAGGAAACCCAAATCATGGTATTCTGAAGACCAGAGATATGAATCTCCCTCATTTGGCATCCCAATGGGCCCCCAATCTGTTTTTCACTGCAAATGCCCTGCTGCTAAAACTATACAAGTACCCTCCTCTAGGCTCAGGGACTGTCACAGGAAAGGTGGGCATGTGAGATTGTAAGGGCCAGTTTTAAGGAATAGAATTAGGTCAAAGTCAGACTCTCCAAATCAAGGAAGGAAACAAAGATGCCTAAACAGCTGGCCAAACAAGCTTCTAAGCTATTATTTGTCAATTTTGCATCCACCTCAACTACAGAGAATTTTCTGCCCCCAATAGAATTAAAAGAAAATATTTACTGACAGGATACTTTGTGACAAAGCCTCCTGGGTATAATATAATACTCCCAGTTATAAGTTGCAAAGATTTTATATATATATATATATAATGCATATAAATGCAATTATATAAGTAATTAAAATTATATATGTAAAAAAATTATATATGTAAAATTTTTAAACAATGCTTATGTTTTGTATGGCTAATTGATATAAGTTTGGAACTATAACCAAGTTTACAGTAGCTCAACACATAAAAGTTAAAAATCTGTCAGTTTTATAACTTTGCCTTTTGTTTTTTGTTGGCTTTTTATTTAAAATAATAATAATTTTCAGAGATAATGGATGCCTGTCCACATCCATTCCTATCTGATGTAGAACAATTAATTGGCTATAAGTCTTTTGACTACTAAGTCCCTCGGCCATAGGGAGTCCCATCAAGGGACAGGATGGATGGGGGTCAGGCAGCCATACCAACCTGGCAATGCTATGGGATAAAATAAAGATTTGCTGGCCTTTGATGTTGCCTCTGGCAAATCTTGGCCAGAACAGGGAGAATATAAACCAAAATAAAATTCTAAGTTCCCCCCCAACCATCTGAATGGACTTCCTCCTTGGCCAGGGCACTCTTAGAATTTATCCTTAAACACTAGTTCAGGCCATGATGGGAAGTGATGGTTGGACATACCTCTCCAGCATTAATATCAACACAGACTTTAAGTCTGGAAAGAAACAGTTTACAACGTGTTCTCTCTGGAGCCTAGTACCTGAAGGCTTCCTCTGCAAATAAGAACTTTGGTCTCCACAATCCTTTTTCTTAACCCAGACATTCCCTTTCTTTTGATCCCAGGTCTTTAGATAAACTCAACCAATTGTCAACCAGAAAATTTTTAAATCTACATATAGCCTGGAAGCCCCTGCTTCCAGTTTTCCCGCCTTTCTTATCCACACCAATATATTTCTTAAATGTATTTGATTGAAGTCTCACATCTCCCTAAAATGTATAAAACCAAGCTGCACTCTGACCACCTTGGGCACATGTTTTCAGGACATCCTGAGGGCTGTGTCATGGGCCATGGTCACTCACTCTTCAAATATTTCACAGAGTTTGACTTTTTCGTCGACATCATCTTCATAAATTAAATAACACCAGGTCTACTGATTGGATGTCTGACTTGAATCACTAAGAGTCATATCCTCTCATCAATTCCCATACATGAGACAATTCACCCAAAGCCCCATGAACTAAGAGGAGGCCAGATTCCCTTGAAAAAAGACTCTGCTACCTACCCAAAATAAATATTGTAAATCTTCCTGGCCTTCTATAAAGCAATTTTTATCCATTTGCCAAGTTGACTGTGCACTGGGGAAGGATGGAAATAATTAGACTTTTCAAGGATTACTAGAAACTGACAGTAATGTAGCCCCAATTCCTAGAGATCCAAAATGCCACTGTGGAGTTTAACTCAGGTTAGCGACACATCTCCTGCTTCCCTGCATTGCCTCCATTATAAAATGCGTAAGTGCAATAGACATACTCAAAAACTGAAAGAATGCCCACATTGGTTTGCTGACTCGTAGAATACAGGTTATTATGATAGACAAGGACAAGTGGAAGCCACTAAAACTGCTTCTATCTACCAATATATAAACCATAAGCAATAATGTATTCCTGGAGGAATTTCAGAGATTAACGCCACTATCAAGGACTTGAGATATTCAGAGTGGAGATTTCTCTCTGCAATCACATTCAACTTTCCTATTTGGCTGTTCAGGAGAGAGATGGATTTCAAGAATAATTGATTATTTTTAAAGTAATCAGGTGACTAATCCAAATATACATGCTATTTAAGGTGTGATTTTTGCAGGAAAAAAAACCCACATCACCAGGTACCTGATATAAAGCTTTTTCCCCCCTCTATATTTGGAAGTAAAGTCCATATGAAATAGTTTGATTTCAGCTGACAGGGCCAGGAAATTACCTTCACTGTCCTACCTCAGGGCTATATCAACTTTCCAGCCTTATGTCAAAATCTAGTCCTCAGGGATCTTGATCACCTTTTCATTCCACAGGACAACATGATGTCCCATTACATTGATATCATGCTTATTACACACCTTGGTAAATGCACACATGCCAGAGGGTGAAAAATGAACCCAAGAATTCAGGGAATGGCCTCCTTGGTGAATTTTCTACAGGTTCAGAGGTGTAGAATACATTGAAATATCCCTTTTAAGGGAAAGAACAGTTTGCTGCATTTGGCTCCTACTACCATGCACAATAACTAGTGGGCTTTTTATTCTGAAGTTATCCTGTGCCTTATTTGGGAATGTAAAGCATACACTTTTTACACATTTGCACAGCATATCCATTTACCGAGTAACCTAAAAGGCTGCCAGTTTTGAGTGGAGGCCCAGAACAAGAAAAGGCTCTGCAACAGGAGCAGGCTATCATACAAGCTGCTATGATGCTTGGTCGATAAGGCCCAGCAGACCCAATGGCTCTGGCAGTGGCTGTGGCAAACTGGGATGCTGTATGAAGCACTGTTCAGACTCCTACAGGTGACAGATCTGATTATATTTCTTTCTAATGCTTATGGCAAATGCTTCATTTGGATTGATTCCCTTACCCAGATAATTGTGGCATGGTAGCTGATATACCTCCCACCCCTTTACTTTTTTTTTTTTTCAGAGTGGGCAAATATATTTTCACTCTGAAAATTCCCCATTAATATTTCTCCAAAGTTAGCAATATAACTGTTTTTTTTTTCTAATGAAGAGATTAGAATGTCTAGATGCGAGGAGGCACTTTCTGATAGGTTTCCAGCTTCTTTGCAGTTTCCTTGGTCACGGCTCTATGAAAAACTAAACTATAAAAACAACCTGTTTTGTACCCCATCTCAGTCTTCATGTAACAGGGGAGAAAGATCAAACAGGACATTGAAAGTTCAGGCCTAAGCATGGCCAGAGACCTAAGCATGGTTAGAGAAGCAAAGCATTCTTAAGAATTATGCTGATCAGAAAGGGGCTCCACAAAGTTGTGCCTGAACCAGCTGATGGCAGTTAGCCTCCAGGTGGCTATTTGCATGAGTAAGTGGTCGTGAATAAGAGGATTTGTGCACAAAATATAGGAAGAAAGCAAGATGTGTGGGGGAGTGGATGCAGTTGAGCATAGGTAGAGAGGCAGGATGGTTGGTGGTTATATAGTTGGTGGTTATACTTTAGCCTTGCCCAGGGATGAGGTCCATTGCTCCAAGCCCTACAGAAAGAGGGGCTATGGCATCAAGCTGAAGAGGCCATTTCCAAACCAAGGGGCAGCATTGTTCCTATGTTTAAGTAACCAAGTGTGACAGGGAGTTCGGAAAGGGAAGAGGCAAGAGAACAAATATTTAAGCTGGACCACCTGTAACTTTTGTAATAGTTGCAGGGATCTTGGCAACAGTTCATCTGGAGGCCTAAGTGCCATGTATAAAATCATCTGAAAGGTTTAAATCAACTAATCTGTTGGAAACAGACCCCCAAATCTGGCCATAAACTGGCTCCAAAACTGGCCATAAACAAAATCTCTGCAGCACGTGTGACATGTTTGTGATGGCCACGACCCCCATGCTGGAAGGTTGTGGGTTTACCGGAATGAGGACAAGGAACACCTGGCCCACCCAGGGAGGAAAATGGCTTCAGGCGTTCTTAAACCACAAACAATAGCATAAGTGATATGTGCCATAAGGACATGCTCCTGCTGCAGATAACTAGCAAGACACATCCCTTTATTTCAGCCCATCCCTTTGTTTCCTGTAAGGAACACTTTTAGTTAATCTATAATCTATAGAAACAATGTTTATCACTGGCTTGCTGTCAATAAATACGTGGGTGAATCTCTGTTCAGGGCTCTCAGCTCTGAAGGCTGTGAGACCCCTGATTTCCCACTCCACACTCTATATTTCTGTGTGTGTGTCTTTAATTCCTCTAGCACTGCTTCGTTAGGGTCTCCACGACCAAGCTGGTCTTGGCACTAATCGACTGTTAAATAAAAAATCTTTCCTACCATGACGAATGTACCTTCTTACCAATCTGAAACCAGAATTGAATTTAGAATACTTGGTGTATTTTAAAGTTTTTTTTTCTATTCTTGTTTAGTGTACCAAAGAAATTTAAAAACATAAAGTTGGCCAGGCACGGTGGCTCACGGCTGTAATCCCTGCACTTTGGAAGGCCAAGGTGGGTGGATCACCTGAGGTCAGGAGTTAGAGACCAGCCTGGCCCCATCTCTACTAAAAATACAAAAAATTAGCCAGGTGTGGTAGCGGGCGCCTGTAATCCCAGATACTCAGGAGGCTGAGGCAGGAGAATTGCTTGAACCCAGGAGGCAGAGGTTGCAGTGAGCCAGGAACGCACCACTGCACTCCAGCCTGGGTGACAAGAGTGAAACTCCATCTCAAAAACAAAACAAAACAAAACAAAACAACAAAAAGACCCATAAAGTTGTCAGTAACAGGATATATCAGGAATGTTTGGGTGATACTCAGAATACACATCAGATACCTGAGGTTTCCTAAGCTGCCCTCAGCTAAGCCCAGTGTATTAGTTTTCTATTGTTGAATAAGTTACCAAAAGACCTCTACGTAGAAACATTCGGTAAAACAATAGGCTTTCTAAAAAGATGAAAGGTTATTGTCTCTAAGCAGTCTCAGCGGAAGCCCAGGGTGAAAAGAGATTACCTGAAAGAGATTTACGGATGCACATTTTGTATAATGAAGGGAAACCCAATATGATTTATAGAAGGTTCACAAATTAGTTTTTAATTATATTAGCAGAAATCCTACCAGCATTGACCAATCAGAACCAATGTGAAACTCTTCAAATGAAACTACCCGGATAAATTCCTATTTGGACTCTCCTTTCATTTTAAATGGTGACAAAAGGCCCCATGCATTCTGGCTTACAATGTGGCCCTCCATCTTCTGTCTCTCTTAAGTATGAAACACCACCTGATAATATATTTTTAAATGGCAGCATTGTAACCAAAGAATTGTGGACGCATTAAGGTAACTTAACTGTAACAGATATTTATCAAGCACCTACTCAGTGAAAACCTAGTGCTAGGTACTTTAGGAAAGATAAATAAAACACTTTAAAGTCTGAACCATTCAGAAACTTACTCTCTAGAGGATAGTGACATTGATACATTTATGTGAACAATGGTAGTTAAGTCAGAATAGATGTGCTATCATAGAATATGAGAAAAGGTAGTATGTCTAACTAGAGTACCCAGGAAGCCTTACATAAATGTAGGAGGCCTTCTACCCTCAAAGCTCTGTCTCTTACCCTTCTCTCAACCTCTATCCTTTACCCTTCTCTCAACCTCTGTGACTTCATGCTTTTCCTTAAACACATTCTAGTTATTGGGCCAATTTTCTCCCTTTCCTCTTCTAATTTTTTTTTTCATTTTGTTAGGAAATATTGCTGACCTACATAAAGATATAGATAAAACTTACATACATGTACTCACCCCTCAAGTTAGACAATATAATATTACAGTTGACACCCACAGTGTGACCTTCCCCAATGGCCTTCCCTCTCTGTCCAAAAGACATAGCCACTATTCTGAAGAAGTATTATTTTCATACACAACTTTCTGCATGATACATATGCATGTATCACACACATTCATTTTAATACATATATGTATATACCCACAATCAATTTATGGTGATTGTTTCACATGTTTTTAAACCTCATATACATGATATCATAGTGTTTGTTTCCCTCAGGAACTAGCTTTTTTCTTTATCCAGTTTTTCCACTGCCACCACCCAATCTTTGCCTCTCCAGCGAGTCTTTCTCCAGTAAAAATTTATAGTCTTTCTCCAGAAAAAAAAAAAAAACCGCTTGAGAGGCAAAGATTTGTTGGTGGCAGTATGTCATCTCCTCCCCAGTCCAGTATTTACCGTCCTGTTCATTTTACCTGAAACAGTCTCAAGTCAGTGATTTAATGCTGGTCCTACCATAAGTGAGTCTGAAAGTTTTCCCTGCATCACTCTAAGCCAGTGGTTCTCAAACCTTATTGAGATTCAAAAATCAACTAGAGGACTTGAAAAAGTTTGACTGCTGGCCCACCTTCAGAATTTCCTATTCAGTAAGTCTGCAGTGGGGTTTGGGAATTTGCATTTCTTACAAATTCCCAGGTGATGCTGATGCTGCTCATCCAGTGCAGCCCAGTAGCACGATCTAGCCTCCAGGAGAGCTGGATCATCCATTGGTTTCTTTCAATGAAAGGCAGTAGAGGCTAGACCTCCATTTCTTTCTTTGCAGAAATTGTTTAAAGTTGATATTTTAATTAATTGGGGGTGTAATAAAATAACTTAAAACATAGTTGAAAGTGATCTCTTTCAATGTCAGTAGTGTGGGCCAAAACATTAAGAAAGGTGCAACAGACTTGAGTCCATATTATTTATCTAAAAAAACCCTGAAGCTTATTAGTCATTTTGAAACACTTTTATTTTTAATCTGAAGAAATGCTGTCAGATATATCTTCCCTTAAAATATAGGAGAAAAGTCAAACAACATTAGATATAACTTTTTGGAACAAAACAATAACTGGAAGAAAACCAGTGTTGCTAAAATTCTCATGTGCTACTGAAAATGAGAAAATCTCAAATCCTTGAAGAACAAATTCACTGTTTATCACTTCATCCATATCTTTTTATGCCTCTGAACTATAGAAAAAATAAGAAAAAAGTTAACAATCATGCACCATTAACATGAACCAATTACTCTTCCTAAAATAACTGTGCACTATTAACATGAACCAATGAACTCTTTCCAAAACTAAGAAAAGAGTCCATCCTATGTTTGTCTGCTGTCTCAATGGGAGAAATCAACACATTTTCCTTTTTTAAACCAGATCATTGGGTATCAGGCAGGGTGTTTGTGCATCGTCTGATCATATCGACCTCATCTCCCTCTTGCCAAACACTAAAAATGCCTGATGCCTGTTTTTTCCCCCTGAGAGACCATTCAGGGAAATAAATAAATAATTTTTCCCTTAAAATCCTGTGCTCTATTTATAAACCATAATTTCTTAATCTCCCAGACCCATAGGTTCCATATCTATAAAATGAGAAACAGAAAAAAGAGGAAAAGAGGATAAATAAAAGTTGAATTAATTAAAAATTCACTGATAACCAAAATCTTATTAGGACTAATTTTATTTTCTTTTGACTATCACATGAAATACAGAAATTGAAAACTGAATGCATGCTTAGGTTTCAATCATTAATTATGATCCTACTTGAAATTCTTAACTTTTTACAACTTTTGTAGGTAGTTGCATTCTCAAAGGCATTGTCTCCTAGTTAGTACAAAATACCATATTTCTGTGGCCATCCAATGAAGCAAGCCTAATGTCAAGTGTATGTTCCAACAGCTTTAGCCAAATTGTTCTAGCAACTGTGTTATAAGCAAATATCAGCCTCAGCTACCAGGTCTCATAAATTTCCCACGTATAGAAGACAGTTCAAAGGACTCGTAACTGCAAGAGTGCCTTTTAGAACGTGCTGCATTCTGTATTATCTAATATACACACACATTATTAACATAAAACTGGTTTATGAAACTAAATTTTAAAAAATTGGCCGGGCGCAGTGGCTCATGCCTGTAATCCCAGCACTTTGGGAGGCCGAGGCAGGTGGATCATGAGGCCAGCAGTTTAAGACCAGCCTGTCCAAAATGGTGAAACCCTGTCTCTACTAAAAATACAAAAATTAGCCGGGTGTGGTGGTGGGCACCTGTAATCCCAGCTACTCGGGAGTCTGAGGCAGAGAATTACTTGAACACAGGAGGCGGAGGTTGCAGTGAACCAAGATCGTGCCACTGCACTCCAGCCTGGGCAACAAGAGCGAAACTCCATCTCAAACAAAAACAAAAACAAAAACAAAAACAAGCATTATGACTTATTCCCCAGTTTTTACCTGAGACGGTTCATGCCAGTAGCAACAGAGGCGGGGCATGGTGGCTCACACCTGTAATCCCAGTAGTTTGGGAGGCTGAGGTAGGTGGATTACTTGAGGTCAGGAGTTCCAGACCAGCCTGGCCAACATGGTGAAACCCTGTCTCTACTGAAAATACAAAAACCAACTGGGTGTGGTGGTGCACACCTGTAATCCCAGCTACACAGGAGACTGAGGCAGGAGAATTGCTTGAACCCAGGAGACAGAGGTTGCAGTGAGCCAAGATTGCACCACTGCACTCCAGCCTGGGTGACAGAGTGAGGACTCCATCTCAAAAAAAAAAAAAAAGGAGTGACTGAGCAATGAAACAATTGTATAGCTCAGATGTCATCAGTGGTAAAAGAAGAGAGAAAATCTGGATGTTTTAATGTTATTAAAGGCACTTAGTACAGAAGATATAAAGTTGAAAAGGACCCAGTCAGTGCAGAGATTTGAAGAAGTGTTAAAAACACGAACTGGAAAGTGTTTTATGGACACTGCCAAATTAACATCAAACCTCCAAAGAATGAATACTGAGAGCAAGACACTTCTTAAAGGCAATCCTTATACAGAATTTAAAAGGGCAGCCTTTCCAGGATGATCTGAGTAAACTAAGACTTTCTGTTGCATTCGGCCACACTAAGCCAAAGACCTCAGATGTAAATAATTTTTCAAATTATGGAGAAAGCAGCTTTTCATATTTACATTGAAAAAGAAAATATTTTGTAAATCTGAAAAATATTTTAGAAAAAATGCATAGCAAATGAATTAGGAAATATCACATTTCAGAAAAATAATACCAGTACATTTCTATTATAATTCCAACCAAATTTAGATGATATTAATTTTACCTACTGTCCCACCCCAAGAAGGGAGAACGTTGTCATAAAACATTGATTTAAATATTAAAGAGAATGTAGAAAGGGCAATTAGCCAGACACAGAGAGTCAATGGCCTTGAGTGGATAGGATGTCAGCCTATCTCCACCCCCACCTCCTGCACCCTTGAGCAAAAACATTGCCAAGGACTGAAAGGCAGTTGCCACAGTCTCTGGAAATAAGAATCTCAAGGTCCAGTTGGAGAAAAGACTGAATGTGAAATGGATTCATAACTTAAGCATCTTTATATGGAATCTATCGACTACAAAAACTATGTAGCTGAAAGAATACAGAGGGTTCACAGTGAGTGGGCTTTTCTCAGGCAGGGAAGGAGGACTTAATGTGGACTTTGAAAGATAGACCACAGACCCCTACATGGGGAGCAGTGTTTCCACTTTGTCCCCCTCAAAGTATGCTTATGGTCTGAGAGTGTCATTGACTTTCTGCTATGGATTGAATGGTTGTGTTTCCTCTAAGATTCCTGTTGAAACTTAATTTGCAAGGCAACAGTATTAACAAGCGGCCTCTCTTGGAGGTGATTAGACCACTAGGGCTCCACCTTCATAAATGGATTAGTACCCTATTAAAGGCTTGAGGGATGGTGAGTTTGCCCTTTCCATTTCTTCTGCCATGTGTGGACACAGTGTTCATTCCCTGTAGAGGATGCAGCAAGGAGGCACTATCTTGGAAGTGTAGCAGAGCAAGCCACAGACAAGAACCCCTCAGACACTGAGTTGTGGAAGGAAAGGGCTTTATTCAGCTGGGAGCATCGGCAGACTCACGTCTCCAAAAACCGAGCTCCCCGAGTGCGCAATTCCTGTCCCTTTTAAGGGCTTACAACTCTAAGGGGTTCTGCATGAGAGGGTCGTGATTGATTGAGCAAGCACTGGGTACGTGACTGGGGGCCGCATGCACCGGTAATCAGAACGGAACAGAATAGGACAGGGATTTTCAACGCTTTTCCATACAATGTCTGAAATCTATATATAACACAAGCAGTTAGGTCAGGGGTTGATTTTTAACTATCAGGCCCAGGGTGCCGTGCTGGGCTATCTGCCTGTGGATTCCATTTCTGCCTTTTAGTTTTTACTTCTTCTTTCTTTGGAGGCAGAAATTGGGCATAAGACAATATGAGGGGTGGTCTCCTCCCTTAGAAGCAGAGAGCCCTCACCAGAATCCAAACCTGTGGTGCCTAGATCTTGAGTTTCTCCATCTCCAGAATTGTAAGAAATAAATTTTTATTGTTTACAAATTACCCACTCTGTGGAATCTTGTTACAGCAGCCCAAACTGACTTGGACACCTTCTCTCTGGATGAAAAGATTTATAATAGAGATTTGACCTTACCCAACTGTGGGAATGGTTAAAACAATCCAGATTTAGCTGCTTGTTTAGAATCTAGTGCTGACCCTCAATTCATAAGACATGGGGTCAGAAAGGAAAAATGAATATTAACTTGGAAAATGTAAGGAAAAACAACATGCAAACAAGATGGAAACTATATCTTTCTCTCACTGGAACACATATCAGACGTTCTCCATCTTCAAGCCAGCAAATTTACTGGCATGCATGACCTGCAAGAGAAATGGAACTCTTGGCACAAAGTCCTCCTGAACCTGGACCAGAAATTACTGAAGCTTGAGGAATAGGATCCTGGTAGCTACAGCTGTCGCCTTTGCCAATGAGGTGAACCAGCAGATGCACAAAATCGCTTGTGAGCCACAAGAGGTTTCTTGACCTATGCCATCTGTATTAGTCCATTTTCATGCTGCCAATAAAGACATACCCGAGACTGGGCAATTTACAAAAGAAAAAAGTTTATTGGACTTACAGTTCCATGTGACTGGGAGGCTTCACAATCATGGCAGAAGGTAAGGGGTAGCAAGCCACATCTTACGTGGATGGCAGCAGGCAAAGAGAGAACTCATGCAGGGGAGCCCCTCTTAATGAAACTACCAGATCTCATGAGACTTATTCACTATCATGAGAACAGCATGGGAAAGACATCAACCCATGACTCAATTATCTCCCACCTGGTTCCTCCCACAACATATTGGAATTCAAGATGAGATTTGGGTTGAGACACAGCCAAACCATACCACACTGCCCCTGGACCCTCTCAAATCTCATGTCCTCACATTTCAAAACCAATCATGCCCTCCCAACAGTCCTCCAAAGTCTTAACTCGCTTCAGCATTAACTCAAAATCCACAGTCCCACATCTCATCTGAGACAAGGCAAATCCCTTCTGTCTATGAACCTGTAAAATCAAAAGCAAGTTAGTTACTTCCTAGATACAATGGGGGTACAGGCATTGGATAAATACAGCCATTCCAAATGGGAGATATTGGCCAAAACAAAGAGGCTACAGGCCCCATGGAAGTCTGAGATCCAGTGGGACAGTCAAATCTTAAAGCTCCAAAATGATTTCCTTTGACTCCATGTCTCATATCCAGGTCATGCTGATGCAAGAGATTGGTTCCCATGATCTTGGGCAGCTCTGCCCCTGTGGCTTTGCAGGGTACAGCCTCCCTCCCTGCTGCTTTCACAGGCTGGCATTGAGTGTCTGCGGCTTTTCCAGGCACACGGTGCAGGCTGTCGGTGGATCTACCATTCTGGGGTCTGGAGGATGGTGGCCCTCTTCTCACAGCTCCACTAGGTGGTCCCCTGGTAGGGACTCTGTGTGGCGGCTATGACCCCACTTTTCCCTTCCACACCACCCTAACAGAGGTTCTCCATGAGGTCCTCGCCCCTGCAGCAAACTTTTGCCTGGGCATCCAGGCATTTCCATACATCTTCTGAAATCTAGGTGGAGGTTCCCAAACCTCAATTCTTGACTTCAGTGCACCTGCAGGCTCAACACCACATGGAAGCTGCCAAGGCCTGGGGCTTCCATCCTTTGAAGCAACAGCCCAAGCTATACCTTGGCCCCTTTCAGTTATGGCTGGAGTGGCTGGGACACGGGGCACCAAGTCCCTAGACTGCACATAGCATGGGGACCCTGGGCCCGACCCATAAAACCATTTTCTCCTAGGCCTCTGGGGGCAGTGATGTGAGGGGCTGCCGTGAAGACCTCTGACAAGCCATGGAGATATTTTCCCCATGGTCTTAGTGATTAACATTTGGCTCCTCGTTACTTATGCAAATTTCTGCAGCTGGCTTCAATTTATCATCAGAAAAATGGGGTTTTCTTTTCTATCACATTGTCAGGCTGAAAATTTTCTGAACTTTTATGTTCTGCTTCCCTTGCAAAACTGAGTGCCTTTAACAGGACACAAGTCACCTCTTGAATGCTTTGCTGCTTAGAAATTTCTTCCACCTGATACCCTAAATCATCTCTCTCAAGGTCAAATTCCACAGATCTCTAGGGCAGGGGCAAAAAACCACCAGTCTCTTTGCTAAAACATAAGAAGAGTCACCTTTGCTCCAGTTCCCAGCATTTTCCTCATCTCCATCTAAGACCACCTCAGCCTGGACCTTATTGTCCATATCGCCATCAGGTTTTTGGTCAAAGCCATTCCATAAGTCTCTAGGGAGTTCCCAACTTTCCCACATTTTCCTATCTTTTTCTGAGCCCTCCAAACTGTTCCGACCTCTGCCTATTACCCAGTTCCAAAGTCACGTCCACATTTTAGCATATCTTTTCAGCAATGCTCCACTCTACCGGTACCAATTTACTGTATTAGTTTGTTTTCATGCTGCTGATAAAGACATACCTGAAACTGGGCAATTTACAAAATAAAAAGGTTTATTGGACTTATAATTCCACATGGCTGGAGAGGCTTCACAATCATGGTGGAAGGCAAGGAGCAGCAAGTCACATCTTACGTGGATGGCAGCAGGCAAAAAAAAAAAAAGAGTTTGTGCAGGAAAACGCCCCCTTATAATAACCATCAGATCTCGTGAGACTTACTATCATGAGAACAGCATGGGAAAGACCTGCCCCCATGATTCAATTCCCTCCCACCAGTCCCTCCCACAACACGTGGGAATTGAAGATGAGATATGGGCGGGGACACAGCCAAACCATATCACCATCCTTTGAATAATAAAACATGGTTACTGTTTCATTTCTGCTTTCCAAATAGTAGGATATTTCTATCACAGACCACCCTAACCAGAAATACACAGAGAAAGATTTCTGGAAAATGTAATTAGGCTTAGTCAAGTTGACACATATATTACAAAGCACTCACATTCCAGCCCTTGTCAACTTGGCATCCACATATACATCTTTATTGCATATTTCACTTCTAACTAAAGAACAGAGCAAAGCCATAGTTCTGTCTCTCATGATGCAACTATCCTATGTACAGCTGAAAACATGTTAAACCTCTCTACAAAAGAGGATAAAAAGTCCCTGCTAAGGTCTGAAAGCTCATGTCTTCCTGAAAATGTTATGTTAAAATGTAGCACCCCAGATAATGGTATTAGGAGATGGGGCCTTTGGGATGTGATTGGGCCATGGGTGCAGAGGCTTCATGAATTACATTAATACCCTTATAAAAGAAGCCCAAGGAGAGCCCTCATCCTTTCCACTATGTGAGGACACAGAAAAAAAAAAAGTGCCTTATATGAACCAGAAAGGATTCCCTCACCAGACACTGAATTTTTTGGCACTTTGATCTTTGGCTTTCTCTGCTTCCAGATCTGTAAAAAAATAAATTTCTGTTGCTTATTAGCCACCCAGTTTATGGTATTTTGTTGTGGTAGCCTGTTTTGGTAGTCCCTTCATCCATCTTTGGCTGACGTTCCTTATTCCTCTGAGCCCACTTTGACATCTCATAACTTGGATACTGTCACACAAAATGAACTACAATGAATAAACGTTATGTAAATAGAAAGGAATATGGGACTAGGACAGTGGAATAAAAATGGTTAATATAAAAATGGAAACAATTATATCAAAGTAAGAAGGAAACACTCAGAGCTATTAAAGTCCTGAGTCTTGCAACTGATCAGGTAGCCATAATGTGCTTTTATCTCCCTTCTTTCATTAACCCATTCCATATTCCCTTTGCCCTCAATAAACACTTTACTTGGTTAAGGTTCTTTGCCTGATGAGGTGACCCAAATCTTCATTTCTGGATGGAATGAGCTATTAGCAGTCTTACTTATTTGGATTGCTGTAGTTCTTCATTGACTTTATTCACAATACATGAGAGTAGAAAGAGACATCCCTGGAAACCTCCTGCATTGTAGACCACCATTTTGTATAGCAATGAAATTTCCTCTTGATTTTCAAGATCTACCACCTTAACTAGTACTATAGGCCATTTTTTTCATATCAATGCAGTGGCAATAAATAGTCCAAAGTGGCCAGGTGGCAATCACAACTATAAGCTTAATGGAACTGTTTTCACATCTTTGGTGGAAGCATTCTTCCACTTAAACTAAGATGTCTAGGCCAGGAAAGCCTAGGTCACATAGACTGGAAGCAAGAATTTTGTAGTGGAGTAAGAAGGGAATAATGAATGAGGAGCAATAAGGGAATAACGAATGAATACAGATGCGTTTTCACTCCTTGATTCCCTAACCTGTGAATCCAGGCTATTTGAGAAACAACATCACATTTTGGACACAGATTTAAAGCATATCCTCATCATTGAAGATATGATCCAGATATGCAAAATGTGGTCACATAGCTGGCTCTGTAACTGAAGTCATCAAAGCCATTCCACTCTCTATTAGGCCAGATGCTTCAGGGTGATGGGAAACAAAGTAAAACTAATGAATTTCATGAGTATTGGCCTATTGCCACACTTTGGTGTGAAATTAATTATTTGGTCAAAAGGGTCTCTGTATAAAATACCATGATGGTGGAAAAGGCAGTTAGTAAGTCCTCTGATGGTACTTTTGGCACAAGCTTTGCAGGCAAGAAAAGCAAAATCACATTTAGAGTAATTGTGTATTCTCGTGAGAACAAAACAATGCCCCTTCCGTGATGGAGGTGGTCCAATGTATTCAAGTTCAAAATGGGTAGCTTGCCAATCTTTCTGAAGAATAGTGCCATATTGAAATATCAGTTTTGGTATCTGCTGAAGCTGTAGCCAAATCAACATTGGTTCACAGATGTCTGTGTTTCTGAGCCCATACATAAACTTCATCGTGGCTGGCATGGCCACTTTCTTCATGTACCCATCAAGCAAAGACAAGAGTGTCTGTGAAAGAGGTTGACTGACATCTACTGAATAAATCATCTTATCCACCTAATTATTAAACTTCTACTCTGCTAAGGTTGCTCTTTGGTAAGCGTTCACATGGAACACAAATATCTTCACGCTCCATGCCCATTTGCAGAGGGTTACAAACATACGTTTGCCCCAGACCTCTTTATCATCTATTTTCCAATCATGTCTCTTCTATGTCCCTGACCACACAGGCGAAGCATTAACCAATGTCCCTGACACCAGGTAGATGTAAATCTCTTTCCATGCTTCCTTCCAGGGAAAATGAGCAAGCTGATGCCTTGCTTGATGTTCTGGCCACTGGGAAGATTTCCCTTCACCATCGTCCTTTTAAGAACAGCTCTGGTGTGACCCTAAAGTCTGGAAAAAACTGAGTGCTTGACCATGGGCTACCCAAGCAAGTGTGACCTAAATTGCTCACAATGAACTGAATGTTGCTTATGCCACTAAACCAGAGGTGTCACATCTTTTGGCTTCCCTGGGCCACATTGGAAGAATTGTCTTGAGCCACGTATACAATACACTAACAACAATGATAGTTGATAAGCTAAAAAAAAGTTGCAAAAAAATCTCATAATGTTTTACAAAACGTTACAAATTTGTGTTGGGCCACATTCAAAAACATCCTGGGCCGCATGTGGCCTGCAGGCCATGGATTGGACAAGCTTGCACTAAATCATAAAGTTGGAGGTGAACAGCAGCATTTCATCAAAAATTCCAGTGGTCTGGAAGACTGGGCTTAAGCAGGATCTGATGAGACAAGAAAGCTTCATAAATATAGTATAATGGGAATATATATTTGGTCTAAAATGCTTAGAATTTCCAGAGTTATAGGAATTATTTTGCCATTCATAACAAATCTCTTTAAATCGTACTTGAGTTTATGCTAATAGAATGGCTAGTGGCTGGCCCCTAGATAGCTTCAGGATAGGGGCAGGCTGCCAGAAAGAGCAAGTCATGATTAAAGGGTTGGAAATTTCATTCACACCTCCTGAACTCCAGGGATGAAAGAGGGGCTAAAGATTGAGTTCTGTCACCAATCTCCAATAATTTATCAATCATGCTTACCTAATGAAATCTTAATAAAACCGCCTAAATGATGGGGCTCAAGGAGCTTCTAGGTGGTGAACACATCAACATGCTGGGAGGGTGGCATAACTATGAAGGGCATGGAAGTGCCATACACCTCCTTATATCTTACCTTATGCATCTATTCCATTTGGCTGTTCCTGAATTGTACTCTTTATAATAAATCAGTAAATATAAGTAAAGTGTTTTCCTGAATCCTGTGAATAGTTCTAGCAAATTATCAAATCTGAGAGGATGGGATGTGGAAACTCCTGAATTTGTAGTTAGCTGGATAGAAATGTTGGTAGTCTGGGTACCCCATTTGTGGCTGGCATCTGATGGGGGAGACAGTCTTATGGAACTAAGCCTTTAACCTGTGGGGTCTGATGGTAATTCTAGGAGTTAGTATCAGAATTGTACTGAATTGTCAGGCACTCAGTTGGTGTTGAAGAATTAGAGAACTGGAGAAAGTAAAAGGTGGCCAACTAGACACAACCAGTAGGAACATCTCCCACAGAGGGATTGACGCATCAGGAAGACTCGCACATTCCTAGCAGATCTTCAGAGGAAAGGCATCGAGGGCAATTGGAAGGAAGACACAGAGGTTGGGCTGAAGAGGGAGGAAGCTGGGAGCCCTCCAGAGGGATACCACACACCTAGACTTGTTCCTGGACCCCAGTGACTCCTGCAGAGGGGGTAAGTTGAACAGGCAAGGAGCAACCCACTCTCGCTATGGGTATCTGGAATCCCAGCAGGAGGAGACCCCTCCACCACCATGGACACTTAAGTTGGCAAGAAAATTGCTTAGAGAAGTTGCAGGGGTAGAAGTCCAGCTGTGGCAGATCACAGAGGGTTTGGTGCAGGAGCATTTGTAGTGGAGCACAGCCAGAAATGCCCATCCCCTTAGGGATGTCCCATGGGAGACTTTAGACCTAGGGAAGCTGTCATACCTGAATGCTGCAGGGTGGTCTTGCCCATCAGACGAGGCCAGTCCAACCTGAGCACCCCTTGGCCTACTGGCCTCTCTTGGGGCCCCAGTCTAGCCCCACCTGCTTGCAGTACAGCCTCCAGGTACCTCCTGAGGGCCTGCATCATAGCTCCAGCACTGGCAGACCACACCTGACCAGCAGAGTGCTCAAGCTGAGAAGCCCCTGCTGACACCCACCAGCCGGCCCAGCCCTCTCTCCACTTCAGCCTTCTCAATGCTGCTTTGCTTGCATGTACTAACTCACAGCTACCCCCACATTGCTTTCCCAGTATGCGTGGGCATACTTACCCTTCTTTCCCCCACCAGCATGAGTGTGCATGTGTACCCTGCAGTGCCACTGCTGCCAGTGTGAGAGCATCCCACCCCCACCACCCCATGCCTCATTGCCATTGTCCTCAGAGCACTGGCAGCATGCAGCCTACCAGCCACGCCCTTGCCAGTGTGCCACCCTTGTGCTGGGGTGCCAGTGAAAAAGTAGGTAAGGAAAACAGCAAAGCTCCTTTAGCCCTAAGCGGCCACTGCTGCCAGCGTGAACGTGTATTGAGGGCTCTCACACAGTCCTGTGCTGACCAGTGCCTCACGCCTGTGCTAACACCACCTCTGATGCAAGTGCATGCACAGTCGCTGGTGAGGGCCCCTCACCACTCTGAGCCATACTGCCACTGCTGCTGCTGCAAATGCCTACATGGAGGCAGGTATCCTGGCACCCACTAGCACCCTGCCACAGGCGATGAGTGTGCACCTTGCCATGCTGCCAATGCTGCTGCAGGCAGGCACAAGCAAACAAGGATTAATCCTGCTGCCACCAACCTACAAAGTGTTTTGGCTGGCACCAGCCATCGGAGTGTTGTGACCAGTGGTCCAGGAGCACGTCGGTCTCTACAACACAGCAGGTTTCTATCTTTGAGGAGCCAGACATCAAAGCCAGGGCCTGATAAAAGTCCCCCAGAATAAGAGCAGAGTCCAGGAGTCCTGAATCATAGAGGCCCCTGAGATCTTCCAGTAATGAAGCCAGTTAACTGAACCCACCTTATACTACAATGAAATACCCAAGGTCATCATATAGGATGAAAGAAAAAATACCCATCCAAAGGACAGCAACTTCAAATATTGAAGGAACATCAGCCCACAAAGATGAAAAAGAAGCAGTGCAAGAACTCTGACAACTCAAAAAGCCAGAAAGCCTTCTTTCCTCCATATGACTGGATTAGTTCTCCAGCAAGGGTTCTTTACTGGGCTGAGATGGCTGAATTCAGAATATGGATAGGAATGAAGATCATCCAAGATTTAGAAGAATGTTGAAACCCAATCTAAGGAAGCTAAGAATCACAATAAAACAATACAGGAGCTGACAGACAAAAGGGCCAGTATAGAAAAGAACTTAAGTGATTTGATAGAGCTGACAAGCACTCTACAAGAATTTCATAATACAATCACAAGTATTAGTAGAAGAATAGACCAAGCTGACAAAAACCCTCAAAAGTTGAAAATAAGCTTTCTGAAATAAGACAGATAATGATACAGAAAAAAAAGCAATGAATGAAATCTCGAAGAAATATAGGATTATGTAAAGAGATGAAATCTATGACTCATTGCTGTCCCTAAAAGAGATGGGGACAATGTAAGCAAATCTCAAAACATATTTGAGGATATCGTCAACAAGAACTTCCCCAACCTAGATAGGCAGGCCATCATTCAAATTCAGGAAATACAGAGAACCCCTGCAAGATACTTCACAAGAAGATCATCCCCAAGACACATAACCATCTGATTCTCCAAAGTTGAAACGAAAGAAATAATATTGAAGGCAGCTAGAGAGAAAGGCCAGGTAATATACAAAGGGAAGCCCATTGGACTAACAGCAGACATCTCAGCAGAAACCCTACAAGCCGGAAGAGATTTGGGACCTATATTCAATATTCTTAAAGAAAAGAAATTCCAACCAAGAATTTCATGTCTAGCCAAACTAACCTTCATAAACGAAGGAGAAATAAGATCCTTTTTAGACAAGCAAATACTGAGGGAATTTGTTATCATCACACCTGCCTTATAAGAGCTCCTGAAAGAAGCCTAAATAGGGAAAGGAAAGACCATTTCCAGCCACTACAAAAACACACTTGAAGCCTAAATATGGAAAGGAAAGACCATTCCCAGCCACTACAAAAACACACTTAAGTACACAGACCGGTGACACTATAACGTAACCATGAACAAGCTGGAAAAATAAACAACTAACAACATGATGACAGGATTAAATACATATATCTATACTAACCTTGAATATAAATGGGAAAAATGTCCCAGTTAAAAGACATGGAGTGACAAGCTGGATAAATAAGCAAGACCCAATGGTACACTGTCTTCAAGAGACCCATCTCACATGCAACAATACCTGTTTTAGTCTGTTCTCACATTGCTATAAAGAACTACCTGAAACTGAGTAATTTATGAAGAAAAGAGGTTTAATTGACTCACAGTTCTTCAAGCTGTACAGGAAGCATAGCTGGGAGGCCTCAGGAAAATTACAATCATGGTGAAAGGGCAAAGAGGAAGCAAGCAGGTCTTACCATGGCAAAGCAGGACAGTGAGAGTGAAGGGGAAGTGCTACACATTTTTTTTTGGTTGTTGTTGTTATTGTTGTTTTTGAGACGGAATCTCGCTCTGTCGCCCAGGCTGGAGTGCAGTGGCGCGATCTCGGCTCACTGCAAGCTCCACCTTCCCAGTTCACACCATTCTCCTGCCTCAGCCTCCCTATTAGTTGGGACTACAGGCACCCACAACCACGCCCAGCTAATTTTTTTGTATTTTTAGTAGAGACAGGGTTTCACTGTGTTAACCAGGATGGACTCGATCTGCTGATCTCGTGATCCACCCGCCTCGGCCTCCCAGAGTGCTGGGATTACAGGCGTGAGCCACCGCTCCCGGCCGAGTGCTACACATTTTGAAACAAACAGATCTCGTGAGAACTCACTTACTATCAATGAGAATAGCAAGGGAGAAATCCTCCCCCATGATCCAATCACCGTCCACCCGGTCTCTCCCACAACACAGAGGATTACAATTCAACATGAAATTTGAGTGGGGACACAGAGCCAAACCGTATCAACACCCATAGGCTCAAAATAAAGGAATGGAGAAAAATCTACCAAGAAAATAAAAAACAGAAAAAAAGCAGAGGCTGCAATCCTAATTTCAGCAAGACACATTAAATGAACAAAGATTTAAAAAGACAAAGAAGGACATTCCATAGTGGTAAAGGGTTCAATTAAGCAAGAAGATACCTAACTATCCTAAATACATATGCACCCAACACAGGAGCACCCAGATTAATAAAGCATATTCTTAGAGACTTGCAAAGGTACTTAGACTCCCATACAATAATAGTGGGAGACTTTAACACCCCACAGACACTATTAGACAGATTATCGAGGCAGAAAATTAACAAAGATATTCAGAACCCAAACTCAACAGTGGAGCAAAAAGATCTTATAAACATACACAAAACTCTCCACACGAAAACAACAGACTATATATTATTCTCATCTGTACATGGCACATATTCTAAAATTAACCACACAATTGGACATTAAACAATCCTCAGCAAATGCAAAAGAACTGAAATCATGCCATCCACTCTCTTGGACCACAGCACAACAAAATTAGAATTCGAGACTAAGAAAATCGCTCAAAACTATATGATTACATGAAAATAACCAGCTCCTGAATGACTTTTGGGTAAATAATGAAATTAAGACAGAAATCAAGAATTCCTTTGAAACTAAAGAGAACAAATTTACAACATGCCAGAATCTCTGGGTCACAGCTGAGGCAGTGTTAAGAGGGAAATTTATAGCACTAAATGCCCACATCAGAAGGGTAGAAGGATCTCAAATCAACATAATATCACAACTAAAAGAACTCGAGAACCAAGAGCAAACCAACCCCACAGCTAGCAGGTTACAATAAATAACCAAAATCAAAGCTGAAATGAAGGCAATTGAGACATGAAAAACCAATAAAACATTAATAAAGTCAGTATCTGATTTTTCTAAGAAATTAATAAAATAGACTGCTAGCTAGACTAATAAAAAAGAAAAGAGAGAAGATCCAAAAAAAAACCACAGAAAGGACACAGGATATTACTACTGACCCCACAGAAATACAAATAACCATCAGAAACTATTATGAACACCTCTATGCAGACAAACTAGAAAATCTAGAAGAAATAGATAAATTTCTGCACACATACACCCTCCCAAGATTGTACCAGGAAGAAATTGAATCCCTGAACAGCAGACCAATAATGAGTTCAGAAATTATATCAGTAATAAATATCTTAACAATCAAAAAAAAAAAAGCCCTGGACCAGACCAATTGATAGCTGAATTCTACCAGATGTGCACAGAAGAGCTGGTATCATTCCTATTGAAACTATTCCAACAAATTGAGAAGGAGGGACTGCTCCCAATTTATTCTAAGAGGCTAGCATTTTCCTGATACCAAAACCTGGCAAAGGCACAACAACAACAACAACAAAAACATCATGCCCATATCCCTGATAAACACTGATGCAAAAATCCTCAACAAAATACTAGCAAAACAAATCCAGCAGCACATTAAAAAGCTAATCCACCATTATCAAGTAGGCTTTATCCCTGGGGTACAAGATTGGTTCAACATACACAAATCAAAAATGTAATTCATCACATAAATGGAAGTAAAGACAAAAACCACATGATCATCTCAATAGATATAGAAAAAGCTTTTGATAAAATTTGCTATCCTTTCATGTTAAAAACTCTCAACAAACTAGGTATTGAAGGAATATATCTCAAAATAACGACAGCCATCTATGACACACCCACAGCCAACATCATACTGAATGGGCAAAAGCTGGAAGCAATCCCCTTGAAAACCAGCACAAGAAAATGATGCCCTCTCTCACCATTCCCTAATCAAACATAGTATTGGAAGTCCTAGCCAATGCAGTCAGGCAAGAGAAAGAAATAAAGGCATCCAAATAGGAACAGAGGAAGTCAAACTATGCTTGTGTGCAGATGACATGACTATACCTAGATAATCCCGTAGTCTCAGCCAAAAAGCTACTTAAGCTGATAAACTACTTCAGTGAAGTCTCACAATACAAAAATCAATGTAGAAAAATCACTAGCATTTCTATAAACCAACAACAGCCAAGGCAAGAGCCAAATCAGGAACACAATCCCATTCACAATTGGCAACAAAAGAATAAAATAACTAGGAATACAGCTAACCAAGGAGGTGAAAGACTTCTGCAATGAGAACTACAAACGACTCCTCAAAAACATCAGAGATGACACAAACACATAGAAAAACATCCCATGTTCATGTATAAGAAGAATCAAGATTATTAACATGGCCATGCTGTCCACAGCAATTTTCAGATTCAATGCTATTCCTATCAAACTGCCAATGACATCCTTCCTAGAATTAGAAAAAGCTATTTTAAAATTCATATGGAACCAAATGAGCCTGAATAGCCAAGGCTGTACTAAGCAAAAAGAACAAAGCAGGAGGCATCATGCTACCCAACTTCCAACCATATTACATGGATGTGGTAATAAAAACAGCATGGTACTGGTACAAAAACAGACATACACCAATGGAACAGAATAGAGAGCCTAGAAATAAGGCTGCACACCTACAATCATCTGATCCTCCACAAAGCTGACAAAAACAAGCAATAGGGAAAGGACTTCCTTATTCAATAAATGGTGCTGGGATAACTGGCTAGCCATTTGCTGAAGACTGAAACTGGACCCTTTCCTTTCACCATATACAAAAATCATCTCAAGATGAATTAAAGACTTAAATGTAAAACTCAAAACAATAAAAGCTCTGTGAGATAACCTATGCAATACCATTCTGGACATAGGGATGGGCAAAGATTTCATGAGGAAGACACCAAAAGCAATTGTAACAAAACCAAAAATGGACAAATGGGACTTAATTAAACTAAAGAGCTTCTGCACAGCAAAAGTAACTATCAACAGAGTAAACAGACAACCTACAGGAAGGGAGAAAATTTTTGCAAACTATGTGTGTGACAAAGGTCTAATATTCAGTATCTATAAGGAACTTAAACCAATTTGCAAGAAAAAAAAACAACCCCATTGAAAAAGTAGGCAAAGGACATGACAGACACTTTTCAAAGGAGGACATACATTTGGACAACAAGCATATGAAAAATAGCTCAATATCACTAATCATTAGATAAATGAAAATCAAAACCACAATGATATGTCATCTGACAGCAGTCAGAATGGCTACTAAAAAGTCAAAAAATAACATATGCTGCTGAATATTACAGAGAAAGGGTAATGCTAATACACTGTCGGTTGTAGTGTAAATTAGTTCAACCATTGTGGAAAGCAGTATTGTGATTCCTCAAATAACTAAAAATGGAACTACCATTCAACCCAGCAATCTCATTACTGGGTACATACCCAAAGCAATATAAATCATTCTATTATAAAGACACATGCACATGTATGTTCATTGCAGCACTATTCATAATGGCAAAGACATGGAATCAACCTAAATGCCCATCAATGGAAGACTGGATAAAGAAAATGTAGTACATATACACCATGGAATACTATGCAGCCATCAAAAAAGGATATCATGTCCTTTCCAGGAACATGAATGGAGCTGGTGGCTATTACCCTTAGCAAACTGACACAGGAACAGGAACAAAATATTCCACTTATAAGTGGAAACTAAATGATGCAAACACGTGGACACAAAGAGGGGAACAGCAGACCCTATTGCCTACCAGAAGCTGGAAAGTGGGAGGAAAGAGAGGCATAGAATAATATAATTAATGGGCACTAGGCTTAATACATGGGTGATGAAATAATCTGTACAAAAAAAATCCCATGACACGAGTTTACATATATACCAAACCTGCACACATATCCCTGAACCTCAAATAAAATTTTCAAAAAAAAAACTTTAAAAAAATGGAGAACTAGTGTTGGAAAAGACATAACTTACACGGTGTCAGAAAAAAAAACCTCAAGTGGCCCCGATTCCCCTTGCCCATATTCTTGTTTCATTGGCTTCTTACTCTCAATCTTCACCTATTGCCTCTTGAGGAGATTCTTATAATGAGTTGAATAAATAAGAAATCTTTGGGCCTGAATGACAAATGATTCTTGACAATATGAGGGCACTACCTAAAGGTAGATGGGTTCAATACTAAAGCACATTTAGGCATCATGAAGCCAGGAAACTCAGAATTGCAGAAAGAATACCTTATATGGACAACATAATAAAGTGCTTGGGTCTGCTTAATCACATCATTAAGTATAATTCATTTCAAAATCATATTTACCATAGTGGCCAGCTGAAATCTATGCAAATACTTATGCAAGAGGTTTAATAGAAGTGTCATAGTCCCAGATGTCAGTAGACAGTCCCGTGGAAATAAATATTTTTCTACTTTATGCCTGGTAGGTTGACTCAGAACTTAATCCCCCAAATATCTGAACCCTTAATTTCCTTTGCAAGCCATGGTTCCCACAATTTCCCATTTATCATTGTCACAAGGCACAGAAGCATAAAAGAATCTTGGTTTCAGGCATATTCTTCCCTATTCCCATTATGTAACAGCAATCCTAGCTCTGCATTGTAATCAGGTTCAATTTGTCCCGTTAGTGTACTAACTCTTTGCCTACTGATCCACTTCCATGAGGACACTGAAGTGATTAGGTTGTAAGCTTTCACTTAGTGTAAGCATTCTCTCCTGGGAAGCAGGATATCTATTCTGGCAGACCCTAAAATTTAATGAATGATAATGATGTGTGAAAGGAGGCAATCCAGTTTTCACCTCTTTGTTGCCAGATTCACGCACACTAGATTTGAGGACATGGCACCAAATACCAGTTTTGGGTTCAGTGCTGGAGGAAAGTGTCACAACTTTGCAGGGTAACCAGCCTAAACTGGTAGGTTAGCTAAACTGTTTCACCTGGCTGGGGGAATTAAGTCAAACGTGAAGATGCTAATGACCATACATAGCCTCCCTGTTAAACCTAAATGTATTCTATGGTAAGACTAATTTCATTAAAACCTACTCAAGGGAGTCTAAATAGGTCTATTGATCTATCTTGTTGGCCATAGTAGCTAAAGGTAATGGATAGGTTCCTGACCATTGTCTCTATGGTGAAGACGCTGATTTTAGGGAGTTGTATTCATGCTGCTGTATGAAATCAGAAGTCAATGTACCTACTTGGGTAGGACAATTCTCTTTACTTAGTGGTCCACTAAGGGGTCCAGGGGATTGTGTTGCTATCGCTCATTAAAGGTGGTAATAATATAATAAAATGTCATACACATCCCCAATGTAAAGATGTTCTGTAGCCAACTCTACAACATATAAAACATAAAACTCAAGGTGACACAGGACCCTCCAGTTTGAGATTTCATGTTACACTTGATTTGGATCAGCTTTACAGTGATTTGGTTAAGCCACAAAGCCACAATGGCAGTGCTACTGAGTAGATACAACATTGACAGCCATTCATGAAGTACTCCAAGGCTACTAAGACATCAAGAGATAGACGTGAATTCCCTTAGCATGTAGATGGGGATTGCAAAACCAGAAACAGGTCAAATAATCAGCTACTTTTGCTACTTGACTAAAGGGTTGTTTTGCCATGCTGGTGTGCTGAATCCAAGGAAAAAAAATGTTGATTTCTCCCAATCCTTGCACTTCTCAAAGTCACAAAACTCAAATCTAGGTGCCGGGGTGGTTGTTCTCCCTCCATAACCACATAGTCTTTTCGAACTTATTTGGTAGTCATTACTTCTCCCTTCACCCAGCCATCCACCACCTATATACAAACCTTCCTAGATGGGTCTAGGAAGGGCTAGCATGGTGGCTGGGGCACCATGCTAACATTTCAAGTGCTCCGTAATATCCTCTATTGCTGTTCAAGTGGACTACTGAAAGGTTCACAAATTCCATCAAAATATTATTATCCTAGTGGTCTGTGATGCACCACATACAACACCTGAAACTAAGTGATAGTAGAACCAGTAGATTGGGGTTGTCATACATTATTGTCTAACTGCCACCCTAAGCTACAAAAGTTCTTTTCATTTCTGAAGGATAAGTATTGTATCCCCTCTTTTGTTTCTGATTCTAGTAATTTGAGCCTTCTCTTTTTTAATGGTGAATCTATCTAAATTTTTGCCAATTTTATTGATCATTTCAAGAACAGGATTTGGCTACATTTATTTCCTCTACCATTTTTCTATACTGTATTTTATTAATTTCTCCCCTAATCTTTATTATTTCCATTCTTCACCTTGCTCTGGGTTGAGCTTTGCCTTTTTGTTTTCTAGTGTCTTAAAGTGCAAGGTGCAGTAATTGATTTAAGGTCTTCCTTCTCTTTTAATAGAGGCATTTACAGCTATAAATTTTCCTCTAAGCGCTGCTTTACCTAAAATCAATAAATTTCACTCTGCTGTGTCTTTGTTTTAATTCTTCTTAAAGTATTTTCCAATTTCCTTTTCATCATTTTCGACTCATTAGTTATTTAAGGGTATGCTGTTTACCACATATTTGTGAGTTTTTCGAATTCATTTTGATTACAGATTGCTAATTTCATTCTATTATAGTCAAAGAACATGTTTTGAATTATTTCTTTTACTTTAACTGTATTGAGATTTGTTTTATATCATGTCATATAACATATCCTAAGGAATGTTTACATGTACATTTGAGAAGACTGTGTATTTTACTGTTTGGGGGTGTTTTGTAGATGTCTATTGGGTTAGATTTTCTATTGTTGTTTCATTACTTATTTCCTTATTCATCTTCTGTCTAGTTTTTCTATCCAGGATTGAAACTCCAATTATTATTGTTAAATCATCTATTTCTCTTTTCGTTTCATCAGTTTCTGCTTTATGTATTTTACTGCTTTATGATCATAATATCTTACTGATGAATTCATCTTTTATTATTGTAAAATGTTTTTTATCTCAAGTAACATTTTGTTTTAAAATCTATTTTGTCTGTTATTAGTATAGCCATTACACCTTTCTTGAGCTTGCTGTTTGCATGATGTATCTTCTTACATCCTTTTATTATCAATCTATTTGTATCTTTAACTCTAAATTGTGTCTTTTGTAGATAGCATATACTTTAATCTTATAGTTTTATCCAGTCTAAGAATCACTGTCTTTTTATTGGAATGCTTAGTGCATTCACACTCTATGTTATTATTAATATATTTATACTTCTATCTACCATTTACCTTCATTTTGTATGTCACATGCAATTTTTGTTTTTCTATTTCTGCTTCACTGTCTTCTTTTGCATTAAGTGAATATTTTCTAATGTAACATTTTTAATTTTTTAAATGAGTTTTGTATCAGGAGCTCAGGTGAGTTGGAGACAGTACTGAATTGTCAAGTATCAGAAGAGCTGATTAAGACAACAAGTCAAACTCAAAGTTACTCAAATTAAAGGTCAAGCCCTTAATTGGTTACTGCAAGAGGCTAAACCAGAAAAGTGCTACCCGCCCCCTACATTCCACTTTTCTGCATGGAATGGTACTGGTCAAAGATCAGGTGGATGGGTACACACATGGGGGTCATCTCACTGTTGAGGGAGCTCTGAACTAAAGGTTCCTGCAGTTTTATGGACCTGTGGGTCATGGAAAGGAGGAGAGGGAAGGGATAAGAGTGGAAAAGTACTGATTACTGAGCCAGAGTAGGGGGGGAAATGACTTCAAGTCTCTTCCACTATCCACCCCTCATAATGAGATTTTGGTTCAAAACCAAAGGAAGCCCTTTGCAGAAGATCCCGAATAAAGAGGATTCCAAATGGAGGTGGCTGGACTAGGAATGCAGGTATGTATAAAAGCATGTCCAGTCAGGTAGGCATGAGTCCTTGCTGGCAATTCCTTTCTGAGATTACAATGCATTGGCTATACTCCACATTTGTGTTTTGTGTTGGGAAAACAGCTTTTTCCTATGAGGTTGGCCAGGTAAAGCCATTGCGGTGCCTATGGTCAGGCTTGAAAAATTGTATGTAGGTTTTTAACTAGGATCTGGACTCTTCGACTTCACTCCTTGATTTTTCAGGACATGAATAAGAAACATGGGCTACCCATCATGGACCTGAATAGGGTAGACTTTGAAGGGCTGTGACAATCACCTGCTAACTGCTCTGAGGCAATATTACCAAGGCCATGATCAAGATCACTTTAAGCAGGATGATCAGGCTTGTATGGAGGAAACATGAGCCTCAACTGTTGTCCTGCCAGAAAAAAATATGTCCCATAGCCCATTAAGGTCCATGTTAGAAAGCCAGGAGGTTTATTTTGAAAATTTCTATATAAAGATTTTTCAAACCTTTGCTGAGGTATCAATTAAGGCACAGCACAATTCTGGCCATTAAATTGAAGCTGACCTGAATGGCTTTCAGGGCTGAGGCAGTGTCATGAAAGTCACGGTATGTGCATAAGAAATACAGTCCTAGAAAGTACACATGATATCTTTGAAAATAAAGAGTTCACAATGTTAGGTCATACTAAGTAGGACAAACATTAAGCAGACAATTAGGTTAACAGAGCTTTCAATGCAGCCTTCCATTGCAGGGCCTCTTGCCCAAAGATCCTCAGTCCAGTCTAAATAATTTAGATTAGTTCTTGCTTTTAGAGGTATTTCCTGAGGCAGTCAGTTTTAAAGTTTTGTTTGTCTGTGACCTCAGTTTATCAGCCTCATGAGTGTGGACAACATCTGGAGGTGTCTTTTCTTAGTTAATACTATAGAAGCTACAGTTTTCTTATAGTCAACACTATCAGGTATGATCACACACACACAGTAATCAGTCTGAAGCCAAAGCACTCAAAGTAGCTTGGAAAGGCAGTAGGAAAGTGTTTTGTTCATTCCTTTTGGTTTTTCAGGAAAAGGGGAAAGCTTTCAGTCGTGATTCTGCAAAATAAATGACGTTAATGCCCTTTTCCATCCTGATCAGCTCCCCAGGTACCAGGGTTAAGTTTTTTCTTCTATTGTTGCCAGGGTGTCTCAAACAGTAAGCAAAACTTTACATTAAAAAAATCATTTTAAAATTTGTATCTGAACATTTTCTCCAGAAGGACTGTATGCAAGAGAAAAAAAGCATTTTTCTAGAAAAATATTTTTATACCATAGCCAGAAAAAAAAACCATGTTTAACAATTTGGTAGACAAGGGCAGTGTAAGATGGCTGAATAGAAGCCTTCACCAATCATCATCCCCCACAGGAACACCAATTTAACAACTATCTACACACAAAAAAAGTACCTTCATAAGAACTGAAAATCAGTGAGCAAACACAGTAGCTGATTTTAACTTCATATAGCTGTAAGAAGCACTGAATAGAGCGGGAAGGACTATGTTGAATTGCTGAAGCCACCCCTCCATCATCCACCCCAGCAGAGGCCACATGGAATGGGGAAAATCTGCACTTGAGAGAAGGAAAGCACAGCAATTGTGGGATCCTGCATTGAATTCAGTGTTGCTCTATCGCAGCGGACAGCAAAACCAGGCTAAATTCTGCCAGTGCCTGCTCAAGGAGGGAGCATGTAGACTGGCCATAACCAGAGAGGAATCACCCGTCCTGGTCAGAACTTAAGTTTTGGCAAGCCTTGCCACCATGGGCTAAAGTTCTCTGGGGTCCTAATAAACTTGAAAGGCAGTCTAGGCCACAAGGACTGCAATTCCTAGGTAAGTCCTAGTTCTGTGCTGGGTGCAGACCCAGTGGATGTGGGATACCAGATGGGGTGGCTAAGGAAGTGATTGTGCCACCCTTCCCCCAAGCTCAGGCAATGCAGCTCACAGCAAGGGTGAATCATTCCTTCTTTTTGAGGAAAGGAAAGGGACCAGTGAAGAGGACTTTTCCATCCTGGGTACCAGCCCATCCACAGTAGGATAGGGCACCGGGCAGAGTTGTGAGGCACTTATTCCAGGCCCCAGCTTTCAGATGACATATCTAGATATACCTGGGCCAGAAGAGAACATACTGCTTTGAAGGAAAAAACCCAATCCTGGGAGGATTTATCACCTGCTGATGAAAGAACCCTTGAGCCCTGAGAACCAGCAGCAATTACCAGGTAGTAAGCTGTGGGCCTTAAGTGAGGCTCTGAGACATACTAGCTTCAGGTTCCAGCTTAGTCACAGTGGAGTAGAGCACAAAGTGGGCTCTTGGGGTCCCTAATTCCAGGCCTTGCCACTTGGATGGCATTCTTAGACCTGCCCTGAAGGGTGAGTCACAGGCTTGGCAGCATTCACCACAAGCTGACTGAAGAGTCCTTGGGCCTTCAGTGAACATCAGTGTTAGCCTAGAAGTACCCCCTGTAGTTCTGTGGTGGTGGCCATGGAAAGAGGCTTCTCTGTCTATGGAAAGGGGAGGGAACCATGAGAAGGACTTTGTCTCATGGTTTGAGCCCCAGGTTAGCTACAACAGAATAGAGGGCCAAGGAGATTTCTAAGGTTTCTGAATGCTAATCCCTGGCTCCTGGATGGCATCTCCTGAGCTACCTCGATCCTGGGGGAACTCACTGCCTTGAACGGAAGGATAGAAGCCTGGCCGGCTTTGCCACTTGGTGATTGCAGAGCCCTAAGGACTTGAGCAAACACAGGCAGTAGATAGATAGTGATTATAGTGGGCTGTGGATAAGACCTAGTGCTATGCTGGCTTCAGGTCTGAGCCAGCGCAGTCCAAGTGGTAGCCACAGGGGATCTCATGTCCTCCCACCCTCAGCTCCAGGCAGTTCAGCACAGACAGAGACTCCATTTGTTCGGGAGAAAGTAAGGGAAGGGAACAAGAGTCTCTGCCTGGTAATCCAGAGAATTATTTTGGATCTTTTATATATATATATATATATATATATATATTTTTAAATTATACTTTAAGTTCTAGAGTACAGGTGCACAACGTGCAGATTTGTTACATATGTATACAAGTGCCATGTTGGTGTGCTGCACCCGTAAACTCGTCATTTACATTAGGTTTATCTCCTAATGCTATCCCTCTGCCCTCCCCCCACCCCACAACAGGCCCCAGTGTGTGATGTTCCCCTTCCTGTGTCATTGCTCAATTCCCACCTATGAGTGAGAACATGCGGTGTTTGGTTTTTTGTCCTTGTGATAGTTTGCTGAGAATGATGGCTTCCAGCTTCATCCATGTCCCTACAAAGGACATGAACTCATCCTTTTTTATGGCTGCATGGTATTCCATGGTGTATATGTGCCACATTTTCTTAATCCAGTCTATCCCTATTGGACATTTGGGTTGGTTCCAAGTCTTTGCTATTGTGAGTAGTGCCACAATAAACATATTTGTGCATGTGTCTTTATAGCAGCATGATTTATATTCCTTTGGGTATATACCCAGTAATGGGATGGCTGGGTCAAATGGTATTTCTAGTTCTAGATCCCTGAGGAATCGCCACACCAACTTCCACAGTGGTTGAACTAGTTTACAGTTCCACTAACAGTGTAAAAGTGTTCCTATTTCTCCACATCCTCTCCAGCACCTGTTGTTTCCTGACTTTTTAATGATTGCCATTCTAACTGGTGTGAGATGGTATCTCATAGTGGTTTTGATTTGCATTTCTCTGATGGCCAGTGATGGTGAGCAATTTTTCATGTGTTTTTTGTCTGCATAAGTGTCTTCTTTTGAGAAGTGTCTGTTCATATCCTTCGCCCACTTTTTGATGGGGTTGTTTGTTTTTTTCTTGTAAATTTGTTTGAGTTCATTGTAGATTCTGGATATTAGCCCTTTGTCAGATGAGTAGGTTGCAAAAATTTTCTCCCATGTTGTAGGTTGCCTGTTCACTCTGATGGTAGTTTCTTTTGCTGTGCAGAAGCTCTTTAGTTTAATTAGATCCTATTTGTCAATTTTGGCTTTTGTTGCCATTGCTTTTGGTGTTTTAGACATGAAGTCCTTGCCCATGACTATGGCCTGAATGGTATTGCCTAGGTTTTCTTCTAGGGTTTTTATGGTTTTAGGTCTAACATTTAAGCCTTTAGTACATCTTGAATTAATTTTTGTATAAGGTGTAAGGAAGGGATCCAGTTTCAGTTTTCCACATATTGCTAGCCAATTTTCCCAGCACCATTTGTTAAATAGGGAATCCTTTCCCCATTTCTTGTTTTTGTCAGGTTTGTCAAAGGTCAGATAATTGTAGATGTGTGGTATTATTTCTGAGGGCTCTGTTCTGTTCCATTGGTCTATATCTCTGTTTTGGTACCAGTACCATGCTGTTTTGGTTACTGTAGACTTTTAGTATAGTTTGAATTCAGGTAGCGTGATGTCTCCAGCTTTGTTCTTTTGGCTTAGAATTGACTTGGCAGTGTGGGCTCTTTTTTGGTTCCATATGAACTTTAAAGTAGTTTTTTCCAATTCTGTGAAGAAAGTCATTGGGAGCTTGATGGGGATGGCATTGAATCTATAAATTACCTTGGGCAGTATGGCCATTTTCACGATATTGATTCTTCCTATCCATGAGCATGGAATGTTCTTCCATTTATTTGTGTCCTCTTTTATTTCGTTGAGCAGTGGTTTGTAGTTGTCCTTGAAGAGGTCCTTCACATCCCTTGTAAGTTGGATTCCTAGGTATTTTATTCTCTTTGAAGCAATTGTGAATGGGAGTTCACTCATGATTTGGCTCTCTGTTTGTCTGTTATTGGTGTATAAGAATGCTTGTGATTTTTGCACATTGATTTTGTATCCTGAGACTTTGCTGAAGTTGCTTATCAGCCTGAGGAGAATTTGGGCTGAGACAATGGGGTTTTCTAGATATATAATCATGTCATCTGCAAATAGGGGCAATTTGACTTCCTCTTTTCCTAATTGAATACCCTTTCTTTCTCCTGCCTGATTGCCCTGGCCAGAACTTCCAACACTATGTTGAATAGGAGTGGTGAGAGAGGGCATCCCTGTCTTGTGCCAGTTTTCAAAGGGAATGCTTCCAGTTTTTGCCCATTCAGTATGATATTGGCTGTGGGTTTGTCATAAATAGCTCTTATTATTTTGAGATACGTCCCATCAATACCTAATTTATTGAGAGTTTTTAGCATGAAGAGCTGTTGAATTTTGTTGAAGGCCTTTTCTGCATTCATTGAGGTAATCATGTGGCTTTTGTCTTTGGTTCTGTTTATATGCTGGATTATGTTTATTGATTTGCGTATGTTGAACCAGCCTTGCATCCCAGGGATGAAGCCCACTTGATCATGGTGGATAAGCTTTTTGATGTGCTGCTGGATTCGGTTTGCCAGTATTTTATTGAGGATTTTTGCATCGGTGTTCATCAGGGATATTGGTCTAAAATTCTCTTATTTTTGTTGTGTCTCTGCCAGTCTTTGGTATCAGGATAATGCTGGCCTCATAAAATGAGTTAGGGAGGATTCCTCTTTTTCTATTGATTGGAATAGTTTCAGAAGGAATGGTACCAGCTCCTCCTTGTACCTCTGGTAGAACAGTACCTCTACGAGTCTGCAAGAACCACAGCATTACTGGGCTAGGGGTCTCCCCTAATGCAGATATGGCTTAGATCACAACACCCATGTCCCCTTGAATACCTGGAAAACCTTCAAGAAGGATAGGTACAAACAATCGGAGAATGCAAAGACTAAAATAAGTACCTAACTCTTCAATGCCCAGACAATGACAAACATCTGCAAGCATCAAGACTATCCAAGAAAACATGACCTCACCAAATGAATGAAATAAGGCACCAAGAGCCCATTTGGAGAGACAGAGATATGTGACCTTTCAGATAGAGATAAAAAATAGCTGTTCTGAGGAAACTCAAAGAAATTTAATATCACATGAGAAGGAATTCAGAATTTTATCAGATAAAATTTCACAAACAGATTGAAAAAGAGAATCAAGTGGGAATTCTGGAGTTGAAAAATGCAGCTGACATACTAAAGAATGCATCCGAGTCTCTTAATAGCAGAACTGATCAAGCAGAAGAAAGTATTAGTGAGTTGAAAGACAGGCTCTTTGAAAATACAGTCAGACGAGACAAAAGAAAAAAGAGTAAAAAACAATAAAGCAGCGAGGCATGGTGAAAGAAAGAAAGAAAGCCTACAGGATCTAGAATATAGCCTCAAAAGGCAAATCTAAGAGTTATTGGCCTTTAAGAGGAGGTAGAGAAATAAATAGGGGTGGCAAGTTTATTCAAAGGGGCAATAATAGAGAACCTTGCAAACATAGAGAAAGATACTAATATTCAAGTACAAGAAGGTTATAGAACACCAAGCAGATTTAACCCAAAGAAGACTACTTCAAGACATTTAATAATCAAACTTTCAAAGGTCAAGGATAAAGAAAGAATCTTATAAAAGCAAGATAAAAGAAACAAATAACATACAATGGAGCTCCAATATGTCTGCCAGCAGACCCTTCAGTGGAAACTTTACAGGTCAGGATAGAGTGGCATGACATATTTAAAATGCTGAAGGAAAAAAGAAAACTTTTAAACTATTATAGTATATCTGGTGAAAATATCCTTCAAACATGAAGGAGAAATAAAGACTCTTCCAGACAAAGGGTGAGGGGTTTTATCAATGTCACACCTGTCCTACAAGAAATGCTAAAGAGAGTTCTTCAATCAGAAATAAGAGGATGTTAATGAGCAATAAGAAATTATCTGAAGGTACAAAACACACAGGTAATAGTAAGTACCAGAAAAAACACAGAATATTATTACTTTGTAATTGTGGTGTGTAAACTACTCTTAAGTACAAAGATTAAAAGGTGAACAAATCAAAAATAATAACTACAACAACTTTTCAAGACATAGACAGTACAATAAGATATAAATAGAAACAACAGAAAATTTAAAAGCAGGGGGATGAAGTTAACCTGTAGAGTTTTTATTAGTTTTATTTTTTGCTTGTTTGTTTATGCAGGGACATGGATGAAGCTGGAAGTCCTGGCTACAGCAATCAGACAACAGAAAACAATAAAGGGCATCCAAACTAGAAAGGAAAGTCAAATTATCCTTGTTTGCAGATAATATAATCTTATTTTTGGAAAAACCTATAGACACTGCCCAAAAGCCCTTAAAACTGATAAACAAATTCAGTTAAGTTGCAGGATACAAAATCAACACACAAAAATTAGTAGCATTTCTACCTGTCAACAGCAAAAAAATCTGAAAAATAAAAAATTAATCCCATTTACAATAGGCACAAGTAAAATTAATTACCTAGGAATAAACTTCACCAAAGAAGTGAAAGATCTCCATGGCAAAACTATTAAACACTGATGAAAAAAATTAAAGACGATACCCCAAAATGGAAATATATTCCATGTTCATGAACTGGAAGAGGCAATATTGTTAGAATATCCACAGTACCCAAAGCAATCTACAGATTCAATACAATCCCCAACAAAATGCCAATGACATTATTCATAGAAATAGGAAAAACAATTCTAAAATGTATATGGAACCACAAAAGCCCCAGAATAGCCAAGCTATCCTGAGAAAAAAGAACAAAACTGAAGGAATCACATTACTTGGCTTCAAATTATACTACAGGCCTATAGAAACCAAAACATCATAGTACTGGCACATAAACAGACACATAGACCATTTGAACAGAAGAGAGAACCCAGAAACAAATCCATGTGTCTTTAGTGAACTCATTTTTGACAAAGGTGCCAAAAACATGCATTGGGGAAAGGACAGTTTGTTCTAAATGGTGCTGCGTAAACTGGATATCCATATGCAGAAGAATGAAACTAGACTCCTTAAGTCAAATAGATAAAATACTTAAATCTATGACCTCAAAGTATGAAACTACTAAAAACAAAACTTTGAGGAATCTGTACAGGACACTGGTGTGGGCAAATTTTTTGAGTACTATGCAACAAGCACAAGCAACCAAAGCAAAAGTGGACAAATGGGATCACATGAAGTTAAAAAACTTCTGCACAGCCAAGGAAACAATCAACAAATTGAAAAGACAACTCACAGAATGGGAGAATGTATTTGCAAAGTATCCATCTGACAAGGGATTAATAACCAGAATGTAAAAGGAGCTCATACAACTCTACAGGAAAAAAAATCTAATAATCTGATCAAAATATGGGCAAAAGATCTGAATAGACATTTCTCAAAAGAAGACATATGTATCCTGAGACTTTGCTGAAGTTGCTTATCAGCTTAAGGAGATTTTGGGCTGAGACAATGGGGTTTTCTAGATATACAATCATGCCGTCTGCAAATCAACGTACAAAAATCACAAGCATTCTTATACACCAACAACAAACAAACAGAGAGCCAAATCATGAGTGAACTCCCATTCACAATTGCTTCAAAGAGAATAAAATACCTAGGAATCCAACTTACAAGGGATGTGAAGGACCTCTTGAAGGAGAACTACAAACCACTGCTCAAGGAAATAAAAGAGGATACAAACAAATGGAAGAACATTCCATGCTCATGGGTAGGAAGAATCAATATCGTGAAAATGGCCATACTGCCCAAGGTAATTTACAGATTCAATGCCATCCCCATCAAGCTCCCAATGACTTTCTTCACAGAATTGGAAAAAACTACTTTAAAGTTCATATGGAACCAAAAAAGAGCCCGCATCGCCAAGTCAATCCTAAGCCAAAAGAACAAAGCTGGAGGCATCACACTACCTGACTTCAAACTATACTACAAGACTACAGTAACCAAAACAGCATGGTACTGGTACCAAAACAGAGATATAGATCAATGGAACAGAACAGAGCCCTCAGAAATAACGCCGCATACCTACAACTATCTGATCTTTGACAAACCTGACAAAAACAAGCAATGGGGAAAGGATTCCCTATTTAATAAATGGTGCTGGGAAAACTGGCTAGCCATATGTAGAAAGCTGAAACTGGATCCCTTCCTTACAACTTATACAAAAATCAATTCAAGATGGATTAAAGATTTAAACGTTAGACCTAAAACCATAAAAACCCTAGAAGAAAACCTAGGCATTACCATTCAGGACATAGTCATGGGCAAGGACTTCATGTCCAAAACACCAAAAGCAATGGCAACAAAAGCCAAAATTGACAAATAGGATCTAATTAAACTAAAGAGCTTCTGCACAGCAAAAGAAACTACCATCAGAGTGAACAGGCAACCTACAACATGGGAGAAAATTTTTGCAACCTACTCATCTGACAAAGGGCTAATATCCAGAATCTACAATGAACTCAAACAAATTTACAAGAAAAAAACAAACAACCCCATCAAAAAGTGGGCGAAGGACATGAACAGACACTTCTCAAAAGAAGACATTTATGCAGCCAAAAAACACATGAAAAAATGCTCACCATCACTGGCCATCAGAGAAATGCAAATCAAAACCACAATGAGATACCATCTCACACCAGTTAGAATGGCAATCATTAAAAAGTCAGGAAACAACAGGTGCTGGAGAGGATGTGGAGAAATAGGAACACTTTTACACTGTTAGTGGAACTGTAAACTAGTTCAACCATTGTGGAAGTTGGTGTGGCGATTCCTCAGGGATCTAGAACTAGAAATACCATTTGACCCAGCCATCCCATTACTGGGTATATACCCAAAGGAATATAAATCATGCTGCTATAAAGACACATGCACACATATGTTTATTGTGGCATTATTCACAATAGCAAAGACTTGGAACCAACCCAAATGTCCAACAATGATAGACTGGATTAAGAAAATGTGGCACATATACACCATGGAATACTATGCAGCCATAAAAAATGATGAGTTCATGTCCTTTGTAGGGACATGGATGAAATTGGAAATCATCATTCTCAGTAAACTATTGCAAGAACAAAAAACCAAACACCGCATATTCTCACTCATAGGTGGGAATTGAACAATGAGATCACATGGACACAGGAAGGGGAATATCACACTCTGGGGACTGTGGTGGGGTGGGGGGAGTGGGGAGGGATAGCATTGGGAGATATACCTAATGCTAGATGACGAGTTAGTGGGTGCAGCGCACCAGCATGGCACATGTATACATATGTAACTAACCTGCACAATGTGCACATGTACCCTAAAACTTAAAGTATAATAAAAAAAAAAGAAAACAGATTAAAAAAAAGATTAATATTAGTGCAACTTCCTGTTCAAGGTTTAGAACTAAGAAGTGATTTTTTTTAATTACTAAATTCAGTCATGGTGGCTTACAAAGAAAATGAATTAGTCTGTACATTTTATTAAGTGGGGCTTGAATTAGATGATGATATCTGGATAAAGAAACTAAAATTCTTAAGCATCCTGATTTCAAATAAAAGTACAGATAAAATAAAATAAAAAAAGAAGACATATGAATGGCAAACAGGCATATGAAAACCTGCTCAACATCACTGATCATCAGAGAAAAGCAACTCAGAACTGAAATGAGATAGCATCTCGCCCCAGTTGAAATGGCTTTTATCCAAAAGACAGGCTATAACAATGCTGGTGAAGATGTGGAGAAAAAGAAACCCTGGTACATGGTTGGTGGGAGTGTAAATTAGTAAAACCACTATGGAGAACAGTTTAGAGGTTCCTCAAGAAACTAGATAGAGTTACCATGTGATCCAGCCATCCCACTGCTGGGTATAGACCCAAAAGAAAGGAAATCAGTGTATCAAAGATATACCTGCACTCCCATGTTTGTTGCAGCACTGCTTACAATAGCTAAGATTTGGAAGCAACCTAAGTGCCTATCAACAGATGAATGGATAAATAATATGTGGTATATATACAATGGAGTACTATTCAGTCATAAAAAGAATGAGATACAATCACTTGCAAAACCATGGATGGAACTGGAAGACATTATGTTAAGTGAAATAAGCCAGGCACAGAAAGACAAAAATTGCATGATCTTACTTATTTGTGGCAGCTAAAAATCAAAACAATTGAACTCGGACATAGAGAGTAGAAAAATGATTACCAGAGGCTGGGAAAGATAGTGGGGGATTTGCAGGGAGGTGGGGATGGCTAATGGGTACAAAAAATTAGAAAGAATGAATAAGACCTACTGTTTGATAGCACAATATGGTGACAATAGTCAATAATAACTTAATTGTATATTTTAAAGTAACTTAAAAAGTGTCATTGGATTTTCTGTAACTCAAAGGATAAACTCTTGAGAAGATGGATACCCCATTCTCCATGATGTGCTTATTTCACATTGCATGCCTGTATCAAAACATCTCATGCACCCCATAAATATATACACCTAATACATATCCACAAATGTATCTATCTATATATTTATTATTGAGACTGAGTCTCTATTCCCCAGGCTGGAGTGCAGTGGCGGATCTTGGCTCAGTGCAACCTCCATCTCCTGGGTTCAAGTGATTCTCATGCCTCAGCCTCCTGAGTAGGTGGAATTACAGGCGCCCACCACCACGTCTGGCTACGTTTTGTATTTTTGGTAGAGATGAGGTTTCACCATGTTGGCCAGGCTGGTCTGGAACTACTGACCTCAAGAGATCCACCCGCCTCAGCCTCCCAAAGTGCTGGGATTACAGGCGTGAGCCACTGCTCCCAGCCAAACTTTTTTTAACATAATAAGAAATAAATAAAGAATACTGATACTTCCAATATTTAAACCATTTTAATATTATGTATTCCAAAAGGTAATTTCCACTTCAGACTTCACTGTACTCTACAATCTTTAAGAAGAATGAGTGTGGCCACCTGTTGGGCTTGACGTGGTTACTGTTGCCTTCAGTTTTCTCTAGGAATGAAGTATTCAGCATAATAACTGTGTTTTTAGTTATTTTGCATGGGCTGGAAGTACGTTTATTATGCTTTTGGTTATAGTCAATCTAAAACTCTATGTAATAGTCTTCACAACTAATAGTACCTATACACAATCCTGTGGCACAACTCTCTCTCAAGCCACAAATGCAGTTAATATGCTCTCATAGTCGTTTTTGATGTTGTATAAAAATAGTCTTTAAGGCTACGTGCTTAAAGCTACGTGCTTGAAGCTACCATAAGAGGTTGAAATTTTTATAGCAGTATGTAACCTACTTTGGGGGAGGCTTTTTAATGGAAGGTATAATTTGTAAAAGTATAATTTGCTTCTCAACTGCATTAACTTGCCACAGGATAAGACTATTTTTGTATAAAGGATTTCAAAGAATGGCATGTTTTCTCTAAAGAGTATTTTGATATTTTGTATGCTTGTGAAGAAAGTATAGTATTGGAAATTAAAGGCAGACAATTGATAACTGAGGAGTATGTCAGCTAATTTTTATGTATATTAATGTTGCATTTTTATAACTTATGTGTACATATAAATGCAGCTTCATTTTCAAATGAATGTTTCAAATAAGGAAGTCATATTAGGCAAACATATAGCTTTTGTATTATTTATTTTAAAGACGAGTTATGCCAATTTTCAGTATATTAATGAAGATTTTAACATTCCATCAAGTTGAGTGTTTTCCTGTTTTATTATATAGGGTGTATGTAGTTAGCATATTGTGTCACTGAATTGTTTTAAAATTTAGCACATAAACCAAACTTGTTTTATGGAAAATTTTTATTCATTAAAAAAATCATGGCAGATTTTCTGCAAAAAACAAACTAAAGCATTTATAATACAGAATACATATTACCAGCAACGTGTATGGGTCTTGGGCAGTGCTAGAGGAAGCTATTGGACATTTTTAGAAGGTTTTAGCAGGTTTTTACATAAACTTTTCAGTTCCAAGGTGACTTTTAGTCTCTTTAGTCCCTGACACCTCAGCTGAGCTGGACTGGTTTGTCAGAAAAGGGATACAACAGGGAAATTTAAAGAAAAGCTAGGGAAGCGGCATCCTAGCCACTGCTTAGGGATTTCTGATAATAGGACTAGAAGTGTGGGTGGGGACTACCCAACATGCTAAGTAACTCTACATATATCCTTGGTACCAATAAACACGCTGCGGTGCATCAAGTTGTTGAAACTTCAAGAGAAAAATATAGTTCCCTCCTAGTTTTGCGCAGTATCTCTGAAGAGACCACAGAAACTTAATTACAACCTCTCCAGAGGTACTATTGCTAAAGTTAATAAGGTAGTGTCATGGTGTGGGGTGTGTTACTACAAGCTCCTTTCTTTAGAGTGTCCTCACAGCAGCCATTGCCAGAATAACAGAATGCAATCAGCAAGAGCAACAGCAGCTGTAGCCATGTGGGTGCCATCCCCCTCCAAGGAAGCCCAGGCTCTGGTTGAACAGGCCTGCCTTGCATAGCTTTAGAAGTCCTGGCCAGCAAACAGCCGTCCACTCCAGTCCATAGTTCCACCCACTCTCTGCTCCCTCTCTCCCTAGAAAACTTATGGCCAAATCAAGGCAGGTGGCCCCACTTGGCTCTATACATTGGCAGCCCCTGTGACTCATGCAGGTTTTGCTCCCTCCACTCCTCCCTGTAAGCCTGGGGATAGATGAAAAGGCTCAACAGTTTTTGCCCAGACCTCTCAGCTTTAAAAAACAAACAAGACTAGGGATTAAACCAATGTCTCTCTATCCACAGTGAGGCTGGGAGTCCCTATGCCAAGGTTAAGATTCAATTAAAAAGTGAAAAAGTTAAACTTCTTGGCCGTCTAGGTATTGTTTCATAGGTGACTATGGTCCTCACACCTGACACCTGAGAGAAAAGTAGATAATACCTTCCAGTTTGAAGCCTAAAGCTACCACCATAAAGCTCGACTGTAGGTAGGTACCAGTGGGCTCCTACAAATCTGTTTTTATGGACTGCACTACTGAATGTGTTATTGAAATTGATATATATATTGTGTGTATATATATGTGTGTGTAAACACACACACACACACACCTCTGCTAGCATTCACCTCTAGGTTCTTATGGGAATTGCTACTTTAGTGAAAATAGAAAACTGTAAACCTATCTGATTCATGAGTTATAGGTAATGGCATGGTCATTTGATCAGGCTACTAAGAAGTCTCAGACTGGCATATAAAACAAGCTTCCCAGTGAGACCAAGGCATTTAGAGAAAGGTTAGTTCAGCTCCTAATAAACATTTTGTTCCTTATGTAGATATTCAAAAGAAAGGCCTCTAGGCTGATAAGGGAAACACAATCAATGAGCATACTGTGCTTGTCAGCTAAGTGCAGGGACTAAAATGTCCTCTGCTCCAGAGCAAGTAGATGTTTGGTAGATCACCTCCTGGATACACAAGAGGATGACCCATAGGAATTCTGACACTATTCCAGACTTGACCTACACAGATGGATTGTCACTATCATTAGAAAATGATGAAGCAGAATGGAAAATCTCTCCTGCCTGCTAAACCTTGCCCAAGGTTTACCAGTACCCAGGGACAGATACCCCAAGCCAATCAGACAGGAAATTCTCAACAGTTTCATCACATTGGGGCTTTGGGCCCATCTAGAGGGTTTCACTGGATTCTGAGGACAGATGAAACTTAATTTGGAGTTTGTCTTAGCCATCCCTGTCTGCTCCACTGACTTAGGTTAGGCTATCCCGGACCTGGAAAACCACATTTATTTCCTGTTCAGGTTTCCTGAACACATTGCATCTAATAATGGCTTCAGATTTGTGACCAAAGCTATAGTTTTGTGTCCACCAGTGGACACAATCATAAGTATATGATGGACTCTCTGTGCTTCATATCATCCCCAAGCCATAAGGGTGGTTCAGTGATTTAGAGGACAGGCTTAAGCAGCTGGCAAGATGGGACAAGATGCCCCCAGCTTAGACTACATATCTCAGGGAAGCAGTTTGTGGTCTCAGAGCAGCAATTATTTAAAGGGCACTTCTCATTTGTGTTTTGCATTTGATCAGGCTGCCTGCCCACTTTCTCCAATTGTACACCCTTCTTTAATACTATTGACACTTGACTCTCTGTGATAGATCCTACAAAGGCCTGGCATCCCCTTCTACCTTATTGTAATAACCGAAAGGGGAAATCAAAATGGCTATCAAATAACAAGGAATGAGAGGCTATATAATCCATTTTAAAATCTTATAAATGTCAGAATTTTGTGCTACCCAAATCTTTTTTAATTGGTTCTCTATATTTTTAATTTTTAATATTTGTGGGTACATAGTAGGCATATATAATTATGGGATACATGAGATGTTTTGATACAGGCATGCCATGTGAAATAAGCACATCATGGAGAATGAGGTATCCATCTTCTCAAGCATTTATCCTTTGAGTTACAAACAATCCAATTACACTCTTTGCGTTATTTTAAAATATACAACTAAGTTATTATTGACTATTATCACCCTATTGTGCTATCAAATAGTAGGTCTTATTTATTCTTTCTAATTTCTTGTACCCATTAGCCATCCCCACCTCCCCGCAAATCCCCAACTATCTTTCCCAGCCTCCAGTAATCATTTTTCTACTCTCCATGTCTGAGTTCAATTGTTTTGATTTTTAGCTCCCACAAATAAGTGAGAACATGCAAATTTTTTGTCTTTCTCTGCCTGGCTTATTTCACTTAACATAATTCTTCCATTGCCATCTCTGTAGTTGCAAATGACTGTATCTCATTCTTTTTATAGCTGAATAGTACTCCATCGTGTATACGTACCACATAGTCTTTATCCATTCATCTGTTGATAGGCACTTAGGTTGCTTCCAAATCTTAGCTCTTGTACACAGTGCTGCAACAAACACAGGAGTGCAGATATATCTTTGATACACTGATTTCTTTTCTTTTGGGTATATACCCAGCAGTGGGATTCCTGGATCATATGGTAGCTCTATTTTTAGTTTTTTGAGGAACCTCTAAACTGTTCTCCATAGTCGTTGCACTAATTTACATTCCCTCCAACAGTGTACATATATTCTTATCTATTCTAATAGAGTTCACCTACAGTAGATTACAGAAAAATATACAAATGTACATCTTTCCAAATGAAATTTTCAATGACTAACATTTGAGAATATTTAAAAAACAAATATGCAGCATGCAGGAAAACAAAGCACAAAAATGGCATTCAAATGGGTAATAAAAATTTATTAGGTCCAAAAAACTATGAAGTGCCCCAACTAAAGAGAATGCATAATGAAATGCTAATTTAATACAGGTCAAACAGGTTAACAAGGTTATAAAATATAGGGAAAAGAAAACTTACTGGCAGTATCTGTTGAAATGACAATCGTAAAGTAACAGAAAAGTAGCTTCAACTCCACTTAGGGCAAAAAGCAGATATGAAAATCCAAGTTCATTTTCATCTCTTATTATAAAATCCTGTTTGACTATGGGTCAAATTGCTTGTGGAAAAAATAGAATTTTTAATAAGCTGCAGACATCCTATACATTAAAAAAATACAATAGTTGCACAAGTTCCAAAGATTTCTGTTTGTAGTCTCCTGCTGTATATATTCAATCTGAGATGGATTTTTGTAATCATTATTATTGGACACTGAAGAAGAAAAGCAAGATGGGGTACAAAACACAAAATTTCAATTGTATTGACAATATTTTTATGTTAGTCCAAAAGGGCCCTAACTTCTCTCTTCCTTAAGTGATTTGACAAGTCTTTGTGTTTAATCTGATGACAGCAAGTGATGTAAGTGAAATCTGTCTCTGACATGAAGTCAAATATCTTCATTCAGTTCTACAAGATTCTCCAGAAATGAAATCAATTTAAGTTGTTCACTGGCATTTTAATCTATAAACCACAATTCTATAGGGATTCCATTAGAAAGCTAATATGCAAATGCTTATGGTGGGTTATTCATTATTTTAGTTTTTGAAAGATCTCTTTCGAGGATATTTAAGTCCTTTATATAGTTTCCTTGTCCACAAACAAAATATTTTCAGAAGGGCTGGTGCCTGACCAGTTACCTAGTCACATTTTCAGGTCTAATATATTCAGTAACTTGTCTGCATATACCTTCTTAGAAGCAGTAGAAACATTGATACCGCTGAGAAATTCATTTCAGCAATTATTCGAAGCATGATCTTAATCTCATATAAACCTGATAAAATCTTAGCATGAACTGGAAAAATAAGTGATACATCTTCTTACTCATTTAGATTGACTGCAGTGTACTAGTGTTTCTTTCAGGTCTAAAAATAGGCAGAATTCTGGTGTGCAGCTTTCCTATTTAGTTGTTTTTTTTTTCTTTTTGAAATTCTTTTAACTTGTTTCCTTTTTAAGAAAATTTATTTTAGGTTTGGGGGTACATGTGAAGGTTTGTTACATAGATAATCATGTGTCACAAGGGTTCATTGTACATGTTATATCACCCAGGTACTAAACTCAGTACCCAATAGTTATCTTTTCTGCTTCTCTCCTTCCTCCCACCTTACCCCTCAAGTAGACCCCAGTGGCTGTTGTTTCCTTCTTTGTGTACATAAGTTCTTATCATTTAGTTTCCACTTATAAGTGAGAATGTGCAGTATTTGCTTTTCTGTTCCTGCATTATTTTGTTAAGGATGATAGCCTCCAGCTCTATTCGTGTTTCTGCAAAAGACATTATCTCCTTTTTTATGGCTACATAATGTTCCATGGTGTATATGTACCACATTTTCTTTATCCAGTCTGTCACTGATGGGCATTTAGGTTGATTCCATTCCTTTGCTATTGTGAACAGTGCTGGAATGAACATTCATGTGCATATGTCTTTGTGTAGAATGATGTATATTACTGTGGGTATATATCCAGTAATGGTATTGCCAGGATTGTCGGGTTGAATGGTAGTTCTGCTTTTAGCTCTTTGAGGAATCACCATACTGCTTTCCACAATGTTTGAACTAATTTACCCTCCCACCAACAATGTATAAGGGTTCCCTTTTCTCTACAACTTCACCAGAGTCTGGTTTTTTTTTACTTTTTAGTAATAGCCATTGTGACTGGTTTAGTAATTAGCCATTGTGACTAGTTTAGTAAATAGCCATTGTGACTGGTTTTAGTAATAGCCATTGTGAGATGGTATCTCATTGTGGTTTTGACTTGCATTTTTCTAATGATCAGTGTTATTGAGCTATTTTTCATATGCTTGTTGATGCATGTACTTCTTCTTTTGAGAAGTGTCTGTTCATGTTCTTTGCCCGCTTTTTAATGGGGTTGAAAAAAACAAGGAATGGGAAAAAGACTCCCTATTCAATAAATGGTGCTGGGATAACTGGCTAGCCATATGCAGAAGATTGAAGCTGGACCCCTTCCTTATGCCATATACACAAATCAACTCAAGATAGATTAAAGACTTAAATGTAAAACCCCAAACTATTAAAATCTGGAAGACAACCTAGGCAATACCATCATGGACATAAGAACAGGCAAAGATTTCATGACAAAGACAGCTAAAGCAACTGCAACAAAAGGAAAAACTGACGAATCGGATCTAATTAAACTTAAAGAGCTTCTGCACAGCAAAAGAAACTATCAACAGAATGAATAGACAACCTATAGAATGGGAGAAAATTATTACAAACTATGCATCTGACAGAGGTCAATATTCAGCACCTATAAGAAACTTAAACAAATTTACAAGTTGTTTTTTCTGTTAGTGATAGAACATGCTTGATGACATAATTAGGGTCAAATACTTTCTAGTCTTATTCTTAGGCAGCTTCTGCATGAGCTGATGAATAATCACTGTCTAAGTTATTTGCGTTCAAGGGGTGGGATATCACAATGAACTGTGCCTTCTGCTTCTTCTAAACCATAATTTATTGATAGCCTCCCTTGAACTGCTTGATTTGAAGAAGCTGCTCCATTATTTGATTCTGTCCTACCAGTAGTGATTTCACCCACCGGTTTCATATCAAGTTGTTTTAGTATCTCTTCAGCTTCCACAGCCTGTCCTGAAGAATCTGATCTTGATGTTACATTTTTATTTCCCAGTGAAGAAATAGTTGAAGACAGGAGAAAATATAGTCCCCAGCAATGTAGTCCTTGGGGGACTGCCAGAGGAAGGAGTATCTTCTACTTCTACATTTTGTTTTATGTATTAACTTATCATTTCATAACTACCAGATTTCAAGATATTTGTTAGGCTTTTCTCCTGCTCTAGATGTTGATGTGATCAAATTATTATATATATCATGTCCAATTCTACTCTATTTTGAAAGATTTTCTCTCTCTTGCTCTCTTGGGTGAAGAGAAAAAACTGAAGTCAACAGGCAGTTTCATTCTTTGGTGGTTTTTCTCCTCCTGAAGGCAGGGTATTGTAAACCTGTAAATATTTCCTCTTTTCTGTCAGTACATTGTATTTAGATTTGATTTGATTGCTGAGAACCTTTGTATGTTCTTAGCCTCATCACTGATGGGTGCCTCATATAAAACTAACTGTGGCAACAAAGAAGTGTCCTCAGGCCCTGATGATGATCCTAACTGCTCAATGTGTGTATCTTTTCTGCTTAGCCTGCAGCAGCAACAGAACCAGCTCCCTCAGCCAGTTTTGATTTCTTACCTACTGCCCTGCTGCACCGTATGTACAGGGACCTGAATGCAAAGCCAGCCAATTTCTTTTGACCACTTTTTCCCCAATGTATGCGTATGTGTTGCAAGGCCTCAAGTTCCATGTGCTGTCTTGACATCTTTGAGCCTCATAGGACCTCAAAAGTCTAGCCAGAATTTATTTTACTCTTGCCCTATATGTTCCTCCACCTCAGAAGGAAAGCCTCTCCACCAAGCTAGTTTCCCTATCAGCCAGACCAGCTATACTCTTCCCAGTCCTCAGCCTAAAGGGCTTCATTTCCTTGCCAGGCTGCAGATTATTCATACAAACCAATAGCATCTACCTATAAAAGTTGGAGTTAGTTACCTCAGTCTGTTTTTACCACAAAGCCTTTCTCTAAAGGCCGTGCTAATTCACTCTTTTCCTGAGTGCAACCTCCATATGGACCTGAATGGCGTGCTATGCCCTCCTTCAGAATTGTATGTTTGATTGATAAACTTCACTTTGATTCCATCTGTCCAGTGTTATGTGTTGTGTGTTTGGCTATCTCTTACTATTTAGGGTGTAGGATCCCTCTCTCACCAATAGAGTGAATAGGAGTAGACTAAAACCAGGGTTAAATTTCCCTGTTTCTTTGCAAGTCTTATAATTTTTTTTTTTTTGGTGAGAAACTGTACATTTTGTACAATATATTGCAGCAACTCTGGGTATTGGTTCCTCCTCCCAACTTCGGGCCTATTATTGTTATTCACTTTGTGATTTGTATAGTGACTGGTTGTATTATTTAGCTGAAGTCTACTCTCCCTCTTCCAAAGTGTGAAACCCCTGATGTTCCTCCTCAGAGAGTAAAGGCTTGGGTATGCCCACAGTCACTGTGGGATGACAGTGTATTTGCAGGATTCCTGAGGGGAGCAAGGCTCACCTGGTGATCAGGCAGGCCCCAAAGACAAAAACTCCTTATTTGAGGAATTTCAAAGTAATTAGAATTCCCTATTATCTAAAGCACCTGGTTCCAAGCCTTATTTCAACTTAAAATTTCTAAGTAACTATAATTTCTATACATCTCTGGAATGCATGCTTGCCGAAACTATTGTGCAATCCTTGCTGACATTAAGGCACCAAAATGTATAAAAAAGTAATCATTTATCATGCACATTACCCTTCAGCTCCCCCTTAAAGTCCATAAATACCCCTAAGGAAAAAATCCACCACAGTACACTCAGTCCTCTCCTGCTGAGGCACCCCGTTGCGCTCTTCTACAGTGTTCTTTCTTTCTAATAAAACTTTCCTTTTTCAAGCCTATACTGTTGTCAGTAAATTCTACTTACCAACCAACGAGTTGACCACTTCCCGATGCTGGGGCTCCGACACCTTGCCCTGCAGTTCCTTTGTCTGGTTCCCTGACCACACTCACCTGTTAATCTTCACCAATTGCTGGGTAGGTCATAAATTGCTTAACAGATTGATCCAATTAAATTCAGGCTTCTTGGAGTTAGAGCAAGCCAACTAGAAGCAGCCAGGTGGAAGAGCTGCCACGCAGAGACAAAGACAACTGGTGCATTCCTAACAATTCTTCAGAGAGAAGGCACTGAAAGTGGACAAAGGGAAGACATAGAAGCTGGGCTGAAGGAAGAGGAAGCTGGGAAGCTTGCATGGGGCTGCTGCACACTGGGACTCATTCCTGGCCCACTATGTCTCTGGGAAATGGGTGAATTGAACTAGAAAGGAGTAACCCATTTTTGCTATGGGCCTCTGGTATCCAGGCAGAAGGTGACCCCCCAACAACCACAGACACTTGAGTTGGGAAGGAGAGCTTCTTAGAGAAGTGGTAGGTGCAGCACACCAGCTGGTGTGGAGCCCAGATAGTTTGGTGCAGGAGCATCTGTAGCTGAGCTCAGCTAGGGACGCCCATTCCCTTAAGCTTGACTTCATCCCACAGGAGAGTTTAGCCCTAAGGGAACTGTCGAATCTGAACTCTGCAGGGTGGTCTTGCCCAACAGACAGGAACAGTCCAACTTGAGCAGCTCTTGGTCTGCTGGCCTCTCCCGAAGCCCCAGCCTGACCACATCTGCTTGCAGTGCAGCCTCAGGTGCCTTGGGGGCCCGCATCATAGCACCTGTGCTGGCAGACTGCACCTGACTGGTGACAAGCTCTAGCAGGGCGGCCTGCAGGACCACATACCAGCCTGCCCACACCCTCCCCACACTGCAGCTTCCCCTGGGCCCACAGCAACCCCACACATCACTTTGCTAGTGCTTGTGTGCATGGGTGGATCTTGCCATACCTACCCTGCAGCATCCATGTGCACATGCACACTGCCCTGCCTCTACTGCCGGTGGGAATGCAGTTTGTGCCCCTCCCCTGCTGTACAGCCATTGCAGATGGAGCCCTGGTGGGCAGAAACAGTAAACCCCACCCTGCCAGCACCTTGCCCCTGCCCCATTCTTGTGTCAACGCTGTCACCAGAGTAAAACTAGACACAGTGGACCATCCCCCCAACCCTGAGTGGTCAACCCTGCCAACATAAATGCACACAGAGCTTTGCCTGTCAGCGGCCAGCCCCTGTGCTAATACCATCACCAGTGCAATTGTGAGCATAGTCACCAGTGAAGGACCCCAGCACACCTGAACTGTGCTGCTGTAAACACCTCCACAAAGGCAGGCACCTGGCACTCACTAGCACCCTGCCGAAACCAACCAGCATGCACCCCACCACACTTCTGCTGCCACTGGCACATGAGAACAAGAATGGATCCAGCCACCACTACTCTATGAAACATTTTGGCTGCCATTACCCATCAGAGTGTAGTGACCAGCAGTCTGGGAGCATTTTGACCCCTCACCCCTGCCCCACACACAATGCAACAAGTACAGTAGGTTCCTAATATCAAGGATCCAGATAACAAAATAGGGACCAGATACAAGTCCTCCAGTATTAGAGCATGTGATCCAGGAGTTGGGAGTTGAGCCTTGACCCCCTAAATCTTCCAGAAACAGTCAGTTGACTGAACCCATCTTATACCAAAATCGAATCCTCAAAATCACCAAATAGGATAAAGGAAATAAAACCCATTCAAAGAACAGCAACTTCCAGATTGCAGGAACACCAGCCCATAAAGATGAGAAAGAACAAGCGTAAGAACTCTGACAATTCAAAAAGCCAGAATGTCTTCTTTCCTCCAAAGGACTACAGTAGTTCTCCAGCAAGGATTCAGAACTGGGCTAAGATGGCTAAAATGACAGAAATAGAATTCAGAATATGCATAGGAAAAAAGATCACAGAGATGCAGGAGTATGTTGAAACCCAAACCAAGGATGCTAAGAATCACAATAAAATCCAGAAGCTAACAGAAAAATATAGCCCTTATAGAAAAGAATGTAACCAACATGATAGGGTTGGAAAACATACTTCAAGAAGTTTGTAATGTAATCTCAAGTATTGATAGCAGAATAGGCCAGGTGCAGTGACTCACACCTATAATCTCAGCACTTTGGGAGGCCAAGTCAGGTGGATCACTGGAGGTCAGGAGTTTGAGACCAGCCTGGGCAACATGGGGAAACCCCATCTCTATTAAAAATACAAAAATTAGCCAGGCGTGGTGGTGGGCACCTGTAATCCCAGCTATTTGGGAAGCTGAGGCTGCAGAATCGCTTGAATCTGGGAGGCGGAGGTTGCAGTGAGCTGAGATCATGCCATTGCTCTCCAGCCTGGGTGACAATAGCAAAACTCTGTCTCAAAAAATAAATACATAAATAAAATAAAAATAGCAGAATAGACCAAGCTGAGGAAGGAATCTCAGAGCTTGAAGACAAGCTTTCTGAAATAACATAGTCAGATAACAATAGAGTAAAAAGAATGAAAAGCAATGAATTAAACCTCTGAGAAATATGGAATTATGTAAAGAGACCAAATCTACAACTTATTGATGTCCCTGAAAGAGATGGGAAGAATGAAAGAAACTTGAAAAACATATTTCAGGATATTATCCATAAGAATTTCCTCAATCTAGCTAGACAGGCCAATATCCAAATTCACAAAATACAGAGAACCCAGTAAGATACTTTACTAGAAGATCATCCCCAAAACCTATAATCTTCAGATTCTCGAAGGTCAAAATGAAAGAAAAATGTTAAAGGCAGCTAGAGAGAAAGGTCAGATCACCTACAAAGGGAAGCCCATCCAACTAACAGAAGACCAATCAGCAGAAATCCTACAAGCCAGAAGAGATTGAAGGCCAATATTCAACATTCCTAAAGAAAAGAAATTTCAACCAAGAATTTCCTACCTGGCCAAACTAACTTTCATAAGTGGAGGAGAAATAAGACAAGAAAATACTGAGGGAAAATACTTTACAGACAAGTAAAGAAAATACTTTACAGACAAGAAAATACTGAGGGAATTTATTACACCAGACCTGCCTTATAAGAGCTTCTAAAGGAAGCACTAATTATGGAAAGAAAGGATTGCTACCAGTCACTACAAAAACACACTTACATGTGTAGACCAGTGACACTATAGAGCAACCACACAAACAAGCCTGCATAACAACCAGCTAACATGATGACAGGATCAAATCTGCACATATCAATACTAACCTTTAATATAAATGGGCTAAAAGATCCAGTTGGAAAGGCACAGAGTGGTAAACTAGATAAAAAGCAAGTCCCAATGGTATGCTGTCTTCAAGACACCCATCTCACATGCAATGACACCCAAAAGCTCAAAATAAAAAGGAGATGGAGAAAAATCTACCAAGTGAATGGTAAGCAGAAAAAAGCAAAGTTGTAATCCTAATTTCAAACAAAACAGACTTTAAAGCAACAAAGATCAAAAAAGACAAAGAAGGGCATTACATAATAATAAAGGGTTCAGTTCAACAGGAAGACCTAACTATCCTAAATATATATGCACCCAGCACAGGAGCACCGAGTTTCATAAAGCAAGTTCTGAAAGATCTTCAAAGGGACTTGGACTCCTACACAATAATAGTGGGAGGCTTCAATGCCCCAAAGACAGTATTAGACAGATTATCCAGGCACAACATTAACAAAGATATTCAGAACCTAAACTCATCACTGGATCAAATGGACCTAATAGACCTTTACAGAACTCTCCATTCCAAAACAACAGAATATACATTCTTCTCATTGTCACACAGCACGTACTCTAAAATCAACCATGTCATCAAACATAAAACACTCCTTAGCAAATGCAACATAACTGAAATAATAACAACCACTCTCTTGAACCACAGCACAAAAAATTAGAAATCAAGGCTAAGAAAATTGTTCAAAACCATACAATTACATGGAAATTAAATAACCTCCTTCTGCATGACTTTTAGGTAAGTAATGAAATTAAGGCAGAAATCAAGATGTTCTTTGAAATAAACGAGAACAAAGATACAATATACCAGAATCTCTGGAACACAGCTACAGCAGATATACAAGGGAATTTTATAGCACTAAATGCCCACATAAAAAAAGTTAGAAAGAACTCAATTTAACAACCTAACATCACAACTAAAAGAACAAGCAAACCAAGAGCAAACCAACTCCAAAGCTAGCAGAAGAGAAGAAGTAACCAAAATCAGAGCTGAAATGAAGCAGATTGAGACATTCAACCATTCAAAAGATTAATGAATCCAGGAGTTGTCTTTCTGAAAAAAATTAATAAAATAGACCACTAGCTAGACTGATAAAGAAAAGAGAAAAGATACAAATAAACACAATTAGAAATGACAAAGGGGATATCACCACTTACCTCACAGAAATAGAAATAACCATCAGAAAATATTATGAACACCTCTATGCACACAAGGTAGAAAACCTAGAAGAAATGGATAAATTCCTGTACAAATACACACTCCCACAATGGAACTAGGAAGAAACTGAATCCATGAACAGATCAATAACAGGTTGTGGAATTGAATCAGTGATAGTTAGCCTATCAAACAAATAAAGAAAAAAACCAAGAACTAGATGGATTCACAGCTGAATTCTACCAGATGTACAAAGAAGAACTGGTATCATTCCTATTGAAACTATTCCAGAAATTTGAGGAGGAGGGACTCCTCAACTCTTCCTGTAGAGTCAGCATTACCCTAATACCAAAACTTGGCAGAGACAAAACAAAAAAAGGAAACTTCTTGCCAATATCCTCGACGAACATAGATTCAAAAATCCTCAACAAAATACTGACAAAGCAAATCCAGCAGCACATCAAGAACCTTACCCGCAAAAATCAAGTAGGCTTTATCTCTGGGATGCAAGAGTGTTTCAACATACACAAATCAATAAATAAGATTCATCATATAGATGTGACTAAAGAAAAATACACAGAAAAGGTTTTCAATACCATTCAACATTTCTTTCAAATCAAAACCATGATGAGATACCATCTCATGTCAATCAGAATGGCGATTATTAAAAAGTCAGGAAACAACAGATGCTGGTGAGGATATGGAGAAAAAGGAACACTTGTATACTGTTGGTGAGAATGTAAATTAGTTCAACCATTGTGGAAGACAATGTGGCGATTTCTCAAAGATCTAGAAGCAGAAATTCCATTTGACCCAGGTATCCCATTACTGGGTATATACCCAATGGAATATAAATCATTCTATTATAAAGATACATGCACATGAATGTTCCTTGCAGCACTACTCACAATAGCAAAGTGCTGGAATCAACCCAAATGATAGACTGGATAAAGAAAATATGGTACGTATATACCACGAAATACTATGCAGCTATTAAAAGGAATGAAATTATGTCCTTTGCAGGGATATGGATGGAGCTGGAAGTTGTTATCCTCAGCAAACTAACACAGGAACAGAAAACCAAACACTGCATGTTCTCACATATGTGGGAGCTGAATGATGAGAACACATGGACACATGGGAGGGGGGACAACACACACTGAGGCCTGGCGGGTTGTGGGGTGCAGGGGGAGGGAGAGCATCAGGAAGAATAGCTAGTGGAGGCTGGGCTTCATAGCTAGGTGATGGGATGATCTGTGCAGCAAACCACCATGGAACATGTTTACCTATGTAACAAACCTGGACATCCTGCACATATACCCCAGAACTTAAAATAAAAGTTGAAGAAAAATTCAACATTTCTTTATGTTGATAATTCTCAAATAACTAGGTATTGAAGGAACATACCTCAAAATAATAAGAGCCATCTACAACAAACCCACAGCCAACATCATACTGAATGGGCAAAATCTGGAAGTATTCCCCTTGAAAATTGTCACAAGAAAATGATGCCCTCTCTCACAACTCCTATTCAACATAGTATTGGAAGTCCTGGCCAGAACAATCAAGAAAAGAATAAAGGGCATCCAAATAGGAAGAGAAGAAGTCAAACTCTCCCTGTTTGCAGATGACAAGATTCTATATCTATAAAATCCTATAATCTCTACCTATTAGCTATTAGCTCTTTAAGCTAAGAAACACCTTTGGTGAAGTCTCACATTACAAAATCAATGTATAAAAATTACTAGCATTTCTAAAAACCAACAAAATCCAAGCCAAGAGCCAAATCAGGAATGCAATCCAATTTGCAATTGCATCAAAAAGAATAAAATACCTAGGAATACAGATAACCAGGGAGGTGAAAGATTTCTACAATGAGAATTACAAAACACTGCTCAAAGACATCAGAGATGACACAAATAGAAAAAACATTCCATGCTTATGCATAAGAAGAATCAATATCGTTAAAATGGTCATGCTGCCCAATTTATAGATTCAATGCTATTGCCGTAAAACTACCAATGACATTCTTCACAAAACTAGAAAAAAACTATTTAAAACTTCATTTCAAACCAAAAAAGGACCTGAATAGCCAAGGCACTACTAAGCGAAAAGAACAAAGCAGGAGGCATCATGCTTCCCAACTTCCAACTACGCTACGGGGCTACAGTAACCAAAACAGCATGGTACTGGTACAAAAACGGACACATAGACCAGTGGAACAGAATAGATACCCTAGAAAAAAGGCTGCTCACCTACAACCATCTGATCTTCAACAAAGCTGAGAAAAACAAGCAATGGAGAAAGGACTCCCTATTCAATAAATGGTGCTGGGGTAACAGGCTAGACATATGCAGAAGATTGAAACTGGACCCCTTCCTTACACCATATACAAAAATCAACTCAAGATGGATTAAAGACTTAAGTGTAAACCCCAAAATGAAAAACAACCCTGGAAGACAACCTAGGCAATACCATTTTAGATATAGGAATGCGCAAATATTTCATGAGGAAGACACCATAAGCAATTGCAACAAAAGAAAAAATGGACAAATGAGACCTCATTAAACTAAAGAGCTCTAGACAGTAAAGGAAACTATCAACAGAGTAAACAGACAACCTACAGAATGGGAGAAAATTTTTGCAAACTATGTACCTGACAAAGGTCTAATATTCAACATCTGTAAGGAATTTAAGCAAATTTTCAAGAATCAAACAACCCCATTAAAAAGTAGGCAAAGTACATGAACAGACACTTCTCAAAAGAAGACATACATGCACCAACAAACATATGAAAAAAAAAGCTGAACATCACTGAGTGTTACAGAAATGCAAATAAAAACCGCAATGATATTCCATCTCACACCAGTCAGAATGACTATTATTAAAAAGTCAAAAAATACCAGATGCTGGTGAAGTTATAGAGAAAAGAGAACAGTTATACACTGTTGGTGGGAGTGTAAATTAGTTTAACCATTGTGTAAAGCAGTGTGGTGAATACTCAAAGACCAAAAAACAGAACTACCATTCAACTCAGCAATTCCATTCCTGGCTATATACTGAAAGAAATTTAAATCATTCTGTCATAAAGACACAGGCACGTGTATGTTCATCACAGCACTGTTCACAATAGCTGAAACATGGAATCAACCTAAATGCCTATCAATAGTAGACTGGATAAAAAATGTGGGACATATTCATTATGGAATACTGTGTTAGCCATGAAAAATAATGAGACCATGTTTTGTTTTGCAGAAACATGGGTTGAGCTGGAGGCCATTATCCTCAGAAAACTAACACAGGAACAGAAGGACAAATAACACATTTTCACTTATAAGTGTGAGCTAATAATGAGAACACATGGACATATAGAGGGGACCAAGAGATACTGGGCCTACCAGAGTTGGAGGGTTGAAAGAGGGAGAGGATTGGGAAAAAATAATTAATGGGTACTAGGCTTAATACCTGAGTGATGAAATAATTTGTACAACAAACCCCCATGACAAAAGTTTACCTATATAACAAGCCTACACATGTACTCATGAACTTAAAATGAAAGTTAAAAAAATAAGTAAGTTCAGGCTCCTTTAAAGGATAGATTTTTAGTCTGTGTTTGAGGTTTGTTCTGACCCTAGGAGGGCTCTTCTTAGTTGTTTCTTTCCCTGGTTCTTTTTGGTAAACTAGCTTGCCTATAGTTAGCTTTTATTCCAATTATTTTACCAAGTTCCTCTTAATTGCTTTTAACCACAGCTCCATTATTTTTGAGAGAGCCATAGGCTTCAGCTTCTTCACACTGTTGCAAATGGACTCATTTCCTTTGAGAAGAGATGCAGAGCTCTCTGTTTTCTGGTCTGCTTTTTCCCCTGAACAAAATCTCTGAGCTATGGATTTGTATCTGGAGACAACTGTGTGCTTCTCAGTGAATGACACTTGCTTTAGGAGCTGGGCATTCAGTGGAGGGTGGCAGTAGTCTCAGGTTTTCTTTGCTTGCCTCTCCCTGTGTCGAACTGCTTACCCAATTGAAAGCCCAATAGTTTCAGCAGCATTGTGTCCAAGGTAGATCCTTCATCCTATGAATGGAGGCTGCATGGAAAATAAGACCCCACCTCTCCACTGTACTCACCTGGAATTCAGGTTTAGTGAAATGTAGCTGTAAATAGGATGAAAAAATGCTATTGACATACTTTTTCTGGAAAGATTACTCTGGAGCTGAAATGAGAGGGGGTCCCTGTTTTTTTGGACTGCACCAGTCTGGGGTTTCCATTTTAATGACAGAAGGAGGCAGAGAGGATTCAGGTCTTGGTTCAAATACCACAGACTCTTGCTTTTCTTATCAAGTTTCTGTAGATTTTCTGGAATAAATGTTTTTTTCACTTGCTGTGTGTCCTTAGGAACATATCTAGAAAATTTAAGTGGTTGAGTTTTTTTTTATTATTATTTTTACCAGTTTCACTGAGGAGAGGATCTACAGAGCTTCTCATGCTATTATGTCAGAAGTGAAACTTCTAACAATCTTCATTACCAATTTTTTAAAAGGCCATTTTACCTCTTGAAAATGCCAGCAGCACAAATGTTAAAAGAAACATGAAATGGTCATTGAAAGCTGTGTCTAGTAGTGTAGCGTTAGTTCTTCATCATAAATAGAATGCCATTGTCTGAATGTAAATCTCCTAGTTACCCAAAAATATGGCAGAGCTTGGACTCAAGAACCAGCATTAAGTGACCAGATTCTGCTGTTGACATAGGAATGGCAACTTCATAGCTGGAGCAAGTTTCAATGCCTGTTAGACACCAGTGGTAACCACAAAATTGAGGCAGAGAATACATGTAGTCCAGTTGTCAGGAATTGGCCCTGCCAATTATTTGAACTATATGTTTTAAGTATTTGTAATACTTTTATGAGGGAAGTCCCAGATGGAGAATACCATGATTGGGACAATGATTAGTGGACATATGCACAACAAGGAGCACATCTGGTTTCTCTAACCTAGTCATGTGGTTAGCATAAACCATCACAAAACACCAAGAGAGAGCCCAAAGGCTCGTGGAGGAAGAAGTAGACAAATATTTAACATGACCCGCCTGTAACATTTGTAAAGTTTGCAGGGTTCAAAGCAAGACTTTGACTGAAGGCCTACATACCATATACTAAATAATTTAGAATGTTTTAATCGACTAATAACTGTAAAATAAAATATTATACATCTCCTTCCATAACAAATACACATTTATAATGACTAGAATGGTCAGGTTTTAATTTAGAATCCCTGAAATGCTCTACCTTCTGCACCATGAGTGTGAGAAGAACTACTACCTCCTCTATAGGCCATGGTCCCAGATAATCCTGTTCTTTCCACTTTCTACCCTGGATTTCATCCCTCACCATGAGAGGACTCATCTGTACGTGCATATGGACACCCCAACCCATTCTTTAACTGTTACCCATGTATAGCCACTCCATGGCTAGCTGGGCATATGTAACACCAACAGTGCTGTTAGTCCTCAAAATGACAGACCCAGTGCAGAGGAGCATGTAGGTGATGGAAGCAGGCTTGGGGCCACTGGGGTAAAGAATTCAGGGGTCATAGGTATCTTAAGGATGCACCACAATGGGCAAGAACTCTGAGTGTGTATACATTCTTCTGGACCCACGAACTGGGCTCCTGGTACTGTAGGAAGGGCATAGCAAGAAGAAAGCCAAAAGGGGTCTCTAAAGCATGGAGTTCAGAACAAGGGCTTTTCTTGACAGGATATAAGACAAATACTATATTTAACCCTAACTATCAGAAACAAATTGAGGGTCTTCTAATCATACTACATGGGTAGTTGTCTATTTAGCCTGATTTTTCCATTTAAATAATGGTAAAAAAGGGCCCTGTGCCTTCTGTCTCACCATATGGTACTAGCCATAAGGAATAGATACTACATGATAATACATTTTAAAATGTTAACACTGGTGACAAAAAGTGTGTTGTATTTGCATTACATTTATTTCACTTTATTTAATAGGTTGAGCTTCTGAAAAGGAGAAAACAGTGAATTATACTTCGGGAAAGGATAAATAAAACCTTTTATAGCTACAATTATTCAGAATTTCATAACCCATGGGATATTCAAAGGGGTAGAGGAGTAAATGTATAAATTTTAAAATAAAAATGTTAGTTAGAATATTAGTTAGAATATGAGAGCACCTAGGCAGCCTTACATAAATGCAAAATCAAGGTTGTCTACCACCAAATCTCTGGCCTTTATCTTTCTTTGATTCTCTACTAAGGTCAACTGAGACTTCATTTTCCTTAAATGGCTTCTAGATATGAAGCCTATATTCTCCCTTCTCTTTTGATTTTTGTCATTTTTTCTTAGGAAATATTTTAAACCTACATAAAGGTATAAAGGATATGTCAAGTACTCGCCACACTACCTAAGCAATATAATATCACAAGTACAATTGAAGTCCCCTGTATCCTTATAGTAGGTTGAATTTCATTTTCCAAAAAAAAAAATGTCAAAAGTTCTCACCACCAGTACTTGTAAATGTGATGTTATTTGGTAGTAGGGTCTTTGTAGATGCAATTTCAGTAACAAACTCAAGAAAAAGTTATGCTGGATTTAAGGTGAGCCCTAAATCCAATAACATGTATCCTCAGAAGAGAAAGGAGAGGGAAAGACACAGGGAAGAAGTTTATATGAAAACAAACACAGAGATTAGAATTTTGCTGCCACAAACCAAGGGCTTTCAGGAGCTACCAGAATCTGGAATAGGCAAGGATTCTCTCCTAGACCTACGGAGGGAGCATGGCTGTGCTGGCAACTTGATTTCAGACTTCTGGCCTCCAGAACTGTGAGAGTATACCTTTCTGTTGCTTTACATCACCCAGTTTGTGAAACTTTGTTATGACAGATATAGAAAGCTGAGCATCTTCTCCAATTGAATTATATTCCCTCTTTCCACAATACATAGCTATTATCTTCAATAAGATGTTTATCATTCTCATAAATGCATTTCACCTTCTACATCTGCATACATCCCTCCTATGCATGGTTTTTACTACATATATGAATTCATAATCAATACATAATTGTTTTGCATGTTTTTGAACTTTGGATACATGGTGTATTAGTCTGTTATTACGCTGTTATGAAGAAATACCCAAGACTGGGTAATTTATAAAGAAAATAGATTTAATTGACTCACATTTCCTCATAGCTGGGGAGGTCTTGGAAAACTTACAATTATGGTGGAAGGCATCTATCTCTTCACAGGGTGGCAGGAGAGAGAATGAGTGCCAAGCAAAGGGGAATGCCCCTTATAAAATCATCAGATCTCGTGAGAACTCACTATCATCAGAACAGCATGGGGGAAACTGCCCCCATGGTTCAATTATCCCCACCTGGTCCTGCCCTTGCCTCATGGGGTTTATTACAATTCAAGGTGAGATTTGGGTGAGGAAACAGAGCCAAACAATATCACATGTGTGATGGTTAATGAATGTCAACTTGATTGGACTGAAGGATGCAATGTATTGATCCTGGGTGTGTCTATTAGGGTGTTGCCAAAAGAGAATAACATTTGAGTCAGTGGGCTGGGAAAGGCAGACCCACCCTTAATCTGGGTGGGCACCATCTAATCAGCTGCCAGTGCAGCCAGAATATTAAAGCAGGCAGAAAAAACATGAAAAGACTAGACTGGCCGAGCCTCCCAGCCTACATCTTTCTTCCATGCTGGATGCTTCCTGCCCTCAAACATCGGACTCCAAGTTCTTCAGTTTTGAGACTTGGACTGGCTTTTCTTGCTCCTTAGCTTGCAGACGGCCTATTGTGGGAACTTGGGATCATGTGAGTTAATACTTAATAAACTCCCTCTTCTCCCCTCCTCTCCCCTCCCCTCCCCTCCCCTCCCCTCCTCTCCTCTCCCCTCCCCTCCTCTCCTCTCCTCTCCTCATTACTTGCATGTTAAAGAAAACAACTCAAGTGAAAATCAGATAGCAAAATATATACCATATGGTAAATAAAGAAAAAGTCTGTTGTGCTAGAGGGAAATTGAAATGGATTAAATTGCCAATTAAACACAAAATTATAGAAATTATAAAGGCCTTTTAAAGATACACACACACACACACACACACACACACACACACACACAAACACAAAGATTCTATAGCTTTTACTTCAGAACTTTAGCCATAAGATAAATACGAATTCACCGGCTTGCGAAAAGAACCTTTTGGATCCAAACAGTGGTTTTTATCTTAACAGAAAAATAGCAGCAAATTTAAAACAGACAGAAAAGAAAATAGAGAAAAAGAAGACTTAAGAACTCTATAGTTTGCAGGTGGGCCTTAGGGCTCTTTTCCTTAATGTAAATATGCACAAAGACCATATTACTTCCATTTTACATAAACTCTGGCAAGTAAAGGTGCCATAAAACCTATGGAGTGTTCGCAATGGGGTCATTTTCATTGTTTTCTCCTCATTCTTAGATTGTTTTCCACTTTTTATTTTTTTAAAAGGAGGAACTGAGCTATGGCCTAGGGTTTTTGTATGGTGATCGATGTGTGCTGCTTGTGGGCAGGACTCCACAGTGTGTCATCACTGAGTCATTTCCACCCTATTATGTGTCTCAGTTTCTCTCTCCAGAGGTGTATGACCTCTGAGAGGGCTCAAAACTCTGGATAATTAGCCCTTATATTAGTTTCCTGGATGAGCATTCTTTAAAATTAATTTTTGTCGGGGATTTCCCTGTAGGGCTGCTGCACGTCGTGGGGGTTAACCCCCCAGACATTCCCACAAGGCCCCCAGTCACCCAGGGGCACTTTTTGGCTGGGAGGAGCAAAATGCCCTTTCTCTTCAGAGCTGAGAAAACTCAGTATCTCATTTATCTACGAAAACAACAGTTCAGTTCCTCACACAAATGTGCACAGATAGGTTGAATCGAGATTAATTTTGGGAGAAAAAGCAATAAAAAAGACCCTTTAGAAGGCATCTCTGAATTATAACTAGGGCCATTAAACAACAGCTTCCTAGGAGGAAAAAAACCAGCCAAGACTACTTCCTGTAAACTGGGCTCAGCCACCCCTAGTTTGTAGCTCCTGTCCATCATTACACATGCCAAGGTCAAATCCTCTCATGGTCTAAGGTCATCTCTGGCACCCCCAAAGCCAAAGAGGTCAGGTCATGCTATGCAGGAAAACAGAGTTTTAGACCTACAAAGAATCTTCTCATGACTCTTGAAAATCCACAGAGAAAACAGAACACTTCAAAAAGGTGAGTGGCACCTTTGTTCTGAATTCTTTAAAGCGGTTCAAGTCATTAGAAGCCTTCTCTAGATTTTTTGGTACTCCAGATGGCAAACGGGAAAGGGTATCAGGTGGAAGAAAGTAAATGAAGAAAACATTTGTTTTTTAAGACAGGAAGCAAACACAGAAACCAAGCGCATTTTGTTGTTGTTGTTTGTTTTCTTTTCTTTTCTTTTCTTTTCTTTTCTTTTCTGCAGCTGTGAGGAATTTTAGCCATATTAAAGAGGTTTTGTTACCCATAATTTGGAATTCTCACTCGGGTTTGATCAAGTCAGGTAGAGCTGGTCAAATCTGATGGGAGAAAGACCAGAACAAACAACAACAAAGAAACCCCAACAATATGATCACTGAGTGCTTAAATGGGAAGGAGAAATTAAGACCAGCTGGTTGTTAAACTTTAGCCAAGACAAAACCCCAATTCAGCTACTTACCTAGGGATGGGTCTCAGGCTGAAGACTGCTTTCTACCATCCTAGAAGCAGGAAAAACAACTCATACTTGTCTTCCCTGCTGGGAGCGAGCTCAAACTCCATAAAGGAGTTATTTGCCTTCCATCATTATGAAAGCAGGAAATCTTGCCTTCCTTGTTGAAAGCATGTAGAACTCCAAAAAGAAGGGGAGTTGTACAGCAAAATAAACTTTAGATCTCATCCAAATTTTGGGAGATTAGAGATTCTCTGGATGGGGCCCTCCCAGACCTCAGCAAATTGTCCTATTGGTTTGAGCCATAAAGTTAGCTCATGCTGGTACCAAGCACCAATAGGAGATTTGTCAAAGGTCAGGAACATCTCCATTCAGAATCCTTCCATGGTTACGAAGATGTGAACCCCAAATATCTGAGGCAGGTCTCAGTTAATTTAGAAAGTTTAATCTTCCAAGGCTGAGGACAGGTGCCCAGGACACAGCCTCAGGAGGTCCTGATGACATGTGCCCAAGGTGGTAGGGGCACAACTTGGTTTTACACATTTTAGGGGGACATGAGACATCAATCGATATGTGTAAGATGTACATTGGTTCAGTCCGGAAAGGTGGGACAGCTCGAGCTGAAGGCAGGACAACTCAAAACAGAGAGGGGGCTTCCAGGTCATAGGTAGATAAGAGACAAATGGTTGCATTCTTTTGAGTTTCTGATTAGCCTCTCCAAAGGAGGCAATCAGATACGCATTTATCTCAGTGAGCAGCAGGGTGACTTTGAATAGAATGGGAGGCAGTTTGGCCCTATGCAGTTCCCAGCTTGACTTTTCCCTTTAGCTTAGTGATTTGGGGGCCCAAAGATTTATTTTCCTTTCACAGGAGACATCAAACACTAGTTCATGCTTATTCAGAAAAGGAAAATGTTTTCTAACTCTGAAAATGCTCTTTGCAAAAGCATAGTATGACAAATGACTTAATATTACATCTCAGAAAAGTAATACCAATACATTCCTTTCATCACTCCCACCAAATTTGCATTGTTTTCAATTTTGCCACTGGTCCCACCTAAAGAAGGAAGCATGGAATAATCGTAAATTATTGCTTTAAATCTGAAAGGAAGTGTAGAAAATTTCTAATTCAATCTCTTCATAAAAACATCAAAACTGAATCAGAATCCCAATCTGTAGTCTAGAGTTGGTTTTATCACTTGCTCCTTGATAGGACCTTAGTGTGTCACTTATCATTTCTAGGCTTCACGGTTTTTCTTTGTTTATAACTCAGACATAATTGTACATGTTTATAGGCTACATTGTGATGTTTCAATATATGTATACATTGCATGGTGATCAAATCAGGGTAGTTGACATGTCCCTCACCGCACACCTTTATCATTTCTTCATGGTGATACCTTTCAATGTCCTCTTTTCTAGCTATCTTGAAATAAATAATACATTGTTATTAGCTATAGTCACTCTATTATGTAATAGAACACAACAATTTATTCTTTCTATCTAACTGTAACTTTGTTCCCATTTACCAACCACTCCCTATCCCCCTTCCTTCTGCAGCCTCTGGTAACTACCGTTCTACTCTCTGCTTCTATGAGATCAAACTTTTTAGATTCCATATTTGAGGGAAATCATGTGGTATTTGTCTTTCTCTGCCTGATTTTAGTAAACATTCTGTCCTCAAGGTTCATCCATATTGCTGCAAATGACAGAATTTTATTATTTTTTATAGCTGAACAGTAATATATTGTGTTTACATATTACATTTTTTAAATGTTTATTTTAGGTGTAGGGGTACAGATGCAGGTAAATTGCATGTCACAGGGGTTTGGTATACAAATTATGTCACCACCCAGGTAATAATTGTAGTATCCAATAGGTAGATTTTTGATCTTCACTCTCTTCCCTCCCTCTACCCTCAAGTAAGCCCCAGGGTCTGTTGTTCTCTTCTTTGTGCCCATGTGTACTCAATACTTAGCTCCCAATGAGGTAGGAGATGGAACTCAACTCCAGAGGTGGAACTCAACTCTGGAGACAGGGCTGAGACACCGGACCAAGTTGAGGACTAGCTAAAACAGGGACAGGGCAGAAGCAGCTTTCCATAAGACATGCCCACTAGTGTGTCATGTCAGTTTATCATTACCCTGGCAACATCCAGAAGTTACCATCCCTTTCCATGGCAACAACCCGACCACCTGGAAGTTATCATCCTTTTTCCAGAAATTTCTGCATAATCCTTACCTTAATTTGCATATAATTAAATGTGGGTATAAATATGACTGCAGAGATCCTTGGAGCTGCTACTCTGGGCACACTGTCTGTGGGGTAGCCCTGCTCTGCAAGGAACAATACTTCTGCTGCTGCTGTACACTGCTGCTTCAATGAAAGTTGCTGCTTAACATCATCAGCTCACCCTTGAATTCTTTCCTGGGTGAAGCCAAGAACTCTCATGGGCTAAGTCCCAGTTTTGGGGCTTGCCTGCCCTGCAACACCACTGACAAGTGAGAACATGTGTATACCATATTTTTCAATCCATTCATCCATTGATGGACACTTAAGTTGGTCCCATATGTTGGCTATTGTGAACATGAGATTGCAGATAGCTCTTCCCCATGCTGATGTCAATTCCTCTAGATATATACTCACCAGTGGAAATGCTGGATCGTATGATAGTTCTATTTTTAATTTTTTTTGAAGAATCTTCATACTGTTTTCCATAACAGCTATACTAATTTACATTCCCAGGAAGAGTGTATAAGTTCCCCTTTCTCTGCATCCACGCCAGCGTGTGTGGGTTTTTTTTTGTGTGTGTGTCTTTTTGGATAATAGCCATTCTAATTCGGGTGAGGCGATAGCTCATTGTGGTTTTTGTTTGCATATCTTTGATGATTAGTGATACTGAGCATTTTGACATATACCTGCTGGAAATTTATGCGTCTTCTATTGAGAAATGTCTGTTCAGGTATTTTGCCTATTTTAAAATCAAATTATTGTTATTATTATTTGCTATTGAGTTTCTTATATATTCTGGATATTCTTTGTTGGATGCATAGTTTAAAAATATTTTCTCAAATTTTGTAGATTGCTTTTTCACTCTGTTGTTTCATTTCATGTGCAAAAGCATTTTTTAGTTTGATGTAATCCCATGTGTTTAGTTTTGCTTTTTAGCCTGTGATTTAAGGTTTTACCTAAAAAAATTTCCTGAAGCATTTCCTTAATTTTTTTTCTAGTAATTTCATTGCTTCAGGTCTTAAATTTAAGTCTTTAATTCATTTTGATTTTTGTATATGGTGAGAGACACAAGTCTAATTTCATTATTCTGCATGTGGATACCAATTCTCCCAGCACCATTTATTGAAGAGACTGTTTTTTCCCCAATCTGTGTTCTTGGCACCTTTTTTGATATCAGTTGGCTGTAAATGCATGGATTTATTTCTGGGTTCTCTATTCTATTCCACTGGTTTATGTGTATGTTTTTATGCCTGTGCCATGCAGTTTTAGTTATTATAGCTTTGTACTGTATATTTTGAAGTCAAGTAATGTGATACCCCCAGTTTTGTTCTCTTTACTCAGGACTGCTTTGGCTGTTTGGAGTCTTTTGTGGTTCCATACAAATTTTAGAATTTTTTTCTATTTTTGTAAAGAATGTCATTGGTATTTTGATATGGATTTCATTGAATCTTTAGATAGTTTTGGATAATGTAGACATTTTAATGATATTTATTTTTCTAATCCATGAATACAGGACATTTTTCCATTTATTTGTGTCTTCAATTTGTTTCATCAATATTTTATAGTTCTCATTGTAGAGATACTTCACCTCTTTGGTTAAATTGATTCCTAGGTGTTTTATGTCCTTTGTTGCTATTATAAACGGGATTGCTTTCTTGATTTCTTTTCTGGACACAAAAATGCTACTGATTTTTGTATGTCTGATTTTATATCTCACAACTTTAATGAATTCATTAGTTCCAAGAGTTTTTTTGTGAAGTCTTTAGGATTTTTTAAAATCTATGATCATATCAGCTGAAAGTGGACAATTTCACTTCCTCCTCACTAATTTGGATGCCCTTTATTTTTTTCTGTTGCCTAATTGCTATGGCTAGGACTTCCAGTACTATGTTGAATAAAAGTGGGGAAAGTGGCCATTCTTGTGTTGTTCCAAATCTCAGAGGAAAAGTTTCAAACTTTCTCCATTCAGTATGATTTTTGTTGTGGGTTTGTCATATATAGCCTTTGTTGTGTTGAGGTTGTTCCTTCTATACTTAATTTGTTAAGAGTTTATCATGCAGGGACGTTGGATATTATTGAATGCTTTTTCTGCATCTATTGAAATGATCATATGGTTATTTATGGTTATTTTCCTTGATTCTGTTAATGTGATGTATCACAATTATTGATTTGAGTATGATAAATCAAACTTGCATCCCTGGGATAAATTCCACTTGATAATTAGGAATGATCTTTTAATGTGTTGTTGTATTTGGTTTGCTAGTATTTTGTTGAGGATTTTTGCATCTATGTTCAGGACTCGGTATTCTCAATTGTCAAGTTAGGGAAACAAATCCTAGCTACCTCACAAGGTTATTCTGACAATCAAATGAGATAATGCATATGTAAGCACTTTTCATAGTTTGATATGATATACATGTATAAATTATATCAATATTTTTGTCCTGTTAACTAAAAAAAATGATTGACACAGAGATCAAAGGAAATAACATTTATTTGGAAGATGAAGAATTGCAATTCCTGTACCCTGAATCAGGGAAGCCCTGAATAGTGTCCCATAAGACAAGCACAGGAGAGCTTTTTTTTTTCAGGGGATTTTCAAAAGAAGGTGATTTTAGAGGCTGTTCATTGGCTAGACAGAAATCCTAAATTGCTAACCCATTCTGATTGGTTAATTTGGTACACCCTGCTGAGAAATATTGGAGTCTGGTGGATACTGACTTCAGTTGTTTATCCAAGTCTATTGGAATATTCTGTGGTTGACCTTTAGCATGTGTGAGTGCAATCCTCTCAAAATCTCCCGACTCCACTTTAGAAAGCCTTAGCCTTAATTACTTCATTTTCTTTCAGATTTCTGCTTTTTAATCATGATTTTTCTCCAGACACTCACAGATCAATTGACAAGTCTGATTTTGTCCCTTGTCACCACATTTGAGTAACAAAGTGGTTATGAGAGGAGAGGAATCAAGCCTGTTTAGGACCTAAAAAAGTTATCAGAGGGGAGGTGTTTTTTCAATAATATGCATGATTGACCATGTTGATCTTCTAAATGACTGTTACTTTGGTTGTTATTTCTAAGAAATATTGGGTAAGGAGTATCATAGGTAACTTACATATTACAATAATAGCAACAACAACCACACAGTGAGTAACAAGAGTTGAAGACTGGATTTTACTTACTTTCTGACTTTAGAGGTTAGTCAGTTGAAGAGATTTAAAAAAAGGCAAACATATGGTGGGTACTCTACTTAGCTAATTAGCATGTGCATGGATTTTGTTCAATTCAGGTTCTACTTTGTTAGAAGTATTTATTTAAGTGTAACAGGAGTTATTGGCCACAGTGCAAACACCTCCTTGCTCAGCCAAGATATAATTCAAGGCATTTCTTTTGTGCAAGGCAGTAGAAGTCAAAAACCAAGAGTTTCAAGAAAGCTATATAAAATAAGTTGATCATTTTTAAAAGGGTAGTAATAGCATATCCAGCATGATATTTTCCTTCATCATCTGTTACATAGGATCCATCAGTAAACTATAATAGTTCTCCATTTAGTATAGGAATTTTTTTGTAAATCACCTCCAGGTTTGAGTGGCTGGCCAATTAGATTTAGACAGTCATGAGGTATCCCCTTATCAGGTATGGTAAGAAGGGTTGCTGGATTAAAGTTGTTGCAATGAGAAAGAATTACATGAGGAGAAAGGAAGCAGCAAGATCTCTTAAGAAGTGAGTCTGCTTGCAGAAAGATGTTAAGCATGATGAAAGTTCAGTAAGGCTTCTACAGCATAAGGAACAGAATGTGGGTAATGAGAGGAGAGCCCATGACTATCTCTTCTACAGATTTAGTTAAAGCCATGGAGGCTGTTATCACTCTCATGAAGGGAAGGAATCCCTTAGCTATGGAATGTAATTGCTTGCAATAACAGCCCTGTGTTGATCTACATTTTTTTGTATAAGGATCCCCAATTCATTTCCTTCTCTTTCATGAAAAAGAAAGAAGAAAGAAAGAAAGAAAGAAAGAAAGAAAGAAAGAAAGAAAGAAGGAAAGAAAGAAAGAGCTCATAATTGGCATTTATGGTACTGTGGCAGGAAGACTTAGAAGTCCTTTTATTGATAGAAGCCTATACAGACATTATCTTCCCAGTCCTGGGATGCTGGTTTGTTAAATTTCAGAAGAGCATTAAGGGTTGAGTTATCAAAGAAAAATCAGATATCCAGTTTTGACAGTACATTGCCAGGCCCCCAAACCCTCATTATTTTCTCAATCTGAGGTTGAGGAAAGTTTAAAATGCTCTAAGGATCTAAGAGTAGTCACTGGTTTGATGTCAAGTGTCCTAAATATTTGACATGAACCTGAGTAAATTGGAGTTTTTCTCTGGAAACGTTAGGCTTTTGTCTGCTACAAGTTTAAGAAGATGAACATTATCATGTTCACAAGCCTGTTTAGAAGAGGAAAAAAGAAGGTCATCAACATACTGCAAGAGAGTCGATCCTCGGGGTATGACTGCTAAATCTGCTTATAGTATTTATGAAAAGTAAGAGGGTCTTTCAGTATGCTTTTGAGGCATTACTGTCCAGATATATTGTTGTCCTTCCCATGTGAAGGCAAATAAAAATTAACTCTCAGGGTCCACAGTAATGCTATAAAAATGCACTACGAAGGTCTATCACTGTAAAAAATTTACTTTCTGTGGGAATGGAAGTTAGGAGGGTTTAGAAGTTTGAAAAGGCAGGATGTCAAGGAATGACAATGTTATTAATAGCTTTTAGGTCTTGTATAAATTTCCATCTTCATTCATGAGGTTTCTTCACAGGAAGGATAGGAGTTATTTCAGGGGCTAGTGCAAGGCACGATGATTTTTTTTTTTTTTTTTTTTTTGCTTTGTGTTCTTCTATTATTTGTTTAATTCCTACAAAAGTTTAAGGGCTTATGGGGTTTTTTCTGATATTAGTAACAGGCTTGTTTGGGTCAATTTGAATCTCTATTTGGGGAGCCAGGTGGGTATGTCCATTGTCTGTTGTGGATTTAGCCCAAAGTTGCTTAGGAACCTCTTTTAAAAGACTTAACACTCAGCATTTTTGTTATTAAGGCTAAAGGCAAAAATGTGCAAGGATGTTGAATAATTTTTACTCTTGTCAGTTAAAGCAGGGGTTGAGTCAATTTCAAGAATTATCTCCCCCTTTTGGGAAAGAAAATGACAGCATGATATTTTTCTAAGAAATCTTTTCTAAGTAAGTAAACTGTGACTAAGGGAACTATTAAAAAAGAATGACTATCCTGGAGAGGACCTATTTGAAAAATCAAGGGTAAATATTTGTAAATTGTTAAAGACGTATTAGAAACTCCCACAATTTGCATTTTTTCAGTACTCCAAGGAATGGTTGCTTGAGGCTGGTGGGGCTAACCACAGAAAGGGTGGCTTCAGTGTCAATAAGGACAGTGAAACCTTCCTCTCCAATCATTAGGGAAGTTTCACTCAAGTGATTAAGAGGCAAGATCTGAAAGATCTCATGTGTTTTCTCAGAACACCCTCAATCCATAAGGAACATGGAGGGCAGTTTATTAAGGTATCCTTTGGCATGTTTTAATTGTACACAATATTTTCATCAATGTCCAGGTCTTTTTGCTTTGGTGGAAGACCCCTTTAAGATTTGGATTCCTAATGTTAGACTGCCATGTTTTATTATGGGGGTTGAAAATTACTGTAGATTCATTATTTTCTTTTTTATTTATTTGTCTTAGAAATTGTTTGGGCTAATTGGTTGACCAGGTTAACTAAATCAGAGGTGAACATTATTTCCCAAATAAATTGAGTCCCTTTAACTAGAATTACAAGATCTTTATCTAAGCCATTTATGAATACAGAATTAAAAGCCACTTTGGTAGATTTGGTATCTGAGTCAAGTCCAGAGTTTTCCTTGAAAACTATTTCAAATCTATGGGAATAATCATGTACAGCCTCACCTTCATTTTGGGTGCAAGCCTGAATCTTGTTACAATCTACTGGTTTAGGGAATGCTAAAGAAATAACTTACTAGAAAATTTTGGCTCTTTCTTGGACGTTTTCCTCTGTTGGAGAATATACTGAATTGGAGGCCCATAAGAGGATTGTTTCAGCCTGCTTTAGCCATCCAATGTGTGCTTGACCTTCTCCAATGAGTGTTAATTGGCAAATAGTAGAGAAATCAGTTTCATCAGTTTAGATAAGAATTTAAAATTCTTCAGCTAATTTATGACAGTCCTCAGTAACCTTGAGGAAATCTTTAGCCATAGCCCTAAATTCGGCTTTTGTTCAGAATACATATGAAATGTTTAAGAGAGTGCCCTCATTATTTGGGCAGAGTTTGAAAGAATAAATTTAGGGAATCAAGGGAAACTTTGGGATCATAAGAATAAAAGGGAAGTTCAGCAAGTGTATGATATAAAAACAGGGGAACAGAAAGAGTCGGGGAATGAGATTTGGTGGAAGAAACTTGAGTCTCAAGGACAATTTCCTTCTCTTTCCATTTTTTATTAGTGAGTTTACAGACTGTTTTGGAGACAGGCAGTTTTAGAGTCCTGAATGCATTCGGATGCCTCTAAATGCCCATTAAAATATGCACCACATTCAGGTTGTTTTGTTTTAGAACCATAGTCTTCTAATTTAGTTTGGAGAAAACCTCGTTTTGACATATCAAAGGAACCTCAATTTGGCCACTGCAGTTCTAATGTATCTTTTGTATATAATGTGCACTGTTCCAAATAAATACAAGAGGAGGGCCCATAATTTTTGGACATATTACCAGCTGGAGTCCCAGAAGAAGGAAAATCATTATGAGATTTAGAATTAAAGAATATCACACTTAAGATAATACTCATCAATAGGAAAACTCACATTTTGCTTCCACAAATGGAACAACCATCCTCAAATTCCCAAATAAAGGTGCTGACCTCAACCAAAGGGAAGGAGGTAGGAGCCTGAGAAGATTTATGAGAGAGGGTGCCTGCAATTCAAGAAAGCAGAGAGCACAAGGAGCTCTGTTCCAGAAAATGCCAATCTACTCCAACATAAGATCATTTTGAGTTCCACTTCTGACATTAGCTATGTTAACTTTAAAGAAAAAAAAAAGACTGACACGGAGGTGAAAATAAATAGCATTTATTTTGGAGACAAAGAAGTGTAACTCAGATACTTGGAATCAGGGAAGCCCTGAATAATAATAGTATCACATAAGGCAAGGACAGGAGAAGATTTTTTTTTAACAGGGGATTTCCACAAAAAGTTTTTTTTGGAGGCAGTTCATTGGCTAGTCAGAAATCCTATATCCTAAATTAGCCCCTTTCGACTAGTTAATTAATTAGAGTACTCCCAGCTGAGAGATGTCAAAAGCCTAATACTGACTTCTGTTGCTTATCCAAGTCTATTGGAACATTCCGTGGTTGACCTTTAGCAGGTGTGAGTGTGCATTCCTCTCAAAAGGATTTCTTGACCCCTCTTTAGAAAGATTTAGCCTTACTTACTTCATTTTCTTTCACAATCTCATTGTTTATTTATTGGAGAGAAGTTACTGATTAGTCTCTCAGGCCTTCAGAATGAATCTTCTAATTTGACTTTGGAGCAATCAATTTTTCCCATGTACATGGGGTTTAAGCAATTATTCCCTGGATAACTGTGTTAAGAATTCATGCCTTCTCTTTAGTCAAGGTTTGAAATAGGATGACATAGGATTGTATTTAGGCTATTCACCACTTGCCTAACAAATATTTCTCCTGGTTTGTTTTTTACATGCTAAAAATATTAATATATCTAAGTACACAGTTTTTCAATTTTATGTTTCAAAATCTATAAACAGTTTTTTTAATGTGTTCATTTCCTTTATTTATAAACTTCCAAATTATCAAAAGGTAAAATATATCTTATTTTATATTTTCTTCTTATTTGGAAGTTTTCTGAACTTTTCCATTCAACTCCTTTATGCATCTGGAATTAACATTGGCACTTGGTATAAGATTGAAATCTCAGATGATTTAAAAAAAATAATTAACACACAACACTATTTGTTGAATAATTCTTCTCCTCATCCCTGGTTTGTGGCTATGCACTCCTTTGCATTTTCTATAATGGGAGGGCACACGAGAGAAAAATTTTAGATTCTCTCAGAATGCCAGAGCAGGAATGTGCCTTAGAGATGTCATCTAAGCCCATGCTTTTTCAAATGGAGAAACCGAGGACCAGAGCAGATAACTGGCTTGCCAAATGTCATGCTAGTTAGTGGTGGAGTCAAGCCTCAAACTAAGATTTTATGACGTTCAATTTGCATTTGAGGCTGTATTCCTTTTTTCTTATCCAGCTTCTGGGGCAGCTTAACAACTTAAGGTTAATTAACCAGCCACAGAGGAACTCAATACCCCCAAGTAGAGGGATACTGAAAGGATCATTTCAGCTTGTCTCTATCCCCCTACCCAGCTCTTGATCACAAACATGGTCAGACTGAGAAGTGGGTGCCACAGTCTCTAGAAATAAGGGGATCAAAGCTGGGGGGAAATGCTGAATATGAAATGGATCCATGATTTAAGCATCTTTACATGTAATACATTGACTAAAAAAAATTGTGTAGCTGAAAGAATCAGGAAGGATCTCAGTGGGTGAGCTTTTCTCAGGAAAGAGAGAAGGAGAACTTAAGGTGGATTTCAAAAGATAGGCTAAAGACCTCTGAATTGGGAGCACAGTTTTCACTTTACTCTCCTCAAAATGCACTTGTTGTCTGAGAGCTTCCTTTACTCTCTCTCTCTCTCTCTCTCTCTCTCCCTCTGTCTGAAATAAGGGATTTATAATAAAGAAAATGCAAGATATTAGGAGGTGGGGCCTTCGAAAGGTTATTAGGTCAGGGACATAGCCTTCAAAAATGGTATTAGTGCTCTTATAAAAGAAGTCCAAGAGTGAGCTTTCATCCTTTCTACCATGTGAGGACACAGCAAAATGAGCACCCTCTATGCACCAGAAAGCATTTTCTTACCAAACACTGAATTTGTTGGCACCTTGACCTTGGCCTCTTCAGCCTTTAGAACTGTAAGAAATAAATTCCTGTTGTTTATTAAGCCACCAGGTTATGGTATTTTGTTGTGGCAGCCTGAATGGTCTAATACAGTCCCTTTATCCATCTTTGGCTGACATTCCTTATTCCTTTGAGTCCTCTTTGACATCCAGTAACTTGGATACTGTCATATAAAATTAATTACAATTAACACATCTTATGTAAATAGGAAGGAATAGAGGAATAGGAAGGTGGAAGCAAAATGATTAATATAAACACAGATATCTTGATATCAACATAAGGAAGTACTCCTAACTATTGTAGTATTGGGTTTTGCAACTAGCCAGAAGATCAAAATTGATGTTTTTAACAACTTTCTTCCTTAACTACCTTCTTCCATTAACCCATTCCATATTGCCTTTGCCCTCAACAAGCACCTTACCTGGTTGAGCTTCCTCGACTGGAGATGTGACCCAATCTTCATTTCTCGAGTGTCTGAGCCATTAAAAGTCCTGTTTGTATGGGTTGCTATAATTTTCCATTGACTTTAGTCACAGAATATGGAAGTACTAAGAGACATCCATGGGGAACACCTGCATTACAGATCCTCATTATGTGTAGCAATGCAATTTCTTCTTGATATTCAAGATCTACCATAACAGTAAGTACTGTAGCCCCCTTATTTTGCTATTTATTCAGTGGCACAAGTACTCAAAGTCACCAGATGTCAATCTCAGCTATAAATTCATTAGAAGCATTGCTGCAACCTGTGGTGGAATCATTCAACCATTCGAATTAAGGCCTCTAAATCAGGACGACCTAAGTTACAGGGATGAGAAAAGTAATTTTACTAGTGGATCAGTAGGGAAATAATGAGTAGATCTAAAATTAATGTCATTCCTTGATTCCCTAACCTAGGATTCCTGGCTATGGGAGAATCAGCACCACATTTTGGACACTAACTTAAAACATATACCACATTACAGAGGACATGGGCCAACCCTGCAAAATATCATCTAGCTGGCTCTGTAACTGAGTCATCAAAGGCATTCCACTCTCGATTGGCCAGCTGCTTCAGGGTGATAGGTAACATGGTAAGGTCAGTGAATTTTATGAGTTGGCACATTGCCACACTCTGGTATGAGATCAGTTGTTGGACCAGAAGGGACTCTGTATAAAATACCATGATGGTAGATAAGGCAGCCAGTAAATCCTCAGATGGTAGTTTTGGCACAAGCTTTGCAGGCGAAGTGGTAATGTCACATTTAGAGTCATTGTGTATTCTTGTGAGAACAAAACAATACCCCTTCCAAGATGGAAGTGGTCCAATGTAATCAAGTTCAAAACATGTAGCTTGCAAGTCCTTCTGAGGAATAATGCCATATTGGAATCTTAGTTTTGGTATCCGCTGAAGTTGTAGCCAAATTGACTTTGGTGCATGGAGGTCCATGATTCTGAGCCCACTCACAAGCTTCATCCTGGCTGGTATGACCACTTTCTTCATGAACACATCAAACAAAGACAAGAGTGTCTGGGAAAGAGGCTGCCTGAAATCCACAGAATGCATCATCTTATCCCCCTGATTATTAAACTTCTCTGCTGAGGTTGTTCTTTGGTGAGTATTCACATGAAACCTGAATATCTTTATATCATATGCCCATTTGCAGAGATAGCCACATATACCTCTTCCCTACACTTGTTTATCACTTATTTTATAATCATGTCCTTTCCAAAGGACTTCCAGCCAAACTATTAACCATTGTCTATGAAGTGGGATAAATTCATACCTCTGTCCCCATGTTTTTCTCCATACAAAATGAGCAAGTTTCTTTGGCATTCCTTTTCATTTTGGGTAAATGTATATCCTTCAATAAGTGTCTTTTATTTTAAGGTTAGCAACAGCAGTTACTGTTATTTAGATCCAAGTACTATAACTAATACAGACATTGATAACAGAAATTAGGTTTCATGCAACAAAATTTAAGGAAATTGGGGAATTTTGAAGTTGATTTTCTGCCCCATTAGGGCTAAAGGTAGTTGAAAACTCCATTTGTGTTCTATAAGGGGAATATGGCAGCCCATGAAATGAAAGAGCATATCATTTAATTAAGTGGTTCTCTAAAATGTAAAGCCTTTGGAAGGCCTGGCTTTAGAAGACCTCATTGCTGCCATAGAGAAGTCTGAAAAATGTAAGTAGTTAATAGATTGTGAGGTGAAGTGGATGCTTATGATGGCACTAGAAAGCTTTAAAAAAGAAGCCTAAATTCTTGCTCAGAAGCCTAATTTCTTGGCTCAAGTGCTCCAGGAATATATGGAAGACAGGGAACATGTAAATATAATTTCTGGAGAGCTAAGTTAGCCAAATCCTATGCTTGCCATTTGATCCTGTGTATTACCAAATTACAGAATTTGTTGATTTCTCAACATTGATGTCGGTTTTGTCGAAATTAGTCACTGAAATGCAAAGAGTAAAAATTCAAGAATAGGACAGTTGAGAGAGTTAAAAGAACCTCAACTCCAAATCCCCACTGAGCCTCTCTTGCCAGCAAAAGCAGTCTTTCTCTTTGTCCAATGCAGCTGTTTCTCCTTTGCTTACACACCCGGTAATTTCCTTGCCCGTGAGACTTAAATTGCAAAAAGAAGCCAATTTTCCTAATGCCACCATCTCACAACTATTGTTGTCTCCAGACCTGTAAGCAGAGTAAGATCCCATCATTTCTCTCCAGACTAGGGTGGAGGATCAAATATCAAAACAATGAGAAAAGTGTTTACAAACTGAAAGAACTGTGGAACGTTGAACATTTCTAAAATAAAATTTGTGTGGGAATAATTATGAGGGTGTTCATTCAAAAAAGGAGATATATAATTTTAGATCTGATTGAATTTATTGATATGGTAAAACTTCCTAGAGAGTCTTTATTCAATGTGCTACTCTAGCAGCTTTACACAAGACTGAAATTATTGTGATAAATATAAGTTTGCAAGATCTTACACCTTCTCAATCAATTGCATCTGAAGGAGAATGTATTAGCAGAAAGCAGAAATGAACAGCAGTAGGGGGTAGAGATAAAGCCCAGGGAATATGGAGACTTGAGGTGAGGGAATATATGATAACAGAAGAAAGGGAAGAGAATTATCTGTTTCTGGATCCCCACTTTGTACGGGGCACTATTATAGGAGCTTCTGGACACCACCTCTAAATTTCATTTTATACTCTCAATAACCACATGACATGGGAATCATTATTATTTCCACTTTAGAGGTGAGAAAACTGAGGTTCAAGGATACTAGGTAACTTGTCCCAAATTACACAGTTACAACATAGAGACATGGCAGGGGCACAGGTCTAATGCCTGTGATGCCAGAGCACAGGGCAAGGGAGTCTGCAGAGGGAAGGGTACCTTTCTCTTATGTCGGAGATAAGCCCTGCTAGCAAAGCTCAGCTGAATCAGAAGCAGCAGAAAACAACCTGTGCCATTGTCTGACTATGCCACCAGAGGGCACAGGTTTGGAAGTTTTCTTTTTACACAGTCTTTTGCTGTTTTCTCTGCAGGGACTTGCTGTAGCTGAGAGAGCAATGTGTTATATTACATGGACTAACCTCGCAGTCTAGAGACTTGAGCTTGTCACTCCCTTTCTTTAGGACACATGTACTAGTGACCATCACATTTGTGAGGTGTGCCTTCTTCAATATGGGCAGCGGGTGTCAGGTAGTTAGAAAGACCTCTTGGGTTCAGGACTGATATTTACCAACCAGCTCTGAAACCTCAGTGCTGACTGTGGTTCTTTCCACACAGTGGGAGCTTAGTCTATGTTTTGTTAAGAAGAAATAATGGTACACAGAGTCACCCTCTGTCTATCCCCCAGTGGCTTCCCAGTGCCCTCAAGGTAAAGTCAGTACTATTTGTCCTGGATTATAAGTCCTACCATAGACTGCATCTAGGCTTAGTTCGAACTAGCTCCTCATTCCCTGCCTCCCCTCCCACTACAAATTAACACATAGATTCTTAATGTAGTACTGAAGCTGGCAGGGTCTGGAATCTGATGCTTCACAAAATGTCTGTAGTAAAATGCTTCACATGCCTGTAGTAAATACTCAGAAGCAGGAGTTGCTGTTGCTGCTACTGCTACTGCTACTACTGCTACTACTACTACTACTAGAGCTGGAAACTTTCAGAAGCAGGTTGAACTCAAGTCTCCTGACTGAGTCCAGTTCTTTTTGTTCCCATTGCTTCTTTGCATATAATCAGTACACAATTAATACTGGACAGTGGAATCTTTAATTTCAGTCTCCTTGACTCCTTCTGCATCCTCTTTTGGAGTCCTGTGGCCAGGGGACGGTACAGGGAATTTTAATGACGAGAAGACAGGGCTGGTTTCCCCCTTAGCAGACATATATGTTTGCAGCATCAGAAGTCTAGGGCTGGAAGCTACCTTTGACATCATTTCCTCTGCGAATGCATGTATAATTTCTACAGAACCTATTAGAAAGGATCACCCAGCCTCTGCTTTTGTACAACTTTCCCTTAAAAAACTGCCAATTCCACTGCTGTTTGGCCCAATAGTGAGAACTTTTTCCTGCTGCCTCTTGGTGCTTTTGCCTATGGCCCCTATTCTGCCTGCTGAAGACACTCTTGCCAGCATGGACTTAAACCCCTCCAGCTCTGACAATCCTCTTTCTCTTTTGTTTTACATGAAGGGTCTGGCAGCCAAAGCAATCACTCAAAGTTCAAACCTTATCATTTTTTGCTTTGTTCCTCTTGGCCTTGGTTTTGTACATCAGCTTTGAAAATACCATCCCAGGGTTAATGCTGGGGTTAATTTATAACTAAGAGTGCTCTAGTTTTGCAATACAGGACATGCTATAAAAATGGAAAGATGTTGCTTTCTGAGAGATGCAGGTGGATTCTTGGGCATTTGCTGTAAGTACTTTTTTTCTCTTTGGAAACTTTGAACATCTCTATCAGCAAGTCAGAGTCCCAAATAACCAAGTTGGCAAGTCAGAGTCCCAAACCAAATTCCTGGCTCTAGGGGTGAAGGTCTAAGTGTGGTCATCTAATAATTGACTTTCTACCAGCCTCAGTGACTTTTAAAGAAAGAGGACTCTGATGATGATATGGAGATTGGATAGAGTGGTGAACAAAGGGGGTTGGTATGGAGGATATAGGAGATGGTGTGATCTGTTAGGAGCTGATATAGTAGCTCAGGCCATGAACTGAGAGGCAGAGGCAGCAGGAATGAAGAGAAGGGAGAAGTTTTGAGAGTTATTTAAGAGTTAGTATTCATAAGACATCATGCTTCATTAGATATGGGGAATGAGAATAAAAGGAGGCTATGATTATTCCCAGGTATCTGGCTTAGGTGTCTCTATAGACAGTGATGTGATAAACTGAGATGTGGAATGAAGATGAGGGAGCAAGCTTAAGGTGTAGGGAGATGATATGTTTACATCTGGCAACTTTGAGATTTTCTTATTGAGACTGAGGTCTGTGTGGACCATCCTGGTGGTTATATCCAAAAGAAAGCTGGATAAATGGCTAGGAGCTCAGGAGAGCAATCTGAGAGAGATACAGTTTCTAGCAATTGAGTGCGGAGGGTAAGATCACTCAGGAAGAAGATGGAGGGTGGAGGAAGGATCCTTTTTCTGAGTTCATAGACCTCTTCCTTCTAAGCACACATGTCCACTTTCATTGGATTTCCACACCTGACTTCTTTACTCCATTTCTTTGCACTCTTTCAGGATCAGAGAACCTTACACCTTATCTTTCTGGCTTTCTTTATAATAATTAAAAGTAACATGCATAGGTGTAAGAATAATAGTGTTAAGATGTCTTACAACTTAGAAATGACTGTTTAGATGTTACTAAGATTAATGGTGAAAGAAATGTAAAATTTAGAAAATTATTCTTTCATTTTCTGGTTGTTCGAAAATACCTCTATGGCTTCCATGCATTGCAAAATGCATGAATTTCAGCTCATGACCTTGTACGTGGCTCCATAAACCACCACCCATCCATTCCAACTAATCATATATTGTACAAATTACTTTCATTTTGTCTTTTAGCCAAATAAGATGCGAGTGTTCTCTCATCTCATAGATTTTATCTTAAGAAAATGCCAGATGAAAAAAAAAATCTAAAATTCTAATCTACAATGAATAATGTATACAGAGGGAGTACTAGTTTAACCTAAGAATATCCCCTCTCTCCAAAAGGCTGCCTCTAGTTCAGAAAAAAAGTGATTCAATTTCCATAAATTTAATTTACTCACAGCGTTTTCATAATGTTGCTATAACATCTGAATGACAGTCCATGGCATTATTTCCGTGGTTGCAGCAAGCCACTTCTCCTACTCCCTGTCCATATTAGATGCATCTCCTGTTTTTCAAGGGAGAGAAACCCCTGCTCAGCCCCTGATGAGCACATCATCAAATATTTACTATTGTTTTATTAATCAATGTGGGTGGTTATTATGTGTCTCTGGCTCAGGGAGTGTTTCATCCAACTAAGCTCCCTCAGTGGTTGTCTCACTTCATCTCTTATAGATTAACTTCCTTCCAAAATGTCACCATTCCTGTATCTGGTTCTCTTGGTACTTGGGCTTCATGCTACAATCCACTGTGCATCACCTGAAGGCAAAGTAACAGCCTGCCATTCATCCCAACCAAATGCCACTCTCTACAAGATGTCATCCATTAATGCTGACTTTGCATTCAATCTGTACCGGAGGTTCACTGTGGAGACCCCAGATAAGAACATCTTCTTTTCCCCTGTGAGCATTTCTGCAGCTTTGGTTATGCTTTCCTTTGGGGCCTGCTGCAGCACCCAAACTGAGATTGTGGAGACCTTGGGGTTCAACCTCACAGACACTCCAATGGTAGAGATCCAGCATGGCTTCCAGCATCTGATCTGTTCACTGAATTTTCCAAAGAAGGAACTGGAATTGCAGATAGGAAATGCCCTCTTCATTGGCAAGCATCTGAAACCACTGGCAAAGTTCTTGAATGATGTCAAGACCCTCTATGAGACTGAAGTCTTTTCTACCGACTTCTCCAACATTTCTGCAGCCAAGCAGGAGATTAACAGTCATGTGGAGATGCAAACCAAAGGGAAAGTTGTGGGTCTAATTCAAGACCTCAAGCCAAACACCATCATGGTCTTAGTGAACTATATTCACTTTAAAGGTAAGACTTTCAGATGTCAATTTTCAGTCTAGGGCTCAGATACTTGGGTGGAGTGCTGAGGGGAGCTCATGGTCTCTTATTACTGGCATCAGTAGGTGTCCCTCATACCACAGTGATCTGCTCCACTGGACATAGCTGTGAATAGTATTGGATCTTCCAAGATGGACACACAGCTCTGTGAATGAGTCCAGGAAATTTCTAGGGAGAGCGCCCTTTCAGAGAGGTGGGTGACAATGGTATGAACATCTTGCTCATAATTGGCTAAAGATTCATGGTTTCCAAAAGATTTGGTGAGGTGGGACAAGCTTGCACTTGTCAAGTAGACATATTTGTATGTAAAGCCTACTGTGATTCTCACTTGCTGTACATACTTAGGCATGTTACATACATAATTTTACCATGTATTATGCACTCACTGTGTACTAAACACCATCTGACATGTGTGGTATACACACACTGTCTCAATCAATACTCATAAGTGTCCAAGTTTACACAGTTAATAAGTTTTAGAACTGATATTACCAACAAGGTCTGTGTGAGTCTAAAGCTGGTGCTTGTAGAAACAAGAATCATGTGACTATTTCCTAAAGGTACTGTGCTCAAATGATTTCTCCTGGTTCTATAGTATATGTCAGCCACATTTCTTGGAGGAGTAATCAATTGTCGGCCACAAACCACACATAGATAGATTGGCTAAAATTGCAGAACAGATCTGTTTTCTCACTTCTCCCTAGTGTGTTGGATGTCGTTATACCTTTTTATGGAAGAGGAAACTATGGCTCTGATGGGCTTAGTGTGGTATAGTAGTTTTGAATACAGACTGTGGAGCCCAACAGCCCTGGGTATGATTCCTGGCTCTGCCACCTGTTAACTGGGAGACCATGACAAATGACTTTCTCTGCCTGATCCTCAGTCACTTGTAAAACTGGTTGACTGTAGGTACCTAACTCTGTGGTGATCTTAATTTCTAAATGAAATCACTAATGGAAAAGGTCTTGTTGGTACTGATACCGGTTTAAAATAAACACCTCTCTTTTCTTTGTATTTTAAGCCCAGTGGGCAAATCCTTTTGATCCATCCAAGACAGAAGACAGTTCCAGCTTCTTAATAGACAAGACCACCACTGTTCAAGTGCCCATGATGCACCAGATGGAACAATACTATCACCTAGTGGATATGGAATTGAACTGCACAGTTCTGCAAATGGACTACAGCAAGAATGCTCTGGCACTCTTTGTTCTTCCCAAGGAGGGACAGATGGAGTCAGTGGAAGCTGCCATGTCATCTAAAACACTGAAGAAGTGGAACCGCTTACTACAGAAGGGGTAAATGCCTTAGAGGATGTGTGGGTGGAAGGTGGGCATAAAAGTGCAGGTGAGACAGAGTTCAGCAGAAACCCAGAGGCAGAAGAATCACCCTGAACTACCCAACAGCTATGTATGATCACTAGAATATGCCAAGAAAATACTGTCTACCAGGCCCTTGGCTGGGCATTCTACATACTTCATATCATCCAAGCACATCAACAAACCTACAAAGGAGGCAGTATAATTGGCATTTTTCAAATTAGGAAGTCTGGTCTTGAAAGATAAGATGAGCTCCCCAAAGTCAGCCTATTAGTAAATTGATGGCTTCCTGTAGACCAACTAGAGCTCAAAGAACAGGTTGGATTTTGATGTTGAAAGGTGATTGGGCAGCCACTCTGTACTGGAAGTGCAAGGCAGAAAACTGTGAAGCTCCTGGGTGCTACCCATTAACCTTCATGCCACTAGCTCCCCAACCTTGGTCGTCACCTCAGGGATATTTTCTCTTGATTATAAAGGAGTTACATCTCCCTACTCCCAGTGCTTCAGTCCAACATTGGCTGTACCTGAGTGCATTCCTTTCAGAATAACTTCTGTGAGTTTGGTGCCATGTATTGACTTACATAGTAATGGTTATCAATACTCAGGGAAGAAGCAGAGTCCAATATAATACCATCATGAGAGAGAGAAGGAGAGAATCATAAGCTTGATATGGTGATTGCCATGTGTTCCCTTCCTCTTTTCCCACAGATGGGTTGACTTGTTTGTTCCAAAGTTTTCCATTTCTGCCACATATGACCTTGGAGCCACACTTTTGAAGATGGGCATTCAGCATGCCTATTCTGAAAATGCTGATTTTTCTGGACTCACAGAGGACAATGGTCTGAAACTTTCCAATGTAAGTTGATAAACTAGAGTTCTTAAATGTATGAACTGGAAGAGCAATTAGGAGTCAATTGATTCAACTTTCTTATTTTACCAATTAGCAATCTGATGCCTAGAGAGGCGGTGTGACTCCTCCTAAGCTAGAATCACTCCAGAGTCATTCCCATTACTCCAAATAAGTAATTGTATCAGTTTCTTCCATCCTTGACCTTTATGTCCCAGAATTACTCTGATAGAACAGCTTAATGATCAGAAGTGACTCTGGTGAGATGCAGTTCTGAAGGAGGTGTGAGGAGGGAATGCTTAAGAGGTGACTCCTGGCGGCAGCAGGCCATAGTGAATGAGGTGTTTCCCAATGGCTAGCCGTAGAATCGCCAGAGAATGATTGACTACATTTAGCAGAGGAAACTTCATATTCTAGCACCATCAACATAGTATAGCAAAGGGGCGGCCCCACCTTTCCTTTCCCTTTCTTACTTCTAGACCTTCCCAAAGACTGTTCCTGTTTCTTCAGAGACCCGCAGGATTTGTTCTCCCCACACAGGCTGCCCATAAGGCTGTGCTGCACATTGGTGAAAAGGGAACTGAAGCTGCAGCTGTCCCTGAAGTTGAACTTTCGGATCAGCCTGAAAACACTTTCCTACACCCTATTATCCAAATTGATAGATCTTTCATGTTGTTGATTTTGGAGAGAAGCACAAGGAGTATTCTCTTTCTAGGGAAAGTTGTGAACCCAACGGAAGCGTAGTTGGGAAAAAGGCCATTGGCTAATTGCACGTGTGTATTGCAATGGGAAATAAATAAATAATATAGCCTGGTGTGATTGATGTGAGCTTGGACTTGCATTCCCTTATGATGGGATGAAGATTGAACCCTGGCTGAACTTTGTTGGCTGTGGAAGAGGCCAATCCTATGGCAGAGCATTCAGAATGTCAATGAGTAATTCATTATTATCCAAAGCATAGGAAGGCTCTATGTTTGTATATTTCTCTTTGTCAGAATACCCCTCAACTCATTTGCTCTAATAAATTTGACTGGGTTGAAAAATTTTCCCTTTTCTGTCTTCTGGGGAATAGCTAAAAAGCAGGTCAGGTCTTCGTATCCCAGTACTCCAATAAGATCAATGGACATAAAACAATGCAGATGCATTGTCTTATATGTGAACTTCTCAACCCCCTTCCCACTGTCCCATTAGTAGGATTCTCTGAGTTCTTGCCAGATCTGACACTGGTAGGTTGAATAAAGGAACTCCCACTATGGGGATGAGTTACAGACTGAGACAACTGAACAAGTTACTGAACAAGCATGGGACAATACAGCAAGAGATAAACTTGCCTGTCCAACCCCACCTTCCCCCCAAGAAAACATACTTCCACCTTGCCAATGTATAAGCTGGGAGTGGAGAAAGAAAGTAATTCATTCATGTCATATCTCATAGACCCTCTTTTTCTGTATCCCAATCAGACTCCTTTCCATATATAGCACCCCTGTCCCACTTGTTTAAGTAGGAATCTCCTTTTTGGCTCTAATTTCACTGAATATTGGTACTTTTGTATCCCCAGATCCTTCAACAACCTTCCCTCTACCTGTACATGCCAACTCATTACCACCTACCAAACTAGATTTTATTTCAGACACTATGTATTTAAAGCTTGAGTATAAATGGCACAGTGAGTGGTAATGATGTAGTATCTGAAATTCTAGCCCTGAGGTAAAACACTTCAGTGACAGGAAAATAGTAAAAAAAATGCATAAGTACTGTTGCAGATGTTGTACTTCCATATTGAAATAAATATTTATGTTTAGAAAAGCATGTGTATTACAAACATTCTAATTTTTTCTGATTAGACCCATTTGCATGGAAGTTTGTTTATTCCTGGTATAGTTCACACTTTGCTTTTGTGTAAGCAATTTTTGAAGCCCAGAGCAGAATCTCTGGTACAAAAATTCATTGTTAACATGGAGTTGTGTTTCACTAAAGTTACATTACAATCCTGGCCCTGCTACTTAGTGTTTGGTGATCTTGGACAAGGCACTTAAACCCTGTACCTTATTTTCTTCATCTGTAAAATGGGAACAATAAGAATATCCATGTCATTGGGATTTTGTGAACCTTCAATGTTGCAAAGCAGGTAGCATGTAATATGCTCATCACAGAGCCTGAGACCTGATAAAAAGCCCTGTAAATATTAGTTGTTTCAATCATGTTGGTCAACACCAGACAGTGGGCTGGTATCAGAACCAGGATTGTAATGTGAGTCTCTTGATTTGCGGGTTTCTGTTCTCTAGCTCAGGCTCTACCTCCAGAGGCCAGAGTAAATGTAAATATCAACTCCTTCCTACCCCCTACCGTCCAAATGAGTTCCATCAGAACTTGTTCTGGAAGGAATATCAGTATCTTCAGAGGGAAGTCAGGGATTAAAAGACATTATCCCTCAAGTAGTTCATGTGTCTCCTTAGAGACTAAACCTCATTCAGTCATTCTTTCCTGTGGTCAGATCATGAAGGGCTATCACTGTTTGTCCTGTGACAAACTAAGAATAGCAAACTAAGAATAGAACATAACTTCCTTAACCTCATGAAGTTTACCCACAAAATAACTAGAACATGTATCTCACTTAATAGAGAAAATTTGTAGCAGAATTTTTACTAAATTGGGAATAAGACAAGGATTCTATATATTATTGCTTTTATTTAAAATGATATTGGAGATGTTAGTGCAGTAAAACAAGAAAAATAAATAAACATTAAAAGAATAGAGTGGAAAGGAAGAAAAATCTGTCTACACAGAAAAACCAAGAAAATATATTAACGAATTCTTAGAACAAAAGACAGAAAACTTATCTGGGAACCAGCCACAAGAAAGCAGTGGTATGGATTGCACGGAATTTATCAATTCTGCTTTCCTTTCTACATTGTGATAGAATTATAGACACACGGCTTCCCTGATAAACTACATGTTCTAGCCTCCCTAGCAGTTAGGTGTGGCCTTGTAAGTAAATTCTCAACAATGAAATATGAATGTAGGTGACATATAACATCTATCAACTAGGGAATTACAATAGTTGAGTACTTCCTCCACTCTTTTTCTGCCTTTGTTAAGCTGGATTGTGGACTTACTTATGACCAAGTTTGACCACAAGCAGGTAAAGAGCTCCTTGGCAGTCTGGTGAAATCTACATACATCTTTTCAGAATAATTATTTAAATGCTAAGAAAAAGTAGGATTACAATGCTACCGATAATGTAGAAATATAATTATTAAAATAATATTGAAATTACATCAGCAAGATGGCAGAATAGGAAGCCCTGGATCCTCCTCCCCCACTTCCTTGACAAACACCAATTCAACAACAATACACAGACAAATTCCCTTTGTAAGTATACCCATTATGGAAAACAGTATGGAGGTTCCACAAAATGTTAAAAACAGAACTACCATATTATATAGCAATCCCACTTCTGGATATTTACCAAAAATAATTGACATCAGGATCTCAAATAGACATTTGCACACCAGTGTCCACTGCAGCATTATTCACAATAGGCAAGATATGGAAACAACCTAAATGTCCATCAATAGATGAAAGGATGTGTTTCTACATACAATGGACTATTATTCAGCTTTAAAGAAGAAGGAAATCCTGCCATTTGCAACATAGATGAATCTGGAGGACATTAAGCTAAATAAAATAAGCCAGTCACAGAAATAGAAACCTGTATTATTCCACTTATATGAAGTATCAAAATTAGTAAAACTCCTAAAAGCAGAGGATATAGGACAGTGATTGCTAGAGACTGCAGGAAGGGAGAAATGGAGAGTTGTTATTAAATGTGTATCAAGGTGCTGACAAATTCTGTTTCTAGTGAGGGCTCTTTTCCTGGCTTGAAGATGGCCACCTTCTCATTATGTTCTCATATAGTCTTTCCTTGGTGCATCATACAGGGAAAGAGAGAGAGAGAGAGAGAGAGAGAGAGAGCAAGAGCTCTCCTGTGTCTCTTCTTGTAAGGACACTAATCTTATCAGATTAGAGCTCCATCCTTATGACCTCACTTAATATTAATTACTACCTTACTCCAAATACAGCCACTCTGGGGATTAGGACCTTAAAATATGAATATTAGGGGTACAGATACATTAAGCCCATAACACTAGCCTTACTCCAAGTAATACAGAAGTTGGTAGTAGTAGTAGTGGGGATGTTGCAGGTTTGATTATCCAGGAAGCAGATCCTGAAGCAGAGTTTATAGTACAGAACATTTGTTAGGGAGGGCCCTTGGGATTGATGCCTATAGAATGGAAGGGAAGGAAGCAAAATTAGGCAGAGGCTGAAGTCAAGCCAACATGCAGGTCCAAATAGCAACAACCTTGGTTGACTGCACAAGGAAATCTGGAGCTAAAATGGCCAGTTAGAGTTGTTCTGTTTTAGGTCAAAATAGCTGGACCCTCACACATCTACCTTGGTCAGTCATTGAATATGAGCTGACCAGAAAAGGTAATGATTGAGGGCAAGACATCTCTGCAACTAAGGCAGCCCTTGAAGGGACTGAAAGCTGAAGCCTGTCTGCTGACAGGACTCCTAAGCAACTAGAACAACAAGTCCTTTCTTGAAGAGAAATCTGTATGGCACACCTCCATGTCCAACACAGTCAATTCCTTGTCTGCTGAAATCTACTTCTTTCTGTAAGTTTTGGAAGTATTTACTTAAGGATTCTGGTGAATCTTTCTTCCTGGAGGAAGCTTAGAAGGAAACATTTGGTAGAATGAACTACAGCTTCTGCTGCTGCAGCTGGTCTCATTGTCACAACTGATAATGCTTCATTCCCCTCCACTATCTATTCTAGATTCTCCTTCCCTTTAGCTGATCTCCATAGCTCACCTGATGACATTATTAAAAACCACATCCATGACAAGTATTGAGCCACCAGTTACCATAGCATTCTTTGACCAAGATTACTTCATATCTCCACTTCCCATCAAAATTGGGCAAGGAATTATAAAGAGGCACTCATGTGGATCACTTGAATGTCAAACATATTCTACTTGTCCCATTATGTAACAACATATCTTCTTCCTTCTAATGATTGGGATCAATTACCCTTGACTAAATGGTGTAATAAAGAGTCTAACTCCGTTTTCTTAATATTTGACATCTTATAAGTCTTATTTCTACTTCTTTCCTTTATGCCCTACATCTGGGTATGCTGATAAGTAAGCCAGTTCACTCACTTCTTTGGTGCTAGTGAGAATTTCCAGCCAAACAAGCTGCTGCCTATACAAAGAAACCCTCACAGTTGCCTCAACCCCTAACAATCATAAAAGCCCAAGCCTATTTCCTTTCCCTCCTCTCTCAAGCCATTTTTTGACCAGCTTAGGAGGCCTGTCCTGCTTTCCTGGTGTGTGTGTGTGTGATGTAATCAGTCTTGACACCTGACCCAAGTTTTGGGTGAGAATCCACCCTGTGTCTGTAGGATGGCCACAGCAAATGATGTGATTCCTTTTCTTGCCTGATATTCCCTGACCATAAAGATCCTGAAGTGTTCAGGCAGCATCCATAGCTTATAGTTCAATGGGACACTTGCTGAATTTCATGGCAGAAGTGTTTTTCCTTTGGTGATCATTACTTGCAACCCTACAAATCCCAGAATTGTAGGGACAGGTTGCAAAGTTCCCCAGTGGGCCATTGAGAGTAATGCGAGTGTGGTCACTCCATTTTCCATCAATTGCTTCCTGACTCATGAATTCTTCCTATTGGGAGCACAACATCATGTAGTGATCTCTGATTAAAGTTAGTATACTGTGCCTTGGAAGAAGGAATCCAGTTTTGTGAAGTATCACCTCTGAGCTTGTGCTTTATGGAAGCCTTCATCACGTCTTTCTGATGCTCTTTTATGACAGCAACTTCCAAGTGTTACTATAAATGGTCCTTGACTTACAATGGTCTGATTTAGAATTTTTTAATGGTATGATGGTGTGAAACAATTCTGTTTTTCACATTCAGTACAATATGTAATAAATTACATGAGGTATCCAACACTTTATTATAAAATAGGCTTGTGTTACATGATTTTGCCCAACTGTAAACCAATTTGATATATGATGGAATTGGAGTAAAAAATCTTTGAGGAAGTGATGATTACATCTATACTGGCAGTGTAGAAAAAATTATGAGAACCCTACATTTTGCCACATACTAGAATAAATTCATGATGGATTAGAGATCTAAATGTAAAAAGTAAACTTTAAAAGTATTAATAGCATATCATAAAATAATAAATGGGGAAGGAGTTTTGAAATAATAACAAAAGTAAAACATATACAGAAGAATACTGGAAAATTTAACCTCAAGAACTGACAAAATACATCTTAAACAAAGTGAAAATATAATTATAGACAAGAATAAGATATTTGCTATAAGTATACCAGGCACATGATTAGTGATATAATAAATGCCAACAAAAGCAATAAGAAAATGGCACATAATCTAAGAGAAAAAATGGGCAAAAATTAGAGAAACCAGTGCTGATGGAAAAAATTATATTGCCCAATAAACCTATGAGAAGTGCTGGTAACTGGACCTCCCAAGGACTAATTGAAACCATATCCCTGGAGGTGAGGCCTGTGCATATGTGTTTATTAGTTGGTTGGTTGTTCTGTTTATCTTAATTTTTATCTCTCTATTGTAGTACACTATGCATACAAAATGTACACAAGTCATAAGTATTTAGCTCAATGAATTTTAACAAAGAGAACATATCCATGTAATCAGCACCCAGATCAAGAAAGAAGCCGCTTTCATGCCACCTTATGGTTAGTAACCTCCCAAGTGTAATTATCCTGATTCCTAACATCACAAATTACTTTGCCTGTTTTTAAATCTTTATATAAATTAAATTGGCCTGGCGCGGTGGCTCACGCCTGTAATCCCAACACTTTGAGAGGCCAAAGCGGGGGGAGGGGGGGGTCACAAGGTCAGGAGATCGAGACCATCCTGGCTAACACGGTGAAACCCCATCTCTACTAAAAAATACAAAAAAATTAGCCGGGCATGGTGGTGGGCGCCTGTAGTCCCAGTTACTAGGGAGGCTGAGGCAGGAGAATGGAGTGAACCCGTGAGGCGGAGCTTGCAGTGAGTGGAGATTGCGCCACTGCATTCCAGCCTGGGCGACAGAGAGAGACTCCATCTCAAAAATAAATGAATGAATAAATAAATAAATACAAATAAATACAAACAAATTAAATCATATAATTTATACTCTTTTTGTGTTTTTCTGCTTTCCACTCAACACTGGATGATTGCTTATAGTTACAGAGTTTTCAGTCTCATTGTTACATGGTATTTTGTTTTATGAAAACACATTTTGTCTATCCCTTCTAATGTTGATAGATATTTAGGCAATCTCTAGTTTATGAGCTTTGATAAATAATATCTCTCTAAGCATTCTTAAGCAGGTCTCCTAGTGAATAAATGTATGCTTTCCTTATGGGTATAAACCACGGGATGGAATTGCTGAGTGATAGGGTGTGCATATAATCAGCTTCCATAGACATCCCTCTATCTTTGCCTGAATCTGGATTGTCAGCATCTAAGTGCATTCTGGTTGATTGGCAATTTTCCCCTGGGAAAGCTGTTGAAAATTCAGCACTCCCTTTAAGATTTCCAAATCTTTCCATTTGGGTTCTTAGCCACTTTCCCTGAGGTGTCTTTGTCTCCTTACATGATAAGTCTATGTCTCCTAAGACTCTCTGGTGAAGTCTTTGTCTCCACAGAGTCTTAGGAGACAAAGACTTCAGAGTAGCCTTGAGAGAGTATATGGAATTCCATTCTGCTTTTCAGAGGACATTTCTACTTATATTTAGCCTCCAATCCTGTACAGCTTTGGAAATCAGCAAATGCCTTGAGCAAGGTTCTGGTTGTGTGTTTTATTCCCCCCATGTCTTCAAATTTGTCACTCATTTTCCTGTGAACACCAAAAGCTCACCTGGATTATTAATTCCCCAGGTGCTGCCCTTGGCTGGAACTGGCAAAATCTTCCTGGGGTGGTGGTGGTACGGGGGAAGCGGGGGACAACAAATTACAGATACTCAATACAGCTTGGAAAGATTTTATTCTCTGGAATCTTTTTCCCTTTTATCCTAATTGCTTCTGCAGTTTTCAGATACATTTAAAACTAGATTTTAGTAATCTATCTGGCTTTTTTAGGTGTTCTTTATAGGAGCATTGACCTACCACGAACTACTCCATCTACGTGAAATGAGAAATGTTTATGCGTTCTTTAAAATTTTCCGATGTTATTCGAATGTGTAGAACCCATTGAGAACTACTGTCTTAGAGATACACTTGCAAGTGTATAACTAGAGACATGTGCCAGGAAATTCATGGCAACAACGCTATAAGGGAAAACTGCAAACAACTGAAATATCCATCAATAAAGGAATGGATGACTAAATTGTATAATAGAAATGTTCATATGATGGAATATTGTTTGAGCACCCAAATTGCTAAATTAGAACTACCTGTCTAACAGGTATACAATTGCATTGTATACTATAAATATATATTTATTTGCCAATTTTAATTCAAAAATATTTTTTAAAACAATACCTAAACAATTCATGAATACACATATATGAAGTAAAAGTATAAAAATGTGAACTGGAAATACATGCATCAAATTTATGTTAATGCTTACTTCTAGGGGAAGGCAGGTGGTGATGAGATTGAGTAAAGGAATAAAGAGGAAGTCAACTACATCTATAATTGTTTATTTCATTTTTATTTATTTCTTAAGGAGTAAAATAAAATATAAACATTTTCTAGTACTGTGTGATTGGCATCTGGGTGAGGTTATATTATTCTCAGTACTTCTCTGCAGGCTTGAAATTTTTGAGCCTTAAGAAAGACAACTCAGTTTAAATATAACCTTTCTGGTGAATGATTACTGAGTCCCTCGAGAAAACTCAATAACTCTTGTCTAGCTATGCCCACAGGTTTTTCTCCCTGACATTTATTTTTATAGCACTAATCACAACCTATTTTAATAATCTATTTGCTCACATGTTGCTACTTCTACATTAAAAATTATATGGGGAACTATCTCACAATAAGGTGAGTAATTTAGGCCGGGTGCAGTGGCTCATGCCTGTAATCCCAACACTTTGGGAGGCCAAGGCGAGTGGATCACCTGAGGTCAGGAGTTTGAGACAAGCCTGGCCAACATGGCAAAAGCCTGTCTCTACTAAAAATACAAAAATTAGCTGGGCATGCTGGCACATGCCTGTAATCCCAGCTACTTGGAAGGCTGAGGCAGGATAATCACTTTTACCCGGGAGGCGGAGGTTGCAGTGAGCCAAGATCGTACCACTGCATTCCAGCCTGGGCGACAGAGTGAGATTCTGTCTCAAAAAAAAAGAAAGAAAAAAAAAGTGAGTAATTTAAGAGAATTAAATCAGAATAACAAGAGGTAGGGTCCAGGCATGAATATTTTTTAAGCCTCCTAGGTGATTCTAAGGTGCAGCCAGAGCTAAGAACCACAGGTAGTCCTGAAGAGAAAAAATTGGGTTGCCCTTGTTACCTTTTGTGTCTAATACATATTACAAGGAATGGCATAAAGCTAGTTGTCCTCTGTCATCTTGGAACAGCACCTGTGGTACTCCTGTTACTATTAACTTGCATTCATCCATTTCATAACTTCGTGAAAGCAGCATGCTCCTCTGGAAGGTCATGTAAGTCACAGCTTCCCTCCTTGTTCCAGGGGGCTACATCCTTGAAAGGTCTGTCCTGGTTCTGATCAGAGGTTAGCTGATCATTGCCTGCTTTGCATATAGCATCTGCCTTGGGAAAGGTGATGGATTATAGCATAAAAAACAAATGTGACTGTATTTTCTGTGGCCAAATAACTTTCACATGTAGTTCTTTGAAATTCTTCTCTCTTACGGTGAGTATGTTGGCTAATTTTTTGTCAACTTGACTATGATACTGGTTTTTGTTGTTGTTGTTGTTGTTAAATACCAGTGTAGATGTTGCTGTGAAGTTATTATTTACATGTTATTAACATTTAAATCAGTAGAATTTGAATACAGCATATTACCCCTCATAACGTGAGTGGGCCTCATCTAATCAGTTGAAGGCCTTAAGAGAAAAGATTGAGGAACTCTTTCCTGGGTCTCCACCTTGCCAGCCCTGCTGAGTTCAGATTTTCCAACCACACAATTGCGTAAGGCAATTCTTTAAAATAAATCTCTCTCTCTCCCTTTTTCTCCACATATGTTTGTCTCGAGCAACCTTAGTTTGGGGACATCTCCCTGAAGTAGCTTATGAAGTTTAAAAAATGTTGCTTTATTTTCCTATAACTGCACTGAACTTCGCTCTTGACCACACAACCCTTTTAATAGCATATCAATGTATCTAGTCACTTCAAGGTTAAGTTAGTCATTTATGAACTCTTCCTCTCTCTTTTGGATGATACACTGTCACATTCAAGGATTTCTCCCACCTTTTTCCTACTTCCCAACCCTCACAATGATTTAAATAACATAGAAGGAGGGGACTTGCTCATGTATTGCCTTCATGTCAGGGGAGAGGTTTTTTGTCCAAAGTGGGTAGCCTCTGTCCACATTGACTTCTGCTGCTATTTCCTTTCCATGCTGGCTGCTACCCATTCCTGCTGGCATTGGCTCAGTTGGTTCCTGTCCTGCCATGATCTTTAATTCATAGAGGCCCCCGTATTGCATTGTCCTGATGCCAATATAAAGTTTTCTTTCAATACTCTGGCTCTCCTTCAACCTTTGAGGAATCCCCTCTCCTAGAGACATGAAGACTGAGAAAGGCTGTCCCCATACCACATAGGTATGCCAGCATTTTTATGAGGTTGTTCTAATGTACATGCACCTTAATACTTCTCTCAGCCATTGCTACTCTTTTGAAACGCTGTATTGGACATGTGGCTTATCCACACAGGTTTTAAATTTCCAGGATGACATTTTGAAATTAAAGCAAGGTCCCTAGACTTATCTGGAGTCTCTTTTGTCCTCTCCACCTGGAACTCAGCCAAGGAAGGTAAAGGAGGCAGGGTAGGAATAAGTTATAGATTTCTTTCTCAAAGAGTGGTGTGTCTGCTAACCTCTGCTGCCCATAGTGGGTGTTACACAAAAGCAATTTATGCATACAGTCTCATGCTTCCTGGAATATGGGAACATATGCTATCCTCAAGAACTGAGATTAAGGAAGAACTTCAGTAGACGCCATGCCTGAGACTCATAACTGAAAGGAGAGGGTCCTTAGATAAAAACAAAGGCTTTTCAAAGATAATAGACTTGTCCTGATAAAAGATGCATTATAGATCATAGTCAATACTGTTGTGTACATGTGCCATAGACACTGAGCTATCAGAGAAGCTACCAGGAGAGTATTTGGGTGAAAAACTCAAGGCCTCCTAGGACATTAGGGTAAAGGTGACTTTGGAACTAATAATCAGGTCTTGGGTAATTAAGACTAAGGTTCTACAAGAAGGACACAAAAGCTTTACTGTCCACTGGTGGAAGGCCTCTTGGTGTATAGAGAACTCAACCTAAGTTAATGAATGAGGTAAATTATACCCTTTCTGAGGAATCACCTTGACTTGACTTTGTGTGATTCCTTCACAGTGCTTCTGAATCTGGTTCTTAGAAAATGTTTCCAAATTCCTTGACAGGTGGGGTTAATTAAGCAGTCTGAGAAAACGATATACCACGCTGAGGCAAGATCACCAAATGTGGGCAACAAGAGTGTGTTTTGAAAAATATTTCCCAATATTAACCCTTGCCCCCAAGAGTCAAGAACAAAGCATCACAGGAAAAAGTGGATAAGAGGTAGTGGGAGAGAAATAGTACAAATGAACAGTAGGAGTGACCAGAATAATAGGTGATATGCTATATCAAGGTTTAAGTATGTGCCAGGCACTATGCTAAGCATTTTATATATATTATCTCAATTAATTTTATGAAAACCCTATGGAGGAGTGTGGCAGAGTCAGATAGCTGTCCTGCTCCTACCTCCACAGTGAAGGGTTATCTCTGGAAAGTGGCAGCCCAAGGAGGGGCTACGTTTTCTATCCACATCCATGCAGTTAAATGGAGCAATGTGATTATTTCTTGTGATAGACTGAATAATGGTCTTCATAATTACTTCCTAACCTACAGAACTTGGTAAATTTTAATTTACATGCAAAAGGGACCTTGCAGATAAAGAAAGTTAAGTCTCTTTAGATGAGGACGTTATCCTGGATTATCCAAGTGGGTCCTAAATGCAATTACAAGGGTTCCTTTTAAGAGGGATGCAGAGAGAGATTGGAAGATGCTATCTTGCTGGCTTTGAAGATGGAGAAAGAGCCTCAAAGCCAAATAATGCAGAGGATGCTGTACTAGAAGTTGGAAAAGGCAAGGAAATAGATTCTTTCCAGAGCCTGCAGAGAGAGCACAGCCCTGCTGACATCTTGGTTTCAGTCCAGTAAATCTCCTTTGGATTTCTGTCTTCCAGAATTGTAAGAAAAAATACATTTCAGTTGTTGTAAGCCAATAAGTTTGTGGTAATTTGTTACAGCAGCCATCAGAAACTGATACCGTTCCCACCCAAAAAAATATGACCCAAAATATCACAAGGCCCACATAGTGATTTGCAAAGACCCTAGGTATTCTGACTTCATGGCTATTTTCCTCTATAAAGAAACAATATATATTTTTTGAGAGGGAGTTTTGCTCTGTCACCCAGGCTGGAGTGCAGTGGCGTGATCTTGGCTCACTGCAACCTCCATCTCCTGGGTTCAAGCCATTCTTCTGCCTCAGCCTCCCGAGTAGCTGGGACTACAGGCATACGCCACCACACCCGGCTAATTTTTGTATTTTTAATAGAGATGGGGTTTCACCATATTGGCCAGGCTGGTCTCAAACTCCTGACCTCAGGTGATCCACATGCCTCGGCCTCCAAAAGTGCTGGGATTACAGGCATGAGCCACCACACCCAGCCCATAAAATATATTTTATGACTACATTGATATACAGATGAATATAATCCTGGCTTAATTCACAATTACATGTTTGTTATTATTATGTTCATATTTTTCTTCTGTTTTTAACAGAAGTTAAAATTAAAACCATTTTTTATGGGCTGTTAAGACTCTCATGAGTTCTAGGTCTTGTGAACACTGTACCTAATAAGGTAAGTCAGTACTGCATGTCACTTCTGGACCATGGATTTTATGAAGCTAGTGTGTCATTTCCAGTTTCTCTTTCTTGAAAGAGGTCTCTCCTAAGAAAGTCCAACAATGGAGTCCAGCAATTGGTGGCTGTCTTAGTCTGCTCAGGATGCCAGCAGCATGCACAAGATTTTGTTTTCTCTGAATCATCAGGTGGAAGAAAGTTACCTTCTGTCTGGGAATACCTACATTATATTGTTACATAAGTGAAAAATTAACTTTTGTTGTTCTAAGTGACAGAAATATTGTGGTGTATTTTAAACGACAGCTGACACTATGCTAAGCAATACATAAATTTGGTGTTTTGAAGTGGGATTCACCCATAATTTAAAAACTACATTGTATGGCTTTCCCTTAGTAGTCAATTTGTATGAAGTAAGGAAGCTGACATTGGAAACTGGAGATATGGATACCCAAGTTGTACAGTGGCAAATACTGGATGAATTTATTATCCATGATAATTTGGAAATCAGACAAAAGACCTACTAAGACTGAATCTCTAGGAAGAGAGATTGAATAACAGAATGTTAGTAGTGTGTATCGGTTGTTACTTGCGCATTTAGCAAGGTGTGTCGAAAAAGGGATGCATACAAGCAAGAATTACCTAGTTTGAGATTTAAAACAGAAAGCAATACAGATCAGCAATTGTTGGTTGTCTTAGTCTGCTCAGGATGCCATAATAAAATATTATAGACTGGGTGGCTTAAACCACACAAATGTATTTTCTCACAATTCTGGAGGGCTGAAGTCCCAGATCAAGGTCTGACAGGGTTGATCTTTGGTGAGGACTCCTTTCCTGGCTTGCAGACAGCTGCCTTCTCACTGAGTCCCCACATGGCCTTTTATCTGTGCATGTGCATGGAGAGACATAAAAACTTATTTCTTCCTATTTTCATAAGGCCACCAATCCTATTAGATTAGGATCCCATCATTATGACCTCATTTAATCTTAATTACATCCTAAAATCCCTGTCTCCAAATACAGTCACTTTGGGGCTTAGGATTTCAACATATAAATTTTGTGTGGACACAATTTTGTCCATAGTAGTGGCCTTGCATGATTTAAAATACCAACTATTGCTGTACTCAAAATAGGAAGAACTCAGGCTGAAAAGTTATTTAAGCAAAAAGGCTCAGTAAAGCTCATCAGTTAGAGTGAAAATGGGAGAATACATAACTCCAAAGTTGCATGTCTCCACAAAGGCAGCTAATAAACTGGCAAAACCTGTCACAATCAATTTTTTCTGAACTCTGAAAACTAACCAAAAACCTGTAGCAACTAGGGGAATGCTTACTCAGGAAAAAACCAGTTGAATATGAATGGGAAGAGAGAAGTTTTTGGAATTTAAAGTTACCTTGATGCCATATCCCATTGCTTAGCTAGATGGTGCCATCAAAGACAACAACCTACATTCTAAGAAGAGACACTGGTGGTACCAGAGAGAGCAGAACAGACCTTTTTCTCAAAAGATTGTGGTTGTTTGCTTTGACGTGTTTGGTGGCTGCCCAGAAGATAGGCTAAAAGGCTTGCCTAACTCTCCCACTGCTAAGGTGACTACCCAAGGAACACTTGTTGAAAACATTTAAAGGCAAACACTTTGCCACTGTTGCCTGAGAAAATGGTTAACTGGTGGAGCAAACAATAAACTAACCAAAAAGCTTGGGAAGAGTCTGGGGAATTACATGCTTTGGGAATAAGGACTTTCAAAACTCTGTTATATTCCTAGGAATACATAAGTCCACACATGTGCCCAGGGTTGGTTACATTCTCAGGAAATTCCTGAGGACCTAAACATCAGCTCTAGCTGACCATCCAGCTTTGTGCAAGCAGGAAGTGAAAACTAAAGCAGAGTTGTGAATGGCCAGGCTGGGTATTGAAGACAGGCACCAATATACATGGTGAGCTCATTTGCAAATACTTTTTTTTTCCCCAGGCATATAGAGAAATCTGTGTCCATTTACTAGCTGACTACTAAGCTAATGGAGCAAAGATTTTATTGGTACATGAAAAGAACACAGACTTCACAAAACTAGTTCAGAAAAAGTCATTAAACAAACAAACAATAACAACTACAACAAGCAGCATCTACAAATCATGGAAATTGGAGAATGTATGATGTCTAAAATTGCCACGTTATGATAATTCTCAGGTTTCAACTATATGTATATGCATATAAACATGTATATATGCATATATATACATATAAACATGTATATATGCATATATATACATATAAACATGTATATATGCATATATATACATATAAACATGTATATATGCATATATACATATAAACATGTATATATGCATATATACATATAAATATGTATATATGTATATATGCATATATATGCATATATATACATATATGCATATAAATATGTATATATGCATATATATACATATATATATATGTATGGCAATGAAATAGTAAAATATAGCCAATATGCTATAGACAAAAGAATTACTAGAAACTCTCATTGTGGAACTCAGGCATTAGAATTACAAGACAAAGACTTTGAAATAACTATTTTAAATATACTCAAAGAGCTAAAGGAAACCACATAATAATAACGAAAGAAAACCAAATGATGTCTCATCAATTAGAGAATATCAGTAAGGATATAGAAATTATAAAGGGAAACCAATTAACATTTTGGAGTCAATAAGTACAGTAACTTATATGAAATTTGCTAGCAGATTTGAGAAGGCAGAAAAAATGGCAAACTTAAATATAGGTCAATCAAGAATCAGAAAGTAAAATAATGAATAATGAAGAAAGCCTGAGTCTTTTAGTACATGATCAAGTGTACCAAAATATTTATAATGGGAGTCCTAAAAGAGAGGAGGGAGTAAAAGGGGCAGAAAGAATATTTGAAGATATAATGACAGAAAATTCTTCAATATAATGAAAGATATGACCACACATCTGAAAAGATTAATGAATCCCAAATGGGATAAACTGAAAGAGATCAACAGTGTAATATATTACAGTCAAATTATCAGAAAACAATGACAAAGAGAATCCTGAGAGCAGCATCAGAAAAGCAACTCATCAATTCTAAGGGCTCTTCAATAAGAGTGAGAACAGATTTTTTAACAAAAAACATGGAGGTCAGGAGGCAATGTGATGAGAAGTTCAAAATACCAAAAGACAAAAAATGGTTGACAAATAATCTTATATCCAACAAACTATCCTTCAAAGTGAAGTAAAAATTAAGATAGTACCAGAGAAAAAAAAAACCTGAGGGAGTTTGTTATTAGTGCACCTGCCATACAAGAAATGCTAAACAGCTCAGGTTGAATTTAAAAAAAACATCAGGCAGTAACCATGAATAAATTAAGAACTATTAAAGGTAACCACAAAGGAAAATTAAAAATTCGGTATTAATGTATTTTTGGTTTGTAACTCTTCTGTTTTCCTATATTATTTAAAAGACAACTGCATAAAACAATATTTATAAATCTATGGTGATGGGCACACAATGTATAAAATAAAGATGCAATATGTGGCAATAGTCTTATAAAGTAGGAGACACAGCTATATAGAAATTTTTTTAATTGTAAATATGTTTATATTAATCCAAACTAGATAGTTGTACATTAAGGTGTTAATTGTAATCCAAACAACCACTAAGAAAACAAATAAAATATATAAAGTAAAATAAATTACCAGAGAATTAAAATGATACACTAGAATATAACTGTTTAGCACAAAATAAGGCAATATATGAGCAATTAAGGAGCTAAAAAGCTATAAGACATATAAAAAACAAAAACCATAATGGCAGATTTAAGTTTTTTCTTATTAGTTATCACATTATATAAATGGATTAAAATCTACAATTGAAAGGTAGAGATGGACAGAATGGGTAAAAAATCACAAGCAATCCTTAGGATGTCTATGAAAGACTCAACTTAGATTCAAATACACACATAGTTTGAAAGTAAAAGGGTGGAAAAATCATTTCATGTGAATAGTAACCTGAAGAGAGTGGGTATGACTACAGTATTATCAGATAAGTTAGACATTAAAACAAAAGTTGTTACAAGAGAAAAGGGACATTATATAATAATAAATTGTCAATTCATTAAGAAAGTATATCAATTATAAACATATATATGCACTTAACAAAAGAACTCAAAATATATGTGGCAAGAACAGAATTTAAGGAAGAAATAAACAGTTCAACAATAACACTGGAAAGTTTGATACTCCACCTATAATTCTGAATGAAAGAGCTAGACAAAAGATCAGCAAGTAAATAGAAGATTTTAATAACACTGTAAAGCAGCTAGAACTAACAGACATAAATAGAACACACCACAAAAAACAGCAGAATACACATTCTTCTCAAGCCCTCATACAATATATTCTAGAATAGGTCATGTGTTAAATGACAAGGCAAGTCTCAATAAACTTTAAAAGATTGAAATCATATAAAGTATCTTCTCTTTATATGGAATAAAATTAGAATCAATAACAAAGGGAAATGTGAAAATTAAACATCACACTACTTTTTAAATTTTCATCAACAAAAATATTTATTACAAGATAATTGAGGGAGCTTTTCTGTATCATGAGATTAAAATGATGTTGAGCCAAGAGCAAAATCACCAGCGAAATCATTAAACAATCATTAAATCAAAGACATTTTCAGCTTGCCCAAATGGAACCTTTATTTCCCCAGATTATTTCTGAAAACATTGCTTAAGGAATACATGAGCAAACATAGCTTGAAAATCAAGAATTACGTAGGCATGAAGCGGTTACTCAATTAGAACTTCCATATCATCTGAAATTCCCTTTACTATATGAAATAGGTTGTCAACTAATAATCTTTTGAGGAAAATATGTTTTTCCACAGAATTTGCTTTCAGTGAAGTAGAAGACATTTTTAAATTCTTGTGATTATAGCAGCACAAAACTAGCATGTACATTAGACAGAAAACTTACTTGGGGCATCAGAATTTGGTTTCACATCAATTTGGTTCTGATCAAGGAAGTGGAGCCACTATAAATGATATGGAATAAGGTATTTATTAGAGGGTGTAAAATTTTGAAGTTGATTTAAACAGAAAGATTCTCTGGAACCCTATTGCTTCTGTATTTGCAGGAGGGCCTAAAGTTGCTGTAGAACAGTGGGCTGGTGTCAAGAGAAAAGCCCCAAGTGAAGCAGAGGAGAGTGCAGCCAAAATGGAATCCAAGAAGATAAAATGAAAGCTATATCCTTTGGTCATTCTCTCCAACATCAATAGTGAAGAGTGGACTGTAGTAGCAGGCATTCTTTGCTATGGTGCTATGAAACATCACAGTATTAAACAACCAACTAGTCAAAGCAGAAATCTCAAGAGAAATTAAAAAATATTTTGAGATGGGTGAAAATAAAAAGCACAACATATTAAAATTTATAGGATGCTGCAAAAGCAGTGCTCAGAGTGAAATTTATCAGGCTGTAAACACCATATTGGCAGAATGAGGAATAAAAGCACATTATCATCTCAATGGGTGAAGATAAAGCATTTGACAAAATCCAACAACACCGTCGCATTAAAAATCAGCTAGGAATGAAATGGAATGTTCTCAACCTGATAAGAGGCATTTACTGAAAACCCAAATCTAATACTATGACTAATGATAAAGAACGACAGGATTCCCCATAAGAGCAAGACAAGGATGCCCATTCTCACCACTTCTATTCAACATTTTACTAAAAGTTCTAGCTAAAACAATTAGGCAAGAAAAAAGAAATAAATGGTGTACAGGCTAGAAAGCAAGAAGTAAACTATATTCTTAGATGACATTATCTTATGTTAAAAAAAAACCTAGGGATACACACACACACACACACACACACACACACACACACAGAGAGAGAACCCTAATAGACACCAGAAAGGCTTCAAGATGACTTACTAGTAGTATCTAGTACTCGGTTCCTGTACTAAGAAAAATCAAAATAGTAAATAGAAAATATTACTTTGAATAGATCATACAAGAGAGAATACTAGTGTTCAATAGAAAAGTGACAGGAAATGCCTAAAGCAAAGAAGAGGGAAGTGAGGTAGCCTGCTTGACCAAGATTGGCTCGAACCTGGGATAGACTCCCTAGTCCAGAAAAAAGGTAAGTGAGAGACCCCAGTGGACCACATTCCCACAGTGGAATTGTGCAATCCTAGCCACAGAAGAGTCCCCTTGACCCTTACGGGCCCTGAAACCCTGAAACTAACATAAGGAGTTGCCTAAAGATGGTCCAGTGGCACTGCTCCAGAAAGGGACCTTGCACTGGATCCCAAACACTCTCCAAGTCCTAAACAGCCACAGCAAGGGGCCATTTTGAGAGCACACCCCACAACAGACTGCACATTGTCCTGAGGCCCAGCAGTGCTGGGGCTGAGGCATGAGTGAGGTGCTGGCTGCCATTGCTGGGGCTGAGGCATGAACAGAGTCCACATTCCTTACCTGCTGGCCTAGGCTGCCACCACTAAAGGAGTTCCTTGCCTCCCCAACAGCAGGGATACAGCATAGCCACTGCTGTTCCTAACCTGAGCATTCCACTTGGGGCCTGATGATAGTCCCACTCCTGCACCTGCACACAACATTGAAGGGCCTGAGGGTAAGTCAGCCTGGCCTGGCTCCCCACACCCCCAAAGCCAGAGCAAGCAGTCTGGGGTCCTAGGAGCTGCCCACCCCAGTCCACCACTGCTGGCACCAGAGCAATCCTCCTGGAGGCCTGAGGTTGGGCTTACCCACCTGGCCATTATCACCTCAAGGGCACCTGCCAGCAGGTGCCACACGTGGGCCTGGAGACTGGCCTGCCTAGCACATCACAGCCACTGCCAACACCACCACATACCACTCAGGACCTAGATGATTATCCTGCCACTGCTACTGTCATTGCCTACACCATACCAGCTTCCCAAGGGCCCAAGAACCCACCCATCCACCCAGCCCACCACTGCCACTACCAGCATCCAAGAAGTTACAAGTATCATCCCATCTACACTTGGTGATACTGGTGCCAGTATATGCTGCCCTAGGGCCCAAGGACAGGTATGGTCAGTGCACTGTGGCTACCACTGTGGCCTGAAGACTGGCTGTATTAGTTTGTTTTCACACTGCTAATAAAGACATACCTGAAACTGGGTAATTTATAAAGGAAAGAGTTTAATTGACTAACAGTTCAGCATGGCTGGGGAGGCCTCAGGAAACTTAAAATCATGGTGGAAGGGGAAGCAAACATGTTCTTCTTCACATGGTGGAAGCAAGGAGAAGTGCCAAGTAAAAGGAGGGAAAAATTCACTTATAAAACCACCAGATCTTGTGTGAACTCACTCACTATCATGAGAACAGCAGCATGGGGGTAACCTCCCCCATGATTCAATTACCTCTCTGGGTCCCTCCCACAATACGTGGGGATTATGCAATTCAAGATAGATTTGGGTTGGGACACAGCCAAACCATATTATTCTGTCCCTGGTTCCTCCCAAATCTCATGTTCTCACATTTCAAAACACAATTATGCCCTCCAAGAGTCCCCCAAAGTTTTAATTCATTCCAGCATTAACCCAAAACTCAACTCCAAAGTCTCATCTGAAACAAGGCAAGTCCCTTTTGCCTATGAGCCTGTAAAATCAAAAGCATGTTAGTTACCTCCTAGATACAATGGAGGTACGGACATTTGGTAAATATGCTCATTCCAAATGGGAGAAATTGGCCAAAACAAAGGGGCTATAGGCTTCATGCAAGTTCAAAATCCAATAGGGCGGCCATTAAACCTTAAAGTTCCAAAATGTTCTGTTTTGACTCCATGTCTCACATCCAGGTCATGCTGATGCAAGAACTGGGTTCTGATGGTCTTGGACAGCTCCACCCCTGTGGCTTTGCAGGCTACAACCCCCTCCAGGATGATTTCGTGGGCTGGCATTGAGTGTCTGCGGCTTTTCCAGGCACATGATGCATGATTTCGGTGGATCTGAAGGATGATGGCTCTTTTCTCACAGCTTCACTAGGCAGTGCCCCAGTGGGGGCTCCATGTGAGGGCTCTGATCCCACATTTCCCTTCTCCACTGCCATAGCAGAGGTTCTCCATGAGGGCTCCACAACATGGCAGAAGTCCAGCAAACTTCTGCCTGGACATCCACGTGTTTCCATACATCCTCTGAAATCAAGGTGGAGGTTCCCACACCTTAATTCTTGTGTTCTGCAGACCCACAAGACAAACACCACATGGGAGCTGCCAAGGCTTGAGGCTTGCACCCTCTGAAGCAATGGCCCGAGCTGTACCTTGGCCCCTTTTAGCCACAGCTGGAGCTGAAGCAGCTGGATCGCAAAGCACCATATCCTGAGGCTGCACAGAGTAGGGGGCCCTGGGCCCAGACCAGGAAACCATTTTTCCCTCCTAGGCCTCTGAGCCTGTGATGGAAGGTGCTGCCACAAAGTTCTCTCACATGCCCTGGAGACGTTTTTCCTCTTGCCTTGGGGATTAACATTCAGCTCCTTGTTACTTATGCAAATTTCTGCAGCAGGCTTCAATTTCTCACCAGAAAACGGGTTTTTATTTTCTAATGCATTGGTGGGCTGCAAATTTTCCATACTTTTATGCTCTGCTTCCTTCTGAATGCATTGCTGCTTAGAAATTTCTTCCCCTAGATACCCTAAATCATCTCTCTCAAGTTCAAAGTTCCACAGATCTCTAGGGCAGGGGCAAATGACACCAGTCTCCTTGCCAAAGCATGAAAAGAGTCACCTTTGCTCCAGTTCCCAACAAGTTCCTCATCTCCATCTGAGACCACCTCAGCCTGGACTTTATTGTCCATATCACTATCAGCATTTTGGTCAAAGCTATTCAACAAGTCTCTAGAATGTTCCAAACTTTCCCACATCTTCCTGTCTTCTTCTGTGCCCTCTAAACTGTTCCAACCTCTGCCTGTTACCCAGTTCCAAAATTGCTTCCACATTTTCAGGCATCTTTACAGCAGCACCCCACTCTGTGGTACAAATTTACTGTGTTAGTCCGTTCTCATGCTGCTAATAAAGACATACCTAATTTATAAAGGAAAGAGGTTTAATTGACTGACAGTTCAGCATGGCTGAGGAGGACTCAAGAAATTTACAATCATAGTGGAAGGGGAAGCAACCACGTCCTTCTTCATATGATGGCAGGAAGGAGAGGTACAGAGCTAAAGGGGCCCCTTATAAAACCATCAGACCTTGTGAGAACTCACTCACTATCACAAGAACTGCAGAATGGGGGTACCCTCACCATGATTCCATTACCTCCCACTGGGTCCCTCCCTCAACATGTGGGGATTATGGGAACGACAATTCAAGATGAGATTTGGATGGGGACACAATCAAACCATATCACTGGCCCAACTGGCATCCCAGTCTTCAGCAGAACTTCACCACAGCCTCCACTATTAAAACAATTGAAGAAATCACAGGTACTAGTAATGCTGTTTACAGCCAAAGTAATCATACAGAGATTACACTACTGCACTCATCCAGAATCAAAGCCAAAGTGCCCTACCCAACCAATAAAATCAATACATCTTCAGGAAAAAGCCCTTCCCAAGAAAGCAGATTCAAAATACTGGAATAAGTGACTATTATACCAGATACACAGATATCGATATACGGACACAGAAAATATGAAAGAAATGAGAAAATATGATGCCCTCAAAGGAATATAGTAATTCTCCAGTAACAGACCCCAGTCAAAACAAATCTAAGAAATCCTGGAAAAAGAATTCAAAATATTGATTTTTAGGAAGCTCAGTGAGATACAGGAGAATACTGAAAAACAATACAAAGAAATCAGAAAGACAATTCAAGATATGAATGAGAAATTTATCAAATAGATATCATAAAAAGAAGCAAATAGAAATTCTGAAACAATAATTCATTTAATGAAATATAAAATACATTTGAAAGCTTCAACAATAAGGCAGATTAAGCAGAAGAAAGACTCTCAGAACTTTAAGATATGTCAGAGATAAATAAAGAAATATTACAGAGAAAAATAAAGAAAAAAGGAATGAACAAAGCCTACATGATATGTGGGACTCCAGAAAGCAACTAAATATTCGAATTTTCAGAGTCACACAAAAATTCAAGCTAAATAGAAAATGTTCAGAATGAAATAGTCTGTGAATAAAAAATGCTTATTAAGACTTGTCAGTTAAAAAGATGGACTTAGTCCTTCAGCAGATATCAGATTAAGGTTCTTTCCTTCTCACTTGATCCAACTGGTTCAAATGGCCTCCATTAAGAAAAGAGAGAGCAATAGGATGAGAAAGCAAAGAAATAAGGCAGACAATAATTTTGTCAAGGAAAAAAGTGGGGTTAGGTTACTGGCACACAGAAATGGTTGAATATAAATTAACTGAAAGCTTACTGAATTTGAAATAATTGTACTGCCAAAGAAACCACAAAGGAAGTCTACAAGAGCCCACCACTGTATAGTAATGCCCTGGCCTCTAAACCTGAACCAGCAGAAAGATGGCTGTGGAAAATTATGTATCCACTAAGGAGGAAAAGCTCCCCCAAACCCACCTGAGATATAATCATGGAAAGGAATGGACAAGAAAGTTTCCCACAGAGAGAAGAATCAGGATCTAATCAGAGAGTCTCCCCAACCGCCCTGGCAGGCTGTCTTCAGAATGTATCTGACCAGTAAGATTCCGTTATTGCCATGGGCCACCAATCATTGTAACTTTCCTTCTGTTTTTTAATGGGAGTTTTTTACTGGGTTTTTTCTGTATCTATTCCACCATCATGCATTGAGGATTTGAGGGAGACAGATAACTTTTATCTCAATAGGAGCCTGATAGATACTGAGCTGGATGTAGTAACTAGATAGAACTTTGGCTTATCTCCCTTGGGAAGAGAGTGAGTGTATTCTAAGTATGAGAAGAAATGTGCATACAGATCTTTGGTGGCCAGAGGAGCAAACAAAGATAAATGTCCTCTAAAGATCTATGCCCTGCCCTCCATTGGATAAAATTGTTAAGAAACAGCTGGCTATCCAGGGACTATATTTTCCAGATATTTGACAGATATTTGTGGCTTGTTCTTAAAAATGTAATATGAGTAGAAGTGATCTGTGTTACTATGAGCCAAGAGGCCGATATGCTCTTTCCATTATCTCTTTTCTCCTTTTGCCATTTGGAAGTGGGGTCACTCGAGACCCTGAGGGTATGGAGGAATCACAAGACATAGAAGAGCTGGGACCTCTGAATTACTATGTGGAGGAAATCACATATCTATCACAAACAACTACTTTGGACTCTCGTGAGAATGAAATAAACTTCTGATGTATTAAGCCATGAAAACATTCAGTTTTATTTGATAAAACAGTAAGTGGGCTGGGCATGATGGCTGATGCCGGTAATCCCAACACTTCGGGAGGCCAAGGTGAGAAGATCACTTGAGGCCAGGAGTTTGAGACCAACCTGGGAAACACAGGGAGACCCCCGTCTCTACAATTCTTTTTTTTCAAATAGCTAGGCATGGTGGCACATACCTACAGTCTCAGCTACTCTGGAGGCTGAGGCGAGAGGATCACTTGAGCACAGGAGTTCAAGGTTACAGTGAGCCATGGTCGTACCACTGCACTTCAGCCTGGGCAATAGAGGGAGGCCCCGTCTCTAAAAAACAAACAAAATAAAAACCAGTTAGCATTACCCTTATCTAAAAATGTACCAATACTTTGTACATATGAGGAAATAAAGGCTCAGGGGGGTAAGGATCTTTTACAGAGGTACATGGCTATTTAGGGGTGAAACCAGGATATTTACCCAGGCTGTCTCACTCTTGGGCCTCTGGTTTTGGCTAGGATCTTACTTGCCTCCTGGAAAACGGTAGGAACAAAGGCAATGAAAGCAGCACTGGCCTCTTTCTTTTTTTCTTTTTTAGACTTAGGATTTCTTTTCTATTAATTTTTATTTTTATTTTAAGTTCTGAGGTACATGTACAGGATGTCCAGGTTTGTTACACAGGTAAACGTGTGCCATGATGGTTTGCTGCACCTGTCCATGCATCACCTAGGTATTAAGCCCACTACGCAAGAACTATTTTTCCTGATACTCTCCCTCCCCTTGCACCCCACAACAGGCCCCAGTGTATGTTGTTCTCCTCTCTATGTTCATGTGTTCTCATTGTTCAGCTCCCACTTATAAGTAAGAACGTGCGGTGTTTGCTTTTCTCTTCCTGCATTAGTTTGCTGAGGATAATGGCTTCCAGCTCCATCCATGTCCCTACAAAGGACATGATCTCATTTCTTTTTATGGCTACAAAGTATTCCATGCTGTATATGTACCACATTTTCTTTATGCAGTCTATCATTTATGGGCATTTGTGTTGATGTTGATTCCATGTCTTTACTACTGTGAATGCACTGGCCTCTTTCTGAAGTTACATCCTGCTGCAGCAGGAAACCGCCTACAAGGTAAATAGTAAACAATAAACAAAAGCAGAAAGTTTTACCAGTTTTTAAGAAGGAGCCACAAGTTTCCAAGAAGCCAGTTGGAAAGTTGAAACTGGATATTAGAGTCCTAACATCTCCATGACGAGCGGGGCATCGCAAATCCTCTTGATGACACATTCATTTATTCACATCCAATAAACATCAATGGAGGGCCTACCATATGCCAGGGTGTGTTCCTGTAAAACAAAACAAAAATCCTCATGGAGCCTACATATTAAGTGAGGGGAGATAGACAGTAAACTAAATAAGTAGAATATACCAGATGTTACAAGGTGATAAGTACTATGGAGAATAATAAAGCAGGGCAGAAAGAAAGTACAGCAGTTCAGCTATAATTGTTCCTTTCTGCAGGCTGGAGAAACAAGGGTTACTCTTTCTGTTTGATGCACCTCACTTCCCAGAACCTAGATGAAACGCCCCCACAAGAGGTCTAAGTTGATTTTTGCTACCCCTATCACTTGTTTGTCTTATGTCCCTGCAAATGATTAACTTTGCAAGGTGAGATTTTGCAAGGGCTTGTCTGAGCATGCATCCTCCTCCCCCCACCCAGTTGTGGCAACTGTCTTATCTGCTTTCCATTTTGCTAATACCTAAACAACAGGCCTTCTCTTTGCTGACTGTGGGCCTACCATAGGAACAACTATCTGTGATGTTGCTCCACCTATTTCCTGACTTCTGTCTCAGTCTCTTCCTATGTTTTCAAGGAGCAAGACTAGCATCACAAGCGTGAGTTTTGGAGTCAAAGGTACCTGAGTTCATACCTTGGTTCTACCACTTACTGGCTATGGGAACTCTGACAAATTACTTAATGCCTGAGTAGTATGAAATGGGTATAATGCTAAAGAAACATTCTGGAGTGTGACGTAGATTAAGGAGTTGGCATCAGAATGTAAATCAATGAAACTCTTCTCAATCAGGACATTCAAGGGATCAGATCTGCCAATAATTAAAGTTTGGGTATACCACTGAGCAATGAACCACTACTGAGATACTGGTGAAAAGAAAAGCAGATATTAAGTGAAGAGTGGAGGAAGGAAGTCATAAATGCTAAATATGACCTCAAGACCTGCTACAGTACTGAGAACTTTGGTCTTCACAAACTTGTCCTTCCTTCATGGTCATGGATATATACCTATATATTTTAATTAATATGTATTCTATTTTTCCTAATCTGTACATAAGTTGTGATTATGGTGGCTAAATTTAGTCCACAGATTGAAGAGTATCAAAACATAATCACAATGGATCTAGAGGGGGTATGAATATTACCCACAGATCCAGGAATTAAAGCTCAATGAAGTGACCAATGAGTTATTGGGAAGTGGCAGGATTTGTTTTGGGTTGTCCATGAAATAACTGTATATTTTTAGGCAGGAGCATTTTTCAGAGACAGTCTATGGGAGGAAGGTGTGTAGATAATGGGCAGCTGTAAGCATGGGTTCTAGTTGACATGTATGGCTTTTTAGGAACTGGAGCATCATTTTTTCCCTTTTTAATGGTACTCCAATTTCCTTTTAAATAACTACTCCTTGGCCTTTATATTAAGTCTACTTAAATCAATGGCACTTCTCTTCTGTAACGAGGAGGCAGGCACATGACTTAAGTGAGGATAATGTAATGCTCTGTGGCTAGATTTTGAATTTTAGTCATAGGGATAGAAAGACTAAAAGTGTCTAAGGTCCAGGCAATTAATGTGTCAGTGTCCTAATCAGACCAATTGTTCTACAACACCACTTTTGTTCATCACTAACTCAGTTCTCTAGTTTCCCATTGGTTCTCTGAAGCCTTAATATCATTATGATAAATTTACTTCTGCTTGAGTTTGTCTGAGTTGTTTATTTTATTTTTCATAACCACTTTCAAGGAGTTTAATAGAAAGGCCACATATAATATAAAAATGTTGTACATGAGTACTAACATCAAAGCAAGTGTTTGAATTCTGGCTCTGCTGCTTATTTATCCTCTCTGGGACTCAGTTTTCTCATTTGGGAAAAGGAGATGATAAAAATGGCACCCACATCCTGGAATTATTCTTTGATAAGTGTCCAAAAAATCTTAACATTAGTAGTATATAACAGTTACTTTAAAAAGTTAAGTTTTCCTCCTTCACTATCATGTTAAAGGAAGAATGCCCAATTTCATGGGCAGTACCCAGACATGAGATTTTATTGTGCTTATTGGAATAATGGGTAGAACAGTAAAACTGAAAGACACTAAAAGAATCAGCTCTGTTTACATAGGATAGGGCTAGGAGCTACTCCTGGGGGAAAATAATAAATGTTTAAATTGCTTTTCAATGACTTTTGGCTACTGGCCTGGAGTCTTTTGTATATAACTAACTTACCAGAGACAACAAGGTTTACTTCATATTTATTAAAATAAGTTAGGTGTGCATGTGAGGTGGAAGGGTGTTCTTCGCCTTATCTGATACTGAGAGCTTCAGCTGAAGCATTCTTTCCTCTTCCCCTAACGATTTCTTTTCCAGGAGATGCTGATCAATACTTCCCCTTTCTGGGTCTATTTTCCAAATGTTTTCTGTAATCAAATCTTCATCACCAACACATATATAGTCAAATTTTTGACCTAAATACTTCCTGTAGTTCATCACATTCCCATTGGCCTGCCTCAGAGTTCTAAAGCGTTTTATCAGTATTTTTTAACAAGTGTTTACTTTGATAACACTGAGGACCTTTAAACTTTCCCCATTATCCACTTTCCCTTTTACATCTGGCAACTCCAAGTTTTGCTCCTGACAGGATTCAAAAGCCTCTTTCCCTGGTGCTAGAGCAGGACTACCAGAGAAAAATCTCCACTCTTAGTACAATTAACTAACAATTAGAAGGACATCTTTTCCAATTGCTTATTCTAATGTATTTTTCCAGAATTTGATAAATGTGTGGGAGTCTGGATTTATTATTTGTGTTTTTTAATTTTTATATTTATATTTTATATATTTATATATTATTATTATTTAAAAAGCCACAAATCTCTTTTTATGAATGCAGTCCTTTTACTCTTCAAAAATGCTGTATTTTTAAAGAGAGTGTTTTTAAATCAACTACATTTTTGACGTGTACATATATATACAAAGCTATTAACAGTAGTTGGCCCTGAGTATTGTTGGGGTGGAGGTGGAAATGTGGACATTGAGCATTGTATACTTCGTTTTCTTTGAACAAGGAGCATATGAGGTTTTTTACAATTACTCACTTTTTTGAAGCTATAGATCCTTTCTTCTGAAGGCATTTTTAAAGGAAGTTCATTAAAATAGTCTCTATATCTAGGTATTTTATTTCACTTAAGTTCCATGGTCAATCGTTATAATAATTTTCTTGCATATACCCTTGAAACTCTTACCCTTCTCTCATTTTGTCACATTTGCTTGGAAAAGCTGCAACCTTGATCAAATGCAACTGTCTTCCAAGCCTATACCTGAGATTGTAACTGGGGAAAAAAGTGCACAATGATAAATTAATGACCACACACTTAAAAGACGGTTGTAACACTTCAAGAATATCTTATTATTTATTCCTAATCCATTAAATCTTCCATTTCACACCTTCTCTGTCCTCAAACCTCCAATATCGCCTCCTTCATCTTCTCTTTCAGGTGATGACTTTGCTTCCTGCTTTGCAGAGAACATTTTTAAAAATTAAAGGAGACTTTCCACAGACTTGTTACCCACTTAGCAGCATCAATACCTGTATACTGTAACTTCCTGTTTCTTATAAAGATGAACTTCCTTTACTCTTCTCTAAAACCATTTTTTTGCACTAGATCACATGTCCTTTAGCCCACTTTTGCCTTCAGCTCCAGCAATTCTCCCTTCTCTCTCCTATATAACTATTTTTATTTTTGTACTGTACTGGGTCATTCCAATAAACATACTGATTTCCTGTTTTCTCCCATCATGAAAGAAAATATTCCTTGATCTCAATTCCCTGTTAAATCATACCATATTCCTTTACTCAAGTTGCACAGCAAAACTTTAAAATGTGTCAACACTTGAGTTCTCCAATTCCCCTCATCCCATTCTCTGTCCCCTGCACCTCTGTATCTCTCTCTCCCTCCATCTCTTTCCCTCATATAAGCACATGCACACATTTCATTATAATTTACAGAGTGAAATAATTATATTGAGAGTGTGCAGTTCAATGAGTTTTCACAAATTTACAGCCACAAAATCCATCTCAAATCAAGGTATGAAATATTTGCATCAATTCAGAGTTTCCTCATGTCCCTTTCCAATCGTCACCACTCTCATATCAAGCAAACATTTTCATTTCCATAACCATAGATTAGTTTAATATGTTTGAACCTAAATGTAAATGGACTCAAGAGTCCATAGATGGATTCTTCTATGTCTAGCTTTTTAAAACTATGCTTTTCTTTTTTTTTCCTTGCAGTTGCAAGATTTAATAGAGTGAAAACAGAGCTCCCATACAAAGGGAGGGGACCCAAAGAGGGTAGCCATTGCCGGCTTGAATGCCTGGGTTTATATCCCAATCATTGTCCCTCCCACTGTGCTCTCAGGCAATAGATGATTGGCTGTTTCTTTACCCCCTGTTTTTGCCTAATTCGCATTTTAGTGAGCTCTATTTCCTACCTGATTGGTTGGGTGTGAGCTAAGTTGCAAGCCCCGTGTTTAAAGGTGGATGCGATCACCTTGGCTTAGGGATTCTTAGTCGGCCTAGGAAATCCAGCTAGTCCTGTCTCTCAGTACCCCCTCTCAACAGGAAAACCCAAGTGTTGTTGGGGAGGTTGGCCGATGACCGCTTTAACTGCTTCCTGCTGAATTGGGACATAGTAGGGGTTGTGCAGTTGAGATTTCCCCGGGAGGGGTGCCTTCGATGTCATTAACATTGGAGCATGGGCTAGCAGGCCCCCTCCAGGGGGCTGCGGTATATCTTAGTCATGGACTGCATCTGAGACTCCATTTGAAGAACCATTTGTAGTTTTACAGCTTTGATTCTGGAAGAGACAAACTTAACAAGGAGGTTAAAGATACAGGGATTGAAATGTATGGCTTGCAGTGCAGGAGATTATTTCTTTGGCACACTTTACAGGCCCTGACTACCTGCTTGATAGTTTTGAAAAGGCCTGATCCAGTAAATAATAATTTGGCCATCTGATGGGTGCTATCAATGCCTAAGTGAAAGGTTTGGTGAAGGGTTTTAAGTAATTTCCATTGGTTAGCTGCAGGCAAAAGCATTTTTCCTTCTTTGGTGGCTAGCCATCCTGAGGGGAGGAAAGTATGTCCTCGTGAGGTTCTCCATTTTATTTCTCCTGCTGAGTACTGGGGATTGCTTTCCTGGAGGGGGTTACCCCACACTAGGGGTCCTTCTATAAGCATTTCTAATGGAGGGTCCTGCCTTGCGGCTCTTTTGGCTTCAATATCTGCTTGGTAGTTCCCTTCTATTTCCCTTTCCTTTTTTTTCTGATGACCCCAGCAGTGTAGGACTGCCACCTCTTTAGGTTTCTGTACCACCAATAATAATATCCTAATGGCTTCCTGATGTTTGATAGGTGTTCCTTTGGAAGTTAGGAATTCCCTTTCTCTCCATATTGCTGCATGGGCATGAAGGACTAGGTAAGCATACTTATAGTCTGTATATATATTTACCCTTTTCTCTTCTCCTAATTCTAGTGCCCGAGTGAGGGCTATTAGTTTGGCCAGCTCAGCACTAGTTCCTGGAGTGAGGGGATTACTTTCAAGTATTCCATTATCACTGATCACTGCATACCCTACTTTTTGAAGTCCTTTTTCTACAAAGGAACTTCCATCAGTATACAAGTTGAGGTCAGGATCAGTCAAGGGAACTTCTAAAAGGTCCCCTAGAGCGGTGTAGGTTTGAGCAATTACTTGATGACAGTTATGTTCTATCTTTTCTTCATTGTCTGGAAGAAATGTGGCTTGGTTAAGAGTTGCACAAGTGCACAGTCACAGCACTGGCCCTTCAAGTAATACAGCCTGATATTTAAGTAAATTGTTGTCTGACAGCCACAAGTCTCCTTTAGCAGTGGGTATGCCATTCACATCATGAGATGTCCACACAGTAAGAGCTCTTCCCTGCATTATTTTAACTGCTTTAGATACTAAGACTGCTACTGCCGCCACTACCCATAAACAATGAGGCCAACCCTTTGCCACTACATCAATTTCCTTACTCAGGTATGGCATGGGTTGCAAGCTCGTCCCTCGGACCTATGTAAAGACTCCTAGAGCTCTTCCTGTTTTTCCTGTGACTGACATATAAAGAAAAGTCTTGCCCCGTTAGCAAACTTAACACTGGGGCTTGGGTTAAGGCCTTCTTTAGGGCCTGGAAAGCTGCTTCTGCTTCAGGTGTCCATCTTACTAAATGGGTATTGGCTTTTGAGTTTCCTTAATTAGTGTATATAATGGTCTGGCTGTTTTGCTGTACTTGGGAATCCATATTTGGCAGAAACCTGTTATGCCAAGGAACCCTCTTAGTTGCTTTAGGGTTTTGGGATGAGGATAAGCCAGTATAGGCTGGATACATTCCTCACTGAGGGCCCTGGTGCCTTTGGATAACTGTAGCCCTAAGTATTTAACCTGCTGTGAGAAGAGCTGAGCCTTTGGTTTGGAAACCTTGTAGCCACAGGTAGCGAGGAAATTTAAGAGCACTTGGGTGGCTTGATGGCACAAGGTTTTTGAAAGGGTGGCTAAAAGTAAGTCATCCACCTACTGAAGGACAAGAGTGTCCAGGTATGAGAATTGGCTCAAGTCTTGGGCTAATGCCTGGCCAAATAGATGGGGGCTATCCCTGAACCCTTGGGGTAAAACAGTCCAGGTGAGTTGAGACATTGAGTTCAAAGGATCTTCAAAGGCAAACAAGAATTGAGACTCAGGATGTACAGGGATGCAGACAAAGGCATCCTTAAGGTCCAGGACTGTAAACCACTCTGCTTCCTCTGGTATTTGGGAAAGCAGAGTATAAGGGTTAGGTACAGCTGGGTATAGAGGGACAATGGCCTCATTGATAATCCTGAGATCTTGCACTAACCTCCACTGTCTGTTGGGTTTCTGTACTCCTAAAAATGGAGTATCACAGGGGCTATTGCGTGCTTTCACTAGGCCTTGAGCTTTTAGGTCCTTAACAATCTTTTGGAGTCCTTGTTGGGCCTCGGGTCTAAGGGGGTACTGCCTTTGGTAGGGAAAGGAGGCGGAATCCTTTAGTTTAACTTGAACAGGATGGGAATTTTTTGCTCATCCATATTGTCCTTCTGTTGCCCAGACTTTAGGATTAATTCCTTCCTCAAGTAGGGGACAACAAACAGGTGTTCCTTCTCCTATGTTCAGGTGTGTAATGGCCCCTGCTTTTGCTAGAATGTCTCTCCCTAACAAGGGAGTGGGGCTTTCAGGCACAATTAGAAATGCATGTGAAAAGAGTAAAGTTCCTCAGTCACAACTTAGTGGCTGGGAGAAGTATCTAGTGACTGGCTGTCTTAGGACCCCTCGGATAGTGACAGATCAGGAGGACAGTTGTCCGGGACAGGAGAGTAAGACTGAGAAGGCTGCGCCAGTGTCCAGGAGACAGTTAACCTCCTGGCCCTCAATGGTAAAGCATACTTGGGGCTCTGTGAGGGTGATGGCATGGGCTGGCGCTTGCCCCAGGCACCCTCAGTCCTGCTGCTGGATCATCTGGTTAGTGGCTTCTGACTCAGAGGACCTTCGTCCCCTGGGGCAGTGGGCCTTCCAGTGATTCCCTTTTCTACGTGCTGCCTTGACATTTTTGAGCCTCACAGAGCCCCAAATTCTTAGCTGTGAGTTTCCCTGTTCTTGCCGGGTATGCTTCTCATTCAAGCAGGAAAATTCCCCACCTGGTTTGTCCACCTATCAGCTGGAACAGATGCACCTCATCAGCTCCTCAATCTAATGGGATTCATTTCCCTGCCAGCCTGTCAAACTAGTTAAATAAGTCAATCACATCCTCCTGTGGGAGCCAGGGGTTACCCCATCCTATTCTTACTAAAAAGCCTCCCTGCCACAACCTCTTCTGGTTCACTCTGCTCCTAGGTGCAACCCCCCCATGAACACCCAGGTATACTCCTCCCCCAGACTGTGAGTGTATGTGACTAATAAACTGCTGCCAAATGCATCTGTTAAGTGTCAGGTGTCCTGTGTTTGGCCATTCCCAGAACCTTAGGGCATGACTCCCTCCCTCACTGACAGAGTGAATAGGTGATCATAACAAGCTGAAATTAATGTTTTTGCAAATCATTATATTGTTGCCTGTATTATTAGCTTATTCCTTCTATTGCTGAGTAATATCCCATTGTATGAATATGACATAATTCTCAATCTTCATAATAATTGACCTAGTGACAACATTTAACACACTTGATTACTACCTTTTCATTGATAGACATTTTTTACTTGATTTCCAGGACACAGAACTCTCATGATTTTTCTCCAGCTTCATTGGCAACTCCTTCTCACTGTCCATACTAGTTTCTTCTGTTCTCCCTAAACTGTTAACATTGGCATTCTCCAGGGTACATTCCTTATTCCTCTTCTCTACCCATACTCACTCCCTTAGTTACATCGTCTCATGGCTTTAAATACCATCCACGTGCTGAAGACAAAAAAATTTATATCTTCACCATACCCCTCTTTCAAACTCTGGATTCATATATCCAACTGACTCGTTGATATCTCTGCTTGGATGTGTTTTATACACCTCAATTCAACTTACCCAAAGTGGAGTTTTTAGTAATCTACCTGATACCAGGTGCACCCACAGACTTTCCTATCATAGTTAATAGTAACTCCAAACCAAAAAGTTCATCATTGACTTCTTTATTTCACAGCCCATATCCAATCCATTAGAAAATTCTGTGGCTTTAACTTTAAAACACCCAGAATTCGAACACTTCTTACCACCTAGACTGCTACCACCCTGGTTCAAACAAGCATTTTCTCTTCCTGAATTATGGTTAGCCCTTTTATGCCTGAGGTTGCAATTGTTTGAATTTTTGCAGTTGGACTTGGAGATGACCTTGAGCAGTGGGATATAAACTCCCACATGCTTAGCATTCCAAAAATAGAACACTAGACATAAATAGTGGCCTCCTTATTTCTCCCTCCTTCCACTTTTACTCATTCCCCTCTACCATATATACAGCCTAATTTTAACATGACTTCCATGGTGATCTTTCTATACACACACTAGATTGTGTTTGCTTAAAAACCCTCCAATAGATTCACATTTTACTCAGAAAAAAGACAGTTTTTACAATTACCCAAAAAGGCCTTTACCCACAACGGCCTATATATTGTGTTTGCTCCACCCACTATTCTTTATCTGATGTTTTATCTTGGTATTATCCTCTTTACTCTCTCTATTCTGTCCACGTTGGTCTCCTTGATTCCTCAAATATGCTAAGTACACTCTCACTTTTAGGGGCTTGCTCTGGCTCCTCCCTCTGCCAGGAAAGTTTCCCCAAGATACCTGCCTGACTGTCTTTCACCTCCTTCAAATCTTTGTTTAAAAAAAATCACTTTTCAATGAAATTTATCATAACAAACTATTTAACGTTGCAAACTGGTTCCTCAAATTGGCATTTTTTTCCAACTTTTATTTTAGGTTCATGGGGTACAGGTGCAAGTTTGTTACATGGATAAATAGCATATTGTGGGGGTTTGATGTACAGATTATTTCATCACCCAGATAATGAGCATAATAAGTACCTAATAGGTAGTTTTTCCATCCTCCGCCTCCTCCCACCCTGCAACCTCAAGTAGGCCCTGGTATCTATTGTTCCCTTCTTTGTGTCCATGTGTACTCAATGTTTAACTCTCACTTATAAGTGAGAATGTGTGGCATTTTATTTTTTGTTCCTGCATTAGTTTGCTAAGAATAATAGCCTCCATCTCCATCCATGTTCCTGTGAAGGACATGATCTCTTATGGCTCCATATTATTCCATGGTGCATACGTACCATATTTTCTTTATCCAGTCCCCTGTTTATGGGCATCTAGGTTGATTCCATATCTTTGTTATTGTGAACAATGCTGCAATGGACATACATGTACATGTGTCTTTATGGTAGAACAATTTATATTCGTTTAGGTATATACTCAGTAATGATATTGCTGGATAAAACGGTATTTCTATTTTAAGCTCTTTGAGAAATCTCCAAACGGCTTTCCAAGTGGCTGAACTAACTTACACTACCACCAACAGTGTGTAAGCATTCCCTTTTCTCCACAACCTTGCCAGCTTCTGTTATTTTTTGACATTTTACTAGTAGCCATTCTAACTGGTGTGAGATGGTATCTCCCTGTGGTTTTGATTTGCATTTCTCTAATGATTAGTAATGTTGAACATTTTTTCACAATGCCTGTTGGCCACGTGTATGTCTTTTGAAAAGTGTCTGTTCACATCCTTTGGCTATATATATATATATATATATACATATATATATTTTTTTTTTTTTTTTTTTTTTTTTTTTTTTGAGATGGAGTCTCACTCTGTCACCCAGGCAAGAGTTCAGTGGCACGATCTCTCGGCTCATTGTAACCTCTGCCTTCTGGGCTCAAGTGATTCTCCTGCCTCAGCCTCCTGAGTAGCTGGGATTATAGGTGCCCCAAACCACGCCCAGCTAATTTTTGTATTTTTAGTAGAGACGGGGTTTCACCATGTTGGCCAGGCTGGTTTCGAACTCCTGACCTCAAATGATCCACCCGCCTCAGCCTCCCAAAGTGCTGAGATTACAGGCATGAGCCACTGCGTCCAGCCCCTTTGGCGATATTTTAATGGGGTTGTTTGTTTTTTCTTGTTCATTTAAGTTTCTTGTAGATGCTAGATATTAGACCTTCAGCAGAATGCACAGTTTGAAAATATTTTCTCCCATTCTGCAGGTTGTCTGTTTCCTCTATTGACAGTTTCCTTTGCTGTGCAGAAGTTCTTTTGTTTAATTAGGTCCCACTTGCCAAGTTTTGTTTTTGTTGCAATTGCTTTTAGCAAGTTTGTCATGAAATCTTTGTCAGGGCCTATATCCAGAATGGTATTTCCTAGGTTTTCTTCTAGGGTTTGCATAGTTTTAGGTTTCACATTTAAGTCTTTAATCCATTTTTTTGTTTTGTTTTGTTTTTATTTTTATTTTTTGTTATACTTTAAGTTCTGGGATACATGCGCAGAAAGTGCAAGTTTGTTACATAGGTATACATGTGCCATGGTGGTTAGCTGCACCCATCAACCTGTCATCTACATTAGGTATTTCTCCTAATGCTATACCTCCCCTAGTCCCCCACCCCCAGACAGGACCTGGTGTGTGATGTTCCCCTCCCTGTGCCCATATGTTCTCATTGTTCAACTCCCGCTTATGAGTGAGAACATGCAGTGTTTGGTTTTATGTTCCTGTGGAAGTTTGCTGAGAATGATGGTTTCCAGCTTCACTCATGTCCCTGCAAAGGACATGAACTCATTGTTTGTTATGGCTGTGTAGTATTCCATGGTGTATATGTGCCACATTTTCTTTATCCAGTCTATCTTGAAGGGAATTTGGGTTGGTTCCAAGTCTTTGCTTTTGTGAATAGTGCTGCAGTAAACATACATGTGAATGTGTCTTTATAGCGAATGATTTATAATCCTTTGGGTGTATACCCAGTAATGGGATTGCTGGGTCAAATGGTATTTCTTATTCTAGATACTTGAGGAATTGCCACACTGTCTTCCACAATGGTTGACCTAATTTACACTCCCACCAACAGTGAAAAAGCATTCCTATTTCTTCACGTCCTCTCTGCTGTTTCTTGACTTTTTAATGATCACCATTCTAACTGGTGTGAGATGGTATCTCATTGTGGTTTTGATTTGCATTTCTCTAATGACCAGTGATGATGAGCTTTTTTTCATATTGGCCGCATAAATATCTTCTTTTGAGAAGTGTCTGTTCATATCCTTTGCCCACTTTTTGATGTTTTTTTATGTAAATTTGTTTAAGTTCCTCGTAGATTCTGGATATTAGCCATTTGTCGAATGGATAGATTGCAAAAATTTTCTCCTATTATGTAGGTTCCCTGTTCCTTTAATCCATCTTGAGTTGATTTTTGTATATGGTGAAAGGAAGGGGTCTTCTGCATGTGGCTAGCCAGTAATCACTGCACCATTTATTGAATAGGGAGTCCTTTCCCCATTGCTTCTTTTTGTTGACTTTGTCAAAGATAAGATGGTTGTAGGTACCTGACTTTATTTCTGCATTCTCTAGCCTGTTCCATTGGTCTATGTGTTTGTTTTTGTACCAGTACGATGCCATGTTGGTTACTGTAGCCTTGTAGTACACTTTAAAGTTGGATAGTGTGATGCCTCCTGCTTTGATTTTTGCTTAGGATTGCTTTGGCTATTGGGGCTCTTTTTTTGGTTCTATATGACTTTTAGAATAGCTTTTTTTAATTCCACAAAAAAAATCATTGGTAGTTTGATAGTAATAACATTGAATTTATAAATTTCTTTGGGCAATATAAACATTTCAACAATATTGATTCTTTCTCTCCATGAACATGGAATATTTTTCCATTTGTTTGTGTCATCTCTGATTTCTTTCAGTATTGTTTTGGAATTCTCATTGTAGAGATTTTTCAACTCCCTGCTTAGCTGTATTTCTAGGTATTTTATTCTTTATTGTGGCAATTGTGAATGGGATTGCCTTTCTGATTTGGCTCTTGGCTTGGCTGTTTTGGTGTGTAGGAATGCTAATGATTTTTGTACATTGATTTTCCATCCTGAAACGTTGTTGAAATTGTTTATCAAGTCTAGGAGCCTTTGGGAAGAGACTATGGGGTTTTCTAGGTATAGAATCTTATGGTCTGCAAAGAATGATCATTTAACTTTTTCCCTTCCTATTTGAATGCCTATTCTTTCTCTTGCCTGACTGCTCTGGCTAGGAATTTTGGTACTATGGTGAATAGAAGTGGTGAGAGTGGGGATCCTTGTCTTATTCTGGTTCTCAACTGGAATGCTTCCAGCTTTTGCCCTTTCAGTATGATGCTGTGGGTTTTTCATAGATGGTTCTTATTATTTTGATGTACGTTCCTTTGATGCCTAGTATGCTGAGGGTTTTTAACATGAAGGGATGTTGAATTTTATCAAAAGCTTTTTCTGTGTCTATTGAGATGATTATGTGGTTTTTGTTTTAGTTATGTGATGAACCACATTTATTGATTTGTATATATTGAACAAACCTTGCATCCCAGGACATGATACAACATGGAAGAACCTTGAAAACATTATGCTTTGTGAAATAAGCCAGTCACAAAAAGAGAATTGCTACATAATTCCACTTATGTGAGGTATCTAAAGCAGTCAAACTCTTAGAAACAGAAAGTAGAGTTATAACTGCCAAGGCCTAGGGGGAGGAGGAAAAGGGGAGTTGTTACAGAATTTCAGTTGGTATAGTTTAAAAGTTGCAAGACGAAAAGGTTGTAGAGATCAGTTGTAAGCAATGTACATATAGTTAATACAACTGTACTGTACATTTACAAATGGCCTGTAATCACAGCACTTTGGGAGGTGAATGCAGGTGGATTGCTTGGCGACAGGAGTTTGAGACCAGCCTGGCCAACATAATGAAACCCCTTCTCTACTAAAAATACAAACAATTAGCCAGGCATGGTGGCATACACCTGTAATCCCAGCTACTCCAGAGGCTGAGGCATGAGAACTGTTTGAACCCAGGAGGCAGAGGTTGCAGTGAACCGAGATCGCACCACTGCACTCCAGCCTGGGTGACAGAGTGAGACTCTGTCTCAAAAAAGAAATTTAAAAAAATGATTAAAATAGTAAATTTAATGTTGTGGTTTTTTACCACCATAAAAAATAAAAAAAAGAAGTTATCTTTTTAAAATCTACCAAATTAAAGAGAAAAAATGTCAACTTTGACTTCTGGTTTCAACTCTGACATGTCTACACTTTCGAGAGTTTTCCTCCAGGAATCCCATTAGCTTATCAGAGTGCAGATCTGAAAGACTCAGTCTTGAATCTGGCAGAAGGAGAAGGAGGGGGAAAGTAACTATTGTTGAGACCAGGAGAAAAGACTTTACCAGAGCTTTCTCCCACCTTGTGTTGTAAGAGCATTTGCCCTGCTTCAGCCCCTCTAGCGTTCCTGTCTTACCCAAGGGGAGGAAGGCTAAAAACATTTGTAAAAGTCACAGCTCAGAAATACAGGTACACCAAAATCTGATATTTAATTATAAGATTATAGAATGCTATTTTTAGTTTATTTTTCTTTGGAAACTCCATACAGTTTTCCATAATGGTTGTACTAATTTACATTCCCATCAACTGTGTACAAGGGTTCCATTTTCTCTTGAAGTCTCACCAACACGTATCTTTTTTATACTAGCCATTCAGACAGGTGTTCAGTCATATCTCATTGTGATTTTAATTTGCCTTTCTCCAATGATTAGTGATATTGAATATTTTTTCATATATCTGTTGGTCATTTGTACCTCTTCTTTTGAGAAATGGACTCTTCAGGTCTTTGTACATTTTTAAATCAGGTTGTTTGGGTTTTTTGCTATTAAGTTGTTTGATCTCCTTATGTATTTTGGATATTAACCCCTTGTCAAATGATCCTGACATCCTAATGACTTGAAATCAATATGTCAAAAATACATCTGCACTCCCGTGTTCATTGCAGCATTGTTCACAGTAGCTAAGATACAGAATCAATCAAAGTGTCCCTCAACAGATGAATGAGTAAAGAAAAAATGGTATATATGCATGATGGAGTACTATTCAGCAATAAAAAATAATTCTGTCATTTGTGACAACATAGATGAAACTTGAGGAAATAACGGTAAATGAAATCAGCCAGGCACAGAAGGACAAAAAACATGTCTTCTCACTTATGTGTGGAGTTGTTACAGTGAACTCATAGAAGTGGAGAATAGAATGGTGGTTACCAGAGACTTGGGGGAAGGATGGGAAGATGCTGGTCAAATTGTAGAAGGTTCAGTTTGACAGGAGGAATTAAGGATTAGTTAATGTGATGGATATGTTACTTACCTTGATCCAATCATTCCACACTGTACACATTATTATAACATTACTGTGTAACCCATAACTATATGATTATAATTTGTTCAAAAAATAAAAAGTAAATGAAATAAAATATTTCCTAACTGAAGAAAAATGATTTTAGAACACTTCTGTTTTCCCACACCTTACCACTGCACTCACAGTACAACCACATAATACAATGGATTATATCTAAAACAGCTGCAAGATGCAGACTGTACCTAAGAAAGAGTTCCTAGGAAAGCCCAAAGGAAAAATGAGAGACAAAAACAAAGACACACTGACTTCCACAATGGTTGAACTAGTTTACAGTCCCACCAACAGTGTAAAAGTGTTCCTATTTCTCCACATCCTCTCCAGCACCTGTTGTTTCCTGACTTTTTAATGATTGCCATTCTAACTGGTGTGAGATGATATCTCATAGTGGTTTTGATTTGCATTTCTCTGATGGCCAGTGATGATGAGCATTTTTTCATGTGTTTTTTGGCTACATAAAGGTCTTCTTTTGAGAAGTGTCTGTTCATGTCCTTTGCCCACTTTTTGATGGGGTTGTTTGTTTTTTTCTTGTAAATTTGTTTGAGTTCATTGTAGATTCTGGATATTAGCCCTTTGTCAGATGAGTAGGTTGCAAAAATTTTCTCCCATTTTGTAGGTTGCCTGTTCACTCTGATGGTAGTTTCTTTTGCTGTGCAGAAGCTCTTTAGTCAGAAGTCAGTGTGGCGATTCCTCAGGGATCTAGAACTAGAAATACCATTTGACCCAGCCATCCCATTACTGGGTATATACCCAAATGACTATAAATCATGCTGCTATAAAGACACATGCACACGTATGTTTATTGCGGCATTATTCACAATAGCAAAGACTTGGAACCAACCCAAATGTCCAACAATGATAGACTGGATTAAGAAAATGTGGCACATATACACCATGGAATACTATGCAGCCATAAAAAATGATGAGTTCATGTCCTTTGTAGGGACATGGATGAAATTGGAAACCATCATTCTCAGTAAACTATCGCAAGAACAAAAAACCAAACACCGCATATTCTCACTCATAGGTGGGAATTGAACAATGAGATCACATGGACACAGGAAGGGGAATATCACACTCTGGGGACTGTGGTGGGGTGGGGGGAGGGGGGAGGGATAGCATTGGGAGATATACCTAATGCTAGATGACGAGTTAGTGGGTGCAGCACACCAGCATGGCACATGTATACATATGTAACTAACCTGCACAATGTGCACATGTACCCTAAAACTTAAAGTATAATAAAAAAAATAAATAAATAAATAAATAAATAAAGATTCCACTGGAATTTTTTTGTCAGGGCAATAAGGCAATACAAAGAACTAAAGTTCATATAGATTGGAAAGAAAAGAAGGAAGGAAGAAAGGAAGGAAAGGAGGGAGGAAGGGAGGGAGGAAGGGAGGGAAGGACAGATGAAGGAAGGAAGGAAGGCAGGCTTATTTGCAGATGACATGATTGTCCACATAAAAAATACCAAGGAAAGTACCAAAAAAAAAAAAAATGAAATGACTTAGAACTAATAAGGAAGTTTGGCAAGATCATGAAATATAAGATCGAGACACAAAAATCAATTTTTTAATATATTCTAACAATGGACAATTAGCAATGGTTATATTGATTAAAAATACCATTTAAAATAGCTCCTCAAAATGAAATATTTTGATATAGTCTATCAAAGCATATACTGGATTTGTGTGCTGAAAACTACAAAAGGCTAATAAAAGTAGTCAAAGAATACCTAAATAAATGGAGAGTCATACAGTATACATGAATTGAAAAATTCAATACAGTAAAGAGGTCAATTCTGCCCACTTTGGTCATAGGTTTTACATAATTCAATCCTCAGCAGGATGTTTGATTGTTTTTGTAGGGATAGACAAGCTGATTTCAAACTTTTATGTGGAAAGGCAAAAGGACTAGAATAGCTAAAACAAATTTGTTAAAGAATAAAAATAAAGGATTTATACAATAAAAAAAAAAACAAAGACACTGGAGGAGTTTGTAGCTTCAGATATCTACAGGTATTGCATATTAAACACAGCCCAACTCCTAACCAGATCAGCATAAAAAACAGACACTAAAGGCTTATTTATCTTAGTTTTGATTATCTGATATATCATGTCTAGATTTCTATAACAAAAAATTTTACAAGGCACACAAAAAAGCGAAAACACACACTATTCAGGGACAGAGCAAGCACCAGAACCAAAATTGGATATGGCACAGATTTTGGAATTATCAAGAAATTTGAAGGAACTGTGATTAATATGTTAAGGACACTAAGGGAAAAAGGAGACAACATGCAAGTACAGATTGGTAATATAAGCAGAGCGATAGAAATTCTAATAAAGAATCAAAAGAAAATGAAGACAGATGGAAATTCTAACAAAGAAATTAAAAGCACTGTAACAGACATGAAGAATAGTTTTGATGGGCTCATCAGTAAGCTGGGCACGGCCAAGGAAAGTATCATTGAACTTGAAAATATGTCAATGTAAACTTCCTACACTGAAATGGAAAGAGAAAAAAATGAAAAGAAATAACATCCAAGAACCATGGAACAATTTCAAAAGATGCAACATATGTGTGTGAACCCCGGATAAATGAGACAGGTGTAAGTTAATTTAGAAAGTTTATTTTACCAAGGTTGAGGATATGCGCCTGTGATAAAGCCTCAGGAGGTCCTGACTACGTGTGCCCAAGGTGGTCAGAGCACAGCTTGGTTTTATACATTTTAGGGAGACATGAGACATCAATCAACATTTGTAAGATGAGCATTGGTTAGGTCTGGAAAGGGTGGATAAATGGAAGTGGGTAGGGGGCTTCCAGGTCATAGGTAGACAAGAGACAAATGGTTACATTCTTTTGAGTTTCTGATTATCCTCTCCAAAGGAGGCAATCAGATAATACATTTATCTCAGTGAGCAAGGGGTGATTTTGAATAGAATGGGAGGCAGGTTGGCCCTAAGCACTTCCCAGCTCGACTTCTCCATTTAGCTTAGTGATTTTGGGGCCCTAAGATTTATTTTCCTTTACTATTCATAATTGAAATATCAGAAGGCGAAAAAAGAGATAACAGATTGGAAAAATATTTGAAGTAAGAATGTCCAAAAATTTTCAAAACTTAAAGACAGACCACCGACCACAGATCCAGGAATTTCAGAGAACAAGTAAGATGAATAGCAAAAAACTACACTTAGGCATATTGTACTCAAACTGCTGAAAACTAAAGACAGAGAGAAGTTCTTCAAAGGAACAACAGGACAAAAGAGACCTTACCCATAGAAGAACAAAGATAAGACTTACAGTGGGCTTTGCACCCTAAACCATATATGAGAGAACAAAGTCGGGTGAAATATTTGAAGTCTTCAAAAAAACCTACACCAATATAAATTTCTATATCCAGCGAAATTACCCTTTTAAAGTGAAGGAGAAATTAAGCTTCATTCAAACAAACAAAAACTAAGAAATTTCATTGCAGCACATTTACCCTTCAAGGAATGTTAAAATATTTTCTTTAGAGAAAAGAAAATTCTATAGGTCAGAAACTTTGATTCATGTAAAGACAGGAAGAGTGTCAGGGAAACAATAAATGAAGATAAAATAAAATCTTATTTTTCTTTTTCTTAATTGATCTAAAAGGAAATGGTTTTTTGGAGTAATAATAATAAAATATATTGAGGAATTATAATGTATGGAGACATAAAATGAATGGTACCAATGACATAATAGGACCGAAGAATTGGAAATATTCTATACTTGTGCTACAAGTAGCATAGTGTTATTCGAAGGTAGCTATAGATTAGTTTAGAATGCATATTGCAAATCCTAGGGATACCACTAAATGTTTTTAAAATAAATAAAATTTATATGCTATCAGAGGAGATAAAATGAGAAGTTGAATTAAGGCTAGGCATGGTGGCATGTACTTTCAGCACTTTGAGAGGATGAGGTGGGAGGATTGCTTAAGCCCAGTAATTCAAGGATACAGTGAGCTATGATGGCACCACTGTACTCCAGCCTGGGTGATAGAGTAAGATCCTATCTCTGAATAAAAGAAAAGAAAAAGTAGCTCAATTAAAATTAATGAATGTTGCAAAAGAGCAGGATAAAATAAAGAACAGGCACAGTGAATAGAAAACAGTAACAAGCATAGTAGATATTAATGTGACTATATCAATAATCACTTATAAATGTGCAAATACACCAATTAAAATACATAGATGGTCACAGTGAATAAAAAATAAGACCTGACCAAGTATTGTCTATAAGAAACCCACTTTAAATATAAAGTCTCAGCTAGGTTAAAAGTTAAGAGTTGATGAAAGATTTATACTAATAAAAAAGCCAGAATAGCTATTAATTTCAGACAAAGCATATTTCAAGACAAGGAAAGTTATTAGGGATAAAGATGGGCATTGCATATGATACAGGGGTCAATTATCCAAGAAGACATAACACCTTTAATGTATATTCACCTGATAATAAAGCATCAAAATACGTGCAGCAAAACTGATAGAACACAAATAGAAATAGACAATTCACTATTATATTTGCTTGGCTGGACCTGGTGGCTCATGCCTGTAATCCCAGCACCAAGGTGGACGGATAACTTGAGGTCAGGAGTTTGACACCAGCCTGGCCAACATGACGAAACCCCATCTCTACTAAAAATACAAAATGTATCCAGGTGTGGTGGCACGTGCCTGTAATCCCAGCTACTAGGGAGGCTGAGGCAGGAGAATCTCTTGAACCTGGGAGGCAGAGGTTGCAGTGAACCGAGATTGCACCACTGCATTCCAGCCTGGGTAACAGAGCAAGACTCCATCTAAAAAAATAAATAAAATAAAAGTAAATATTTGTAGACCTCATAAAATCCTGTCAACTGACAGATCATCTATCAGTTATAAAACATGGGTCCAAAAGTCTCAGGAAACATTTTAAAATATTTCGAGCTAAGTAAAAATGAAAAGAAATTTTATCAAAGACTTGATATACTGCAAAAGCAGTGCTTGACAGAAATTATGGCATTAAATGCATATATTATAACAGAACTGTAATCTAAGCTTCCACCTTAGGAACTTGATAAAGAAGAGCAACTTAAGCCTAAAGCAAGCAGAAGAAAATAAAAAATAAAAATTTGAGCAGAAATTATTATAAAAATTTGAAAGAGGAATAAAAATAGAAAAAAAAAAATCAGTGAAACCAAAAGCTGGTTCTTTGAAAAGATTAGTAAAATCAATAAACCTCCAGCCAGGCTAAGCATGAGAAAAAGAGAAAAGGCATAAATTACCAATGCAATGAAATGAGATGAAAAAAATGAAATGAAATGAAATGAAGTGAAAGGAAATGAAGTGAGAGGTCATCACTACTGGTCCCATGGACATTTAAAGATAATAATGGAACACTATGAACAACCAATTCTATGCCCACAAATTTGATAACTTAGATGAAATAGGCTAATTTCTTGAAAACCACAAACTAAAAAAGCTCACACAAGGGGAAATAGATTACTTAATAGGCCTGTATCCATTGAAGACACTGAATCAATAATTAACAAACTTTCCCCCAAAATCACCAAACCCGGGTTGTTCTGTGGCGTATTCTGCCAAACATTTAATGGAGAAATAATACCAATTCTCCACAATATCTTTCAGAAAATAAAAGCAGAGGCCCTTAAATTGATACATACTCCTGCTCCCTCCAATGCATACATTTGCCGCCTTCCAATTTCCTAGAAAGTTGTATGCCTGTTCAGCCCATCTTCTGGAATTGACTTCCACAAATTATAGGGCTACATATACATCAGATTTGGGAACAAGAGCATCCTTCCACTCTGCGTCTTCCCATCTCTCAATATACAAACGCTGCCAAAGCTATACTCTTATTCAGTGTCCTCATTGTATTAAAAAGTGTTCGACATTTGCTGTTTCTAATTCTTCTCCTCCCATTTCTCTTGAACCAACTCCAATCAGATTTTTGTCCCCAAGATCCCACTGAAAATGCTTTTGTTAATGTTGCTAATTACTTCCATATTGCTGTAGCCAATGGTCAATTCCCATTCTTCATCTTACATTATGTATTAGCATTTGATATAATTCCTCACTCCCTACTCCTGGAAATATTTTTTTACTTGATTTCCAGGACATTGCTCATTATTGGTTCTTCACCTATAACATGGTCCTCTTTCTTAGTCTTTTTTGTTCCTCCTACTAATTCAAATCTCTACAGATTAGACAGCCCCAGGACTCAATTCCTAGACCACTTTTCTTCTCTATTTACTTTATCCCCATGTAATCTTTCTCACCTTGTGTTTGTATTACGATCTATACAACTCTTCAACTGCCTGCTTGACATTTCCTCTTGGCTGTCTGGTAGACATTTTAAATTTAACACATTTGAAACCAGCTTACTGATCTACCGTTAAAGCAAACAAGAAACAAATTACAGCAACAAAAACCAGACAAACAAATACAATGCTGCATCTTTGATTTTCTTCATCTTAGTTGATAGGATTTTTTTTTTTTTTTTTTTTGAGACAGGGTCTCAATCTGTTACTGAGGCTGGAGTGCTGTGGCACAATCGTAGCTCACCAGCGTCGATCTCCCAGGCTCAAGTGCTCCTTCAACTTCAGCTTCCTGAGTAGCTGGGACTACAGGTGCATGCCACTGCAGCCTGCTAATTTGCTAAATTTACTTTTTGTAGAGATAGGATCTTATTATGTTGCCCAAGCTGCTCTTGAACTCCCAGGCAAGCAGTCCTCCCAACTCGGCCTCCCAAAGTGCTGGGATTACAGGTATGAGTGCCCATGCTCCTCCAGTTCATGGCAATTTAATCCCTCTAGTTGCACAGAACACAAACCTTGAAATAATCCTTGACTTATCTCTTTCTTTTGCTCTTTAAATATAATTAATCTGGAAATCCCGTTGACCCTCCCTTCAAAAAATATTTCAAACTTCTCACTCCTTCCAATGCTACTACCCTGGTCCAAGCCATCATCATCCCTCAACTTGTTCATTGTAATTATCTTTAACTGATTTTACTCTTACTCTTTTACAGTCTTTTCTCAAAAATCCAGAGTAATCTTTTTAATACCTAAGTCTCTCGTATGTTTCTTCTGCACAAAGTCCTCTAATGACATCCATGTCACTTAGAATAAAAGCCAAAGTCCTTCAAACGGTCTACAAGACCTTGCCTTTCTGACTTCCTCTTGTACTACTTATCAGTTCAATAAGTTATAGCCCCTCTGAGCTCCTTGATCCTTGAATATACTGGACATGGTCCCATCTCATGGTCTTTGTACTTGCTATTTCCTCTCCATAGGATGCTCTACTTCCTCATCTCTTTCAAATCTGTTCTCAAATATCACCTCAGGGTGATTCACTCTGCCCATCCTATTTAAAATTGCAACCAACTACTCCAGCATTCTTCCTCTGCTTTGGCATGCTTTATATTTTTCATAATATATCTTTAAAATAATGTATAATTTAAGTAGATTAATTTGGTTTCTTCAGTGTCTCACACTTCTAGAAAGTAAGCTTCATAAGGGCAAAGGATTTTGTATCTCTTGATCACTGTTATGTCACCGGCGTCTAGTATTAGAGAGCCTAACAAATAATATATACTCAAAAAAAGTTGGTGAATTTTAAATCATGCTACACCTGGACTGATTTCAGGGCTACTCTTATCTAGACATAGAACACCCCTGAATTCATTCATTTTTACCATTTTTATCTCACTGCCACTGAAGTCAGGTGATTTGTATTGCTAATTGACACTCTCTACCTATAAGTCCCAGTTTCTGCTGCCGTCATTTAGGGCAAACTTGTCCAATGCTCACCTTTATGGATCTCTTATATGTTTGAATGCCACTAGTCATTTCTGCAAACTCGGTGCTACAGACCACAACTCATAGTTTACCATCATAGTGTGCCTCTAAATAATGTATCCCTGCTCCTCCTGTGAGGCTTTCTTTCTTATAATCATGTTTTAGACTTAAGTTTCTAAGGCCTATTAGGAAAAGCTTTTTAATCATATCTGTATGCTACTTTAGAAGGGTCTAATAGTAAATATATAAGGAACTCTTGTGCTATAATATCACACATTTAATTTTATTCCTGCAACTATTTCATCTCCTAGGACAAAAAAAAAAGTGCTTCTTGGGAGTGGGTTTGGGGTGAACTGAAGACCGTGGACTGAGTATGCCTTAATGTTTTTAGAATGCCACATATTGTACCAATACTTACTCTTCTCTAATCTCAGTCTCTATTGCATGGTTTGACTCATGTTGCTAGATTCTATATTCTACCATGTTCTATTCATTTGCAGGGCAATGAAATCATTTCTGTTGTGCTTTCCTCATATTATTTGACAGATAGGCATCTATGCATAGCATGTAAAGTCTTAGTGTACAGATAAGTCAAGTTATTTTCTAGGAGAGGAATTGCATATAACAAGGGTCTTATAAAGGATGACACTGCTAAGGTCTAGTCAATACAGACAGTCTCCTCCACCTATGTGTCAGATATATCTATGAAAGTGTTTGTGTGACAAAGTGAAAGCAGCTTTATTTTCATGAAGCCAGGATTCTTTTTTCTCAGGAAGATTGTGTCCTAACAGTATCAAAAAATAATGAATTCTGGGGTGTCTCTTCAGCTTTATCTGGGGAAATGTTGTTCAAAAAAAAGTCACTATACACTTGCAGACTGGTGGCACTGGGAAAGTAGGGTTCTGGTATAGTCGATAAGCTCTGAGACCTGACTGTATTTCACACCTTTAGTTATCCATCTGAGAAACACTTTATCATTACAATAGTTAGGATCAGGATCTGCTGCAGGTGAATAAATAATTCAAAATTTCAGTTTCTTAAATACTTTAGATATGTATTTTTCTTTCATGTAAAACTCTGAAGCTTCACAGTTCAGGGGTGACATGTCAGCTCTGATCAATGAAATCCTCAAAAACTTAAGCTTCTCCAGCTCATTATCCACCATGCTGAGTGTGGCCCCCATTCCCAGGTTGGAAGCATCACCTGCATTCCAGGAAGTAGGATAGAGGGAAGGGTGAAGAAAAAGATACAAAGTGTAAACTCCAGCACTTTTAAGGAAAATTCTCAAAAGTTGTCACATAATGCTTCTACTTTTATCTCATTGTTCAGAAATTAATTACAGACAACATGCAGAGATGTTCAGAAATCTATTCTTTATTTGGGCAGCCTCATTCCTAGCTAAAAATACTATTATTTGGATGATTGACTCTAAGAGCCAGAGCTATGGTTTGAATGACTGTGTCCCCTCTAAAATTTACCTTGAAACTTAACCCCCACCGTGACAGTAGTAAGAGGTGGGGCAGTATTAAACGATTAGGCCATGAAGGAGCCCTCATGGATGGTATTAGTGCCATATAAAAAGGGTTGTAGAAAACTAGCTAGGCTCTTTGCCCTTCTGTCTCTTCTGCCATGTGATGACACAGAGTTAGTTCCCTCCAAAGGATGCAGCCAGAAGGCACCATCTTAGAAGGAGAGAGCAGTTCTCACCAGATGCCAAATCTGCTGGTGTCTTGAGCTAGAACTTGCGAGCCTCCAGAACTGTGAGAAATAAATTTTGATTATCTATAAATTACCCAGTCTTTGGTATTTGTTATAGCAGCATGAATAAATTAAGGAAGCAAGTAACACACTTAAGAAGAATGGAGCCTCCTTCTGCCACAGTCCTTCTCAATTAAGCTACTTTTCAGTCATATATATGTGTAAGACAATATCAGTGTGCATGTGTGTGCGTATGTGTGTGTGTCTCTAGTAGCCTTATGAGAGAGGCAGTATCCGATGAGATAATAGCTAAAAGCATGGACTTGATTCTGCTCAATTTTGCTGTGAACTTCAAACTATTCTAAAAATAAAGTCTATTTAAAATTTTTTTAAAGCATAGACTTAAGTCAGCACACCTCAGATTTAAACTCCAATTCTTCCACTTATAAGCTCTTTGACTTTGGGCAAGTTATTTCACCTCCCCAAATCTCAATTTCCCATCTGTGGAGTAGAAATAATACTGCCAGCTCCTGGTGCTAGTGTAATTTTCATCTCAGTAATGTATATAAATTGCTTAAGCACATTGTTTAACATATAGTTCAATAAATAGAAGCATCTATTGGTATTTTATTATATACATGTATGGTTATTCACATAAAAACTTACCCAAATATCCATATAGAAGCTGTTCAAACAAGATAATCAAAATTGGCATACATTTTAGAGATTCGGGCAAGATGGCTGACCACATGCAGCCAGGTGGAACAGCTGCCACCAAGGGACCAAGAAGACTGGCACATTCCTAGCAGATCTTTACAGAGAAGGCACTGAGAGTGGATGGAGGGAAGACACAGAAGCTGGGCTGAGTGGGGAGGAAGCTGGGAGCTGCATGGGGCTACCACAAACCATGACTCCTTCTTGGCCCCCCAACAACTCCAGGATAATGGGTGAGGGTGAGTTGAACTGAAAGAAGCAACCCACTTTCTCCAAGTGCCTCTGGAATCCAAGCAGACGGAGACACCTCAACCACCATGGACACTTGAGTGGGCAGGGATAGCTGCTTAGAAAAGTAGTAGGGACAGCACACCAGCCAAGGAAAAGCCCAGAGGTTTTGCTGCGGGAGAGTCTGTTGCTGAGCATGGCCAGAGATGCCCATGCCCCCAGGCTCCACTTGCTCCCACAGGAGACTTTAATCCTAGGGGAACTGTCAGACCTGAACTCTGCAAGGTGGTCTTGACCATCAGAGGAGGCCCATCCAACCTGAGCACCCCTTGGGCTGCTAGCCTCTCCTGGAGTCCCAGTCTAGCCATGCCTACTTGCAGTGCAGCCTCAGATGCTTTGGGGGCTCACATCATAGCTCCTGCACTGGTCAGTGGTGCCTGACAGGGCAGAGATACTGCAGCGTGGAGACCAGGGCCTCATACCAGCCCAGCCTCTCCCTCTCCCCACTGCAGCTTCCCCTAGGCCCACCTCCAGCCCCCACAATACTTTGCCAGTGTGTGTGAGTGCGGGTGAATTTTTGCCTTACCTGCCCCACCAGGGCGTATGTGCACATTTCCCCTGCCTTGCCTGTGCTGACGACGGGAATGCACTCTGCCGCATCTCTCTGCCTTACCGCCATTGCAGTCTGAGCCATGATAGGCATAGAGCCCGCCAGCCTGGACCTGCCAGCACCCCACTTCTGCCTCAACACTGCCGGGCCTGGAGAACAGCAGACCCTCCCCCGTCCTGAGTGGCCAAAGAGGGTACACACAGACCTGAGCTTGCCAGGGCCCTGCCCCTGTGCTAACACTACCACCAGCACACATCCACCAACTGGTCTCCTGCCCCCTTGAGCCATGGTGCCTCTACTGCTGCTGTGAATGCCTGGATGGAGGCAAGCACCCATACCTACTAGCGCTCTCCCGTCGTGCTGCTGTTGCTGCTGCTACTGCTGGCATGTGCAAACGAGGAGAAACCTTGCTGCCAGCGCCCTACAAAATGCTTTGGCTGGCGCCATCCATCAGAATGTGGTGACCAGCACTCTGAGAGCATCTTGGGCCCCCAAGTGCAGTGGGTTCCTAACCTTGAGGAGCCAGAGAACAAAGATGGCCCTGATACTAGTCCCTGAAGTTAGAACACACAGTATAGGAGTTGGTAGCTGAGCCTTGGCCCCCTAAAAACTTCCACAAACTAAGCCATTTGACTGAATCCATCTTAAACCACAACCAAACCTCAAGGTCATCAAATAGTATAAAAGAAAAAAAAATTCCAAAGGACAGCAACTTCAAAGATTGAAAGAACACCAGCCCACAAAGATGAGAAAGAACAAGTGCAAGAACTCTGGCAACTCAAAAGCCAGAGTACTTCCCTTCCTTCAAACAATTGCACTAGATCTTTAGCAAAGTTTCTCAACCAGGCTGACATGCCTGAACTGACAGAAACAGAATTGAGAATATGGATAGAAATGAACATCATGGAGATGCAGGAGTATGTTGAAACCCAACCAAGGAAGTTAAGAATCACAATAAAACGATACAGAAGCTGACAGACAAAATAGCTGATATAGAAAAGAATGTAACTGACATGATAGCGCTGAAAAACAAAATATAAGAATTTCATATGATCACAAATGTTAATAGCAGAAATTGAAGAAAGAATCTCAGAGCTTGAAGACTGCTTTCTGATATAAGACAGTCAGACAAGAATAGAGAGAAAAAAGAAAAGCAATGAATCAAACCTCTGGAAACTATAGGATTATGTAAAGAGACCAAATCTATGACATATTGGTGTCCCTGAAAGAGATGGAGAGAATGGAAGCAACTTGGAAAACATATTTCAGAATATCATCCATGAGAATTTCCCCAATCTAGCTAGAGAGGCCAATATTCAAATTCAGGAAATGCAGAGAACCACACTAAGACACCCCACAAGAAAATCATAGCCAAGATGCATAATCATCAGATTGTCCAAGATTGAAATGAAAGAAAAAATGTTAAGGGCAACTAGAAAGAAAGGTCAGGTCACCTACAAAGGGAAGCCCATCAGACTAACAGTAGACCTCTCAGCAAAAATCCTACAAAGCCAGAAGAGATGGGGGGAAATATTCAACATTCTTAAAGAAAAGAAATTTCAACCCAGAATTTCATATCTGGTCAAACTAAGCTTCATAAGTGAAGGAGAAATAAGATCCTTTTCAGGCAAGCAAATACTGAGGGAATTCCTTACCACCAGACCTGCTTTAAAAGAACTCCCAAAGGAAGCACTAAATATGGAAAGAAAATATCGTTACCAGCCACTACAAAAACATACTTAAGTACACAGACTAGCAACTCTATAAAGCAACCACACAAACAAGTCTGCATGCTAACTAGCTGACAACATGACAACAGAATCAAATCCACACATATCAATACAAACCTTGAATATAAACAGGTTAAATGCCTCAGTTAAAAGACACAGAGTGGCAAGCTGGATAAAAAAGCAGGACCCAATGGTACGCAGTCTTCAAGAGACCCATCTCACACGCAATGACGCCCATAGCCTCAAAAAAAAAGGGATGGAGAAAAATCTACCAAGCAAATGGAAAACAGAAAAAAGCAGGGGTTGCAATCCTAATTTCAGACAAAACAGACTTTAAACCAACAAAGATCAAAAAAGACAAAGAAGAGCATTACGTAATGGTCAAGAATTCATTTCAATGAGAACACCTAACTTTCCTAAATATATATAAACCCAAAACAGGAGCACCCAGATTCATAAAGCAAGTTCTTAGAGATCTTCAAAGAGACTTAGACTCTCACACAATAATAGTGGGAAACTTCAACACCACCATTGAGAGTATCAGACAGATCAACGGGACAGAAAATTAACAAAGAAATTCAAGACCTGAACTCAGCACTGGATCAAATGGACCTGATAGACATCTACAGAACTCTCCAACCCAAAACAACAAGATACACATTCTTCACACAGCCACATGGCGCATACTCCAAAATCAACCACATAATCAAACATAAAATGCTCCTTAGCAAATGCAGAAGAACTGAAATAATAACAATCACTCTCTCAGACCACAACACAACAAAATCAGAAATCAAGACTAAGAAAATTGCTCAAAACCATACAATTAAATGGAAATTGAATAGCCTGCTCCTGAATGACATTTGGATAAATAATGAAATTAAGGCATAAACCAAGAAGTTGTTTAAAAGTAATAAGAACAAAAATACAACATAACAGAATCTCTGGGAAACAGATAGGGTATTGTTAAAAGGGAAATTTATGGCACTGAACACTCACATTAAAAAATTAGAAAGATCTCAAGTTAACAACATAATATCACAACTAAAAGAACTAGAGAACCAAGATCAAAACAAACTCAAAGCTAGCAGAAAACAAAAAATAATCAAAATCAGAACTGAACTGAGAGAGATTGAGATAGAAAAAAACTATTCAAAAGATCAGCAAACCCAGGAGCAGAGTTTTTGAAAAAAGTTAATAAAATATACCACTAGCTAGACTAATAAAGAAGAAAAGAAAGAAGATACAAACAAACACAATTAGAAACGACAAAGGGGTTATTATGACTGACACCACAGACATAAAAATAACCATCAAAGAATATTATGAACACCTCTATGCACACAAACTATAAAACAGGGAAGAAATGGATAAATTCCTGGAATCCTATACCCTCCCAAGACTGAACCAGGGAGAAACTGAATCCCTGAACAGACCAATAACGAGCTTTGAAATTGAGGCACTAATAAATAGTGTAGCTACCAAAAAAAGAAAAAAGAAAAAAGAAAAAAAAACAGAAAGCCCAGGAACAGATGGATTAACAGCTGAATTCTACCAGATAAACAAAAAAGAGCTAGTACCATTCTTACTGAAACTATTCCAAAAAATTGAGGAGGAGAGACTCGTCCTTAACTCATTCTATGAGGCCAGCATAATCTGGATACCAAAATCTGGCAAAGACACAAAAATTTCAGGCCAATATCTTTGATGAACATCAATGCAAAAATCCTCGGTAAAATACTAGCAGACCACATCAGCAGCACATCAAAAAGCTTATCTACCATTATCAATTAGGCTTTATCCCTGGGATGCAAAGTTGGTTCAACATATGCAAATCAATAAATGCAAGTCATCACATAAACAGAACTAAATACAAAAATCACATGATTATTTCAATAGAGGCAGAAAAGAAAAATCTAAAAGAAAAATGCTAAAAGAAATCAGAGGTGACACAAACAAATGGAAAAACATTCCATGCTCATGTATAGGAAGAATCAATATAAATAGAATGGCCATACTGTCCAAAGCAATTTGTAGATTCAATGCTGTTCCTATGAAACTAAAAATGATGTTCATCATAGAACTACAAAAAATATTTTAAAATTCACATGGAACCAAAAAAATAAAGCTTGAGTAGCCAAGGCAATCCCAAGCAGTAAAAAACAGAGCTGGAGGCATCATGCTACCCAACTTTAAAATATACTACAAGCCTGATGTAAGAATTAAAAAAAGAGGAGTGAAACATGAAGGGTGGCTTTACAGTCAACAGGGACAGGTTTATTTTAAACAAACCTGAGAGGGGCTGCTGGTAAAGTTAGGTCAGAGCCACGCTCTCTTACAGACTAAGAGTTTTTAAGGATTCAGAGTGGGAGAAATTATCAGAGGCTTAGACTGCTTCTGTGTCTCTTTGTAATGCTTATCTGAGAGAGAGAGTTGTGTGTTTGTTCCCATACATCTTTCTGCAGCTGCAGGCATATCCCCTGAGTCTGCTTGAGCTTCCCTATCTGCACGTGAAGGGAAATGAATGTGCTTATTAAGGCCCGGCCCACTGTTTTACTGGGGCCCATTGTATGAGAGTGAAGTTTGGCAAGAGACTTTCCCCTTACTTCTCTCTGTGCCCGAGCTGTCTTATCTGTGTTTTACTGTCTGCTCTTTCTGTCTGCTTGTAGTTAGAGGAGAAGTGATTTCCTTGAAATGTATGAGGCTAGAAAGGGAGCTGGAACTTAAAGTGTCAGTGTTTGTCCAAGATGATGGTGCTCCTGCTCTGTCAGCTACAGTAATCACAGCAGCATGGAACTGGAGAAAAAAACAAACACACCGATGAATGGAACCAAATAGAAAGCCCAGAATTAAAGCTGTGCATCTACAGACATCTGATCTGCAACATAGCTGACAAAAACAAGTAATGGTGAAAGGACTCCCTGTTCAACAAATCATGTTAGGATAACAGGCTGGCCATATGCAGAAGATTGAAACTGGACCTCTTCCTTTCACCACATACAAAAATAAACTCAAGATGGATCAAAGACTTCAATGTAAAAGGTAAAGTGATTAAAACCCTGGAAGACAACCTAGACAATGCCATTGTGGACATAGGAATGAGCAAAGATTTCATGATGCAGATGCTGAAAGCAATTGCAACAAAAGCAAAAATATACCAATAAGATCTAATTAAACAAAAGAACTTTTGCACAGCAAAAGTAACTATCAACAGAGTAAAAAAACAACTTGCAAATTGAGAGAAAATTTTTGCAAACTATGCATCTGACACAGGTCTAATATCCAGCATCTATAAGTAACTTAAAATAACAAGAAAAAAAAGCAATCCCATTAAAAAGTGGGCAAAGGACATGAACAGACACTTTTCAAAAGATGACATACATGTGGCCAACAAACATATGAAAAACAGCTCAACATCACTGATCATTAGAGAAAAGCAAATCAAAATCACAATGAGATACCATCTCACACCAGTCAGATTGGCTATTATTAAAAAGTAAAAAAAGAACAAATGCTGGTGAGGTTCTGGAGAAAAAGGAACATTTATACACTGTTGGTGTGAGTTTAAATTAGTTCAACCATTGTGGAAAACAGTGTGGTGCTTCCTCAATGACCTAAAAACAGCACTACTATTAGGCACAGCAGGCCTGTTACTCAGTATATACCTAATGGAATATAAGCTGTTCTACCCATAAAGACACATGCTCGTGTATGTTCATTGCAGCACTATTCACAATAGCAAAGACGTGGAATCAACCTAAATGTCCATCAATGATAGACTGGATAAAGAAAATGTGGTACATATATAGCATGGAATACTATGCAGCCATAAAAAAGAAACAAGATTATGTCCTTTGCAGGGACATGGATGGAGCTGGAGGACATTATCCCTAGCAAACTAATGCAGGAACAGAAAACCAAATATCACGTGTTCTCACTTGTAAGTGGGAGATAAATGATGAGAACACATGGACACATATAGGGGAAAAACAGACACCAGGGTCTGTTGAGGAAGGAGAGTGGGAGGAGGGAGAGAATCAGGAAAAATAACTAATGGGTACTAGGCTTAATATCTGAGTGACAAAATAATTTGTACAACAACCCCCCATGACATGAGTTTACCTGTGTAACAAACCTGTACATGTATTCCTGAACTTAAAAGTTTAAAAAATTGGCATTTTATATGATTTTTCAGAGAATGTCAATTTCTGAAATGACCTTAAAGTTAGGAGAGCAGAGTTTTAACTTAGATGTCATTGGGCAATTCACTTGCTACTTTTTTCTTTTTCTTCTTTTCCTTTTCTCCCTTCCTCCCTCCTTTCTTCCCTTGCTCTGTCTCTTTTTCTTTTTTTTTTCATTCCTTCTTTCTTTTTCCATTTATTACTACTTTGTAGTGAGGTATAAAGATCAAGTACTCCCCTCTTTAGCCTCTACCCACTAGATGCCAGTAGCACCATCCCCTACCCAGTTGTGACAACCAAAATTGCCTCCAGACATTGCCTAACCCCCTGGAAGGCAAAATTTCCTTCCATTTTCACCACTACTTTTGGCAATAAAATGTTGAAAAATTAAATAGTAGATTTATCAATTATAAATGTGAACCATTTAACAAAAATTGTATTGAAAAACAGGACTACTATAAATTTGAGGCATTTTTTCTTTCCAGTCCCCGAGTGTATAAAGTTATGTTATAAATTTGCAATGATCACAGCAGCATAGAGGGATGACAAATGAAATTCAGAAAGCTAGGATTTTAAATAAAAGGACAACGTTCTATAATGCTGCAATTGTTGTATAATCTATGGTCCTATAATTGTTGTAAATAACATGGTATGAAATGAAATAATGAAACTGAATGGCTTCTATGTATCCCACCCCTTCTAAATGACCACACCCAACCCTTCAAAATCCCAGGTTCTGAATACTTCTTTAAACAAGGAGGTAAAATTTTAGGAGAAAAATGAAGCTGGAATTTTTCATTATTCTTGGTGAACTCTCAGAACCTCATTATATCTGTTTCCACAAAATAATTGAACTCATGCACACATTTCTCATACTTGAGCCTACAGCTCCACTTAGTGGTTTGTATGGTTCATAAGCAAAGGAAGTTTAAGTGGTTTTAAATTGTCCTTAGCCTAGTAGAAAAATAAATGCTGTTTGTATCTTCTCAATTTGGTAAAACATTTTAAATAATCAAGTGCAGTAGAACTATAGTCCAAATATCAAACAGTTTTAGTTTCATTGATGCTTGGGGAAAAATCATGTTCCCTCTGAAACATACAGCATTGAAAGCCTAATCTCAAGTATCCAAGTCAGAGAACTCCTTTTCTCCCTATCCTGCCCTTTCTACTCTGATAGCTGTGATTAGATCACAGTAGAGGAGTCAAAGGGAAAAAAAATCAGCTGAAATAATAGGATAAAGAAACGTTGGCGAAAGTTTTGGATGAATGACATCCAAACATTCCATGCAGAGTTTATAAAAGGTATTTTTTAAGGAGAGAGGCTTTTATTATTTTATTGTTAATATGTCCACATTACAAGTAAGATGACTATAAAGCAGAAGTAAAATCATGTGTATTCCTAGATCTATGTAGATAATCACTTTTAACATTTTGATGTGTCTTTTTCTATGTATATTCTCTATATAATAAACTATTTTTCTACCTAAAACCAATACTTAAACTGAAGATCAATCAATGGTGTTAAAAGTCAGAATAGTGATTACCTCAATACAAGGGTAAGTATTAAATGGAAAGAAGTTGGAGAGAAATTATTGGAAGCATTGGGAATGTTCAATATCTTGATATGAGTGATGGTTACACACACATGTACACATGCATGTATGCATGAGTGTATGTGAATAACTGATTCATTACAATTAATATCTATAGTGTATGTTACATATCAATAAAAATAAATCTAAGAAAAAATAAATTGAAGATTAATTTCAATCCTAATTGAGAAACAATGCCCATTATTTATTTTTTCATAATTGAAAATTAATACGTGTGCATGACTAAATATTCTAAGAGTACAAATAAATACAAAATAAAAATTAGATATTCCACCCCAGTCAGGCACTGCTTTCTCTCCTTAGTGGCAATATTTATTAATGTTAAAGCTACTGTGTAATATAATAGATAATATAGATAATATAATTCTCAATTATACTGTGTATTTTTTTGAACTTCGCATTATCTCTGTAATAAATCTGAGGGATGTTTCTGTATTGACATACACAGATATGCTCTGTTTTTGTTAATGGCATAGTATTCTACTGGATGGATTCACCATATATTTTAAAACCAATTGTTTATTGATGGAAACTCAGTGTTTTTTCTCCTAGTCTGGTGCTTTATTACAATCAATGCTGCAACAAACATTCTTGGGTATATACTTGTACACATGCGTGAATATATCTGTTGTATTTATTTCTGAAAGTAAAATCGCTAGGTCAATGGGAATGTGTGTGCTAAAAGGTATTTTCAAGTTGCCTTGCAATGGGATTGCAACAATAGCATATGTAATAGCACATTACAAATGGTATGATATCAAAATCTGTAACCTTTGCCAATCTGACAGATGAAAAATGCGACCTTTGTTCTCATTCCCATTTATTTTGTTATGAGTGGGCCAAACATGTTTTTGTAAGTTTTTAAGTTATACTATTTCTTTTGATGATAAGTTTGTTCATATTTTTAGCCTACTTTTTATTGGGTTCGTCTTAGTTTGGGTTCCACTGAAAGCCAAGCCTGCTGCAAGAACTTGGATTCAGATAGTTTATTTGGGATGTAATTTCAGAAAACAGGAGTTGGAGAGTTGTAGAGTGAGATGGAGAGGAAGAAAGGACAGTTAAAGGATACATCATGTGGATCACTACTATAGGCTAAATTCCACCAGGACCTTCTGAGAAGTGTGTACAATGTCTCCAAGCATTGTCCACCTGAGGGTTCAGAGTTTGAAAATATTTCTTGGTTAGTTTCTGTCCCCCACTGATTGAGCATTACTCACAGGTAGTGTTAAATCAGCCATATATTCAGGCTGTGCTTGCCTCCCACGGTATTGGAAAAGGCTGTGAAACAGAAAGTAGAGATAACTCTCTTTCCCTGATACGCCAGAGACTTCAATCCTGCACTGGGAGATAACCAGGGAAGCCTAGCAACACAAGCAAGGGGGCTCCACTCCAATAATCAACCCAGCCTGGGAAGCTTCTTTTTCTCCATGGGCACGAGACACTCCTTCCTTATCCAGAGACACTGGTTGCCTGTGTGGCACCAGGAAGAGGGATTTCAACATCAGAACCATTCAGGCTAAAAGTCTCTGTACCTCTATAGTCCTGAGATTCCCCTTTCCCACCCAGAGAGACTAGGGCACCAGTAAATGAATAACCACAATGACAAGAGCCTAGCCAAAGAAGTGCTCTTTATCTTCCACAGTCAGGGAAAAGAATGCCACAGCAACCTCCTTGCCAGGGAAGCCCGTTTACCTTCACGGCCTGAGAATCCCTTGCCCCACCCATCAACACCAGGCACCCAGGCCTAGGGAAACCTCTTCCACTCCACTGACAAGTAGCAGTGGGAGCTGCAGCAGCACCAGATAAACTAAGATCATACTAATACTGCAAAGTCTCTAAAAATTAAGCTGTCATTATAATCACAGACCACAAAAGTTGGCTAGCATCTGCATGCTAAACCTAGGCATGATGACTGCCTGCTCACATAAAAGATATAAATAGGAGTCACAAAACACAATCAACATGACGAGGAAGCAATAAAAAGCCTGTCATATCAAGGACTAGGGAAATCAGTAATCTATTTGGAAAAGACAATCAACAGAAACCAACAGCAAGATGAATCTAATGTTGTAACTGTCTGACAAAGATTTTAAAGCAGTTATGAAATACTTCAATAATTAATTAAATGTAAACCTAGAAAATTTCAGAAAAGAAATAAAGTTATAAAAATAACCAAATGGAAATTATAGAAATTAAATATTAGAAATAAAAGGGAACATGCTGGATTGGCTCAAAGACAGAGTAAAGATGACACAAACAGAATTAGTGAACTTGAGAAAGATCAATAGAATTTATACATTCTGAATAATAAAGATAAAATAGATGCAATAAAAATGAACCAAATCTGAAGGACCTGTGGGAGAATAACAAAAAGCTAACATTTGTGCCATCAGAGTTCCAGAAAAAGAGGTGAGGGAGACAGAGAGAGAGAGAGAGAGAGAAACTGAGATCATTGAAAACAATTTGAATTCTTAATCAAAGGAGAAGCCAAATGTAAAAATTTGGAAAATTCTCAGACTGGCCATGTAAATAATTTTTAAAAAATAGTATTTAGGAGAGAAAATCAAGAGTGTGGCCAAGATACCTTTGATGATGAGGTTAGTATGAATAGAAGAAAGCCAGATGCTATCTTTTTTTCCTTCATCTTTTATTTTAAGATCTGGGGTACATGTGCAGTATGTGTAGGTTTGTTACATAAATAAATGTATGCTATGGGTGGTTGCTGTACAGATCAACCTATCATTTTGGTATTAAGCCCAGCAACCATTAGCTATTCTTCCTGATGCTCTCCTTCTCCCTACCTCTGACAGGCCCCAGTATGTGTTGTTTCCCATCCTGTATCCATGTGTTCTCATTGTTCAGCTCCCACTTAAAGAGAGAACATGTAGTGTTTTCTGTTCCTGTGTTAGTTTGCTGAGGATAATGGCTTCCAGGTCCATCCATGTTCCTGGAAAGGACATGATCTGCTTCTTTTTTACGGCTGCATAGTGCTCCCTGGTGTATATGTACGACATTTTCTTTATGCAGTCTATCATTGATGGGCATTTGAATGGATTCCGAGTCTTTGCTATTGTGAATGGTGCTGCAATGAACTTATGTGTGCATGTATCTTTATAATAGAATGATTTACATTCCTTTGGGTATATACCCAGTAATGGGATTGCTGGGTCAAATGATATTTCTGCCTCTAGATCTTTGAGGAATCACCACACTGTCTTCCACAATAGTTGTACTAATTTACATTCCCACCAACAGTGTATAAGGGTTCCTTTTTCTCCACAACCTCACCAGCATCTGTTATTTTATGACTTTTTAATAATGGCCATCTGACTGGCTTGAGATGCGATCTCATTGTGGTTTTGATTTACATTTCTCTAATGATCAGTTATGTTGAGCTTTTTGTCATGTGTTTGTTGGCCACATGAATGTCTTATTTTGAGAAGTGCCTACTTATGTCCTTTGCCCACTTTTTAATGGGGTTGTTTTTCTCTTGTGTGCCTTATAGACTCTGGATATTAGACTTTTGTCAGATGGACAGATTGCAAAAATTTTCCCCCATTCTGTACATTATCTGTTCACTCTGATGATAGTTTCTTTTGCTGTGCAGAAGCTCCATAGTTTACTTATATCCCATTTGTCCATTTTTGCTTTTATTGCAATTGCTTTTGGCATTTTTGTCATGAAATATTTGCCTGTGCCTATGTCCTGAATGGTATTGCCTAGATTTTCCTCTGGGGTTTTTATACTTTTGGGTTTTACATTGAAGTCTTTGATCCATCTTGAGTTAATTTTTGTATAAGGTGTAAAGAAGGGGCCCAGTTTTAATTTTCTGCATATGACTGGCCAGTTCTTCCAGCATCATTTATTAAATGGGGAATCCTTTCCCCATTGCTTGTTTTTGACAGATTTATAGAAGATCACATGGTTGTAGGTGTGTGGTCTTATTTCTGAGTTCTCTATTCTGTTCCATTGTTCTATGTGTCTGTTTTTGTGCCAGTATCTTGCTGTTTTGGTTACTGTAGCCATGTAGTATAGTTTGAAGTCAGGTAGCATGATGCCTCCAGCTTTGTTCTTTTTGCTTAGGATTGTCTTGGCTATTCAGGTTGCTTTTTGGTTCCATATGAAATTTAAAGTAGTTTTTCTAAGTCTGTGGAGAATGTCAATGTTAGTTTAATGGGGACAGCATTGAATCTATAAATTACTTCAGGCCGTATGGCCATTTTCACGATATTGATATTTACGAAGACAATAGGAAGATGACCCAGAGGCATTTCAGAGATCTTGGAGGCTGCCATGTTCACCACAGGACCAGAGTGCCAGGGCCTTGAGGGCAGAATGGCTTCTAGGGAGAAGCCCAGGTTGCACGTAGGACCTCAGTGCTCACTTCCTAGGGTTATCTCAAGTCTCTTCACCCTGCATTCATGCACAAAAGTCTTCAAATGCCCCAGCTGGGGCTCAGGAGGGTCCAGCCATGGCTTGGGTGACTACTCTGGAGGGTGCAGGCAGTGAGTCTTGGTGGAGTTCATGTAGTACTAGCTCTGCAGACATACTGAGTACATGAGCTACGGAAGCATGGTTACCTCTACCCAGATTTAAAAAAAATGCAATGGAGAGCTTCAGGATCCAGGCAAAGAACTGCCTCAGGGTCAGGGCCACTGCAGAAAGCTCCCTCTAGGGAAAAACTTAGTGGAGATGTGAGTTTGGGGCCACCACAGAGAGCCCCCACTAAGGCAATGCTTATTGGAGCCACAAGGGCAGGCCTACCCCAAGACCTGTAGAGCCACCAGGATACAATGCCAGCCTGGGAGATCCACAGGCACCTGACCAGTCTGTAAGAAGTATGGTGTGGCTTGCACCCAAGAAAGCCATGGAGGCTGGATTCCCCAGAGTCCTGAGAACCCAACTCCTACCCTAGTGTGTTTGTAAGGCAGAACATGGAGTCAAATAAGTTTAATCTCAATCCTTAAGATATAATTTTGTTTGCTGTATTGGGTTTTGGACTTAGTTGAGTCCTGCAACCTCTTTCTTCTTGCTTATTTCTCCCATTTGGAATTGGAATGTCTATCCCATGCACGTCACAACACTGTACATTGGAAGCACAAAACTTGTTTGATATTACAGGTTCTCAGCTGGAGGGGAATTTGCCTGAGTATGAATCATACCTTGATTCTCTCCCTTATCTGATTTAGATGAGACTATGGACTTTAGACAAGTTTGCGCTAGAATGAGTTATGAGTTTTGGGGCTATTAGGATAGAATGTATGTATTTTACTTGTAAGAGGGTCAGGGCCGAATGTTATTGTCTTAACATGTCCCCCCAAATTCATGTGTTGAACATTAACGGCTGATGTGCGGTCAGGCACGGTGGCCCACACCTGTAATCCCAGCACTTTGGGAGGCTGAGGTGGGCAGATCACCTGAGGTCAGGAGTTGAAGACCATCCTGGCCAATATGGTGAAACCCCGTCCCTACTAAAAATACAAAAATTAGCCGGGCATGGTGGCGGGCACCTGTAATCCCAGCTACTCAGGAGGCTGAGGCAGGAGAATCGCTTGAACCCAGGAGGTGGAGGTTACAGTGAGCCGAGATCATGCCACTGCACTCCATCCTGGGCAACAGAGCAGCACTCTGTCTCAAAAAACAAAAGAAAAAAAAATCAAAGACACTAAAAGTTAGTTTTTTTTTTTAAATAAACAAGATTGATAAACTGCCCCTAGGGTGTGGGGATACAGCCCAAAGCCAGGAATTGGGCAAAGTATGGTGCGTAGCTCTGTGGGGCCCCATGCCACCACTGCTGGCTGGACTAGCACTGTTGGGCATAGCACAGTCATGGGCAATGGCAGGTGGAGGCTTCAGCCCACACCTGCAACCTGCAACAAGGAAGCACCAGCACAGCCTCCACCCCAAAGACCTCTACTACAAACTACTGGGGGCCTTATAACTGTTTGGGACCTCAACCAGACAATCCTGAACTTTCAATCCTGCCTTCTCTGGAACCCAGCCCTGTTGACCTCAAAACCTTAAAAACTAAGGTAAGCTGTGCTCCCTCCACCCTCTAAATTTCATTCAAGGCACCATATCCCTGACTGAGGGACCTTAAGAAAGTCTAAAAAAAAAATGGCCTCCAGACATAAGTTTCACTCAAAGAAGTTAACCCTGTCACCTGCATGCGCACAAGACCAGAAGGATGACAGATCTTTGCCTTTGCTTCATTATAATACTAAAATCTCCACCCAAAGATGTGCTCATCTGCCATTTTGTAATCATGTGATATATGTGTTAGCATGACTCCTTACTACACTTGTGCACCCTGTATTCCATCACATCATGTTGTAAAGTTCACTTACCTCATGAATTATGCATGTCACACTCCTTAAGGCACCACAATGCCCCCCACTTGGGGAGGCAGCTGGATAACTTTAATTCCAGTGCTGACTCCCTTGTATTTGAACAAAAACCCCTAAAAAGGGCCTTGACTAGGAAACTTGCTGGACTTCGTGTCAATTTCCATTACATGAGAGTGTAAGAACCTGTGGTCTGTAACAGTATTATGCTTTGAATATTTGTGTTCCCTGCAAAATTCATGTTAAAACTTAGTACTCAATGCAACAATATTAAGAGTTGGGGCCTTTAGGAAGTGATTAGACCATGAGGGCTCTGTCCTCATGAATTGTATTAGTGCCTTATACAGGGGTTTGGGAAGGTGAGTTCACCCTTTCCACCCTATTTTGCCCTTGCATCTCTTCTGCCATGTGAGGTCACAGTGTTCATCCTCTCCAGATGATGCAGCAATGCACAATCTCGGAAGCAGAGAGCAGCCTTCACCAGACAACCAAACCTGCATGCACCTTGATGTTGAACTTTCTGGCCTCCGGAAGTATGAGAAATACATTTCTGTTCTTTATAAGTTACCCAGTCTCAGGTATTTTGTTATAGCATCCCAAATGGACCAAGGAAAGAAGGAATGGTGTGGGTCTGTCTATACAGGACAGCAACAAGGAGGCATAATAGGTATTATAATCTGATAGCAATAAATTCAAAGGTGGGGGCTATTAGGGAGAAAGGAGGGACAATGACGTAAGAAGGTACAATTGTTTGGAAGCTGCAATGACACAGAAGAAAGAATAAGGGCACTAAGGAGATTATAGAGATGATAAGAGATGATTAGAAATGTTTGGCCTACCTCATCAATAGCAATAATGTCTCATCTTTTAAAGTTTTAATTTCTTTGATTACATTTACTTGATTTTTTTTCATGTGTAGGTGACAGCATAATTAATTATGGTTTTCATTTGTTCTCACTATATTTCCCCTCCTCCAATTCATGGAGGGTTCGTCTTAGATGGGTAGAGAGGTTACATAGTAGAACCTAAAGCAAAAGTTTTCTGAAAACCTCCTGCTAGATTTTTTTTTGCACAATTATATTAGGCCATTCTCAAATGAAAAGGGAAAGAGGTAAATGCATTTTGTATTGAATGGAGTGGGACAGAAATACAAGAGCTTAGGGGAGAGAAGGAGATTCACTAGGCATGGGAAAGGATAGCAGGAACTATGGTTTTTAAAGCATCAGGGGCCCATGCCCACTCAGCTCCCATGGAAGTAGTGGGATGATAGTGAATATAACACTAGGTGTCTGGGCTCCCTGTCTTGACAAATATTTCCATGGCCACACATGCCTCAGAGACCACTGTAAGAAACTAAGTGAGCAATAAATGTATCAATGTAGACTAGTGTAAACTATAGGCCAGTAGGGCACCCCTGAATTTTCTGATCCATAAAAGATACCTGGGACCTTTCTATAACCCTAGTGAATGAAAGAAAAATGATTAAAATTAAATTTCCCCCAGACTGGTGGAATGGGTGTTGGAATCCAAATAACTGTTTTTGTTTGCTTGGATTCTGCACATTCGTTTGTGGAGTAAAACTCATAGTTTTTACAATATCAAATGAAGCCCATACTTCCCCAACTTTTTACATAATTTAAATTTTACCTATGGAGAAAAGCTTTTCCTTTTACATGTAGTTCAATTTGCTTTGAATTTCATTCCATTCATTTCCAACTATTTCAACATGTGAGACTCAACTTTATGGTGTTGCATGTTTACTTTTTAGACTTTTGGATAGATGATCCCATTTGGTATGCATTTTAGAGGTATCTACCTACCTGCAAATCAGACAGACTCTTTCAACTGCAAACAAAACAAAACAAAACAAAAAACAAAACAAAACATGCCTTTAGGGAATGCCTGATATCTAGCTGTTTATAGGAACATAATTAAAAATTTTGGATGAAAAAGTATACTGACAAGCTCTGAATGCCCTTAAATATGTCTCGGGATGATACAACATAAATAGTTGATCTTGAGAAAAACAATCACCTTCAAACCAAATGTCTGCATAAAACAGCCAGTTAAATGGCTTGTTAACTTTTTGTGCTATTATTTTACTAAATTATGTTTGTCATTATTTATGAGCCTCGAGTAATTACTGAAGGGTTATAGTGGCCCTTATGTGTTGTTATAAAGGTAAGTAAGTAAAATTTAGAAAGACTCAATGTCTATATTGACCTATCCTTTGTTTCACTTCAGGTTTGTGGGGTAAAATCTTTTGAAATTACCAATAATAGGTCATGACATTTTGGTCACCAGAACACAGATGATACTTTCATGAAACAACAAATGGATTCCTGAGTCTGAAGTGGTTGTAGATACAATAGCACCAAAAACAATCCAGGCAAAGCAAAAAGGGCCCATTTCTGCCCCTCAATTCATGTTTTTATTGAACAGCTTCTGTATGTTAAGCACCAAACAAGACACTTTGAAATACGAGGTGGCAAAACTGTAAGAAATGGTTAATCCATATATTTACAAAGTAGGCTGTGGACTAGCTTCTGAAAATATAAATCCATATAGAATCCATTTTACTCTTTCTTGAACTATTATTTTTAGATCAGTTGAGATGGTTGTGAACAATGTAAAATGTGACATGTGACAATGATATCTAAAACATGTTTGACCTTAATTCATTAGTTCCACCATTCAGTTTTTGGAATTAAAAAGTAGCAATACTCAATGGCTTTATTATCCTTAAGACCCTGAGTATTCTTTTTTTTATTATTATACTTTAAGTTTTAGCGTACATGTGCACAACGTGCAGGTTTGTTACATATGTATACTTGTGCCATGTTGGTGTGCTGCACCCAGTAACTCTTCATTTAACATTAGGTATATCTCCTAATGCTATCCCTCCCCCCTTCCCCCACCCCACAACAGGCCTCAGTGTGTGATGTTCACCTTCCTGTGTCCATGTGTTCTCATTGTTCAATTCCCACCTGTGAGTGAGAACATGCGGTGTTTGGTTTTTTGTCCTTGTGATAGTTTGCTGAGAATGATGGTTTCCAGCTTCATCCATGTCCCTACAAAGGACATGAACTCATCCTTTTTTATGGCTGCATAGTATTCCATGGTGTATATGTGCCACATTTTCTTAATCCAGTCTATCATTGTTGGACATTTGGCTTGGTTCCAAGTCTTTGCTATTGTGAGTAGTGCTGCAATAAACATACGTGTGCATGTGTCTTTACAGTAGCATGTTTTATAATCCTTTGGGTATATACCCAGTAATGGGATGGCTGGGTGAAATGGCATTTCTAGTTCTAGATCCCTGAGGAATCGCCACAATGACTTCCACAATGGTTGAACTAGTTTACAGTCCCACCAACAGTGTAAAAGTGTTCCTATTTCTCCACATCCTCTCCAGCAACTGTTGTTTCCTTTTTAATGATCGCCATTCTAACTAGTGTGAGATGGTATCTTATTGTGGTTTTGATTTGCATTTCTCTGATGGCCAGTGATGATGAGCATTTTTTCATGTGTCTTTTGGCTGCACAAATGTCTTCTTTTGAGAAGTGTCTGTTCATATCCTTCGCCCACTTGTTGATGGGGTTGTTTTTTTCTTGTAAATTTGTTTGAGTTCATTGTAGATTCTGGATACTAGCCCTTTGTCAGATGAGTAGATTGCAAAAATTTTCTCCCATTCTGTAGGTTGCCTGTTCACTCTGATGGTAGTTTCTTTTGCTGTGCAGAAGCTCTTTAGTTTAATTAGATCCCATTTGTCAATTTTGGCTTCTGTTGCCATTGCTTTTGGTGTTTTAGACATGAAGTCCTTGCCCATGCCTATGTCCTGAATGTTATCCTAAGTTTTCTTCTAGGGTTTTTATGGTTTTAGGTCTAACATTTAAGTCTTTAATCCATCTTGAATTAATTTTTGTACAAGGTGTAAGGAAGGGATCCAGTTTCAGCTTTCTACATATGGCTAGCCAGTTTTCCCAGCACCATTTATTAAATAGGAAATCCTTTCCCCATTTCCTGTTTTTGTCAGGTTTCTCAAAGATAAGATAGTTGTAGATATGCAGCATTATTTGTGAGGCCTCTGTTCTGTTCCATTGGTCTATATCTCTGTTTTGATACCAGTACCATGCTGTTTTGGTTACTGTAGCCTTGTAGTATAGTTTGAAGTCAGGTAGCGTGATGCCTCCAGCTTTGTTCTTTTGGCTTAGGATTGACTTGGCAACACAGGCTCATTTTTGGTTCCATATGAACTTTAAAGTAGTTTTTTTCCAATTCTGTGAAGAAAGTCATTGGTAGCTTTATGGGGATGGCATTGAATCCGTAAATTACCTTGGGCAGTACGGCCATTTTCACGATATTGATTCTTTCTACCCATGAGCATGGAATGTTCTTCCATTTGTTTGTATCCTCTTTTATTTCATTGAGCATTGGTTTGTAGTTCTCCTTGAAGAGGTCCTTCATGTCCCTTGTAAGTTGGATTCCTAGGTATTTTATTCTCTTTGAAGCAATTGTGAATCGGAGTTCACTCATGATTTGGCTCTCTGTTTGTCTGTTATTGGTGTATAAGAATGCTTGTGATTTTTGCACATTGATTTTGTATCCTGAGACTTTGCTGAAGTTGCCTATCAGCTTAAGGAGATTTTGGGCTGAGATGATGGGGTTTTCTAGATATACAATCATGTCATCTGCAAACAGGGACAATTTGACTTCCTCTTTTCCTAATCGAATAACCTTTATTTCTTTCTCCTGCCTAATTGCCCTGGCCAGAACTTCCAACACTGTGTTGAATAGGAGTGGTGAGAGAGGGCATCCCTGTTTTGTGCCAGTTTTCAAAGGGAATGATTCCAGTTTTTGCCCATTCAGTATGATACTGGCTGTGGGTTTGTCATAAATAGCTCTTATTATTTTGAGATACGTCCCATCCATACCTAATTTATGGAGAGTTTTTAGCTTGAAGGGTTGTTGAATTTTGTCAAAGGCCTTTTCTGCATCTATTGAGATAATCATGTGGTTTTTTGTCATTGGTTCTGTTTGTATGCTGGATTACGTTTATTGATTTGCTTATGTTGAACCAGCCTTGCATCCCAGGGATGAAGCCCACTTGATCACGGTGGATAAGCTTTTTGATGTGCTGCTGGATCCGGTTTGCCAGTATTTTATTGAGGATTTTTGCATCGGTGTTCATCAGGGATATTGGTCTAAAATTCTCTTCTTTTTGTTGTATCTCTGCCAGGCTTTGGTATCAGGATAATGCTGGCCTCATAAAATGAGTTAGGGAGGATTCTCTCTTTTTCTATTGATTGGAATAGTTTCAGAAGGAATGGTACCAGCTCCTCCTTGTACCTCTGGTAGAATTCTGCTGGTCTTGGACTTTTTTTGGTTGGTAAGCTATTAATTATTGCCTCAGTTTCAGAGCCTGTTATTGGTCTATTCAGAGATTCAACTTCTTCCTGGTTTAGTCTTGGGAGGGTGTATGTGTCCAGGAATTTATCCATTTCTTCTAGATTTTCTAGTTTATTTGAGTAGAGGTGTTTATAGTATGCTCTGATGGTAGTTTGCGTTTCTGTGGGATCGGTGGTGATATCCCCTTTATCATTTTTTATTGTGTCTGTTTGATTCTTCTCTCTTTTCTTCTTTATTAGTCTTGCTAGCGGTCTATCAATTTTGTTAATCTTTTCAACAAACCAGCTCCTGGATTCATTGATTTTTTTGAAGGGTTTTTTGTGTCTCTATTTCCTTCATTTATGCACTGATCTTAGTTATTTCTTGCCTTCTGCTAGCTTTTTGAATGTGTTTGCTCTTGCTCCTCTAGTTCTTTTAATTGTGATGCTGGGTGTTAATTTTAGATCTTTCCTGCTTTCTCTTGTGGGCATTTAGTGCTATAAATTTCCCTCTACACACGGTTTTGAATGTGTCCCAGAGATTCTGGTATGTTGTGTCTTTGTTCTCGTTGGTTTCAAAGACCATCTTTATTTCTGCCTTCATTTTGTTATGTACCCAGTATTCATTCAGGAGCAGGTTGTTCAGTTTCCACGTAGTTGAGCAGTTTTGAGTGAGTTTCTTAATCCTGAGTTCTAGTTTGATTGCACTGTGGTCTGAGAGATAGTTTGTTCAACAGAAATTCTACATAATTTCTGTTCTTTTACATTTGCTGAGGAGTGTTTTACTTCCAACTATGTGGTCAGTTTTGGAATAGGTGTGGTGTGGTGCTGAATAGAATGCATATTCTGTTGATTTGGGGTGAAGAGTTCTGTAGATGTCTATTAGGTCTGCTTGGTGCAGAGCTAAGTTCAGTTCCTGGATATCCTTGTTAACTTTCTGTCTCGTTGATCTGTCTAATGTTGACAGTGGGGTGTTAAAGTCTCCCATTATTATTGTGTGGGAGTCTAAGTCTCTTTGTAGGTCTCTATGGACTTGCTTTATGAATCTGGGTGCTCCTGTATTGGGTGCATATATATTTAGGATAGTTAGCTCTTCTTGTTGAATTGATCCCTTTATCATTATGTAATGGCCTTCTTTGTCTCTTTTGATCTTTGTTGGTTTAAAGTCTGTTTTATTAAAGACTAGGATTGCAACCCCTGCCTTTTTTTTGTTTTCCATTTGCTTGGTAGATCTTCCTCCATCCCTTTATTTTGAGCCTATGTGTGTCTCTGCACGTGAGATGGGTTTCCTGAATACAGCACACTGATGGGTCTTGACTCTTTATCCAATTTGCCAGTCTGTGTCTTTTAATTGGAGCATTTAGCCCATTTACATTTAAGGTTAATATTGTTATGTGTGAATTTGATCCTGTCATTATGATGTTAGCTGGTGATTTTGCTCGTTAGTTGATGCAGTTTCTTCCTAGCCTCTCTGGTCTTTACAATTTGGCATGTTTTTGCAGTGGCTGGTACCAGTTGTTCCTTTCCATGTTTAGTGCTTCCTTCAGGAGCTCTTTTAGGGCAGGCCTGGTGGTGACAAAATCTCTCAGTATTTGCTTGTCTGTAAAGGATTTTATTTCTCCTTCACTTATGAAGCTTAGTTTGGCTGGATATGAAATTCTTGGTTGAAAATTCTTTTCTTTAAGAATGTTGAATATTGGTCCCCACTCTCTTCTGGCTTGTAGAGTTTCTGCCAAGAGATCAGCTGTTAGTCTGATGGGCTTCCCTTTGTGGGTAACCTGACCTTTCTCTCTGGCTGCCCTTAACATTTTTTCCTTCATTTCAACTTTGGTGAATCTGACAATTATGTGTCTTTGGAGTTGCTCTTCTCGAGGAGTATCTTTGTGGCATTCTCTGTATTTCCTGAATTTGAATGTTGGCCTGCCTTGCTAGATTGGGGAAGTTCTCCTGGATAATATCCTGCAGAGTGTTTTCCAACTTGGTTCCATTCTCCCCGTCACTTTCAGGTACACCAATCAGACATAGATTTGGTCTTTTCACATAGTCCCATATTTCTTGGAGGCTTCGTTCGTTTCTTTTTATCCTTTTTTCTCTAAACTTCTCTTCTTGCTTCATTTCATTCATTTGGTCTTCCATCACTGATACCCTTTCTTCCAGTTGATCGAATCAGCTACTGAGGCTTGTGCATTCATCACGTATTTCTCGTGCCATGGTTTTCAGCTCTATCAGGTCCTTTAAGGACTTCTCTGCATTGGTTATTCTAGTTAGCCATTCGTCTAATTTTTTTTCAAGGTTTTTAACTTCTTTGCCATGGGTTCGAGCTTCCTCCTTTAGCTTGGAGTAGTTTGATCATCTGAAGCCTTCTTCTCTGAAGTCGTCAAAGTCATTCTCCATCCAGCTTTGTTCCATTGCTGGTGAGGAGCTGCGTTCCTTTGGAGGAGGAGAGGTGCTCTGATTTTTAGAGTTTCCAGTTTTTCTGCTCTGTTTTTTCCCCATGTTTGTGGTTTTATCTACCTTTTGTCTTTGATGATGGTGACATACAGATGGAGTTTTGGTGTGGATGTCCTTTCTGTTTGTTAGTTGTCCTTCTAACAGTCAGGACACTCAGCTGCAGGTCTGTTGGAGTTTGCTGGAGGTCCACTCCAGACCCTGTTTGCCTGGGTATTAGCAGCGGAGGCTGCAGAACCGCGGATATTGGTGAACAGCAAATGTTGCTGCCTGATCGTTCCTCTGGAAGTTTTGTCTCAGAGCAGTACCCGGCCATGTGAGGTTTCAGTCTGCCCCTACTGGGGGGTGCCTCCCAGTTAGTCTACTCGGGGGTCATGGACCCACTTGAGGAGGCAGTCTTTCCATTCTCAGATCTCCAGCTGTGTGCTGGGAGAACCACTACTCTCTTCAAAGCTGTCAGACTGGGACATTTAAGTCTGCAGAGTTTTCTGCTGCCTTTTGTTTGGCTATGCCCTGCCCCCAGAGGTGGAGTCTAGAGAGGCAGGCAGGCCTCCTTGAGCCGAGGTGGGCTCCACCGAGTTTGAGCTTCCCGGCTGCAATGAGCAAGACTCCGTGGGCATATGACCCTCCGAGCCAGGCACAGGATGTAATCTCCTGGTGTGCCATTTGCTAAGACCATTGGAAAAGCACAGTATTAGGATGGGAGTGACCCGATTTTCCAGGTGCCATCTATCACCCCTTTCTTTGACTAGGAAAGGGAATTCCCTGACCCCTTGCGCTTCCCGGGTGAGGTGATGCCTTGCCCTGCTTCAGCTCATGCTCAGTGCACTGCACCCACTGTCCTGCACCCACTTTCCGATACTCCCTAGTGAGATGAACCCGGTACCTCAGTTGGAAATGCAGAAATCACCCATCTTCTGCCTCACACGCTGGGAGCTGTAGACTGGAGCTGTTCCTATTCAGCCATCTTGGCTCCCTCAGACCCTGAGTATTCTTAAATCAGGGGTAAGGGCTCTATTAAAAAAATGCTATTATATCAGATGGAAATCAGTGTTAAAAAATGATTCAGTCAATAGATTTGCAGCATCGACATCCTTAGACCCCACTGCTCCTGCAAGTTACTAATAGCGAATAGCTAATGACTTCTAGTCATGACCTACCCTGTACCCATGCTTTGATAAAAAGTCCCCAGAATAATGCCCTCTCTCAGCCTTAGGGACTCACCCTGTCTGAGCTAATTCCAATTTGTGATGATACTTTTATTCCTTCGCTCATAACACTGTCCCCTAAAGTAGCTGAAGTCAGTGTACCCTATAATAAAGTTGAGTAAAACAATTTGATTGTAATGAAACGTTTTGAATTCAGCCCTTAACAACCTGGATAAGCATTATGTGATCCAGGTAGCCCAGCTCCAGAATGCCTGGCCACACATGCCAAATTAGGACAATACCCAACAGGCTCTAATGAGTAAGCCTGATGAACACCTCTCCAAAATGTCCCAAGATGACAGGATGTGCATGGGATTATACTTTTAATACTCCACTGTCAAGACCTGCTGAGGGAAATTCTGTTCTTCTGGTCCTAAAGAAAGGACTAAGCTTCTTTTGAAAACCTGCCATGATTACTCTGTCTTCTGTATTCCGCCATCAGCCTGCACTAAAACCCTTCTTAAATGAAAGATACTCTGTGATAGAGTGCTTCACCTTTCCTCTCCTCTGGACTTGAAAATACTGGGGTGGCATGGGAGGGAAGGCAGCATTGAAACTTGCTTGAGTTTTACCCATACCCTGTGAATCTATGCCTATGTGTAAAGTCCTATATATTTAGAGGAAAATTAATCAGCTTCTAATTTCACTACTGTAGCCAGAAGGTATTTTTAAAATCAGATTAATATATCCCTCTTTGGCCAGAATTCCAAATGCAACAACAAGCTGAACCCCTAACATATTCTAATCAGTTCATTATTATATACTTTAAAGAAATGAATATTATTTGAGTAAGTCCTAATTCCATGGCATTAGATAAGTATATTTCAATAATGACATCAACCGATGTTTTACAAAATTTTATTTTTCAAGGTTGAACAATGATTCATTGTAGGCTTTCAGATGAAACAATTAGCAGTCTTGAAGTACACATTGAATACAAATTAATTTGATTTCAGTAGGCACATTTCTTGGAACAAACTGAAGAGTACTTAAAAGATCCCATTGAATGCATGTGGCATTATTCCTAGTTTACGGATACTGTTTGAACTAAATGAATCTTGGGAGAGGGCAGTTAGTAATTAATGCATTTAGAAACTGATAGCGCTAAAATATTAAAACTTATGCATTCCAATGTTTACATGTGTATGTGTGTGTGCACATGTGATTCTGCTTTGCCTGTTTTACTATCTTAATGATTATCCCTTCTTACTGTTTCCTCTGAGGATCTTATCTCACTTCTACTGACAGTCAGAAATTTTCTTATCAGCCCTTTTATCCATCATTTTCTAGTTTTCAAATATTTCCAATAATGCCTTTTATTTTAGACAAGGGCTTTGTTGAAAAACCTAAATTACACCAAAATAAAACCATACTTTATCCCTAGTGCTGCTCATAACCTGCCAGAACTTTCATGCTTCAAATCACAAGGGCTAGGGAAATTGTCTAGTCAGGAGCCCCCCTCCACACTTCTGTGACGGGCTGGGGCTTCCAGGTACTGCTGCTACAAGGTAATGTATAGATATAATTTCTTCTGTCTCTTACAAAATAAACTGACCATGAAATATCATTGTCCCTTCACTTTCTTGTTTCAGCTGGCAAAGGATGTAAAGATTCCAGATGGATTTACATCTAAGTCAGAAATATTCATTACCTATGAGCCACTTTAAATATTTTCTGTCCTTTCTAAATGATTACCTAACATTTCGATCTCCCTTTTTGACATGTGCCCAGCTTCCTTTCTTTATTAACACTTTATCCTTTAAAGCTCGGTTTATCATTTACAATCTCTCTTACTTGGTTACTTTGGGACATCATTGTAGATTCAGGTCACTTTTGCCTATTTTTACCAGAATAACTGCCACAGAGTGCAATGGGGGTTGACTTCCTAAAATAGTTTACTGTCTTACTGTCTTCAAATATGATTTTAAGATAAAACTTATTTTTAAGCTTAACTTTGAGTAAATATTATGAAGAAAAAATGAATTATTAAAAGACTTGATTCTACACACTACGTATATGAGGAAATTTTCTGAAATTAAAACATAGCAAGCTCCATTTGCTCAGCGATGAGGTACTTGCACAAAGTTCCCCATGGCCTTTTGGTGTACAAATTTATAATAATGAAGACTACTTCTAAGAAAAAAAATTTGACATAAAAGTTTGTTTTTAAAAAAAAAAAACTACTGCATTCAAAAAGTTGTTTGAGTTGTAAACACTCAAGGATAAGCCAGTTTTAGGATCACATTATTGTGTCACAGTAAAAGAAATGTGAGTCACATTTATTTCCTTAATTAATGGATTCAGGCTTTCCTAAATTCTCAATAATGAGCTACACTACATTCTTGATGTAAGTTGTTAGGAAAATCCAAATCTTCATTTCTAGCACTAAGTGTCAAGAAATGTGCTATTATGAAATCACACATAGTCAGCTGCTTTTGTATTTTGGTTAACCAGGTAGTTTGAAAATTATTTTCCCACTAGCACTGTCCTCAGATTTTAGAAGCAGAACTAGAGGAATTATATTGAGGTATACTTTGTGGCAGTTCTGTTGCTTCTCTATTGCCCCAGAATTTACCATGGTATTGAGGATGGATATGCAGAAATTATGCTCTTCATCAGGTAGCAGTTACCATAGGTGACCAAACATCACCTGTCTATGGCGTCTATAACATATTTGGGTGATGGACTAGCATGACTTTCACTACTCTAATTTTGCAGGCTTATATATATGGTGAAAGTTGTATATTTTGTGAAATCTTTTTTTTAACCTTTAACATTAAGTCGTTACACATGAACTTATCACTGAATATGTTTAGATTAATTTCTGATTTTACAAAAAATGAAATCTGAAAAACACAGATATTAGCAAAGTTTTTTCATAGTTATGTTTAATTCTTTTTGTTTAATACTGGAAGGAAGCTTTTGTGTAGTCTAATCTTGGATTGGGCAAATATTTGATGCTGTCTGATAGTCACACTGTTGGCCAGATAATAATTTTGATAAATCAATCTATCTCTGCTTTGGGGAGTAGAATTTGACGCCTACCTTAAGGTATTAAAAAATACTCATTCTACAGTACACGTGTATAGGAGTTCAGTCCTGTATTCAGGCTCACAACTGTATTATTTGGTGGTTTGTAACAACAGCTATTGCACATCTTTTGGGGGTTCTGAGAAAAACCAAGCGTCTGGGGCTTTCTTCCTTTCTTCTTATCAGGAGAAAACCAGCTTAAAAATGGGTGAAAAGAACAAAACTGGTCTTTAACTGTAGGCTTAATTGGCATGAATCAGTGAGAAAACGAGTGGTGGCCTTTTCCCCTTTGTCGCCATAGTTTTCTCTGGGCATGCAGGTTGTTCAACCTTAGTCTGGGTTATAATAATCTTTAAGATTTTTGTTTCTTGACTAAACCTTTGGTTCTTTATATAGCTTTGGAAAAATCACACACAGTTTGCCGATGTTTTTCTTTTTCTGAAAAATCTTATCCCAGTGCCAATTCTTTTGAAGGCTGCTTGTAATCTAATTCATAACAGGTTTCTTTACTCCATGTTGTAAAATCTGAATACAGATACTGTCCAAACTGTCCAAAGAGTAATGTTTGAATTCACAGTAACAAAAGTTACAAAGTTTGTGCAAAAGACATTGTACACCATTGGAGTACCTAGAGCTTGCTATAGTTAATTTTATACATAAAGCTGCATTTCTCATTAAAACTATTCTGTGCTACATTAAAAGTAAAGTTTTGGATTTAATCTTTACTAAAAATAAAACTGAATACTCATTTAATCTCTGAAATCTGAAGATGCAGACTGCCTATACATGATGTTTATAATGTGGTAATAAATCACTGGAAACTTTTAGACATCATAATTGCTTTGGAGCTCTTCAAGTTTTCCAAGTGTCATGAAGTAAACCCGGCTGTGGTGATTGCGCAGGGTAGAGGTAAAGAACAGCTTGAAAAAGAAAGAAATACACTGTCAACAGATATTTAATACATTGCAACCAGATATTTCATATAACTATAATTTTATCTGCATCTGCTAATTAAGATATTAAGCCTTACTGTTTTGTGGAATAGTTTGTTTTTCAAATGAAAGAATGAGTTTACTTTAGTTTGAAGTCTAATTTATACATTTTTAAAACAACCCTTTTACTATAGTCTACATAATTATAATTTATATGGTTAAATAAAATTAGTAATTTCGTAGGTGGCCTTCATTTGCTGAAGTTCTTGATTATTTTTGGGCAATAATTCTTTGCTTTTTAAAACAATAATCTACTTATATTCCAGTTGGCTTTTCTTTTAATATAAGGAAACAAATTATTTAGGTGTTGTTTACCATTGCTGCTTATATTTAAGAAGCCATTGAAATTTTCTACTTGGTACAATTTTCTTTTTTTTTCTTTTCATTATTTTTTAATATTAAAAAATTTAACAGACAGATAATACTGTATGTTTTTATCACAAACAAAATGATGTTTTGAAGTCCATATACACTGTGGAATTGTTAAATCTTGTTAATTAACAAATGTATCACCTCATGTGGTTATCATTTTTATGGTGAGAGCACTTAACATCCACTCATGCAATTTTCTATCTCAGCAAAATGGACATCAATAGATTGATAAAATGAGTTAAACCCAGTGGCTTAGAGAGGGACATGTTGTGTAAATGTGGTCTGTACCATAAAGAAAATTATAACAAAATATGCACATAAATATCAAACAAATGTCTCCTTGTTAGGACTAAGGCTTTTGACATCCACAGTGGCTATATTTAGGAGATTTTGTGACATAATGATGATGATAAGATACACTAGGTGTGACAAAGGGAAGCAGGGAGTCTCTAATTTGTGATACTGTGAGCTTACAGTGTATGTAACTGTACATTTTGCTTGATAAAAGATAATATTTGAAATTATTAAAATTTAAATATTAAAAATATTTAATATTATTAGACAAAGGCAGCAATCATAGTTACTTCGGTTAGTAGTCATCAAGAAAACAAATAATCTTTTAAGAAAAAATTATATGATTATACTGAGTTAAATAAAATTTAAAATGCCCTCGCTTAACTCTTCTAAGATCTGCTTTATACCCAATTAAATAAAAATCTTCATAAACCTTTACAGAGTTTGCTCTATACAGAGGGGGATGCAGGGCTTTAAGTGTATATGAAAACAGCATTTTACATTTCATAGTAAGTATTTTACCTCATAATAAAGAGACAACATTGTAATTTTTTTAAAAGATATGCTAGTCATTCTTGACTTAACATATCTGATGTTACAGGCAATCTGTGAGATGCTTACAGATATGACTAGTTGTCACAATTGTTCCCAAAGCAGTTATTAATATTTCTATTTTGGAGATGAAGGAACTAAGGATCAGAAAGATTAATCAAACTTCTCAGGTTCTCTAACCTGGTTAGTCCTGGTTAGAGCCAGGACTGCATTCTAGGTCTCGCTGACCTGAAACACAGGTTTTTGCCATTTCATCTCTTCACATTGTAAGTTGGCAACTTTGCTTGACATACAGTGCTTTACCCTGGCTGTTCTGATATTAACTCAAACCCTCTGCAATCTCTTCTCAACATGAATGTTTCCTAATCCTATTAGGACTATTTCTTCACACTATTATTTCCTATAATAGGTAGGAATGGTAATAATCTTACACCATGAAATTTTCCATCTAAACTATTTGAATTAGTTGTTAAAATTGATCAAATTATACAAATAATTGCCAGATCTTGATTTTATTTTTATTTTCTGCAAAATAAACATCATAACACCCACTTGTGAAGATCAATTGAGATAGCTGTTAAAGTATCTAGCACAAGGCCTACTATACAATTAAGTGCTCAGTAAACATAAGTACATTTTCCTTCTGTTATTGAATTATGTTGAAAGCTATAAAAGGCAGATTTGCTCAAGCATTTTGTTTAAAAATATCATTTTAATATGAACATGAAAGGTACTATGAATCAAAGACAATAAAGGATTTCGAACCAAATAAAATAATGGCTAAGCTTTGCTTAAGACATAACTAGAATTTTTTCTTATTTTTTTCAAAATGAGCTTCTTTTGAAACCAAATTTCATCACTTACCAAATTAGCGTTTCTACTGCAAAATATAAAATTGTTTTTTAATCAATAGTATGCCAGTTTGAAAAAATATACCACAAATATATTTATAGCCAGAAGGAAAAGGACAGAAATTTCTTTTGTTGGTTCATTTTCAATGGTTGCGTTATTTTTGCTGTAACTGGAGGGTGTAAGCTATACCTTGTCACCCCGGGTGCACAGGAATCTCAGCTTCTTAATTGACCTGCGCTTCAGCTCACTTTCCAGAACCCTGGATTGCAAAGAGCGCACTTCAATGGCCTTTTGGCCCCATCCTGTGGTTCGCTGTGTACATTCAAAAGCTACAATACAAATGAAAAAAAATCAGAAAAACACAAAATCTTTCTGGCCATCATAGAAAATTATAACTACAGTCAATGTTTGTTTATTAAGAGGCTCATTGTTACAGTTCAGGTTAGCACATCCTGTTTTTCCCTCCTGTAGTCAGTTGTTTGGCCATTTTGCTGCTCAAGAGTGGTGTTCAAACTGGCTATCTAAAGGCACCATTGTAATCAACATTTAATTACCAGGTCTCAGTTATTTAATTCTTGTATTCATATCCTCTAAGACCATAGAAAAAGCTAAGAACTAATTCTATCCCATTTGTAGACATTGTGATCTACTCACAGCCACTCTTCATTTTATAGTCTAAGTGACATACAGCATTCCTAATAAGGGCTCCTAATAAGGGTGTATATTTGTGCTCCAGTGACGTACATGAAAACCTGACTCTCAAAAATTAAAATAGTTAAAAAATGACTTGCTCAAATAATGACTGTAGCAACCCTAATGCAATTCAATAAATTATCATGTTGTAAGCAGAACCAAAGCTAATTTGATATTCTTAAGGTTTTTTCCTGCTCAGGAAATATTTATTAAGATTTTAACTTTTTTGACTCTATTTTATAATACTTTGTGACAAATATAGATTATGACAATAATTGCCTTAAACCTAATTGTGTAAACAGTCAGTCAGCTGGTGCTGCAAGGTATTTTTTGACACAAGGAACAGCACTATTATTACATTTTTAACTTTCAATTTAATATTCTTTATGTACTTCATGGGGAAAAATTCCATAAGTAAATAAAATCCTGACATTTAAAATAATATCAAGATTTTAAACTCAAATTAAAATAGTCTAGGAAACAACAAAATAAGGCATCTTCATTCTCATATTAACATGATTAAAATCAGAATTCAATTAATTACTTTGATTTTTCATTTTTTCTATTATAAAAGGAATAAGTTGACTAAGAAAAATGGTTATCCTGGAAGAAGACTTTATAAGTCAAATTTCAGACTAGAATTAAAATAACTCCAGATATAAGGGAAATAAGGAAAATCAGTCTCCAGAGGGTTGGGAACAAGTAACAGATCTAGTCTATCTAGAGTTGAATTTCTTCACCTATGTGACTACTTTATTAAAAATGATATTTTTGTCAACAACAACATAGATCAAAAATTCTAAACTTAAAGCACAGGCTTTTTGCTGAGTCCAAGTACATAGTTCATATGGCATCGCATAATTTCCACCGTAGTCCCAAAACACCTACATCTGCCACTTAACCTAGCTACTGAGCTAGCTTGCTTTCTGAGATGAAACACAATGATTTGGAAGTGGGAACACTTAGTAATACCTGATGCAATTGTTAAGCCTGTACATATTTGTTTGGAAATGGAGAGCAATGATTTGAACACATTTATTATAACTTAAGAAAACATAAAATTTAAATTGGGGAAATCTGGATCTGAATTAGTTTTAAATAACAAAGCAGTTGTTTGTAGACAGAATAATACAGTAATTGATCTCCTTAATATCAGTGTTATATGACAGTCTTTAGCATACTCTCAAAATATCCTTAATATACAAACTAAAGTATCATGTTCTTATAGTACTGTAATTTATTTTACGTGTAGCTGTCTTTCAAATTCTAGCAACTTAAAGTAGCTTTTTTTTGTTTTAGGTCAGAAGTTGTCCTGTCTGAGGACAAGAGCTGCACCAGATGACTTCTCAAGATCCCTTTGACCCTTATGATTGTCTACTGGCATAAATATAAGGGTTTGTTCAGTTTCCTATTTGAACTGAATTTCCTTATAACCATTTCTGATTAGCATATCGATCACAAAAGTACCACTGTAAAGGATAGAACATGAGTCATTATTTTTACTTTCTTTTGCCCCGAATCTGTCAATTATACTGTAAGCATTTATCTTCTGTCACTTAAAGTGGTTTTAAAACCTCTGTGAGTTCTTACTTGTTTGAGGAAATTGGAGCAGGTTTTCAGGACAATCCTTAAACTGACTATATATGAAAAAAAAAAAAAGAAGAAGGATTCTGCAGATGCAATGCAAAGTGCCATCATCCCATATAAAAAATGTTCATTAAAAAGCAGTTCTTTCAAAATGGTCCTTAAAGCCACATGAGGATCATATTTAGTCATTTTATAGAGATCTCAGAAGCATCTGCCTTCTCATTTGACAGACCATCTCTCTCTCTCTCTCTCTCTCTCTGTCTCTATGTTGTCAACAACAACATAGACTAAAAATTCTAAACCTAAAGCAAAGGCTTTTTGCTGAGTCCAAGTACATAGTTCATATGACATCGCATAATTTCCACCTTAGTCCCAAAACACCTACATCTGCCACTTAACCTAGCTACTGAGCTAGCTTGCTTTCTGAGATGGGACACAATGTTTTGGAAATGGGAACACTTAGTAATATCTGATGCAATTGTTAAGTCTCTCTCTCTCTCTCTCCACACACACACACACACACACACACACACACACACACACACACACACACACTGCTGCCTTTTTCCTTTATTTTCTCCATTAAACTTCTCTTTTCTATAATAGCTATCCTCCAGCTAATCATTCTACTCTCTCTAATATATTTACTTTTTGTATGCATTATGTTCCCTATCTAGAATCACGTCTGGGGTCACTGAGCCTCAGAACATATACAAGAATCTCAAATTATTTGGATTTCTCAGATCAGCAGTCCTGCTTTGGCTAGGAAGAAAAAAATATCCTGGTTTGATGAAGGTGAAAAGGCATTTTTCTTTGTTGCCACGTGGTTGGTACCTAACAAGCACTCCAGTCAGTCATATCTGTCACTTTTCTAAATGATTTGATTCTTCACAGGAATATCACTCACAAAATAGAACTCTACTGACTATAAAAAATAGAAGTATTTGGCTCTTTTATACTAGTTGGCAGTCTCCTAAGATAAAGATAAACCCCACAATCAGTGTGATGAAAAGAAGCATTTCCAATATCTGTGTAAAGTCTGCAAGTAAAGGGAGTTAAAACAAAATTATAGATTTTTGTGGAAAGGAATTAGCTCTCATTTCAGTTATACAATATTGCAAATAACTCAGATAACCAAAATGAGTCTCTTTGTGGTACTCTCACGAATTCATTAAGCATAGGACAAATACAGGCATCACCTTACTAAGAGAATAATTATGCAGAACCCCAAACTAATCTTATGTGTCTTAAGAAAATGTAATAATTCAGGAAATCTTTTCTTAGGACACTTTTTTACCCTTGTAAATTTTCTCTGGGGTCCTGAAGAAGAAATAAATTGTATACATACCTATAGAAGATGGTATGTCTTTCCACATTTCAAGGATCTTCTTGAAGAGTTGTTCATTTGCTTCCACAGAGAGGGCTTCAGCATTGAAGGTGAGCATCATGCCAATTCCCAAGCAATCAGGTAAAATGATGATATTCTGTGGTATAATGATTTCCAGGGGCTGGAATTATGTTTCATAAAGATTTATATGTCCAATATTTTATCACTACTACTTTAATCGAAGCAGCTTGGCAGAGCAATAAAGACCAAAAGAGGTTCAAAGAGCAAGGAGGAAGAGAAACCTCTATTTCCAAAGTAATAAGCATGCTATCCAATATTTGAAGAGAGCTGCTTTCTTTATGTCATAAATTCATAACTGTTAAATATTCTTCTTTATAATTAGGAGAAAGCCTTATTTTAAAAAAGCAAAGATGTATTTCCAACACAAAGAGATTTCTTGACATTTCACAAATTATTATGTATCATAATAGAAGAAACACTACTTGTTATAGACTTGGGTTTAAGATAACACATTAATAAATACTTTAGTAATTAATGTACAAATCAAATAACAAATATACAATACTTGCTTATCAGCCAACTCACTCAAATTAGAAATAGAAAACTAATCTAAAAAATAGCTTAAGCTTAAAATGTTTACAAGGGACAGCTTTATAATAGTCTTCACAGCTTGAAATATAACTTTAAGTCATTTCCCCCTTTGCAAAAAAGTTAGAATTTCTTTTCCAATTAATATAATTTCAAATGCACTTAAGATACACATTCAAAGACATATTTGGTGACATAATATGAAAAACTAAGAAATATCTAAGCATTTCTAAATTTCATGATGCATAAAACAATGCAATAAAGTTTTCTTAAACTACAGATATTGTCACATTAACAGTATTTCCCTACAAATGAAAAATTGTGTTCCTCTATGGTTTCTTCAAACTAGCACATTAAAAAAAAAAAAAAGTCAGAAACTATACTTGCCAAACCCAGCGTACTCAGGCCAGGTGCTTGAGGCCATGTCCCAGCAACAACAATCCTTATAACTAAAATGGGGATCCAGAGACGAAAAGCAATTTTAATGCGTTCCCTGGGCACTTGCATGAGCAATTGAATCAGAAAAAAAAGATAAAGGAAGAGAGTAAAAGAAATTGCAGGAAAGAAGGTTGTCTTAATAAAATCTGTTTAGAAAAAAACTGGACTGCTGCAAATCCATACAGCCTCAGATGCTTCTCAGATGATTCCTGAAGTAACTAGATATTCTTTAGCACACATGGTTCCCTTGTATCATTACAGCTTTTGTAATCTAGCACTCTTGGAAAAATAGTATTTTTATTATATTCTTTCTCAGAAGACACCCCCCTCCCTGATATTAGAGTCCTTTCTCTTTAAATGGGTCAAGACACTAGAGTATTTAGCTAAAAATATTTTTGAATATACACAAGGTATCCTAATTGGGTCAGAAAGTGATTTTTAAGAACTCATCTCTAACTAACAAATTGCTTCAAAAGGAAATAACTTTCCTTGCTTATTAATCATGTGAAACACGCGGGTCAACATTCCTGAATTACTTTTCAAATAAGTGTAAACATGGACCAATGCTGCAAAGTTCAATACTGCACTAGCTTCTTAATAAAAGCTATCTGACGCAACATTTAAAAAAAAAAGAGAGATGCAGGAAGCTACGGAAGACACTCCAACTGAAGAGTACAACAATAGCTATATCAAAATTAACTTGACCTCACGTTTAAGTGGCTTTGGCTAAGATTGGTTCAGTATTTTATACATTATCAACAGTGTGATTTCTATATAATCATGGGCAACAACTGAGTAATAAGCTAATTATCTTTAATATGACCAAAAGAGTTTTACAAAATTGTCCCCACTAATGTCCTGACAATTGGTTTATGTAATTTGTTAGAGACATATGAGACAATTCTGAGAGCTGTTCAAAATATCACACAACTGTAGTAATTTGAAAATACATCAAAGTTTTCTCCTGGACTTTTTGTATAATGCTAAACTGCTAAAACTTTGGTTGTCTAAAAATTGGGAATTTAAATATAGTGAAGCAGAGAACTGTTGGTTTAGGCCTTCCTTTTAAATAAAAATTTCAATAGGACAAACATCATTGCCAACATCAAATTTGAGACACAGTAGAATTATATTTTGTATGGTGTGTGTGAGGGATATTACATTATGTTCAAACTCTTTATGTAAATGATGTGTATAATATTTTTATGACAATCTATATTTTAGATGTTGCACCGTATTTCTTTCTTTTTTTTTTTTTTTTTTTTTGAGACGGAGTCTCGCTCTGTCGCCCAGGCTGGAGTGCAGTGGCGGGATCTCGGCTCACTGCAAGCTCCGCCTCCCGGGTTCACGCCATTCTCCTGCCTCAGCCTCCCAAGGAGCTGGGACTACAGGCGCCCGCCACTACGCCCGGCTAATTTTTTGTATTTTTAGTAGAGACGGGGTTTCACCGTTTTAGCCGGGATGGTCTCGATCTCCTGACCTCGTGATCCGCCCGCCTCGGCCTCCCAAAGTGCTGGGATTACAGGCGTGTTGCACCGTATTTCACAAAATATAAGCATTTAAGAGTTGAGGAGTATCTGCTTTTAAAATGCTGAATCTTTTGATCAGAAATTCTAACTATAATTAACCAGATAAGAGAACATTTTATGATAATTTGCTGTTATGTCACTGTTGAGGTAATATAATAAAGAATAGGAATACACATAATAATGCTGCAATACTGGTGTTGTATTTTTTAAAAATTTGTTAATGCATTGTGAAGTGCAGAAAAACTAAAGCAAGTACTGCAAAATCAAATACACTTTATGGTCAGTTATTATAAATATATAAACATAAATGGGTAGAGAATGTAGAGCACATATCCCATCTAAAAGGAGCTATGAATGAATACATTCCAATTGATAATGGCTAGATAGTAATGTGGCACTGATGCTATCTGGTCTTCTGATGTAGCAATAGAAGTCCAGAGTTTAAGTGTAAACTTTATTCATTAAAAATAAAAAAAAATTAGGCAAGACAAGCAAAATCTATCTGCAGAATATACTCAGCTTTCTAAACTAAGGAATCATCAGTGTTTTTTGTTTATGCAAGACCACTTTCTGGCACTCTATACTTACCTTTTATGTCTCAGTTCCGGTATAGACATTACTAATCATATTTTTAAACCTTTCAGAGTTTTGACAGTTGGAAAAACTCAAATGGTGGTATACAATAATTTCTAGGAATCTGAAGGTGTTATCTTACATTCTTTGGCAGGGTCACATCAGACATAACCTCAGATTCTGCATCGATGAGGTGATATCCATCTGCTGAGCTGAAGAAAATCTTTAGTCTTTTTTCAGAACCAATAGCCAGGTCAACTGTCACTGGCTTATGATCAAGTGTTGGAAATACCTGTGAATATAAAACCAAATATGGCCAAAAGGCCAAAAATGACATTCTAACTAAGGCAAAAATTCCCTCACTCTTTTGTCAGGTTTATAAGTGTACAAAACCCAGGTGGATTTTTAAAATGGCATATTGTATTTAGAGACCTGTGTATTACAGTTTTTCTTAGACCTGTTATTACAACAAAGAAATAATTATGTTCAATAGCTTCAAAATATTGAGTTTCTCTTCAAAGGTCAGATTGGCAATGATCATAAGAGCCTTGTATGACCCTGCATTCTGTTTGCTGTCTTCAAGTTCCTTGCCTTGAGCTTCAGCAAATGAAGGAGCTCATCTGGTCTCTTAAACCGGTTCACTGGATCAGCTGCCTGTATTTTTGCCAGTATTCGTATATAGGCTTGATAGGACATGTAGTCTCCTTCAGAGTCTGCTGATTGATCAATGCATACTTGGTAGGGAATGAAAAGGGCCAGACATGTTAACCTACCATATACTGGGTATGTACTCTAGGCTCCTATGGTTTCTAGTCCAAAACAAAAGGCCAAACAGGATTCATTGCCAAGATCAGATCACGGTAGAGGACTGAGCATCACAGGATTCAACATACTGTAGTTGTGAGGTGGGAGTCAAGAACTGCAGTGAGGACTTGGACAAGAACTGTGTATCAGGCTAGACAGACTGTTGGTACTTATTTCTTCGCTTTCCAGCTCCATACCAGGCAGCTCTGACCAATCAGCAGACACCCAAGAATAAACCCATATCCAAATACTGACAGCTGAACCAAGGCCCAATTTAGGGAGATCAGATCAGGGATGTGACGTGATTTGTCTTAGGGTTGACTCAGACTGTATATACAGTCATCTGTATAATTTATAGAAGAACATAGTTATTATGCAAATAGACATTGGCAGGTAGTCATAAGAATTTGCTCATCTTTATTGTATACATGTGATGTGTTCCCTTACAAAATATACCATGTAAACAGATCCTGACTTAAGATACAAAAGTATTTCATGAATACCTTGCTGCGTCTGTCAGGATGGGTCCCTATCAGTGCTTTGTTAAAACCTGTCTATGGATCAACTAGTTAAAAATCACCTGGAACATCTGCTAAAAATATCAATTCCCAGACCCTACTCCAGACCCACTAATTCAGCCTGGTGTTGGGTCTGAGATCTAAACCTTTACCAAATGTTCCAGCTAATTCTGATATACATCCTAGGTTAGAAGCTACTGGACATGATAGAATGCTGCCAGTTCTTTAGTCAACCCTCATTACTATGGAATAAATACAAAATAATTCCATTTAAGTAGAATTCTGGAGCATTATAAGTAAGTTACTCTAGATAAAAACAGTCCCTCATTTTAAGGTTAGTTGTTTAAGACACTCAATTGTTTATTTATGTGGCCTATCCATAGAAGTTCAGCCAAACTGTAATAAAGTTAGAAAGAGTACTGGTAAGCCTAACCACCATGTCTCACAATATTAATAGATAGAGAGAGAAATGTGTTTAGAGTTCCAGCTTGGAAAGAATATAGACTCATCCAACCCCTTCCCATACCCACATATTGTGGCCATGGTAACTGGAGCAAAGGCTTTCTTTTCCCTCCTTTTTCCTCCAAGGGTGTTCCCCCTCTATCATTACCATACCTTTCTTTACCTTCCCTCTGCTCTCTATCCCCCACTAAGAGAAAACAGGGACTTTCTCAGCTTCAATTTATTGGGGTGGCACCCAAAGCCTGTGTTTGAGGCTCTGAAAGAGAAGGTCTTCATATTGACTACAGGAATTGGGAGTGAGGCGCTGGTGGGGAGGTCCTATAAGGGGAGGGGCCAGGGATTTCCCTCGCATTCTCCCTTGCTGTGATGCCTGTGAATTGTCTAAAAAAGGGTTAAACAGTAATTACTGACATGGTATATTCAAGTTACATTAGTGAGACCCCATCTCTACAAAATATTAAAAAATTAACCAGGTGTGATGTATGCCTGTAGTCCTAGCTACTTGGGAGGCTGAGGTGGGAGGATGGCTTGAGCCCAGGAGATCAAGGTTGCAGTGAGCTATGATCATGCCACTGCACTCTAGCCTGGGCCAGAGTGAGAGAGTGAGACCCTGTATCTAAAAAATAAACAAACAAACAAGCAAGCAAACTAACAACAAAATTTCATTAACTATAGAAGAATGGTATATACTTCTGCATCTGTATTCCAAGGTACGATTCTGTTCACAATTTCTTCTCAAAATAAAAAATCATATAATCCAAAGAAAAAGGAGCTCACTCACTTTAATAGCAGTGCTTTCATCAAAGGACTTTGGTGCCCATGCATAAAGGTGAATTGATGATTTCAAAGCAATTGCAATATATGTTGTTTCTTCATGTTGGACTATAATGATAAAACACAAAAAAGTAACGATGCCACAGTTAACAAGAACACTCAAGTATTTGTATTTGTCATAAAAAATGCCATAACCACAATTTAAGAGCACAGACAGTATATTTTTGGGGAAGCTACTTGGTTACAATTTGATGCCCACAAAAAGGTAACAAAATTACTGTATAGTTTTATGGAGTATACATATTCGCCTTCAAGAGCACTCTAAATTGTACACCAAAACATTGATGAAAGAAATTAAAGAAGACCCAAATAAATGGAAAAAGTTTTCCTGTTCATAGATAGGTAGATTTAACATTGTTGAAATAGCAATACGGTCCAAAATTGTCTCCATAGATTCAATGCAATCCCTATTAAAATCCCAATGGCCTTTTATTGAAGAAATGGAAAAGTTGATCCTATATTTCACGTGGAATCTTAAGAAGCTCCTAATAGCCAAACAATGTTGAAAAAGAAAATCTAAGTTGGAGAACTCACACTTTCCAATTTCAAAGCTTACTGCAAGTTACAGTAATCAAAGCAGTATGGTACTAAATAACATAAGGAGAGACATATAGATCAATGGAATAAAATTGGGAGTTGGCAAATAAACCCATACATCTATGGTCAATGGTGTTATACCATTCAATAGGGAAAAAACAGTCTTTTCAACAAATGGTGCTGGGACAAGCGGATATACCTATGCAAAACAATAAGGTTGGAGTCCAAATTTCACACCATATACAAAATTAACTCAAAATTGATCAAACACCTAAATGTAATAGCTAAAACAATAAAATTCTTGGAAGTAAACATAGGGATAAATCTTGATGACCTTGAATATAGCAATGAATTCTGATATTTGACACCCAAATATAAGGCAAGAAAAGGAAAAAAAAGATAAATTAGGCTTCATCAAAAATTAAAAATTTGGGGCACCAAGGGAAACTATCAAGGAAGTGAAAATACAACATACAGAATAGGAGAAAATATTTGCAAATCATATTCTGATGAGAGTCTAGTATATGGGCCGGGCACAGTGGCTCACGCCTGCAATCCCAGTACTTTGGGAGGCCAGGGTGGGTGGATCACTTGAGGTCAGGAGTTCGATACCAGCCTGGCCAACATGGTGAAACCCCATCTCTACTAAAAAAAAAAATATAAAAAATAGCTGGGTGTGGTGGCAAGCACATGTAATCTCAGCTACTCGGGAGGCTGAGGCAGGAGAATATCTTGAACCTGGGAGGTGGAGGTTGCAGTGATCTGAGATCACTCCACTGCACTCCAGCCTGAGCAACAGAGCGAGACTCTGCCTCAAAAGAAAAAAAGACTCTAGTATATGGAATACTTAAAGAATGTTTACAATTCAACAGCAAAAGGATAAGCAAACCAATTAAAAAACAGGCAAAGGACTTGAATAGACATGTCTCCAAATGGTCAGTAAACATATGAAAAGATACTCAACAACATTAATCATGAGGGAACTGCAAATTGAAACTTTTATGACATCCCACTTTACACCCATGGGGATGGCTAGAATAAAAAAACAGATATTTACAAGTGCTCACAAGGATATAGAGAATATAGAACTCTCATACTTTACAGATAGCAATGTGAAACGGTGCAACCACTTTGAAAAACAGTGTAACGATACTATCCAAGAGAAAAAAACCATACATATCCACATATGAAGATGTATGAAATGTTTGTAGTAGCATTATTTTTAATAGCCAAAAAGTGGGAAGAGTGCAAATGTCCATCAACTGATGTATGGATAAACAAAATGTGGTATATCCATACAATGCAATACTACTCAGCAATAAAAAGGAATTGCTGATACATGTTATATATAACATAGACAAACCTTGAAAATATTATGCTAAGTAAAAGTCCGTCATAAAACACAACATAATATATGGTTCCATTTATAGTAATAGTCCAGAAGAGGCAAATCAATAGAGAAAGAAAGTCCTAGGTAACCATTTATCAGTTTATCAATGGATACCTAGGACTGTGAGTGGTAGAGGGGGAAGTAAAGAAGGATGGAATGGGGGTAACTGTTAATGAATATGGGGTTTCTTTTGGGGATGATAAAAATTAGATCATGGCGATTGTCACATAACTCTATAGACCTCCTAAAACCCATTGAATTGTGCACTTTAAACAAGTGTATTTCATGGTATGTACATTATTTCAATAGGGTTATTTTAAAAGGTAAATTAAAAAGTATAAATAGGTATATGCTTGCTCTTGATTAGCCCTTCTGGTTCTTATGGAATATGTTGTCTTACCCGATAGATTTATACTTTGTGCTATAAAGCCCTTTCTTGGCTGCAATTTCTTCTGCCATCCCTACGCATTCTCTCTCTCTCTCTCTCTCTCTCTCTCTCTCTCTCTTTCTGTCTCTCTCTGGGTCTAGCTTACTCTTGCATTTTCTTTTGCATTGCTCCCAAGTAGGTCAAAGGAGCATGATTACTAATCCTCCAATAATAAAAAATATTCTCTCTTAAGAAAACACTTCCTATATATTTAATATAGGGTAGTAATTGGTGACAGTTCACTGTCTTGTGGATCTTGGAAGGCTATGAAAATACCAGGCAAGTATGATTTGTTCTTGTCTTCCTATGTGAAGATGCTACTAATTCCACCTGTCAGTGGGACAAATGCTTTTTGCTGTTCTGAGAGCTTAGGTGGACTGGAATGGGGTCAGCCAGGAAAACTAAACTTAACTAGTCCACCCCTCACAAAGAGCACAGATTTGCAATATGAGTAACTTTGTGACTATCTCTTACTGAACTAATATTTTACAAGTTAGGAGGAGGTAGTTTTGCTATATAAACTCCTGAGTTAACATCTGGGGATATCTTTCACCTGTAGGACTATCACATTTGCATAATATGATTTGGAGGGAAGTAGTGATACCTAAACCTGGAAGAAACTAGTGTATTTATTTAATGCTTAAATTATCTGGGTACTCATTTCCCTCTTTAGTGGTGTATGTGTACATATGCACACACATACAAAAACCTACCCTGAGAAAGTCACTTTATATGCAGAACAATAATGGTCAGTCAGGACAGAAATATCCCATTGCAATTTATATAATGTGATTCCAGCTATTTCTCACCTATGCCACCAGTTCTGCCTGAAGAGGCAATTAATGAAGAGGGAAAGAAGCAAAAGAAGGCTGAGAGTACAGGGGGATTTGCTTCAGAAATAGAACAGAATGGGATGACATTAGCTCACGGTTTTTTATAGCTGAGAGCAGGATTCTGAACCCCTAGGGTTGTTACATCCTTTCACAGTGGATGGTTGTGAAGATACAGGGTATATGAAAACATTCTAATCAGATGGAAAACAATTAGTGATTATATTCATTAATATCAACAGTGGGAGTGAGAGCCAGCAGATCACAGAATTTTCTTTCTGACTCATCATTAAGTTTCCTGGACAGTATTAGGAGGGATTCAATCTTACTGTTGCTCCAAAGAAAGAGAATATCATATGCATCTCCCCAAGTTTGTGAAGATAAATCAAGACCATTTATATAGCTGAAGCTATATAAAGGCAGGAAAAAAAAATCGGTTTATCTGGAATATTCGGGGTGACTGGGAAAGAAAGTAAGGTGAGGAGGTAAACCAAACCTAACATCAATAACTATTTTAGTCAGTCAATGTTTTCTCAAAAAAAAAAATCAAGATTGTAACATAGAAGACCTGGAAGATGTGTCAGTGAAATTTACTCTTCTTTGATTTGAAGTTGCTGTCTATAGCCATACCACCCTGAACGTCCCTGATCTCGTCTGTATTTGAAACTGCAAATTGTTTCCTTTCTCTGCTTTGCCTTTCATAATTATGTAGTTCACCAAATGAAAGGATGCAAAATTTATATAGCTGTAGTAAACATGAAATGTGGCTTACGGACACTGAAGTGTTCACAGCCTGTTAACTTATCAATAGCTTTGCAGGCTTCCTCTGTCTTCAGCATTTCTTCTTGCCTTCTTTTACTTTCTGGATCATTATTCAAAATCTTGTTCCTCAACCAGGTCAGATGATACACCCGAAGTCTGTTCTTATGACCTGATAGATAAGAAAATATACAGTATTTAAAATCAGTCTTTCTTTTCATATATTAGAAGAAAAAAAAGTAAAGATATTTTGCCTTTTAAAAATATCTTTATTAACGTAAAAAGCACCTTAAAAAAAACTGCATTGCATCAGAATCTCCCATTCAGGATTTGGAAATATGACAGATTATTTTAGTCTCTCAATTCCAAGAGATAGTCAAAGTATCTACCTATGTGCCTCTCAGAAGGGGATCTAAACTTTTTTTGGGACAAGTTAAGCCTTCCACTATGCAGGCAAGATAATTACCATCCATTCATTTGTACCTTGGCTATTCATGAAGTCATAACTCCTCTGGAGTTCAGAGACCTAAAAGCTGTCCCTGGTAGTGTGTGTGTACGAGAGGGGTGGCTGAATATTGACTGTTAAGGTATTCAGGGACAGCAATATGGGTATCTTTGTGTTCTGTCATTCCAGCATGCTTGTAAAATAGTTGAACAGTTTCATTATATTTTCCTCCAACTAAATTTATCGTTAATATTAATTTCCTAATTGTAAATTTCATCAAATTCTTACAATTCAGTCAGGAAACACAGGCCATGAAAAAATCACACATTTCTTTTCCCCTATATAGTGACTTTATAATCATTTTTCTTTGTCATTTTTATGGTTTATTATTACATGATTTCTAGGCCCAACAATAGGATTCTTACTTATGTGATTAGTCTTTCATATGTTTTTACACAACATTTTTGAAGCAGTGTTAGGGTTCAGATATCTACATCTATGTGATATGGTCTCGAATTTTAATCCAAATAGTAATCCCCATGTGTTGAGTGAGGGACCCAGTGGGAGGTAATTGAACCATGGGGCAGTTACTTTCATGCTTTTCTCATGATATTGAGTTCTCATATGATCTGATGGTTTTATAAGGGGCTTCTCCCCCCTTCGCTCTGCACTTCTCCTTGCTGCTGCCATGTGAAGAAGGACATGTTTGCTTTCCCTTCTGCCATGATTGTAAGTTTCTTGAAGCCTCCCCAGCCATGTGGAACTGTGAGTCAATTAAACCCCTTTCCTTTATAAATTACTCAGTCTCAGGTATGTCCTTATAGCAGCATGAGAATGGACTAAAACACTACCGCTATTCTATTTCTTAAATGGTAAAATAAATTTGTGCTTTAAACTACTGAGTACCTTCTTATACTGATGTTCTCAGTACTGTTTGATGGAAAAATATTCCACATTTGAGAGAAGCTCAAGAACTAGAGAAGAACATATTTGGGTTAGAGGAAGTTGGATAAAAAGTAAAGAAATCTGTTATACAGATATGTAGTCTATAAGCCACCCAGATGTTTTCAAAAAATAAATATTACTTCTACGTACCTTAAACAATTATAAGCAACTAACTATAAAACATGATTTAAAAAATCATGAAGTCTGAGCATACCTCTAAAGGGATTTCTCCTCTAACCAAAATGTAAAGCAAAGTTAATCATTTTAGGAATAACACAAAATCATTAGTGTGCAACATGGCAATTTGTGCACTAATTATATATAAAGCATGTTATATATAATAAAATACATAAACTCATATAAGTGTCTGTGATTAGCATCATTTTATTCACATAGACAAACCATATTTTCTTACTTTTTCTCTCTTTTGTCAGTCATCTTTTGCCTATAGTCAGCTTTAATGTTGGTGCTTTCCTGATACTAAATGCTGTTTAGTAATCACGATCACTCTTAACACTCATTTACTTGCTTTCTTGTATTCTAAGTTTCAGGCTCTGACTGACCAAAACTAAGAAATTTAACTACTATTTGGAAAAGGTGTAAAGATCTTTAGGGGATCCATTCTTGTTACAAACTCTACCTGTAGGCCCTTGTGATAAGGCTATATACTAAGGACAACTCTCTTTTGTATCTGATTATTGTTCACTTTGTTCTTTGTTGCTTCTAACACCTCACAAGAACGGGACATGGTGGATGTTGATGCAGTCCTGTGCATGAATGGATGAAAATTAGAAATCTGAAGTTGTAGGAGGCTGCACTGGAGAGAACATGCAAGGATGCAAATGTTGTGGTTTTTCTTATCAGTAACCTAGGTTAGGTACTTTACAATAAAAGGAAGTTACTTTAAATTGTAAATAGATAAGATAATATAAGTAGGAAAGTCTGGTGTCCCAATTAAAGGTTATATTTAAAGTGCTCTTCTAGGAACACTTTAACCTGAGAAAGTCTTTAACCCAGTTTGCAGACTAATTAATCTGCATAATTACTCAGCTAATTTTAGTTCTTAAACAAACCTGAGATGGTAATCAGCAAATTGAGTGGCTCTAAGACTTGAATCTGGCGGAATGGTCTTCGCCTTATAAGTTTAGTAATGTCAGCCTTTCCACTTCTGTCCATCAGATATAGATTAGATCGGGTTCCCAACAGCAAATTGACTCCTGTTCATATATAAAAAGTGCTATATTAGCTCAGATTATTTTTCATAATTGCATCTATATTACTATTTTTGCTATTCCAGTATGCTGATCTATGTAAAGATGACTTATCAGTTTAGGCTATATTCACCTCATATTATTTTTCATAATTGCATCTATATTACTATTTTTGCTATTCCAGTATGCTGATCTATGTAAAGATGACTTATCAGTTTAGGCTATATTCACCTCATACTGTGTAACTATGTACTCTCTACCAACAGAACAAATTTCAATGAAATACATAAAAATATAGAACATAATTCCCTCTGGCAGTATTCCACTGGCTGGCATCTGGTATGCCATCTCACAAATGGAAATTTATGGATATATTAGCACCCTTTAGTAGTGTTCTGAACTTTATCAAAATCAATCAACCTTTTTGAAAATTATCATTAAACATTCTTAGTCTAGCACATACAAAGAGTTCAATTCAGCTCATTTCTCATCTCTAAACATAAGTAAATGTTTGAATGATTTTAAAATAATTATATGTAAATAATTGTTTTTAAATTGAATGATTCTATGTTCATGCATATATTAAAAATTTACCGTTGCCAAATGCCTATGAAATTAGTTCCTGCCTTCATGGATCTCAATTTCTACACTCTCTTTTATTTGTTGACTGGCTCTATTTGTTCAAATATAAGCACTGTTTAAAGACCAAATAAGAGGACTGAAATAGAAGACAGAACCAAAGTTAAATTACACTTCAAACTACTATGGGAGCTTTTCACCATAAAGTGACATAGGAAATAACCAGCCAAGTAATGTAACAAGATAAAATTTCACAGTCCTCCTTGCACTTGGAGCATACCTGTGCTCCATGAGCATAAGGAGAAAACTTAAGTGATTTTGCCTTCATTTTCTCACTCTGTCTTTAATCAGTTCTCTAACTCATGGCCAATGGCATGTTTAGGAGCTGCATCTTCTTCTCACAGGGGAATCAGAGAAGGAGGAAGAAGTATAGCCAATTTTTACTATAATCTTTTATTTTTCAAAATATAAAATTACACGTTATAAGAATGGATTATTAGACATTAACTACATTTCTAGGTAGTTGCCAGACTGAAATATTCATGCTATCTTGTTGTTTGACACACTAAATTAGCAGAACTTTGAGATGATTTTTAAAAATTCTTTAATCCACATAATTACAATGTTTGTTACCCTTTTCTATTTTTAATTTAAAACCCTGTCCTTTGTTCAATCATACATTAAGCAAAATCTATGAAATTGCAAGACAGAGGTTGGCATTTACTTTGGATTTCTCCCTTTCTTGAATTCATTTATTTTGTTTCATTTATGATTCAGATTGGCTTGCGGTAAAATATTGTCTCAGCATTGCCAATGTGGTTATAATTCTTCTGAAAAAAAGGATTTTAAAAAGTCTATCAGAGTTAAGACATTATAGAAGGAACTTTCTCTACAAATTTCCAAGGCTTTTTAAAAACAAGATCCTGCAGAAATATTTCTTGGAATACCTCATAAAGTATCACATGTTGAACACTACCCTAAATTAGAAATACGAAACTTAAACTTTCAAACAATCATAACCTAGTCCAGTTGTGTATATATATATATATATAAAATATAATAAATATAATATATATAGAGAGAGTCTTGCACTGTCGCCCGGGCTGAAGTGCAGTGGCGTGATCTCTGCTCACTGCAACCTCCACCTCCCAGGTTCAAGCAATTCTCCTTGCCTCAGTCTCCCAAGTAGCTGGGATTACAGGCACCTGCCACCACACCCAGCTAATTTTTTTGTATTTTTAGTACAAAGTTTCACTATGTTGTCCAGGCTGGTCTCAACTCCTGACCTCGTGATCCACCTGCCATCCAAGTTAACTCAGGTTTAAAAGAAATAGAATACAAAGGTGGGGGCCGTCAATTCAAACATCAAACTGCACTGAGTGAAAAAAAAAATCAGCAAAACCAATTCTGAGCAAATTAACTACTATAAATATATTTTTATTGTAATGACTTGGTAAGAGTAAGCAAATATTTTATGTCTATGATTTTCACAGGTTTGCTACATAAAAATATATTCTTTAAGAAAACAAAACAAACTCACCCCACAAAGAACCACAGCAGATCTCAGAAGTGAACTCCTTTTCATACATGTGGATTAGTGGTTTTTTACATGCAGGAGAGACATAGAGTGGGTTAACATTGACTTCAGAGGGTTGCTTAGGTGATTCCTCAGGTACTTCTACGAATCCAGCGTATACTGCAAAGATGTAAGGGGAAGATAATAAGGGAAATTACTAGTTCTGTGCATGATGGAGTTACAGAATTTTTTTTTAAAGAAAAATCTGCACCTGATGGAGTTATAGAAAAATTTTTTTTAAATTACTCCTCTGTACACCTTATATGCTACAGTGTTTCCGCAAATGAGACACGACTTAGCCAAATTTATTTTCTTTGGCTAGATGTCGTGGCTCACACCTGTAATCCCAGCTCTTGGGAGGCCAAGGTGGGAGGATCATTAAGAATCAGAGGTTGAGGCTACCATGTACCATGATCCTGCCACTGTAATCCAGCCTAAGTGACAGAGCGAGATCTTATTTCAAAATAAAAAAACAAATAAATTTCTTTCCTTTTATTGTATTTTATTTTTTACTGGAAGTATAGTTTCAGTAACTCTGAAACCATCAGATAACACAAATCGTGATGGCTAAAATACATTGTTGAACACGAATATATTTTAAGTTATTGTGATTAGAAAACACACATAAATCCATATAAGGGACTCAATTTCTCAATTGTAGCTCAAATTTAGGTACCATAAAGATTCAGTAAAGAGTAGATGTTTTAAAAGCATATATCAATCTGAATTTATTTCAAGTGAATGTGAGAATAATTTGATTCCTAACAGATCATGAAGCAGTGGTTAAACACTATTTAATAAGTGAACAGATAGTAGCATTTAGAGATTACATTGAACACACTCACAGATGGCACTGGCAAAGTTAGCATCAGCAGACATCCCAGAACCTTTGGAAGGAGATGAGTGATTGGCAGAAAAATCTGATTGTGTTGATGATTCTGATATGTCCTTATTGTCACTCTCATGATCAGGTGCTGACGGTGCAGCACCTGAGTCAATGGCATTTGAGGCCTCATTTCCACCACCTGGCTCCTAAAAGAAGTCCAAAAACCAATTTTTATTTCATTAGTAGGTTAACAGTGGGAGAAATATGCCTAGTGAGGGGTCGTTTGAAAAACACAATGCAAGATCTATAACATCTACATTCTTATAAAATCCACATTTACTAGAAAAACTCAACAATGTCATCAGAAGGAGAAAACTAACCTATTATTGAGATGACTGATGGTACAGGAGAAAAGCAAGGAGCTATAGGTTCCCAACTGTACAATTTGAGACCTAACATTTGTGGAATTTTTACCATGTATCAGCTACTGTGCTAAGCATGATATTTAGATATCTTTGTGAATCCTTACCATAGCCCAACAAGTAAGTATAATTATCTCCAATTTACTTATACAAATTTAAAATTTAGAGACAGTAAATAATGTATTCAGTCATAGTACTAGTAAGTAGGGGAAGCAGAATTTGAAGCCAAAGTCTGTCTGATTCCAAAGCATACATCCAGCTATGCTATGCCAAACAGCCTCTTGAAAAAATATAAAGCACAGTGTGGGGGTGTCTGTTCTACTGCTTTAAGGTATCTTCACAAAACTGAAAGCATGAAAAACCTGCATAAATAATTTTCAAATGATAAAGAAAATGAAGGCAAATCAACCAACACAAATCCAAGAGCGTAAACATGCATCACTGAAAATGTAGCTGGCTTCCATTAACTTACAAAGAAGATACTCAAGGATAAAAGCCACGAAATGTGACAATTTATGTGGTATGCCCTGTCCTGTGGGAAAATATGTCAACTATTGTTGGTAAGTTATTCTGTTGATAAGCTCATCTTTGTGTCTAAACAGTGATTCTTGGCACTGAGAGAGCTGTGCTATTCTGCAAAAGACTGGTTTTTATGACCTTTTCAACCACAAAAACATGGTATGACATCACGTCCTTTTTAAATTAAAATGAAAGGAAGATCCACTTCCTCTATAAATTTCCAAAACATTCCTTGAGATAACTGGATATAACCAGGGTTGCTATGAAACTTATGTTGGGACATCCTGTTTTAATGTCTTTAATTAAGATAGATAGATAGATAGATAGATAGATAGATAGATAGATAGATAGATAGACAGACATAGATATTTTCCCACTGACACTGCTTTCCCATTAGAAACCATCCAGGAAATTTCCTTCCTTCCTTTTTTTCTTTCTTTTCAAACTTTATTGATTTATTCCATAATTACTGTGTGCCTATCATATGCCATGTCCTTGGTTAGACACTGAAGTTGGGTGAGTTGGTAGACAAATAATCATGGAAGGATTAGACATAATTATTTCCTTTAAGAGTTCACAATATAGTATGAAAGCAAAAAAATAAAATAACTAACAATAATACCATAAGTACTAAATTGGAACTATGGACAAAAGGTTTGTAAGTAGAAAGGAAGGGATATATAACTCTGCCTTGGGAAGTCAAAGTTGATACTTAATTTGGCCCATGAAGGATTACTAATTTACCAAGCAGAGAAGAGGTGAGGGGGCAGCCTTCCAGAGGAAACAGCTTGCACAGGAGCGCTGATTCATGAAAGAGCATGGCATCTCCAAAGCCAGTTTGTGTGACAAGAAAATAGGCTAGGGGAGTAGACTGGCATAATCTTTTTTCTGTCTGGAGTTCCACCTGTGTTTTCAGATATCCAGATACTCCCCATTTCTCAAGAATGAGTTCAAATACCACATGGTTCAGAAAATATTATGTGTGATAATTTCTATTGATGTAGCATCTGTGAACTACTTGAATATTTTAAACCTATTTATAAAGTCAATAAATGTTTTGTGAATGACAAAATCATTGTCTAAACACAGTATATTTCTTGAATTAAAATTTTATGTTATCAGTTGCTCAAGAAGTTAAGCATAGCCTGATTACATGATATAGCAATGCCTCTCCTAGCTATATACCCCCCAAAAACCTGAAAGCAGGGACTCAAACAGATACTTGTACATCAATGTTCACAGCAGCGCTTTTCACAATAACCAAAAGGTGGAAACAACCCAAGTTTCCATCAGTAGATAAATGGATAAACAAAATGTGGTGAATGCATAAGATAAAACATTATTCACCCTTGAAAAGGAATGAAATTCTGATACATGCTGCAATGTGGATAAACTCTGAAAACCTAAAAAGTGAAATAAGCCAGACACAAAAGGACAAATATTGTATGATTCCACTTATATAAGTCACCAAGAAAAAAAAGTAGAATAGAGGTTATCAGGGGTTAGAGGAGGGGGGAAACAAGACTTAATTGTTTAGTTTGTTTGGGATGGTAAAAAAAATAAGTTCTGAAAATGGATAGTGGTGACAACCCCACAACATTCTGAATGTAATAAATCCAACTGGTTTGTACACTTAAAAATGGTTGAAATGGTAAGTTTTATGATATGCATATTTTACTACAATAAAAAAAAACTCAGAAAAAAATAATCGGTTCCAGTTGGAGTGATGTCAGTAAGATAGCTTATTGGTGGCACCTGGTGCTTGTCCCCCTCACAAAAAAGGACAAAGAGAATGAATAAACAGAGTTCAACTGGTGTGTCTGAGGGAGAGTGTTGGAGTGCAGTGATGGGGTGGTGAGGTCACTGTGTAGCATGGAATCTCAAAATGGCAGCAAAGAGAGGGAAGTGAGGTACTCTGCTTCTGCTGCCCCATCTCCCCTACCATGATCAGCTCAGAGCCCGGAATAAATTCTCCTTATTGGGAAAAGGTAAGCAGAAGACTCTCATCAGCCCCAATTGCCACCACAGACAACTGTAGTACTTACTACAGGAGAATCTCATAGTCCTCACAAGCCCTGAGTTCAGTTTGGGAAGGTGCCTGAAATTCATGTGTCTGCATTGCTCCAGATAAGGAGCAAAAGTTGTGCATTTCCCACCAACCCATGACCTAAGCTGCTGCAGCCTGGTGCCATCTTGAATCTAGAGGCACTGCTGAAATACACTATGTTCTGGGGGCCAGTAAACACTGTGCCTCTCCAGTCTTGCAGCTCCACTGTCATTTCACCAAGCCCCAACTGATGGCTGAAATGCTGTGACCCTGACTGCTCAGATCTTGGGCCCAGGAAAGGTCAGCCATAACTCCAGTACTGCACATTGGCGAAGCCAACTCTAGGCTGGCTTAACTGCTGTGCACTTGCAACCCTGGCCAGAGAAACAGCTCAGCAGCACTGATCCCAGTAAGCCAGACCCCAAGCTAGCTTTCCCACCCTGTGTGACCACACTCTTGCCCAGAGAAGTAGTCTGATAGCTCAACACTGGAGGGCAAATTCCTGAGCCACCCAACCCACCGCATGTGCACTTTTGCCTCTGGACTGAGAAACAGCCTGGCAAGCCCACCCCTGGCAAAGGTGTGCCACCTCTGCCACAAACTTTTGCAGCCTGGGCCAGTGAGGTACTAGCAAACGTTGCTAATGTATATTACAGCATAGAGACCACACTGCTGCATCCACCCAGAACCAAAGTCAATGCACCCAACCCAACCAACACCCCAGGACCCATCTATGGACTAAGTCTTTCCTTATGAAAGCCACTCCATAACATTATAAGAAGCAATTGCTCCATCAGATGGACAGATATCAACACAAGGACACAAGAAACATTAACAAATAAGGAAACATGATACCTTCAAAGGAACATAATAATTTTCCAGTAGCAGACCCAACAGAAAAGAAAAAGTGAAGTGCCAGAAAAGGAATTAATAATAATGATCTTAAGGAGATTCAGCAAGATACAAGAGAATACAGATAGACAAATCAATGAAATTTTAAAAAATCATGATCTGAATGAGAAATTCAACAAAGGAATAGGTATCATTAAAAAAGAACCAAACAGAAATATTGAAGATAAAGAATTCAATGAATAATATTAAAAAATACAATACAGAGCTTCAATAGCTGACTAGACCAAGCAGAATAAAGAATTTCTGAACTTGAAGACATGTCTTTTAAAATGATTCAGGCAGAAAAGAAAAAAGAGAAAAAAAAAGAATAAAGAGAGCCTATAGAACTTATGGGACAACATTAAGAGGATGTATTTTTGAATTATGGGGGTTCCAGAAGGATGAAAAGATGTAGAAAACTTATTTAATAAAATAAAAGCTGAAAAATTCCCAAGTCTTGGGAGAGAGATATGAACATCTAGTTTCAGGAAGCTCAAAGGTTATCAAATATATTCAACTCAAAAAGGTCCTCCCAAAGAAAATCACAGTGAAACTGTCAGAAGTCAGTGACAAAGAGAGAATACTAAAAACAGCAAAAGGAGAGTCTTATCACATATAAGGAAATCCTCATTGGACTAACAGCAGATTTCTGAACAGAAACCTTACAAGCCAGGAGAGAATAGGATGATATATTCAAAGTGCTGGAAAAAACCTGATAGCCCAAAATAGTATCACCAGGAAAGCAATCCTTCAGAAATGGAGAAATAAAGCCTCTTCCAGATAAGCAAAAAGCAGAGGAATTCATCACCACTAGAGAGGTCTTACAAGAAATGCTTAAGGGAGTCCTACATCTGAAAGGAAAAACACAATAACAACTATCATGAAAACATGAAATTATAAAACTTGTAAAGCAGGTATAGAAAGGTGAAATAGAAAGGAATCAAACCTTATTACTACAAAAGATTACCTAACAACATAGATTAACAATAAGAGAATAGAAAAAAAAGGATACACAAAACCAGAAACAATTAACGAAATGACAGGAGTAAGTGTTCACATATCAATAATAAACTTGACAGTAAACAGACAAAATTCTGTAATTAAACATATAGACTAGTAGAACAGTTAAAAAGTAAAAAAAATAAAAATAAAAAAATAAAAATACCCAATTATATGTTGCCTATAAGAAATTCACCTTACCTGTAATGACACACACTGATTGAAAATGAAGAAATGGAAAAAGATATTCCATGTAAACAGAAATCAAAAGCAAGCGTGAATAGCTACACTTATATCAGATAAAACAGGTGTTAAAAGTCAAAGAATGTAAAAAAGAGAAAAACACGGACATTATATTATGATAATAGGATCAGTTCAGCAAGAGGATATAATAATTATAAATACTTATGGACCAAACACTAGAGTACCCAGATATAAAAAGCAAATATTATTGCATCTAAAGGGAGAGATAAACTACAATATAATAATAGTTGAGAATTTCAACACCTCACTCTCTGCATTGGACAGATCATCTACACAGAAAATCAACAAAGAAACATTGGATTTAAACTGCAGCATAGACCAAATGAACCTAACAGACATTTATAGAACATTTCACCCAACAGCTGCAGAATATGCATTATTTTCATCAGCACATGAAACATTCTCTAAGACTGACCATATGTTGGGACACAAAACAAGTCTCAAAACATTTTTCTAAATCAACATTATTATTGAGTATCCTTTATGACCAAAATAGAATAAACTAGAAATCAATAACCAGAGAAACATTCAAAACTGTAACAATATATGGAAATTAAAAATATATGCTCCTGAACATCAATTAGCCAATAAATAAGAAGGAAATTAAGAAATTATTTGAAGCAAATGAATATAGAAACACAGCACACCAAAACTTATAGGAGACAGCAAAAGCAGTAGTAAGAGACAAGTTTATAGCAATAAATGACTACATTAAAAAAGTAGAAAGATTTTGAATAACAATCTAATGATGCACCTCAATGAACTAGAAAAGCAAGAACAAACCAAACCCCAAATTAATAGAAATAAAGAGATAATAAAAATCAGAGCAAAAGTAAATGAAATTGAGACTCAAAAACAATACAGAAGAAATACAACATGAACATTTGGCTTTTTGAAAAGATAAACAAAATGGACAAACCGTTAGCTAGATTAACTAACAAGAAAGTATAAAAGACCCAAATAAAATCAGAAACAAAAAAGCAGACATCACAACTGATACCACAGAAATACAAAGAATCATAAGAGACTATTATGAAAAACTACACAGCAACATATTAGAAAATCTAGAGGAAATGGAGAAATTCCTGGACACATACAACCTAGCAAGATTGTACCAAGAAGAAATAGAAAGCCTAAACAAACCAATAATGAATAATGCGATTGAATCAGCAATAAAAAGTCTCCCAACAAAGAAAAGTCCAGTACCCTATGGCATCAGTGCTGCATTCTACCAAAGATTTAAAGAGGAACTAATGTCGATTCTCAAACTATTCCAAAAAAGTTGAAGGGAAGGGAATTCTTCCAAACTCATTCTGTGAGGTCAGTATGACTCTGATCTCAAAACCAGATAAGGACACAACAGTTACAACAAACAAACAAACAAAAACTACAAGCCAAGATCTCTGATGAAGATAGATGCAAAAATAATCAACAAAATACTAGCAAACTGAATCCAATACCATATCAAAAATATTATACACCATGATTGAGTGTGATTTATCCCAGGGATACATGGGAGATTCAACATATGCAAATCAATAAACATGATACATCACATCAATGGAATCAAAGACAAAAATTATATGATCATGTGAAAAGATACCAAAAAAAGCATTTGATAAAATTCTACATTCCCTCGTGATAAAAACTCTCCACAGTTTGGGTATGGAAGTAACATACCTCAAAACAATAAAAACCATATATGAAAAACCCACAGCTAACATCACACTGAATGAGAGAAGCTGAAATTCTTTCCTCTAAGAACTGGAATAAGACAAAAATATCCACTTTCACCACTCTTATTCAACTTAGTTCTGGAAGTCCTAATCAGAGCAATTTGGCAAGAGAAGGCAATAGAAGACATCCAAATTGGAAAAGAGGAAGTCAAAGAGTGTCTGTTTGCAGATGACATGATCTTATAAATAGAATATCCTTTGACACTACCAAAAAATTCTTAGAATTGATGAACAAATTCAGTAAAGTTGCAAGATACAAAATCAGCATAGAAAAATCTGTAACATTTGTACATACCAACAATAACCTAGCTGAGAAAGAAATCACAAAAACAATCCCATATACAGTAGCTACAAAATAAAATACTTGGAAATAAATTTAACCAATGAGGTGAAAGATCTCTACAAGAAAAACTATAAAACATTGATGAAGGAAACTGAAAAGGACACACACACAAAAGGAGAGGCAACATATGCTCATGGACTAGAAGAATTAATATTGCTAAAATGACCCTACTATCCCAAGCAATATCCAGATTCTATGCAATCCTTATGAAAATACCAATGACATTCTTCACAGAAATAGGAAAAAAATCCTAAAATTTGCATGGAACCAAAAAAGACCTAGAATAGCCAAAGCAATCCTGAGGAAAAAGAATAATACTAGAGGCATCACAATATCAGATTTCAAAATATACTACAAAACTACAGCAACCAAAAAACAGACACACATACCAATGGAACGGTATAAAGGACCCATAAATAGATCCACATATTCATTTATCTCATTGTGGTTGATTTTTGATAAAGGCATCAAGAATATTCACTGGGGAAAGAACAATGTCTTCAATAAATGGTGCTGGGAGAACTAAATATCCATATGCAAAAGACTGAAATTAGACCCCTATTTCTCACCTTATAAAAAAATCAACTCAAAATAGATTAGAGACTTAAATGTAAGATCTGAAACCATAAAACTACTAGAAAATATAAGAAAATGCTTGTGGACATTGGTTTGGGAAAAAAGAATAGGACCAAAGCACAGGCAACAAAAGCAAAAATAGACAAATAGAATTATATCACACTAAAAATCTTCTGCACAGAAAAGGAAATGATCAACAAAGTGAAGAAACAACCTGAAGAATGAGAGAAAATATCTGCAAACTCTTCGTCCAACAAGGGATTAAAATCCTGAATGTAAGAAACTCAAACAACTCAACAGAAAAAAGCAAATAATCCAACATGTATACATATGTAACAAACCTGCACGTTGTGCACATGTACCCTAGAACTTAAAGTATAATAAACAAAATGGACAAATGATTTGAATAGACATTTCTCAAAAGACTTAGAAATAACCAACAGATAGATGAAAAAAAATTTCAACATAATTAATCATCGGGAAAATGCAAATCAGAACCACAATGAGATATTATCTCATCCTAGTTAGAATGGTTATTATCAAAACATAAAAAATTAATGTTGGTGAAGATGTGGAGAAAAGGGAACTTTTATATACCGTTGGTGGGAATGTAAACTACTACACCCACAATGGAGAATGGTATTGTGGTTCCTTATAAAACTACAAATAGAACTACCATATGATCCAATAATTCCACTACTAGGTACATATCTCAAAAAAAGAGGAAATCAGTGTATCAAAGAGCTATCAGCACCTCCATATTTACTGCAGTACTAATCACAATAGCCAAAATAAGGCATCAGCCTAAGCATCCATCAAGAGATGAATTGATAAAGAAAACATGACATATATACAGAAATAAATGCTATTTAGCCATAAAAAAGAATGAAATCTTGTGATTTGCAGCAACATGGATGAACCTGGACTCAATGTTAAGTGAAATAAACCAGGAACAGAAAGATAAAAACCACATGTTCTTACTCATATGCAAATGCTAAAAAATTGGTCTCAAGTAACTAGAGAGTAAATAGTCGTTTCTAGAGGCTGGGAAGAGGAGTACGGGAGAGTGATAGAGAAAGGCTGGTTAAAGGATCCAAATGCATGACTAGATAGGAGATATAAGTTCTAATATTCTATAGCACTATAGGGTAACTATAATTAACAATAATTCATTACATATTTTCAAATAGCTAGGAGAGAGGATATTGATTGTTCCCAACACACAAAAAAAATGATGAATGTTTGAGGTGATAGACATGCTAAATACCCTGATGTCATCATTACAAATTGTATATATTAAAATATCACTCTGTACCCCATAAATATATACAATTATTAGGTGTCAATTAATTTTTTAAAATATTTTTAAAAAGTGTGTGTCAAGAGACACTACCTCAAATATGTGATCTGAGTAATAAAGGCAAACAAATAAGAGATTTTTGTCTTTGGAAGTAAATAGGAACCACCCAAATTAGAGGTAATAAGGATCCACCTACAAACCTATAATTAAAAATGTTTAAGGCCTTGGGGTATATGATGAAAATCTATTTGGAATGGCTAGAAATGCTACATGTCCCATGAAGAAACACATTCGCAATGAGAGGAGTTCAATCTGCTTTTCAAATGGTGCATTACCTCCTGTAGATATTCAAAGTCCTGAGACGCAGGTCTCTTCAATCCTGGACCATCTGTCTCTGAGCAATTTTCTTCTCCATTGAGTCCAAGGGCTCCACTCTCTTCACTGGTTCGAACGACTCCCTTACCTCCATCACCCTCACTGCCTCTTCTTTCACTGCCTATATTGGCTGCATGTTCTTCCTGATCTCCAATGGCTGCATTGTCCTCACTGGCTGCACTTCCTCCATGGCTTCTATTGGCTGTATGGCTTCCATAGCCTCTGTAGGCTTCCTCTTTTCCACGACTTCCATCATAACCATCTTGCTTGCAGCTTCCATCTCTGCCATAGCTTGCCCTGACAACAAGCTCCAATTAATGAAAGAAAGTCACGCAATAAAAACACATTTGAAAGTTAGCAAGTACAACAGAATTAGGATGTGTCTTATACATATCTACCATGCCCAGGCTTGTCTTTGTTCTATGTGAACACTACTGGTATGATAAAGAACATAAAAATGCCCCTATGTCTTCTCAGTCTTATGTAATGATTAAAGCCATAGCCACCACCAATTTCTCAGATGCATTTGGATGGCAGAGGGAAGAGAACTTGTATTCTTTGTTAGGTGCGTGTATTAGGTTAACAGCAAGAATATGTAGTTTTTTTCTTAAATATATACTATTTCATGCATTAGCAACTTCACAGACACATGAATGATTAAGCCTATGTTTTAGCTCAACCACAACATGATTAATTCTTCTTGCAGTATATCTAGTTTGTGTTCATTTCAACATGTGCCTTGATTTTCTAACATGTGTACTGACTGCTTTGCTATAGAACTCCATTGGTCTACTACTCCCACCAAGGAAGTTCAGCAATACATACCTCATGTCTTGTGGAACTAAGTTATTTAATTAATTGCTAAAAATACTAAGCTTAACAAAATGTGCCAATGCTCTCTTTTTGCATAGGAAACAAAATTAAACATACGTGCCTGTGGTAATTCTAAAAGTAAATTTATTTCATAATGGAATTCTTGATAGACTTTTTTGGTTGGAAAAAATTAAAAGAGCTCTTGGTAATTTCTCCACCAATTAAACAGATAAAGATCATCTTAAATTTCACATATATATATATATATATATATATATATATATATAGTGATATCACAAAAGTTTGAGAAATGAATAGCTATGTTTGCAAATACCAAGACTTCATCTTATGCTTGTTAAGTTACACACTTTCTTTGTTGTCCTTTCTCATACTCAGTATAGTTTTATAGAGTAGGATGATTCAGTGGCAGTAATTTTAACATAAGCATCTAGACAATTCCAGTTATAAAGAAACTAATAAATACTTGAATGCTTATTTTAAAATACACAAATGACACAAAATTAGATGTTCTGCATTAGAACAATTTAAAATACATTATTGACAATCAAACTATTTACTAAAATGCAAGTGAAATTAGGTCACTCTCTTGGTAATAAATTTTGAAAATAAACCAAAAATGCAAATAGCTCTGCAGTCATAAAACATGGAGAGTATAAGTAATTCAAAAAAACCAACCTTGGACAACTAGGCGCCTCATAATAATTATTATTTACATCATCAACAAACTTATTGTTGTCATCATCATGGTCTTTACAAACATCATTAGCCTGATCAACCTGGTTATCCAAGTCATCATTGCCATTGGCATGATCATAGGTATCTTCAAAAGTATCATTAGACTCATCATCATCATCACCATCAGTATCAGCACTGGCATCATAGAGTTCAACATAATCACCATCCTCTTCAGGTGGCTGAATGACAGGTGCCGGAGTTAACCAATCATTCCGGAAGATTTCAGAGAGTGCATTATAGCCTACCCATTCGTTTGTCAAGTATACAGGGGGTGATATTTTTCCTACTTTAAATCCATCTGGAACCTGTGTGCACAAGAAAGGTTAATGTAGCCTCTAGTAGCTTTCATTTTCTTCTAGATTGGAAAGTTTCCAAGCTGACAACATTTTGAAATATATTTTAAACTGAAACAAGGATGTTCACTCATTAGATGGAGCCAAAATTTTAGTGAGGATGAGATGTCAAAACCCAAACATCAGACTGTGATTATTAGTGGCCTTTCTGGATCACATAGGGCAAAATTTACTCACTTAAAAAAAATACCCATACTTGTCAGCTCAGGAATGGACACTTGCTTTTGATGCTGGAGAGAACAGGAGATTTGATGCTCCTTAAAAATGGTAACTTTTCCCTTTTGTTTTATCCCCTGACATTGGGATTAACACACAGCTCTTGAAATTGATATGTTAATTTACCAGCTCAGGTTTTACGTGCCATGGGTTGTCTTAAAGTATCTCAAACACTTCCAAAGTGCAAATTAATCTAAATCCATCTTTTAAGTATGGTATGTATCATTTAACAACTTTTGGGCAATCTGGAAGGGATGTGTGTACGGTAGCATAGAGGTAATTCAAAATTGAAATAGAATAATCTGAAAGCACATTGCATTAGGACAATTTAAAATCTGCATTAGAACAATTTAAACATGTTCACAAAGAGCTGGAAGACTTTTTATTTATGCAGTCAGAGGACACTCTGTTTTTTACTAAATGTTTTATATTTATGCATTGCCTCATCACTCAAGGAATGCTATTAAAAGTTGGACATCTAACCTGTACCCCTCAATCTGAGATTAGGTTTTACAAACAGCTTGTTATCACTACTCTCCCAGACATGTTCTAACTGACACAAGAATGTGAAAATAAAATATTCTCTGATTGATTAAATGTTTTCCCATTTCAATTTTAATTTCTAGATTTTGTGTTCTATGTATTCACAAAGCAATGAGAATCTATCCTTAAAATGTTAATTAAAAAACTAAACTCTTTAACCTTTCCCTCAAGTGAATATGAGAATGTGTAAGTCAAAATAAATGGAAAATAAAAAATAATAGACATTAATGTGTTAAGATGGAAACTTACATGGATGTCAACCAGCAACTTCTGATCAATAGTAGAATAAGGTGGTGATGACTGAGACCTCCTTCCAGTCACAGGACTTTCTTCCTCAGAAGAAGATTCTATGGAATGCCAAAAACACATTAGTAACAATGGTGATTACAGCCATTGCCTTCATATGTATAGTGTATCAGTTAAATCCCTTGGTTTTTTTTCTTTTTTTTTTTCTTGGTCATTTTTATGATTCCATTCAGGAAGTATCACCTGAAAATTCTCATGGGGCCAGGATCTTAAATTCTCTTTTCAGGGGTATTAGCAGGGGTTCAAGTTTTCTTCCATCTGTAGACTTACATGGCTGCTCTGTTTTCAATATTAAGTGTACACTTACCAAATATCTCTATCTATGTAAGAAGATACATAGTCCAACTGATAGCCAGGTAGATACATTTAAAAAAATGTATCAAGAGTAGGAAGGACTGGGAGTACCACTGGCCTCACATACTGACCAGTAGAAAAAAAAGCCCGACAGTGTATTTATTAGAAGATGATAGACTAGCCAAAACCCTCAAGAGGAGAGTTCATTCTTCAATCTTTTTTTTTTTTAATTATACTTTAAGTTTTAGGGTACATGTGCACATTGTGCAGGTTAGTTACATATGTATACATGTGCCATGCTGGTGCACTGCACCCACTAACTCGTCATCTAGTATTAGGTATATCTCCCAATGCTACCCCTCCCCACTCCCCCCACCCCACAACAGTCCCCAGAGTGTGATATTCCCCTTCCTGTGTCCATGTGATCTCATTGTTCAATTCCCACCTATGAGTGAGAATATGCGGTGTTTGGTTTTTTGTTCTTGTGATAGTTTACTGAGAATGATGATTTCCAATTTCATCCACGTCCCTAAAAAGGACATGAACTCATCATTTTTTATGGCTGCATAGTATTCCATGGTGTATATGTGCCACATTTTCTTAATCCAGTCTATCATTGTTGGACATTTGGGTTGGTTCCAAGTCTTTGCTATTGTGAATAATGCCGCAATAAACATACGTGTGCATGTGTCTTTATAGCAGCATGATTTATAGTCCTTTGGGTATATACCCAGTAATGGGATGGCTGGGTCAAATGGTATTTCCAGTTCTAGATCCCTGAGGAATCGCCACACTGACTTCCACAATGGTTGAACTAGTTTACAGTCCCACCAACAGTGTAAAAGTGTTCCTATTTCTCCACATCCTCTCCAGCACCTGTTGTTTCCTGACTTTTTAGTGATTGCCATTCTAACTGGTGTGAGATGGTATCTCATTGTGGTTTTGATTTGCATTTCTCTGATGGCCAGTGACGATGAGCATTTTTTCATGTGTTTTTTGGCTGCATAAATGTCTTCTTTTGAGAAGTGTCTGTTCATGTCCTTCGCCCACTTTTTGATGGGGTTGTTTGTTTTTATCTTGTAAATCCAACTTACAAGGGATGTGAAGGACCTCTTCAAGGAGAACTACAAACCACTGCTCAAGGAAATAAAAGAGGATACAAACAAATGGAAGAACATTCCATGCTCATGGCTAGGAAGAATCAATATCGTGAAAATGGCCATACTGCCCAAGGTAATTTACAGATTCAATGCCATCCCCATCAAGCTACCAATGCCTTTCTTCACAGAATTGGAAAAAACTACTTTAAAGTTCATATGGAACCAAAAAAGAGCCCGCATCGCCAAGTCAATCCTAAGCCAAAAGAACAAAGCTGGAGGCATCACACTACCTCACTTCAAACTATATTACAAGGCTACAGTAACCAAAACAGCATGGTACTGGTACCAAAACAGAGATATAGATCAATGGAACAGAACAGAGCCCTCAGAAATAACGCCGCATGTCTACAACTATCTGATCTTTGACAAACCTGAGAAAAACAAGCAATGGGGAAAGGATTCCCTATTTAATAAATGGTGCTGGGAAAACTGGCTAGCCATATGTAGAAAGCTGAAACTGGATCCCTTCCTTTCACCTTATACAAAAATCAATTCAAGATGGATTAAAGACTTAAACGTTAGACCTAAAACCATAAAAACCCTAGAAGAAAACCTAGGCATTACCATTCAGGACATAGGCATGGGCAAGGACTTCATGTCTAAAACACCAAAAGCAATGGCAACAAAAGACAAAATTGACAAATGGGATCTAATTAAACTAAAGAGCTTCTGCACAGCAAAAGAAACTACCATCAGAGCGAATAGGCAACCTACAAAATGGGAGAAAATTTTCGCAACCTACTCATCTGACAAAGGGCTAATATCCAGAATCTACAATGAACTCAAACAAATTTACATTCTTCAATCTTAACCCCCACATATTTCCACCCAATGATATATCCAGATGTAGTTCAATACAGTTGAGGAGTGAACTACTGAAAAGAGATAACACCCGTTTCTATAAAGCTGGGAACCTTTTTATAGCAGCAATGTACAACAAAACTTTCTGCAGTGATAGAAATCTTCTGTATCTGAACTGTCCATTAACAGTGGTCATTAGTCACCCATGACTACTGAGCATTTGAAATGTGGCCAGTGTGCCTGAGAAAGTGACTTTTAAATTTTATTTAATTTTCATTTTACTTTTTATTTTAATAGCTACATGAGGCTAGTTGCTACCACATTGAACAGCTCAATTCTATAGTGTAAATATTTCCATTTAAAATACAAATGTATCTGGTTTGGAGATTAGGTTTTAATATTGAGTTGTGGTATGGTAAATAACCCCTGTGATTAAAATCTGGTGAGAATATTTAACAGGCTCAAAATTCAGGTCTGGGTGAGTGTACTTAGAAAAAGCTTCACTAAGAGAAAACTCAGGTCCCTGTTTAATGTTTTTGTGTGCTTAGATTTTCAAGATAAATACTATTGTCCCTCTTATTTTCAGTCTTGGTATACATAGCCAAAGTATAGATACTCCAACTCCAAAAGACATATATTTGCAAATACTGCTGTCCTTTGAGAACATTACACTGAACACATGCTAAAATTTGTGTCCCCATCTTCTGACACTGTTGTACTTGTGCTTTTTTTTTTTTTTTTTTTTTTCAGGAAACCATTTTCTTTTAAGTCTTTTGGTATGTTAGTAGACCAAATAAGTTCAAGTGAGTGCACTAAGATTCTGAGACAAATTTATAGTAAGGTGCTCTGAGATTTCCTCCATAATGAAGCATATAATTTCATGAGAATATCAAATGGTCTATGTAGCATAAACAATAAAATAAAAGAAATTTGGAGCTGAAAAGACATTTAGCTATTATCTGCACAGATGCCTTCTCCCTTCTATCAATGCTATGACTGCTTTGGGATCTAATCCAGAATTTCCTTATTTCAAAGATGCCACATGAATAAACCTTAAATTTTTAGTTGTTTGCCCTGTATTAGCAAAATTAGCCATAGTCAAGCCAGAAAGAAAAGACTCTGGGAAAAAATTTTTAAAAATTTGCTTTTCACTCAGGCTTATCTAATTTTCACAACATAGTATTTGTGTATGAGGAGACAGTGCTATTTAAAAGAACTCTGCCATAATCTGAGTCACTTAAGAAGAATAATGTGTTTTAAGTTTTGATCTTCAAATATTCACTTTTCAAAAAGTGAAGTACATCTGTATCATTTTTATTATTAACATTTTAATAAAATCAGTATACTATATTTTTACATATCAGCAACTCAATCAGCCATTTTTCCCTTGCTTAACTTACCTGGATTGCTTAAAACTGGATAATGCCAGATTGCATGATCCATGGCACAACTTTTGGCTTTGTTTATCCTAATATTTCATAAATCTATAATTCATTTAAACTCTCTCAAAAGCACATCTTAAAATACTTTTTTGAAATTCACATCACAACTTTTGAAGTTATTTTCTATGATTTGATAGATTAATTGTTCATGTATTTTGAGTAAAACCATCACTCTGTAACATTTAGGGATATTTATCAGATATTGTCCTATTTTGGAGAGGTGAAGTAACCAACTGATAAATGAAACACACACTCACAACTCCTCCATACAATATTCTAATTGCTACCTATAAATTTTAGCCTGCTGGAGAGGTCTCTCTCAAGTTTCTTTACCATACTTTTCTTACGTGGTATAGAAACCTAATAAAGCTGACTCCCCCCGCCTTCTTAGACACATTCCTAACTACTACCCAACAAAAAGAAGAAAATTCAGAAAAATTATTTTCCATTTCTCAAAGGCCACCACTGACCACCCAATTGCCAAATACAATGGCCTTCAGGTCCTAATCCTACTTGGGCTCCCTGACACTTTTGATTCATTCCTTCTTGAAATTCTTCTTTCTTGACTTCTGAAATATAAATTGTTAAACAGTAGCTCTGTGTTTTGCCTGCTAAAATTTTGTGCTTTGAATCACCTGATGCTGCCAGCCAATTTTGACGATTTTGCGAACTCCTTTGTCTGATGTCAATGGGCTTCTGAGCTTGTTCCAAAAGAGACCGCTGAGGAACGCTAATGAAAAGACAGAAAAGCATGTGCCATGTCCTAACATTCATAAAGGGAATGTACAACTCAACATAAAGTCCAACACAAAGTTTTGTTTAAATATATGGGTACATATCAAACTGAAAAAGAAGTATAACTTGAGTAATAATTTCCAGTTTCCATTCTCCCCCAAACTTGCTATTTTGTCTAGAATAGAGTAACGATTTCCAAAATAAGAAAAATATGTTTTCATAGAGTATATGTTTCCTTTATATATATATTAATTTCTAAAAATTTCTATAAGCTTTTAAAGCTAACATTCAGACAATATTTTACCTGAGTAACACAGCAATAAACATAACCTTATAGTGTATGTGAGTATTTTAACATAATAAACAAGTTACTGTTATGTCATATATTCTATTGTTATTATCCAGATTTTAAATGCTTGAAATTAATGTTTTTAACGTCCCATTCCGGATTTAGATAGCTACACTGACAGAAAAATAGAGCACTTTCGTTCTTACTATTCAAATTTAAAGAATATTTAGAGAGTTTCTTTGGACTAATGCTGCTAAATTTTACAGTTATTTTGGTATTTCTATATGGGAAGGACTTTGGTTATTGATTTAGGTCTGGAATAGACAAACTTTTTTCCATGGCCCCAAATTTCCGGAAAGATTTGAGTTTCATTTAAGTTAACTTTTTAAATTTAACTATATTTAAAGGCAACGTATTTGTTATTCATAAATTCAAAATCCTTTTGTAAAGTGAACAATTACTCTGAGTTTAACACCAAGTATGGATTTTATATATTGGATTTTATTAAAGTCATGTTCCATGATACCAAAACCAACTACTCAAAACTAAACTGGTTTCTTTCCTTTGAGGTCAGTTCGACCATGACAATCCATTCATTGAGTGCAGAGAAAAAGAAAGTTCGCAGTCTTGCTTTACAATTTTTCAAGATTTCTGCACTCCAGTTAAATCTGAAGACATAATTGTATGGGTTTTTTAAAGTAATGAAGCAAGAAAATATATACTACATAACATTAACTGTACGCCATCTGGCCATACTGTCCAATATCTTGAATATAGTGAGTGTTCAATAAATATTTACTGACTAAATGAATCAATATAGGCTAAGTTCTCTCTATTGTGAGTTGGGGCTGGAGGGGGTGAGATTTTCTTAAAAAAATCTACCTTAAAATTTAGTTTTCAAATATAACAGAATGCACACAATATCTGACATATGGAACGTGATCTTTGAAAATTATTGAAGATCACCAATATTACAAAGATTAAAAAATACAGTGACTGGTATCAATATTATATATGATATTTTATTTATATAATATTGAGTTTTAGATTTGATTTTGACTATAGGACATTTTTAGGCTTACCCATTCTGTGGCATTAGCTTCTGAAGTTAAAGACAATTGGTGTGTGTGTTTTATCATGCAGCACATGTGTGAAAATTCACTTGAAATTTCATGTCTTTTTATCATCGACTACTAATTGAATACTGTCAAAGTATTTGTTATTATTGTTTCTTTTTAAAATTGTGAACCTTGCCATCTATTTAGCAAACTAAATATCACAGAGACTGCAGTATGACCAAATATGAAAGATATAGGTAATGGATCATTGCAGTTAAGGTTTTCAATGTGGGCCAATAAAGTCAATGGTGATGATGTTGTCACGGATATTTTAGTTGACTTCACAAAGTGTATTATCAATGAAATAATTTTTAATTTTCCATTTGATAATTATGAATAATTTTAATATAGAAATCAAAGACACATACCTTGAAGAGAACTTGACATGATGTGCATGATCCTGGTTGTTAGGCACAGAAGGAGATCTCTCTTGAACCTTAAAGACACAATGCAATACTTCAGTAGAATTCTTGATCATAAATTGTACTGAGCTCTTAATTTGTGGGAAAATGCCTGTCTTCATATATATTTTCCTAAAATCTAACTTATAAAATATGATTTTAATAAACAGATTCTATTTCATAATGACTTACAACATTAGACTTGCTTAACCATAATTTCTGATGGTATATTTGATCTTTAGTATAGGAACAGATTCTGGAGCTCATATAATCAAAATCTTAATTTATTGTTGAGGAATCTGTAGCCTAAAGAGGGAAAATGACTTTTCTAAGAATTTTATGTCAAGTGAAAGGAACGTCTAAAATCAGAATGCAGGTCTCCCAACTTCTAATTTAATGTTCTTTCCATGTTATCACATTGCTTTTTATATCAAGTTTAAACTTCTTACTCAGAATTTAAGTTCTAATTCTTATACACTCATCCTTTTAAGCTAACCCTAGATTTTCAAAAGTTGTCACACACACATACATACATTTCATTAAAATCTCTCTAGTCAAAAGTGTCCCATCTTTAAGAAAGTAAGAAAGTATGTTTTTCTGCTTTACAATTTGACTGTACTATCATAATTAGTGTTCCAAGTACTGTTTCAACTCTAAATAGATTAATTTGCATTTTACTAATCATACAATCATTGAATATAGCCAAATACTCAAGAAAGGGTGCATATAATAAGCCAGCTTCCACCAATGGGGGAATTTTACTTTCTGCCAACATTGGTAGACAGGGCCAGGGAATGTTGCCTTGCCTCACTAAGACTTGTATCACCAGGTTTCTACTCAAAGAAGTTTTAGCTGCCCAAAACATAGGTCATTCTGACATGCAATAAGGCAGTCATACTAGATTCTTTAAAAAGGAAATTTAAGAGTGTTACTTTTTTAATCTAGCATATGCATGCTGATAAACTCATTCTATACTTTCTAGAAACTAGAGTAGCCTTAGTAAACTATTTTTTCTTTATGAAGTGGCTTATCAAGGCTCTCTCTACACTCCGAGAGACAAGTAGGTGAGGGTAAGTATCTGCCTATTTTTTTCCACTTTCATTTCATATAATTGGTATCATATGACCCAGTCGGGGACTTTTGGCTTATGAAGCTGATCTTAGGAAGTTTATTGTCACTACTGGAGGCAAAAATTACTCAAAATAGGTAACGGCCAAAAATAAAAAATATAATTCCTAATATAAATTGGCTGTATTTAATTTCAAAACTGGGGAGAAGAAAATGATTAGTAAGAATAGCATATACTAAGATAATGATGTATTTCAAATCAGACACAGCTCATTACATTTCCTGCTTAAAGTGTCAGGTTTAAGGTAATAATTATTACCTGTGAGTTTGAGTAAAGTCATTTAATAAGGCAAAGAAAAAGACATATTGCCTCTTCTAATTATATAATACAGTCTGGCTTATGTACCTTCTGCCAGTGGTTAGTACTTATAAAACAATACTCTTTGTTATTAACTTCAGAGGACTGTTAGTATTAGGGGAATTGTACTTAAAAATGAGAGTTGTCCATAAAAGACTTCATAGTAGACTCCTGTGTAACATCTTGTGCTGATTAGGAGCAACAATGAGGCTCCTGACCCACCATCAATAAGGCAAGAGTTTGAGTTCTTCACACACTCACCTAATCTACTTGATTGTTCAAAACAATCTACAAAAAGATTGTTTTAGATGGCTGGCTATTAGGAATACTGGCTATGATGATGATGCTACCTTTTCTAGACAAGAAAACCTACAACTCCGGCCTCACCAATATATGTTCTAAATAGGATACTATTAATATACTCATGAAAACAGAAGTCAAAATGGACACTAGGACTAACTTAATTATTCTTATAATTGTAAAACAAAACAAAACAAAACATAGATTAAATGTCCCAGACCCTGTCACAAACTGCATTCCAGACCAGAGCTAATCAAGGAAAAATATTTGTGTTTGTGTTACAAAACGAAACTGCCAGAATTTTTAATGTACAATATTTTTGCTTAAAGAAAGACTGACAAACTATGATTATTTAAACTCTGGGTATTTGGTAGACATTTTATTTTTAATGAATAAAGTAAACCTGTCAATTTAAGGGGAAAAAATGATGCCACAATTTAGCAATGATAAAATTTGAGCTTGCAAAGGAAAATTAGAATTTTCAAACATATCTCCCACCAAGCACTTGACAATTTAACAACACTCAGTAACTTTTATGATGAACTTGATGGTAACATTAACAAATGCTGTTTTTTGATATTGTATAATGAAACATGTAAATGTCTGGGAAGATCTATATACAAAGTGAACCAGTATTTTCCAACTGATCAATGCATGAAGTTAAAAATCATGCATAAGCAAAACATCTATTCATAGCATAAGATAGATCAATGAGTTTTATTATTAACTGAATATACAACATTTCATTGATATGGTTTTAGATTCCACTTCTCTAGTTTTGGTACATTATTCAATAATTTACTCAATTATCTAAGCAATCTATGAAAATTGACTCTTTCCCACTACCTATATGTGAGAAGCCAGCTTTTATTCGTATACTTCAACCAAAACAACACATGGCAACAGATTGAATGCAGAAGCAGATGTGAGAATCCAGCTGTTTTTCATTAAGCAAGATAGATTTAAGAGACTTACAAAAAAGTAAAACAATGTCAATCTCTCTAAAATTTTGTTTTGGGAAAATACAGTTTTTTCATTAAAAATGTGTTTCTTATGTTAACATGTAATAGTTTCATTCCTTTTAAATGAACTAATATTTTAAATGTTTTTCAGTTTTAACTTTTAATAAATTAAATATCAAATGATACAACCCATGTAAAAAATGAAAGCTTTTTGAGGTCCTCAATGTTTAAGAGTATAAAGGGACACTGAGACCAAAAAGTTTAAGAACCACTGTTCTGGGTTCTTACTAATGTCACAACAACTCATATTGAAAAATTTACCTCAATTTTTTTAGGATTTGAAATGTATGGCTTCAATGGCTCTATCTGGACTTCAGCCTGAATCGAATGAAATACTTCATCATTGTCTGATGATTCATCTTCTTTGTCCTTTGAAACAAAAAGGAAAGTAATTGTTTTAATTGTTGTTAAAATGCAAGTGATAGGAACAACTTCATCATCTTAATGCTGAATTGTTTATATGTATTATATAATATATAATTTAAAATAATACACAATTTAAAAGAATAATATCCAAATATTAAAAATGATTTAAACCAGTAGTTTCTAATAGTGTTTGGTTCTGGATCCCTTTCAGAATCTGAGAAATGCTATAGACTGTCCACAGAAAATTGCATATAGACATACCTATTACATATATTTTCTGGTGGATTGCTGACCTCCTGAAGTTCATCTACAGGGTCCAGGTTAAGAATCTCTGGCCTAAAACTTGATTGACTCATAACACCAAACTAACTGTCACATTTAGCAAGCTATTATAACCAAAGTTTGGTCTTCCTGAGCAATGGAAGATCTGTAATACAGTGGTGCAAATATTTCTCCCTAATTGAGATCTAGGACTTTAGGAAACTGTTTTCCCCTTTAATCCAATCAATATTATCTCTTCAACTGAAAGATTAATAAAAATGCATTTTTTGTTTCCTGCTGGTGACTTAAAGCACCCACCTATGTCTCTCAACTCTAATAAAATTTCAGGTATCATGAAGATCTGTGACTTTGACTATATTATCAATAATTTTCTTTTCCTTTATATTTTCTTCAACGACCACATATAAAGATATAAATGCTTGTACAATATCCTAGAGTCATGAGATTGGTAACTATTATTTATTGACTTTTAAAAATTTTAGAATGGCTTTCCACATATATGTTTAAAACAATAAATGACAATAAGTGTGTGCCATGCTGGTATCACTGAATCTTTCAGAGATCAATAAAAGTCTTATTCATAAATGCAAAACCCATTAGATCTAATTGATTACTAGGGTTCATCGAGAATAATCATTAGCATTTTAGATGAGCTAGTTTTTGCCAAATGTCACCATTCTAGACTTAAACCTCCCTTTTCTCCATCTAGTTTCTTGCTCCTTATAGTTCCCTTTTTCTCTGAGAACTAGACATCCATTTTCCCTTTTGGGCCTTGCTTCTCTTGCTGCTCCTACCTTTTCTCATGTTAAACATGTCAACAAATTAGCATTTGTTTAATTGGCTCAATGTGCACAAACTCAAAGAATTCCTTATCTAGATACTCAGATAAAATTCATTTGTAATTATTACAATGATTATTATTGGGTAAATAGATGTGGATAAAAGGGTATAAGTTAGGATCATCACAATGATTCCTTTTACACAAATGGATGTGGGGAGTATTAGAAAACAACTGCTCCCCTAACCTTATCTAACCTCATTAATTTGTTATCAAGCCCATAATTCTTCATTATCAGTTTAGAATCCACCAGATTAAATTCAATAACTCCAGTAAAATTATATTCACTTTTTATTAAAGGATTTTTGAAACAATTACGTTTTAGTGACTGTTCTTAGATAAAATGGAGTTTAACACACTGTATTCCACATTTCAAAAGGGTACAGATGAAACCACCCTTATTAACTTATAAAATTAATCACAGAAGAAGAGAGGGGAAGAAACAAAAATATACCAAGCTTGCAGCACGTTTAGCATTAATCTTTAGGTCAGCTTGCTCTCTGACCTCCTTCCTCAATAGATGTTTGTTGCCTATTTTCCTAGACTCACGTAGACCTTGTTGCAACATCATCATTCCCCTTAACTGCTCTGTAGATAACAACTTGAACATTATGAAATGTTGTTTTTCCTTTGAGATATTTCTTCAGGTCTTGCATACCAGTGAAACTATTGTCAATCAACTGGTCTGAAGGACCCCACTGACGCCAACTGGTCTGAAGGACCCCACAAGAGGCTGACTCATCAAAAAATGCAGTTTCCACATCCTGATGATTTCAAGGACCATCAACCTTACCCTGACCAATCAACAACTCCAATTATCCAGCACCTCACCCTCTACAATCCCCTTAAAAACCCCATCCCAGAACTCCTCCAGGAGATGGATTTGAGGGTCTCCTCCCCACCTCCTCACTCCATGCCCTGCTGATCATTAAACTCTTCTGCTGCATTCTTGATGCATGTGTAATTGGTCTGTTACTATGCAGTGGGCATACGAACCTGTTGGTCTTCTAACACGGAGAATAATTTGTAAATTGTTTCACGTTCTGTGAGGCCACATAATTGATTAATTATGTAAAACGGGCAGCAAATTAGTGAAACAAGTCATAAATATGGTAACCATATACCAAATATTTTGGAAACTGCTTTGCCTTCTCATTTTAACCTTGATTTAAACATCCTGTAGTACAAAAATGAGTGTAATTCACTCAAATAGTATAGTTTGGCATTCTATTGGAAGAAAGAATAAACTAACTTAAAGGTTAGAGTAACAAAAGCAAATTTTGTTTTGTGCTTATTTTTGATGAGTTATCTTTGAAATTTTAAGCTATGAAAGTAATTTTTAAAGATCCAAAATAGTAATTTTTAATGTGCATTCGTTGACACTTTATTGGTTAAAGAATAATAGACAGAAAACTAATAATTAAAGCTATATTTCAGTAGAGATACTGAAAAATATTTTTATCATATTTAGTTACAATTATCTAGAAATTTCATGAAAATTTATTTGAAGTACAAATTATTTAGTATATCTTCTGTAGAACACAAGGAATATTTATTTCATTTGGTTTTACTGAGAAAAAACATCCGCATGAGCTATCACATTTTCTCTTCATTTTTGACTCAGAGTAAAAATATCAAAAATTCTTACTTTATCAACTTGTCTCAATTCTTCCTCATGCTGATTAAAGATATCTTCCCATCTGCGTTGGCGCCTTTGCCTGCGGGCTTCTAAATCCGAGAGTTCAAGCTTTTCAGGTCTCCATGATGACTTTGCCCTGAACCTCTTTGGTGATAGTCTTTTTGCCAGTGCTTGCCTCAGAGTAGAAACTTTTGATTTTTTCTCCCGTGCCTGTTCTGGTTGTGAGTAAAACCTATTTGATGACAGATTTTCCATCAGGGTTTGCAACGGACCAAGTGGCTTTGAGTTATTTGAGTTTGGTGCCCGAAGCAAGTCTCTTGATAGTCCCTCTATCAGTGCTTGAACTGAGCCAATTGCCTGTGGGGGTTCTAGTGTCCAAGCCTGTGCCTGAGGTGATCCTTCAGTTTGCCCCTCTACTGGAATGAGCACCTGAGTATCCAAATGTAGTGGCAACAGCACATGGTGATCTTGTGATAGCAGGGGCAGAAATACCTGGGCATTTACTCGTAATGACTCAGGTTCCTCTGCCTCAGTCTCTGCCTGTGCAGGCTCGGCAGCCTGTTCCTGTACCTCTGGCTGTTCAGGTGCCTGGTTCTGCTCCAGCTCTTGTTCAGGCACCTGGTTGTGCCTCTGCTGTTGTTCAGGGGCCTGGCCCTGCCTTTGTTGTTCGGGTACCTGATCTTGACCCTGAAATTCCTCTGGTACCTGGTCCAAATCTTGTGGTTCTGATGTCTGGGTCTGGGCCTGCTGCTTTTTGGATACCTGGGACTGTACCTGCAGAAGCCTAGGTGCCCTAACCTGTGCCTGTAGTGGCATGAGCACCCTGGCTGCCCTCCGTAGTCGTGGAGGTGCCTTAATCTGCATTTGTAGAGGTTTAGAGGCCTTAGCCTTCACCTGAGCCTGTAGTGGCATGAACACCCGAGCTGCCCCTTGTAGTCGTTGAGGTGCCTGAGCCTGCCCCTTTAGAGGCTTAGGTGCACTGTCCAGAGCCTGCAGTGGCATGAATACCCTGGCTGCTCCCTGTAGCTGCTGAAGTGCCTGGACCTGTGGCTCTTCTCGATCAGGTAGCCACCTTGGCTGAGAGGGTTCCCCATGCAGGACTCTAAGTGGTCTGCATCTGCTGCTGGTTGGCAATCTCAGAAGCTCGTGAGTGCAAGAGGGTCCTCTAAAATAAACACACAAATGATTGGCATACAATTAGAATTTTTAGTGGAATGGAGCCATTCAGGGGCATTGTTTTTACTTTAAAAGATGGACATTTTCTGCAATGAAGATACCTTCAGTAAACCTTTCTGAAATCATTCCCTTGATGTCTGAAATATTCTGCAGGTAACATTTGTATTACTAATGTATTCAATTATTAATGAAATATGATATCTACTTGATCTTCACTTGCCAGATATTAAGGAGTCTTTGGGTAGTAATAAAGAATTCTCACATTTTCACTCAATATCTCTTAAAAACAGAGATTTGTTATTTGTTGTATCAGAAAGAATTAAGTCTTTCTGAACCAAAGGCAACAGTATGGAATCAACGGCCTTATGTGAATTGCTATCATCAAATTATATATGCAATTTGTGGAACGCACCTGAATCTTCTCACGGTGTACTGTTCCTTAATAGCTTCTTCTCTTTCAAAGATCAAAGGTATTCCTTTTTTTACAAAAGAGAAAAACATAATGCATAAACAGTCAGCAGATAAGCATGTTATCCACTTAATCACCTTGTTCCCTCTGCTTCTTAGGATGTGGAGTGAATTACAAGGGCAAGAAGGTAGCCCTTCAAAAGTACTTGGTTTGTGATGTAGACCATATTCTAGTTTCTAGGCCCACTTTTGCAGCACAATATAGCTATTGCATGCAGATTAATTTCTCTGAACAGAGAAAATTTAGCAACTTGATTTCTGCAATTCTAAAGAGGAAGAAGAGAGAATGGGACAAAGGGAGAATGAGACAAGAGAAACTCTAAATAGTGGTGAGCATGGCTTACAGCTGTGGGCTCTAGATGTAAGGACTTTATGGCTTGAGGTTGATATTTGGTCTTTTCAATGAGAAGGCAAATTCTTAATTCTGTGTTTTACACTAAACACATTGAAAACATTCAGCTTCTTTCCTATCATCAGCTGTACTGTGACTACTGAAATATAGAAGATTACAAACAAGAGTTTTATTTTGAATTTCCTATATTAAAATGTTCAGGGCAACTATATTTATATCTTTAGTGTAACTTCCATATAAATGGAACTTTTCCTACAGGTAACATTTTGGAAATTTTGCAATTCTGGAAATTAGCAAATTACCATATAGATGTGTGGTTTTCCTGAACCCATTTGAAACTGGCTGGCCTCTGTAAAGTTGGCTGAATAACTTCATTACCATAGGTAAATAAATTAATTCTTGCTGCTCCTTGCCTCAAAACATGATACATGTATAGATACAACAAGCCCCACTACAATCAATCCCACAGCTGATCTGAGGATGCCTGCTTTTTCAAGTTTTCCCTTTTACATTCCATTGTTACTCTCAACTCTGCCTATGGTCCGCAAAATCAAATGTGGAATATGTAATATAATATATAAAGTTAGGACTTCCCAGGGGCTTCTTCTGGACTTGGTGAAAATCCATCCTGGTACTTTTATTTTTATTTTTTTGAGGCAGCGTCTTGTTCTGTCACCCGGGCTGGAGTGCAGTGGCATGATCTTGGCTCACTGCAAATCCTGCCATTTTTAATAGAAGTTCACTTTTATTAATAGACAGAAGTTTATGTTTATTTGTATAAATCAGTTCCTTTAATTATATTTTATATTTGGAGTTTAGTACATAAAACAAGCTTTGTATGGTGCACAAATACTACTTCAAAATTAGCAGTGAATAAATGGTTAATTACAAATCCATTTATCTCTTGTAGAGTCAAAATACCAGCTGAAAAAAAAGCAAGATATACATTTTGTTACCTTTTATCTTTTATTTATTTTATTTAGTTAGTTACTTAAAATTGGCATATCACAAAACTTTATTGGATGCTTTCAAGGTCTTCATAAATATGAACATTTGCCAGGTGTAACTGGCAAGAATTAGTAACTATACACACACACACACACACACACACACACACACACACACACACACGCAAGAGAAAATTAAATAAGAGCACATGGCATATTATTGGCAAAACTAAATATCAAAGGCCTCAGAAGTTTTATTTTCAATCTAAGTCTTAAACAAATATTACTTTTTCCTGGAAACAATACATGAATAAACTCTGAATATTCATTTCAGTAAAATAAAACTTAACAGATTCTACCTTTTTTCTGTCTTTTTTTAATGATTCCAGTAAGATGCCTTGTTAATGACTCAACAACATGTCGTTCATTTTTTATATCCCGAACAAATGGGTGTTGAAGCATGTTTGCAGAAGTAGGACGAAACAGGAAATTTTTTATCGTACACTTTTCCATGAAATTGTGGAACTTACGGGACCTAAAAAATGAGTCAAAGAGAGGAAAAAAAAGTGTTCTCAGTCCTGTCAGACCTCTTCCCACCACCACCCACATGCCTCTCTGAAAATCATATTTGGAGAGAGTTGCCTTTAGGTATTATTGTCTTCTCAATTGCCAAATATCCTGCAGTTTGGCAACATACGTTATAAAGTGAGGCCATTTAGACCTCAGAAAAAGAAGCAAGAGTCAATAGCATATTCCATCTAAATTACAGTAGAAGTTTCAATGAGTTAACTGTATGTACCTGGTAAAAACTCAAGTGCAGATATGATGATTAAATGGTTAATGTGATATATGTAGTCTGCAAGACTAGATTGATCGGCCCACAGCAGTCATACTCTGTATTTTTCATTTGACTATATGCAGTTTTAACTACAGAGGAATGAATATAATGATCCAAAAATAGGATGTTAAAAGCACCAGGACTAACTAATCTTGTAAAATGACCCATGAAAACAGATGTGGCCATAAAAACTGAATCCATGGAAAGGGTTAAATTGAATTCCAATGCAGAATGTTAACAATCAAATCACAGTCACCACTTCTACCAGGGAAAGCAATAAAAACTAATAATAAGCAAGAGTTTCAGGTACAAGATCAACAAGCTTCAGAGAGAAGGATTCCCAAGTTTAGCTGGCATGTAAGTGCCCTGGGAAAACAAGTCTTCTGCTCTAGGTCTGTGTGTGTTTGGTTTAATGTACTAATCAACAGGGCTGCATATAACTGACTGCCTATATAAGCAACACAAGAAACTTCACAAATAGTTGCCATCAGTTCATCCCATTACTGGGGAAACAACTGAACATGCCCATTAATGGCAGTACAGTAATATCATCAGAAAATACTATAGAGGATATTACTTATTTATAGTTGGCTAGCTACCTCTTAATGAAAACTGGTCATTTAGACCTCCCAGTTAAGATATTAGACTTTAGGAAATATTGTCCAACCAGGATGGTGCAGCAGGACTGACCAAATGAATTAAAACTTCTTTGCTAACATAAAAATGTCAAGTCAATGTAATTAGGAGATTAAGACATTCATCTTTACCATCCGCTGGATTTGACTGTGGGAGCAGATTCCCGCAAAATAACGAAGAGAGCTTCCAAGGGTTGAAGGTTACACAGAGCTGCAAAGGGAAATAGATAAATTTAGAAAGAATGAGAAGGGTAACTAAAGAACACACTCCTTATTCCAGAGGGGATTCTCAGTGATCTTTCACATATTATGTTGAGTAGACACTAAGGGACAAATAGATACAAAAGAATGTATTTCAAAAGAAAAAGAAAAGCTCGTTTTAATGCAATGTTGCAATATATAAGATTCTCAAGTTTCACTATCACCAAGTAGGATAAATTAATAATAAACTAGACAAAATATTTGAAATGTATAGTTGATAATTTATATCTAGAAAAGTTAACTGAAAGTGAAACAAGCACACTTCTATGTTTTTGTATTGCAGGTATTTAGTTATAAAATTGGAATATGTAATTACAGACTGAAAAATTCAACCAGACTACTAGCTTAGTACAATAATATTTAAAGAACAATGATTTAGTAGTCTAGAAAGCTTAGAAGCATCTGTTTTGGAAGCTGAGAGTTCTAGAAAAAAAAAATAGGTATAGTGCAACTGTTAAGAATACACCCCCTAGAGTAAGATCATCTGCGTTCAAACCTAGCTCTACCTTTGTGACTGGGCAAATTACCTAGCCTATCTGTATCTTGGTTTCTTCACCTGAAAAACAGGAAATGTAGCAGGAGGAATCCCTTCAAAGAATTGTTGTGAGGATTAATTAGAAACTTACAAGTAAAAGTGTATTTACCTCATAAATATATACATCTATTATGTATGCACAAAAATTTTTTAAATAATTTTTAAAATCCCCTCAAAAGTATCTGACATGTAGTAGATGCTAAATAAATATCAGCTATTGATATTATAACAAAGATGTTAACTCTATGGCACTTTGAGACTGTGCCAAATTACTGGACATTCATTCTCTCTTTCATACACACAGGCATAAAAATAAAAACCTATTCCAATATGTGCTATATAAATTAATTACCTCATTGGTTTGGGAAATTTGGTTTTTTCTATAAGTGTTTAAATATGTCTCACTTATTTCCTCTTGTGTTTTGATTAAAGAAAGTTGGCAGTGCAAAAAATCCCCAATGGAGAACCACAGTGTCAATTTCATCTAACATTACAAGTGTGTCATTCTTGTAAGGATAATTTGATATTAATGACTCTTGATAGAGCCATCCTTTCTCTCCCAAAATGCATCCTCAGAAATACCTAAAGTGACAAACTGGCCTTTCATAGTAGTAGACAAAAACTCCACAGAGTGATTTTATTAGGGCTATACAAAGGCAATTGTTTAAAGGCCAAGCTTTGTTTTCAATTACATGGGTATAAATTAATAGAAGATGCATTTTTATAACTGAAGGCAGAATTAGCTCCAAGTACAAAGTATCAGGATCATATTTAACCCTTTTTATTCTTTTACTATGTCCAATCAGTCTCCAGTTTCTGTCCTTTAAACTTATTGTAAGGGAGTTGGTACAATATTAAGCAGTTGTCATTTATTAACATCTGGGCAACAGTTAGTCCACTGACAACATCTTCAGGGGTCAAGAGCTAGGACACAGACTAGGTAAGTTTTCTTTAACGGAAAGGAAAAGTTCACAAAGGAATGGAGCATAGGGTGGGTACAAGAGCTATGTCAACAGTAGCTGTTTATGGTTTCCTATATAGTCTAATTTCAGGAATGTCAGTAACTGCCCCCTCCAACCTATATCTCATAACACTACCTAAATGTTCATCATTAGAGGCTCATTCCTTTGAAACAGCAAGCCTCCCTTAAAAATCACATTATCTCTTGAAGGGTTGGACACATATTAAATTGGGCTTAGTCTGAATTAGGTTAAATAATGTGATTTATTCTTAACACATGTTGAGATCTGAGGGAATCTTCTGAATATTGAAGGAATAAGCCTCTTGATGGGATGGGGTAGATTTGAGCCACAATGCACTCAGGTAAAGACAGACATGGGGTATGAGAGAGTGACACTACAAGGGATAGAAGTAGGACTATAAAGAAGCATCATTGAGAATATTTAAAATGATCTACAATATCAAGGAGAATGCAAAAATAGGGGAAAATATGGTCCAGGTTAAGGCAAGTTGACTAGTGTACAGCTTTGCCAAGAAAGGGGTGTCAGGCTTAACTATTGATCCTATCCCGCTTCTCCTCCAGGCACAGATTATCTTTTCTATAAAAGATAGAGACTAAAAACCACATCTATTCAAAATTAACCTATGATACTCTGATGTTTGGATGATTATTATAAATGTTCTGGCCTTGGTATAAAGGTCCCCGTATTGTTTGAATTCCTACCCAGAAACTAGGGACTGAAGGGGTTCCTGGTTTACAAGTGTCCAGTTCTCTCTTTCTAGAGCCACTACAACAGTGGTCCCCAAACTTTTTGGCACCAGGGACTAGTTTCGTGGAAGACAATTTTTCCATGGACCTAGGGGTAGGGGGTTGGTTTGGGGATGAAACTGTTCCATCTCAGAACAGCAGGCATGAGTTGGATTCTCATAAGAAATATACCACCTAGATCCCTTGCATGCTTAGTTCACAATAGGGTTCCCACTCCTAGAAGAATCTAATGCCGTTGCTGATCTGACAGGAGTCAGAGCTCAGGTGGTAATGCTTGCTCACTTGCTCGCCGCTCACCTCCTGCTGTGTGGCCCAGGGTTTGGGAACCTATGCCCCATGGCATCCTATCAAGGAGAAGTTATTCTTTCTCTCTCTTTACTTCTCTGGAAAAGACTCACCAAAGGAAGACCAAAGGAAGAGAATTTTGTTATCTGGAACTCAGAGGATATTATCAGATAATTGTCACTTTGGAAGGCCATCCCTTATGAGATAATAATTATCATAACCTGGAGGATTTCTGCAGTTAAACTGATGACAATTATTTCCATACAAAATTAATATTCCAGGCAACAAAGGACACCGGTAAAAGAGAAATGTTTTAGTAGGGAGGCTATTTAGGGCTGCTCTTGACCAAAGTTGTATTACTCCAATTACTGACCCAGGCAGGCCAGCCCTATTTTCTCCCTTTGTGAGTTCCAAATCTCCTGGCCTTCACTTATCTTTTGTAAGAAGCTTGCCATTTGTGTAATCTGTGCAAAACTCCTTCTCTGCACTCCTGTGAGTTTGCTCAGCAATACTTTTTCCCGTAACTTAATATTTTGGAATAAAAAAAAAAAGTGAAACAAACGAAGGTGACCCAGGAAGTACAAACTGGAAAACATAGAAAGTTGGTTTCCCGGAAAGGCATGGTGAGGAGCATTCAGAAACAATGGAAAAAAGATACTACTCAATGCAGGCATGTATCCTAACCAAATCCATGCATCAATACTAATATGAAATATTAGTTGCTGCTGCTCAATTTAACATAATCTAAGTATGTTTCCAAAACAGAAATAATCAGGAGATGATGAGGAATAGTCCACATCCCCTCAGTATAATTTCAATTTTATATATGTGTCGTATGTAATCTTCTTATTGTTTAACATTTTCCATTATTAATTTTTTATTCACCCAACTTAGGTACTTTGCTGATTTGGGGGCATTATAATACAGGCAAGAAGCAACATGATCTCCACAGGTGTCCTAGCTTTATCCCAGCCCCTCTTTAATATTCCAAGGGATACCAGGAATTTTCAACAATTATGTTACCATTATTTCTATTTCTTGAAATTCCTCTCATTGGCCTTGAAACAAAATGCTAAGATAGTTCAAGCTCATAAAACTTGATGGGTGGACATTTTGCAGATAGAGCATACAAGAACATGGGAACCTATAGGATCTGCTTTGGAGAGGGGAAAGCAAAGCAACCCTCCCCATACCCCAGAAGGCATTACTTTACACTTCTCATCCAACAATACCAAAGATGCATTGTCATTTATACTTTTGGATTTTAGGTACTAAGGACAGCAAATATGCCATGCTCTGGAGTCACACATTAGATGGTTATCAATCACTTATACCCAGTTTACATTCCATTTTTACTTTCCTATCAGAAAGCAGTGCCTTGAGAGAACAGGATGCTAACAGGTCATTTAAATGATGGGGAGGTAGAGAAAAGAAGATGAAATGGGCGCTGAGGTAGCTGAAAGGAGTAAAGAGGGCACAAAGGTAAGTTGAATTGACTCCAGAGGAAAAAAAAAACAGGCTTACTTCTTGACATTAGCTCAATTTCAATGAAATGCTGGAGAATTTTCTCAACTATCACAGCCTGAGGCAGTAGCACTGTGTGACTGTAAATGTTCTGGAATCTAAATATTCCACCAGGAAATATAGACTGGAACGCCAACCAGAATCCTTATTCTGGTTGCTCAGGACTGTCAGGACCAAATACTACTGAGACTAAATGGAAACAACACTCAGTCAATGTAAAATAAGATATTATAAGAAAGAAAAGTACAAGCTGATTTATATACCCACATCTAGCTATTCTGAAGAAAGCATTTGGTAATCACTGAAAAGGCCACCATTCGTAGTTTGGCACATAGTATGACACCTGTGTGGCCAGTGAAAGCTGAGTGGTACAAGTGGCAATCTCATCTTCTTCGACAGAGAGAGATTTGTATGATTTGTACAGTACATTTCCCTAATCTTTAACAAATATCAAACATTTTTTACTCACGAGGGGCTCCTTCAGCCATTTCAATGGCAGTAATTCCCACAGACCACACATCACTCTGCAAAGACAAAGATGACAAAAAAGTCACTTAAAAATAGGAAATTGGTAGTATTTAGAATCTCAAAACAATGTTTAGCTGGGGGTGTGGATGTCAATGCCAGAGCTCTTTTATGGGTTTCCCATAATGAAGCTTTATTATAGAGTGACATTATAGGAAGACATAATCTGAGCTACTGACCAGCCAGTACCTCACTACACAACAGGTTGATAGGGAATGGAGTTAAGCTCAAGGAAAGTTCATCTTGGATGCATTGATATTATCGTTTTACCTGAAATACCAAAAGAAACTTGCCATAAAGACATTTTATTACATAGACCCACCAGTTGTATCATCTTGGGCAAATGTTTTAACTCCCTGTGCCTTAATTCCACTCTAAGTAAAATGGTGATAACAATAGCATACACTTACATAGGACTGATATGTGTGTGTGTGTGTGTGTGTGTGTGTGTGTGTGTGTGTGTGTACTTCAGCAGTTCCTGGAATATACTAAACTAAGACTAGAAAAAGACTCTAGAAAATTCTCTTCACTACCAACTGTTTAGTACTTTTTTTCTTCAGAGTGTGGAAAGGGCACAGGGCTAGAGATACAACGGCTGGCTAAATGACTCCTAAACAGGTTTACTGAATTCTCTTTTTTTTTCTTCCTTGAGACAGAGTCTCACTCTGTCGCCCAGGCTGGAGTGCGATGGTGTAATCTCGGCTCACTGCAACCTCTGCCTCCTGGGTTCAAGCGATTCTCTTGCCTCAGCCTCCCGAGTAGCTAGGATTATAGGTGCCTGCCACCACGCCTGGCTAATTTTTTGTATTTTTAGTAGAGACAGCATTTCGCCATGTTGGCCAGGTTGGTCTCGAACTCCTGACCTCAGGTGATCTGCGGCCTCGGAGGTTAACTGGATTTTTAGAACCCTAGTTGATAGATTTCTTAGCTTGAGTTGTGATAGTCTATGCTTAAGACTTCTTTCAGTTACATGGTGCTAAAAACTAAAAATAAATAACGAATACAGGTGAAAGTCCTTGGAAGACTGCAAAAAGTATACAATTATAAAGCATTATTTATAAAAAGCCACTTGAAGAACATGCTTCCATAGTCTTCGTAGCTCCTAACAGCACCGAACATAATAGACTCTCAGTAAATAATTATTTTGCAGATCATGTAAAGGGCACTTAAGGAAAGGGAAAAGAGATGAATCTTAATCAACTTCAAGTTTTGAGTCCTAGGTTCCACTCAGGGAGACCACAATTAATTGTTTGGACTTATGTGGAGAGTGAGTGAGGTTTTTCCAGTCTATAGCAAATGCAGAGTTTTCTTTCCACATCAACCTTTTGAAATGTGTACATGGATATATGTATATTGTTCAAATTGCAGTTTCAGTGGAAATTTTAATAAATAGCATGAATTGTTACTTAATTTGTCTATTACACTGATTTTCTGTGGTTTTGGAAGTGAAACATGCCAAGGATTTTCTCCATTACCCTGAGTAATCAAATTATTTTTTGTCTTTTCTGGAGCTAAGTTACTGTGGGGGTTAATAATTGGCTTTACATTTATTCATTTTTAAGTTTACAATGCCCTTTGCTCCTGGAAGTTAAATTTTTATATACATATAAATCCACATTATATAATATTTTTACCAATAGGTTGCAAGCAACATAAACCACACATTCTGCCTCAAATGCAGGTAACTCTCAGTGGTATATACTTTGTCCACATTCTCAGAAAATATTATTTTATGAATATAATCAAACCACTTACCGAAATAGAGGCTTGTATTTCCTACTAGCATTTAATGTAAAATGTGGAGCTGCCTGCTTTTTATTTTTTGTTTTATCATTAAAAATAAATGTTAATCAAAAATCCTTTCCAAATTGTAATTTCCACTGGCTGAATTCTCACACTCACTCTGTAATCATAGGAGCGTCTTGGGTCCTCATCACAGTCAATCACCTCAGGTGCCATCCAGTATGGTGTCCCAATGAAACTATTCCTTCTTCCATTAGTTCTGCTCACCTGGGCACTCACTCCAAAATCAACTGCCAAAAATCATTATATGTCAAAATAATCAATCAGGAGAAAAAAGCTTAATAAGTTATTGCTTTAACTTGGAAAGCTGATACAAAAGCCACAATGGATAACAGATTTTCATTCCAGCCTAGCAAACTTTACCATGAAGTCTACTCCAGGAATACTGGGAAATAAGCTTTTCCTGCTATTTATTTTGGAATGAGACTCAGCAGTGCTATTATAAATCTACAGTAGGTTTGGCTGATTGTTTACCATGAATATTAAAAATAATGTTCTGTCGGGACACTCTGAACCTCCGAAATGATAACATATGTAGTGTTTGGACCTGGGAACCAAGCTGGAGGAAGACCAGAACTATAAGCAAGAACAAAGAAATCTAAAACTTATTAGCAGTTGATCAGGAAGCCTCACACATGATATGAGAAGGCTCTATCACACTGATAAATAAAAATGAGTTTTTCTGCTAGAATTTAGTTTAAATTCCTACATAGACCTTTTGAATCAGATGCAGGTATTTACTGTGGTATCTACATCTTAGCTTAGATTATAAAAGTTCAGTCTTCTATTCATCTGTGGGATACATTATAAGAAAATATTTGGTATGGTATCCTCAGAAACAGAAAAAAGGCTGAAGTAGGCTGGGGTTATTTATTCCAGAAAAAATAAAACAGGGATGAAAAATGAAGTAGATTTTCTAATTTAGAATGGTTTCCAGGAATCCAGAGGATGGCGAACAAAACTGACTAAAAAGAAGCTTCAGGAATTTAGGGGAAGAGAAGAAAAAGGAAAAAGAAAAACCTAAGAGTTTAAGGCAGTTTTAGAGGATCTAACAAGAACGACAACAACAAAAAAATGTCCACAATATTTGTGAAGATCACCATTGGGTGTTGTGCCATGTTTTTATCTAGATTTTTAAAAAGAAACAGGTTAAATAATTGCCCAGCATTCTCACTATCCCTGTGAACTGGCATTAGGGGCCAAGAATTACCTAGGAAGGCCATAAGTTGCTATATGGCACATATCCAGAGGAGAAAATGAAAGGAGAAAAGACTAGAAGACTGATTAATAGAAGAAAAGAAAAAAGAGCAAGAGAAAGAGAAATGAAAGCCAAGACGAGATGAAACCTCAACAATGGCATAATTTAAAGTTTTCTTTCATGACCTTACAGGCTGGAATATGAAGATTATCGAGCAATTGCAACTGCAATATAATCATTTTTCCATCTCTTTCCCTTCTATCAGTTCCTTTGGCTGTCATTAGGTTTGCTTTCTGAAACTTTCTTCTTATACTATGTTGCTTAAAAACAACTATAATCTTAAAAATTTAAAACAAATTGTAAAAGAATTAAGTGCAAAATATGTGTGATTAAATTTTATAATGTGTTACTTCAAAATAATGATAATCTGAGAAATCTAGAACAAACTGTACAGGGACTACATGTAAAGTAAATCTGATTAAACTCTAATCCAGCAGTAGAAGGTCTCTCCTCCAGAGGAAGGTACATGAACTTTAGTGCATGGACATTGTGACAGATATTTCAGTGGTTTTTCATTTACATACAATTTCTCTTTTGTGCTGTAAATGTTTGCGTTGACCAGCAACTTGACACAAGTATATGACAGTGTTGCTCTATATGCGAACACAGTGTTTAGCCTTGTGATTAACTATCTATCCTGCGTATTTAAATGTGAAGTATGTATGCCCTTCATGTATTTTTTACATTTTCATTGTTTATTCATTTATTGTTTAGAGACAAGGTATCTCTCTGCCACCCAGGCTAGAGTGCAGTGGCACAATCATAGTTTACTGCAACCTCAACATCCTAGGCTCAAGTGATCCTCCTGCCTCAGCCTCTCGAGTAGCTGGGACCACAGGTGCGCACCACCATGCCCAGCTAATTAAACATTTTTTTTTTGTAGAGATAGGGTCTTGCTATGTTGCCCAGACTCCTCTTGAACTCCTGGTCTCAAGTGATCCTCATGCCTTGACCTCCTAAAATGATGGGATTATAAGTATGAGCTACTGCACCTGGCCTCTCCTTATGTATTTTAAAATTGTGTTTCTAGCTTTATAGCTTTTAGACAGACACAAAAGAAATAATACACTCTCTTGAAACTACTTTCACTTATTCCAAGAATAAACAATTACTACCTCATGCTTCTTCCACAAATGTTCAGTGAAAAATGTTCCTAATGAATGAACAAAATCTCTACTCTTGTTCTATCTATTTAGCAAGAAAATGGGAAATATCTTAAGGTCATGTTCAGACACATGTTTACAAACTGTTGAAAAATAATGCAAGTGACTTATCCTCTATATCCATGGGATTATCTGCCACTACAATGTACTGACATGATTTTTATGGTATTATTCTAAAAACTATTGATATTTATTTTACACATTAAAGGGTACAATATATTGTTCCCTATGAGCTTAAGGACAAGAAAATCAGAAAGTATGTGTGGTTATTTTCAAGTAAATTATATAACTCTGAATTCTGGCATAGAAAGCTAGGTACTTCCAGTCTTTTGATTTATAATTCTGAACTTGACTTGCATATTATTGGAGCATCGATTCTGATCAATATCATTTCTTTACATATCTGAAAAAATCCAAAGAAGCAATTCATCCTTACATAATTTAAAAGTTATTTGATATTCTTGAGAAAATATGACTCTGTCATGTGAAATAATTTTTTTATTTTTTTAAATCCCTTCCCTTGGCATCGAAATTTGCACATGGTAAATACTCAATTCAATTGTTGAAATAAATATAATAGCTATTTCTAATAGAGGGTAAAGCGATGGCCAAAAAGTAAATCCCCATTATAATTCAAAAGTTGTTTTATCTACATGATTTCAAAGAAGCAGGTATGTGCATCCTCTTTCTTTTGCCCCGCCTCCTCTCCCAAACAAATTTTCAAATTTTGACTGGTTTTGCAGGCAGGGAAAACCCAGCTCAAATAAGTAGAGGATATTGGCAGGGACATGATAGAAAGCATAGTTATCTTAAAGGAGCTTTCTCCATTAAGATGTTTTGGACTTAAAATACTATAAGAATAAACTTACCCAGTTTTACTTCAGCATTATGAGTCAGCAGCACATTCTGACCTTTGATGTCCCGGTGAATTACTCGGTGTGCGTGAAGGTGAGCTAAGCCCTGTATATATTTTTTAAAAAGCCACATCAGTATATATTTCTTTCTTTCTTTCTTTCTTTCTTTCTTTCTGGTACAGTTCTTAGTATTTTTGGAAAAACTTTTGATAAGAGAAACAGCTTAATTTTGATGTTTCAGACACAATTCTTTCTTTAGGCTGGAATCACTACAACCCGTTCCCAGAAATATGACTTTTGGCTATAAGGAAAGGAAAATAAATCAGGACACCCACGAAAAAAAAGAGCACCAAAAGTAATGTTTGTATACATTGGGCCACTTTACCTTCCTTTTTAGCCTCCGTATTTCCAACTAGCCATAAGAGTAAAGATCTGGACATCTTGAATATCACAGCTCAGCTATAGTTTTGCTCTATTTCTTACCCAACCATTTGTTTAGTCCAAAATATTTTCTAGTCAGCTTTGTAGGCTGAGAATTTAGGGGAATGTGGAAATTCATTTTACAGCATTTGTAATCTGTGTTGGCTTAACACTTTGGCTCTAGCCCATTCACCACTAAAATTTACCCATGACCTGGCTAACCCATGATGTGGTATGCAATGTTAAGCTGTAGTGAGACTGCCTCAGACACTAACTGGAGATTCATAATAAAGTAACAATAAAACTGCTAACATTTATTGAGCCCTTATTCTTTGCCAAGGATTGTACTAAGTGCTTTACATGGAGTAAATTACTAATTCCTCTCAGAAACCCTTTGAGGAAGGTGTTAATATCACCCTTATAATATAGATGAGGAAAGTGAGCCTTGGAAATATTAAGTAACAGATTCCAAGTAATAAAACTTATCCTTAGTAAACTAAATGTAAACTCAGCCCAGAGTTTGAACTCTCAACCATTTACACTATTATCACAAGTGAATCCAACCAAAATGACAGGAAGGACATTCTAACATTGTATGAGTAGTACTGTTCAATTCTGTTAATATCCTTCTTGGATGACCCTAAGAACTGAAGTCACAAAAGATGGAATTTGGTACATCAAGAAGATTGTTGCTCTCATCCAACTGGGTGTGGAAAATAAAGAAATTTAAAAAGGGGGCAGTAATCAAAGAAAATGTTTGTCTGCCAAAAGGCTACAGTTGGTTTGAGGCCATTCCATAAAATACTGACTTCTTCTGACTCATCTTCATCTTAATCTATGATGCTTGTGCTATGTTTTTGTTTAAAGAACTCTAAAATAATAACAACATAATAAATAATCCAAGTGGTCATTTCCATGATCCACTGAACACAGTAGTCTTAATCCGACAGAGGTATTAAAGGCCATGATTTCAAAGGAGTTTGTTACCCAGCTTATTTAAAGGCGTCAGCTGCAAATTGGCTTTCTCAAAAGCTTTTTGGCCTTTTCAGATATCCTGATGCACAGGTTATGTTTGGAATACCTAAACTATCTGATGTGAGCAGGTATAAGGTGCATTGTATATATTACTCCCAGGTTCTTAAAAGATCAGAAGAGAATGACTGTATGAAGACTCACCTGAAGGATTTCTCGGCAGATATAAGCAATCCAATCTTCTTTTAAACTCTGATTACTGGTCATTCTCACTACATCAGTGACCGAACCTGCTGCACATAACTCCATCACCATCTGCAGGAAAGCCAGCAAAGTATAAAAAATTAGTGTCCAATTTTCTGAAAATATCTGGAGAGTTTTAGTCCATATGGCTTGTATCTATATGTAATGTTTAGAGATTAAGGCACTGCAAGTACTGCCTCAATTGTCTGATGGAAGACTCCAAAGGCTAGCGAAATTAGAGAGAGTTGGATTAAAACCAAAGATTTGTGGAGGCAGAGAAGCCAGGTATTTCACCAGAGATATTTAACTGGAAGTTGGGGTTTGAGCTATGTCTTGAAGGATAGGTGGTGTTTGTATATGCTTAAAAGGAAGAACATTCCATTTATGGAAAACTAAATAAACACATGCTTTTAGAAAGAAGTTTGTGCAAGGAACAAACCTAAGTGACGACTGGAATGGGAAGGAAAGGATGGTCAAGGAAACAGTTTAATCAGGGGTGAAGAAGCAAAATATGGAGGGTCTCAAAAGAGTTTACATTTCAACATTAAGGCTAGGTTTGGTTTTTGTTGTTTTGTTTTTATTTTCAAATTCCAAACTATTTTCTTCAAGATACTGGCAAGCTACAACTCCAAGGTGGAATTTGTCAATTGCATTCCTGTGGGATAATTTCATCCAAATGGGATTGCTACTAAGGAAAACCTATTTTAAAACTAATATCTTCAATAATATTTCATTCAGATTTTATTGTATTAATAAACTCAGTTTCTCAGAAAGTTTATTTTTGACACATATAAATTGAGGGCCCAACTAGTAAATTTTCATCCAGGTAATATGAGTTAACTAAAGAGTGATGTACAAGAGCATATAACTATTATAATTATCCTAGCAATATTTTCTTTGAGTACAGGTTTATGTATTACTGCCCACTTCAAAAATACTTTATCAAAAGAGCAAAATGTCTTTTTTTAACTTTGTGCAAATTAATTATCACCATAGATGAATGGAAGCAAAAGGATAAACTCAAAATCATGACTATTCAAAAAGTCTACCTTACTTCCTGTGGAATATTAAGATCTTCTTTTCAGAAAACTACTCCCCTAATTTACGGTTATTCACCATTGATATTATTGCATGTCTTTCACCTGAGTACACTTTCACCAAAAAGAAGAAGAGACAGCCAAACAAAACGAAAACAGATAAGCCACAAAAAGTTGATTTTCACGTGGAGAATTAAGCATTGACTATATTGAATGGGCACAACATGTACACTGTGGTAACTCCTCATTTTCAACCATGACAAACCAGAATTAAAGCCATTCAACTAACATAAACCCTGGAAGATCTTGCTTATATTATGTGAGTCAGAAGAGCTCAACTATAAAAGGAATGTAAGACATTCTCAGTAATTTTCCTAACTTTGTAAGCATGGTGCCTGGTACGTACACTTCTTTATTAATGGTCATTATTAAGCTATTTACTTACTTCCTATTTGTTTTTCTGATTTATATAGGCCAAAATTTGTGAAGTGTCCCATGAAAATTCTTATCTTCACAAATAATTTATGCATTAAATGTTTATTCATCCTTCAGATCTCAGTTCAAGCTTTTATTCCTCAAGGAAGTTTTTCTCATTTCCCAGCTTAATTAAGGTTTGTTATTCACCCACAGACAGCCATGATATTTCTCTTCTGACCAATTATACATTTATGTGTGTGATTATTTGATTGACGCTGGTCTTTGCAAATAGATTGTAAGCACCACTGGGTCAGGAGCATGTCTATTCAGCTTACCATTTTATCCTCAGCATCTAGCACAACACCTGACAAATAGATAGTTTTCAATTGATATATGTTGAATGCCTGAATGAACTGAGTACTAATACATATCCAGTAAGGAGACTGCAAAATTTCTCACACTTTGCTATACTATCAAGAGGAAAAAAAAACTTGTAAGTGAAAATATATAAAAAAGACAAATGGTATATGCCAAAAAAAATTCCTCAGTAACTAAACTATGCAGCCATATTTACTAAAATCTCAACTGGAATTGTCAGAGAATAGAGGATGCATGTTAACTGGACATCTGAGAGAAAACAGAGTTAAGCTGAAGGTCTATAAATTTGGTGGTTCTCAAAGTGTGGTGATCAGTCCAGCAGTAGCAGCAGCATCACATATGAACTTATTAGGAAGGATAATTTTTTGGACCCACACCCCCAAATCTACTGAATCAGAAATTCTGTGAGTGACGCCCAGAAATAGGTGTTTTATCAGGCTCTCTGGGAGATTCTGATGGCTGCCAAATTTAGAGAACCACTGTTTCAATTCCACCCCTTGTTGAAAACCTTTCTATAATGTCCACTGTCCTATTTTCTGAAGTCCATTATTTAGAATGTAATAGAATACTTTATTGCCACTTGAAGATACTGAAAAGCTTTAGTCATTATTTTGAAAAAATACTACTAACTTGGACATGGAATGGAAATGCAGCAAGTATAGAGATTCAAGTGTATACTAACCCCACCTTATATTCTAAATATTCAATTTTTAATAAAGACATCCTTGACCAAAACTGATTTTCTTGTGATTTAACTATTTTTACCACAGTGGAGGGCAGCAAAAATTCTGGTAACTGTGACTTAGGTAGCATAGGTTCCATTTATCCTCTACAATTTATATCTTATTGATCTAGAATTTGTGATACACCAGGCATAATGACTAAGAAAAGGATAAGTCAACTTACCATTTGGAAAAGAGTTTCTTAGGAGTTATGTTTATCCATAAGCGCATATACTTTGCAAAAACTTAAAATGCACCCATATGCTCATGTCAAGTGCTAATTAGAATTTATCCTTATCCAGTCATTATTTATTAGTTCATTGGGTAATTTCTGTAATAGCAACCATAGTAATTACATAAAATATTTGAAAATATTTATGTTGACTATTTCCAGTATTCATTTGAGTCCTCCCCCATCCCACCAGTAATCCCCTTGCCAGGCACTTAAGTTATTTTCCCATATTTTATCACTGTCATCTCCAGGAATCATAGTATATTTTGCCACATGATATGGTTTGGCTGTTTCTCACCCAAATCTCATCTTGAATTGTAGCTCCCATAATTCCCACATGTCATGGGAGGGACCTGGTGGGAGGTAATTGAATCATGGGGGCAGGTCTTTCCCGTGCTCTTCTAGTGATAGTGAATAAGTGTCACGAGATTTGAGATTAATGGTTTTATAAAGGGGAATGCCCTTGCACATGCTGTCTTGCCTGCCACCATGCAGGACATGACTTTGCTCCTCCTTTGCTTTCCACCATGATTGTGAGCCCTCCCTAACCATGTGGAACTGTGTCAATTAAACCTCTTTCCTTTATAAATTTCCTTTATAAATTATTAAGGCTCAGGTATGTCTTTACGAGCAGCGTGAGAACAGACTAATACAATAAATTAGTGTCAGTAGAGTGGGGCACTGCTGTAAAGATACCTGAAAATATGGAAGCAACTTTGGAACTGGGTAACAGCCAAAGGTTGAAATAGTTTGGAGGGCTCAGAAGGACAGGAAGATGTGGGAAAGTTTGGAACTTCCTAGAAACTTGTTGAATGACCTTGACCAAAGTGCTGATAATGATACGGACAATATGGTTCAGGCTGAGATAGTCTCAGATGGAGATGAGAAATTTGTTGGGAACTGGAGCGAAGGTGACCTTTGTTATGTTTAAGCAAAGAGACTGGCGGAATTTTGCCCCTTCCCTAGAGATATGTGGAACTTTGAACTTGAGAGAGATAATTTAGGGTATCTTCTGGAAGAAATCTCTAAGTAGCAAAGGGTTCAAGAGGAAGCAGAGCATAAAAGTTTGGAAAATTTGCAGCCTGATTATGCAATAGAAAAGAAAAACCCGTTTTCTGAGGAGAAATTCAAGCCAAATGCAGAAATTTGCAAAAGTAACAAGGAGCCAAACGTTAATCACCAAGACAATGGGGAAATGTCTCCAGAGCATGTCAGAGATCTTCACAGCAGCCCCTGCCATCACAGGCCCAGAGGCCTAGGAGGAAAAAAAATGGTTTCATGGGCCAGGCCCAGGGTCCTCTTGCTGTGTGCAGCCTAGGGACTTGTTGCCCTGTGTCCCAGCCACTCCAGCTGTGGCTAAAAGGGGCCAAGGTACAGCTTGGGCTGTTGTTTCAGAGGGTGCAAGCCCCAAGTCTTGGCAGCTTACACATGGTGTTGAGCCTGCTGATGCACAGAAATCAAGACTTGAGGTTTGGGAGCCTCTGCCTAGATTTCAGAAGATGTATGGAAACTCCTGAATGTCCAGGCCGAAGTTTGCTGCAGTGGCCAGGTCCTCGTGGAGAACCTCTGTTAGGGCAGTGTAGAAGGGAAATGCGGGGTTGAAGCTCCCACACAGAGTCACCACTGGGGCACTGCCTGGTGCAGCTGTGAGAAGAGGGCCACTGTCCTCCAGAACCCTGAATGGCAGGTCCACCAACAGCCTGCACCATGTGCCTGGAAAAGCCACAGACACTCAATGTCAACCCGTGAAAGCAGCCAGGAGGGAGCTGTACGCTGCAAAGCCACAGAGGCAGAGTTGGCCAAGACCATGGGAACCCACCTCTTGCATCTGCATGACCTGGATGTGAGATATGGAGTCAAAGGAGATCATTTTGGAACTTTAAGATTTGACTGCTCTGCTGGATTTTGGACTTGCATGGGGCTTGTAGCCCCTGCGTTTGGGCCAATTTCTCCCATTTGGAGCAGGCATATTTACCCAATGCCTATACCCACATTGTATCTACGGTAACTAACTTGCTTTTGATTTTACAGGTTCATAGATGGAAGGGACTTGCCTTGTCTCAGATGAGAATTTGTACGGCAGACTTTTGAGTTAATGCTGAAATGAGTTAAGACTTTGGGGAACTGCTGGGAAGGCATGATTGGTTCTGAAACCTGAGGAGATGAGATTTGGGAGGGGCCAGTGATGAAATGATATGGTTTGGCTCTGTGTCCACACCCAAATATCTTGAATTGTAGCTCCCATAATTCCCACATGTCGTGGGAGGTAACTGAATCATGGGGGCCGGTCTTTCCCACGCTGTTCTCATGGCAGTGAATAAGTTCACGAGATCTGATGGTTTTATAATGGGGAATTTCCCTGAACATGCTCTCTTGCCTGCCGCCATGCAAGACGTGACTTTGCTCCTCCTTTGCCTTCTGCCGTGATTGTGAGGTCTCCTCAGCCATGTGGAACTGTGAGTCAATGAAAACTCTTTCCTTTATAAATTACCTAGTCTCGGGTATGTCTAATGGCAAAAACCACGATTATTTTGCGCCAACCTAATAGCATTGTGAGACCAGATTAATACACCATACTACCTTAACAGTTGTGTGCTAAGTTTTCCTGTAGATGCACAAAAGTGATAACTCATGAAAACATACATCCTTGGGTAAAACTTATTCTTATAGAATAAGAACAGTGTAATTAAAAACATACCCAAAGTTGGTGCCGCTGACCAGGGGGACTCAGCTTGAAAAATGCTCCATAGAAGGACACAATGTTTTTGTGGAAAGAGTACTTCCTCAGAAGGTTGAGTTCAGTCCTGAGATCCTCTTCCTCATCCTATGGAATAAGAATAGACAGCAAAGCTCCTAAACTGTGCAATCAATGACTATAAGTCCCTAAAGTACAGTATATCAATGAAGGAGAATCCTATGGCAACTAATTATATCCAACAGCAATTTATAATAAAATCTCAACTAAAATGGTCAGTGAATGAAGACCTCTGGTTAACCTGGAGTCTGGGGGAATAAAAAGGGTAAACTGAAGATCGTTTAGTTCAGTGGTTCTTAAGGTATGGTCCCTGGACCAGCGGCACTGGCCACTGTATAAAATTTTCACTGAGTGGAGTCATTATATTGTTGTTTCTTTTGTAACAGTTTTATTGAGATATAATTCACATACTATAAAATTCACCCATTTAAAGTGCAAAATGCAATGGTTTTTAGTATATTTATACAGTTGTGCAATCATCACCACAATCAATTTTAGAACATTTTTATCACTCCAAAAGGAAACCCCATATCCTTTAGTTATCATCCCCCAATTCTGCCACACACACACCCCAACTCTAAGCAATCACTAATCCACTTTATGTCTCAGTAGATTTATCAGTTCTGGACATTTTATATAAATGAAATCATATAACATGGTCTTTTGTGACTAGTTCTTTTCAAAGTTCATCCATATGTAGCATGTAACAATGTTTCATTGCTTTTGGTTTACCATTCATCAATTGAGGGATGTTTGGGCTATTTCTACCATTTAGCTATTATGAATAATGCTTCTATGAACAGTCATGTCAAGTAACTCTATGTTTAATGTTTTGATGAAATGACAGACTGTCTCCCACATTGGCTTTACCATTTTGCATTACCAAGAGCAATGTATGCAGGGGTTCCACTTTCTCTACACTATCACCAACACTTGCTATTTTCTGTTTTATTATTATAACCATTCTAGTGGGTGTGAAGTGGTGTCTCATTGTGGTTTTAATTTGCAATTCCCTGATGACTAATGATGTTGAGCATCTTTTCCTGTGCCTATTGCCGATATGTTCTTCAAGAAATGTCTAATACAAAATTCTTTGTCCTTTTAAAAACTGGGTTGTCATTTTATTACTGAATTGTAAGAGCTCTTCATATATTCTAGATACAAGTGCCTTATCAGATAGACAACTTGCAAATAATTTCTCTCATACTGTGGATTGTTTTCTCACTGTCTTGATAGTGACCTTTGAAGCACAAAAGTTTTTATTTTAATGAAGCACAATTTATAAATTTGTTGTTTTGTTGCTTGTACTTTTGGTGCCATATATAAGCATCCACTGTCAAATCATAGGTCACAAAGCTTTATCCTTGTTTTCTTCTAAGCATTTTATAGTTTTAGCTCTTATACTTAGGTGTCTGATCCATTTTGAGTTAACTTTTATATAAAGTAAAAGTCCAACCTCATTATTTTGCATGTGGATGGACAGTACCATACTATCTTGATTATTTGGTAATCCTTTACATTTTAAAGGTATTGGTTTGTTCTGTGCTGATCTTTTAAAAATTTTTATTATTTTTTCACATTTTATTTATTTATTTTTATTTTTTTCGATAATTTATTTTTATTAATCACAACAATGGCACATGCATACCAAATATAGAGAAATATACTAATAAAATATGTAAGGGGTCTACTCTCACTGAACATTTTCCCCAAGCAATATTAACTGTTTAGTGTATATTCTTTCAGACATTTGTATATGATAATGCAGTAGCTAGAGCTATGACAGAGATAAATGCATAATGATATGATCAACACACACACACACATACACACACACGTATATATATATAATTATCAATATGTAATATATATAATATAATTATCAATATATTATATATAATATAATTATATATATAATTATCTGTATATATAATATATAATTATGTATATATACATGTGTGTCTGTATGTGTATGTGTGTGTGTTGATCATATCATTATGCATTTATATATGTGTGTGTGTGTCATTTAAAAAATCCAAATAAGCTCTTATTATTTTTAATATTCTGCAATTTTCATGTTTTAATCAGTATATAAAGCACATCTTTCCATATCAATAAACAAATGCACTTCCTTCTTATGGCTGCACAAGATTGCACAGAAAGGATATATGGGTCTGGCACTCAGGGGACAAGTCAGGTCTAGAAGTATTGTTTCTGAGAATTATCTATATAGTGATAATTGGAGCCATCTGGTTAGATGAGATCACCGAGGTACAATATATAGCTTCAAGACAGCTCTAGCAGAAGACAGTGTGATGTCAGTCAGAAAAAAACACCTACCATAGGCATTAGGACACCGAGGTTTAGCACTGATAGCCCAGAGTAGGAAATTCACTTAATCTTCCTAAAGTTCAATTTATTTTAAAAGAATGATGGAAGATAGCAGCCATTACCTATCTTCATGGAATGTTAGTGGGACCAAATGGGATAACATATATAAAGTTCTTTGAAATCTTTGAAAAAAATTCTATAAATGCAATGTATTATCACAAAATATCATTGTTATTTGACTTCTTTGAATTACTCCGAGCGCTATCAGAACTATACACTTCCCTCCACTGTTTACCGTAATCTACAAACATCAGCCTCCTTCATTCCCAGCATATTAATTATAGTGGAGTGACATGGAAAGCAATTCTCTCAAAGTTTCAGTGATGTCTGCTTGTACCATGATAGCCAAGTGGTTTTGATATTCCTTCTGTAACTCTTATTTCTCAGCCAATCTAGAAAAAACTCTTTGCTTCTTAATAATTTGAAAACAATTACACTTTTGTGTATACAGATGCAATACACTTGAGAAAAATATCTTAAAATGTTAACTTACAAAAAGACAACTTAAATTGTTAAAATTTTCAATGAAAATATAATTGGTTTGTGCATTTAGGTATTATGATCCTAACTTAAAGGAAATTACACATCAGGAAATAAGATTCACATATGTGAATGACACAACCAACGGTGAATACAAAATAGTTGAATACATAATAAAGTTGAAGGTGATGTGAGATGACTCAGGAAGTGATTCTGTACTTGAAAAATGGATTCCTCACTGACCTCCTTTGAATTCATAGTAGCTCTAAATTTTATTTGATTGTAAATTAAAAAGCTCTCCTATTTCATCTATAATAGTTCAATTTATAAAAATTATTAAGAAATATTCTTATTGTTGAAAGTGAAATATATTTGTAGAGTGTAAAGAAAAGAAGACTTTTGGCCTGGCGTGGTGGCTCACACCTGTAATTCCAGCACTCTGGGAGGCTAAGGCAGGTGGATCACTTGAGGTCAGGAGTTTGAGACCAGCCTGGCCAAAATGGTGGAACCCCATCTCTACTAAAAGTACAAAAATTAGCCAAGCATGATGGTAGATGCCTATAATCCCAACTACTGGGGAGGCTGAGGCAGGAGAACCACTTGAACCCAGGAGGCCAAGATTGTGCCACTGCACACTAGCCTGGGCAACAGAGTGAGACCTTGTCTCAAAAACAAACAAACAAACAAACAAAAAACTTTTGAATTAAAGACTTCCGGTTCTGAAATCCAGTGAAAAAAAAGATTTCCTTAACTCTTTTGAGCAATGACCTAGGAAAGGGACAATTGACATGGAAAATAATTAAGGGATTAACCACCAATTTTCTTTAGTTCTCCCCAGCATTTTCCTCAAACTATCCTGACTTAATGACTGAAATATAGGGAAATAAGTCTCTTAGCTGAAATGAATTGGTAACTAAACATAACTCAGTTATTACCTTCTCTCTTAGCTAATTCTCTAAGAACCAGCAGGAAAAATAGGCAACTACTTTCTATATTTAGGTATAATGTGGCTAGGCTTTAAAAATACTTATGACATAAATATAAAGCAGTGCACTAGGCTCTGTAGTGTCTCTAAGTTGACTTAACTTTTAGTTATAAATTATCTTTCCTCCCCTAAAATGCCCGGTATTTATATCTCGTAAAAAAAAAAAAAGTTTGCAATGTCAGAGAAAATGGCTGGCAGTTGCAGAACATTCTTTAGTATTTCCCAAGGATTTTCCACTGGATTTACCTATAAACATTCAACTACTGGAAAATAAATCTCTAGACACCTATTTGTCTTATGGGGGAAAAGGATAGGTCCTGATATGTGCAGTTGAAAATCTCAGTGATAGGTTCCCTCTTTCTATTTATTTGTGTAATAAAGTCATGACAACTTGTGGTATGAGAATTGCATGAAAGCTCAGGCTAGAGTCTCATCCCAACCTCCCAGCAAAGTTCAGTTAATAAGTTCCCTTCAAATTATCTTAATCTGTTTTCTAGAAAGGTAAAAATCCTGTGGCTTTAATTCTTGTCATGTAAGATCCTTAAACTTTCTGCTTCCCCTGTGATGTGGCCCTCCTTTGAAATAGTAACAATACCTGGCACCGCATAAGACTAGCAAACCACAGGGACTAGCTATTATAGAATATTTGTGCGTACGCACTCTCAGTTTCAATTAAGTTGCCAAGGTTCTGCTGAGAGGAATATGAACTCATAAGTAGTGCAATAAATAGGAATGAGAGGATGGTAGGAGGTTAAGAATACAAAGAACAAGTGAAAGAGAAGCAGGGGCAAGACTGAATTATTTCACTAGTTTGGTAGCTTGATGTTAAGGTGATTCCTTTTCTTTTTGAGTTAGAAAGCTTATGTGTCCTGGAAAGAACAAGAGATGCGCTGGGCTCTGGGCAGCTATGTAGTTGCATTTGTGATGTCTCTTTTTCTATGAGGAACCTGAGACATAGAAAGGTAAACCACTTTCCCAAGCACTTTTTGGCTATTTAGTGGTAGACTTGGGATTTGAACTCATGTTTCTGGACTTACATATTATTGCTATTTCCATAAACCCCTGGCATCTAAGAGATGTGTGTGCAAGTCACATACTTTTTATCCTAAAGGATTCAAGATAATTTAGAGATACTAACTGGATGATTAGCTAGCAGTTATTTTTTCTTACTAAAATACATAATCAGATAATTCAAAGTCCCCAACTAGAAAAACCTTTTAAGAGTGGGTTGCCCACATAAATGTAAACTCCCCCAAAACAAATAAATGAAGATCAGATATGTTTGGGAAGCGTTAGTGTGTTTGCCACTCTGAATTAACAGGAAGCTGAGCTTGTGAGAAACACATAAGTACATTATATCCATCAGACCAAGTGGGTAATTTAAAACTCTCACACATCTTCCAGTAATATGATGCTACAGCATTTCCTGGCTTAGGGCCAGTTGATCACAGACTGGCCTGAATACCCTGCGTTTTGTCAAGAGGAGGCAGCTCAAGGATGCCAGAACTTCCTTTGTAATTTCATCCAATTCTAGAATCAAAATCCTTTTCTCTAAGGAAAGTGTGCCAGAGAGGGTTTGGGACAGGTCTTTAAAAAAGTTTTATTAGCACAAATGTTTGATGAAACCAAAATTAATAAAATAATCATATTTTCCATACCTTATCTTTTGCGGTTTCCTAAGCTACAAAAGCATGATACTATCTGTTTTAGCTGGTCCTCTGGATATGCTTAGTCTCCTAACATGAATTATAGACATAACAGGAGCCTAGTACTTAATAGATGAGTCATGAGGTTGTTTAGTAATATCTTTCTAATATAACTAGAAAGTTTCTGAATGTGATTGTGTTAGTAAAAGGGTTATTTTTAATGTGCCTGAGACATATTTACTAAGTCACAAAATGCTAGAAATATTTGAGTCTCATGTATAGCTGACTGCAGGAGAGAAAAGTAGGAAAAAATATATCAATTCATTATATTGATAAGAGCAAAAATTCAACTTTTGGGCCCATACAATATTTTATAGATCACCAATATCTACTGAAAAAGAGAGATTATCTTTGGTTGGTTTTATTCTGGAGCCAGAGAATTGTTGGTATCAGAAAAACTGCTCTGAAGGTAAGCCAAAAAGCTGCACATAGAAAACATGTTCATATCCTTTCATGTGTTCAAGTATGGTACCAGATGTCTGAAGACCTTGAGGCTAAGTGGTTGGTTTGTTTTCTGCCTGCTATTGCTCTTACAAAAAGCGGGGGGGTGGGCACGTGGGGCATTCCTCATTTGGTTCAAACACGATGGTAATGTTTGTTAGAATCACAATGGAGGAAAAGCAATTAGTCCAGAATGTCATGATAAACGTGTGAAAAGGACCTTTCCAAGGCCAATTTTAGGCAAAATTTGCTGTAGATCGCATCACCTCCTTTTTTGTTGCTATTCAGCCAGAGGGTTCTATGCTCTGTAAATTTACGCAATTCCTCACTGACAGTCAATGCATTCCTATTCAAGGGCCCTTTTCTCCTATCTCCTACTCTCTGATATATGCTAGTGCTCATATATGATGATTGAATCTAAGTGAATATATTAAAAGATATAAATATGTTATCACTTTCAGGCAAGAACACTTTTAGTAGCAGTCTTCTAGAGATAATGACACAATGCAAAGGGATAAGTTAAAAGCTGAAAATGAAAGGAAAGACTACTTGGGTATTAATGAGAACTTTTAGTACTCACACTGTATCTCCACCCAACAGATTTTTGATATTTATTCACTCTCACTCGCCTTCCTATTTCAGGTAAAGGGGTCTGTAACCAAGAATAAAATGTTATTAGATGTACTGGTACACTCTAAAAATGATTTATGCTTAAGTACTTTAAGCTACGTTAGCACTCAATGGAAAAGTAAGATAACATTATTCCTCTCTCAATTTTCTCCAATAGTTTTAATTTAAAAAACCAAATTCTTATGACATACAGAAATTTGGCAACAAATTCATGGTAGTAGATTTAACTGCTGTAATAATGGGAAAATTACAATTTGTTATTAGTAAAGTGCTTTATCCTCCTTACAAAACCAGTTAATTGACACTAAACTTCCATGGGTTGAACATGATTTTTAAATATTTTAAAAGTCAGAGTATCTGAAATGTAGGTTAAAAGTATGTCAAGGTCTCTTAAGTTAAAACAAGAAAATAAGTATTTTAGAGAGTATCACTCAAAAAGTAGAAGTTTGATTATTTGGAAGCCATGGATTGTAGGGCAAAATAAATCTACAAAACATCAAAATCCCTCGAAACTCACATTGGTTTGCAACTTTTGACATTTACTGGCAAAACTAAAAGCACACAACTTTTTTTTTTAATTCAGCTATCATTTCTTTTTTTATTATTATACTTTAAGTTCTGGGATACATGTGCAGAATGTGCAGATTTGTTACATAGGTACACATGTGCTATGGAAGCACACAACTCTTTAAACAGTTTCAGCAATTCACTTCCTGCACAAATTGGAAAAAGCACAGTTTATGGCCTTGACAACAGTTCAGTCAATGTGTATAGCTTTTCAAACACAAATTTCCCTTTAGGGTATAGTGAAGTAAAATTTTTTTGACCTTTTCTATGTTTATGATAATATTATCTTGAGAAAGTGTGGCACTCACGTTAAAGAAAAAGAACAGAAATCAGTGCTAGCAAATTCTATGCCAATATGTTATGAACCGTGACACAACTTTATGAATGTTACCAGGAACGGTGCCAATTAAACTGTCTCTTTTGCTCATCTGTCAGAAAATACATGAAAAATGTGCATTTCTGATAAGTCTCTTCCTTCTACCTGTCATTGAGAATCTAATGGCCTCAATTATCAGAGGAAATCATTGGAGAGGGAAAATAATATGATGGAACACAGCAGGATTAACCCAATATTAGAAGCAATCTCTTCTTTGCTATCCCTGGAAACAAATAGTCAACTAGAAACAGAGAGGAGTACAGATATATTCCTCAGTGTTATAGAATACCAAAATATGTGGAACTTCTGCTGTGAAAGAAGCATTGTTTTATGTGGATATATAATAAAGTAATAGATATAATACACTAATGAATAAAAGTAATATTAAATGATAACTATAATAAATCCAGATTGATGTAATAATTATTATATAAAATAATGATTTAAAAACAAATACAATATTTTCTGAGTTGTGTATCCCAGGAACACAGTCCACTAAGGGAAGAGAATACAGGCAATTTATAATATTACCTTACGAGCGTTCATCACTTTAACAGCTGTAAATGCACCAGTCTTCTCATGAAGTCCCTGAAATACAGGATAGTGATAAATATCAAATGCTGGCTAGGTAATCCAGCTATCAAGAAGCAATTAAAGTAGAAAATATTAAAATTAGTGTCGAATACATTGTATGTTATAAAATATAAAATATATACAAATGAAATATATAGTATTATATAGAAAACAGAAATATTAAATTATCAACATTTTAAAGAAATCACCATCCCACTCAAAACACTCGACGAAGGTTATGGAACAGTTTGGCTGTTTACATCTGTAGTAACTAGTGGACATAATTGCCTATTTAAAGTTATTGCTTACTTAGTGTCTTTAATCTAGGTTTGCATGGCACCAAAGCATTTAATCTAAATGAAAATTTTCATTTAATCTAAGTGAAAATTTTCTATTGAAGATGGCAGAAAACGAGTTGTTGTACTAAACATTTTTTCAATTGATTATGTGATACTATGCAGACATCTTTCCACTGGACTCTTCTTCAAACACAAAATATTTATCATGTTAGCAAAAATATTAGCCATGCATTATCTCCATAATGATCACTTAGTGTGAGTGATTCATAATTAATTCAACAGCCTCTAAACTGTTTAATATGTCCTGAATCATATGAACCAAAAATATTTATAAAAGGAATAAGTTCTAGAAAATTCTCTCTTATTGAAAATATGATGAGTTATAAGAGCTTAGATCTTACCCTAAATGCAAGTATAAGCTACAGATTTGTAATTTTTAAAGGTGAACACATAGGTTTGGAATCAGATCTCCTATTTTGTGGCTGGTACCTTCTAGACATATTCCAAACTGTAGTCATAGAAAAAATCAGTATAACATTACTATGAGTAATAAATAGAATGCCTTATCTGATATTTCTCAGCAGAAGGTTTGATCTGGGGGCTGTACTTGGTTGAACAGTGTCCCCTCGAAAATTGAGGTTCACCTGGAACCTCAAAATGTGACCTTATTTGGAAACAGGGTCTTTGCAGATGTAATCAAACTATGATGAGGTCATATGGATTTGTTTGGTCAATGTCCGGTTTCTTTATAAGACGAAAGGAAGGGAGATTTGAACGCAGAGACACAGGGATACAGAAAGGGGTGACAGTCATGTAAAAGACAAGAAGAAATTGCAGTGATACAACTACAAGCCAAGAAATGTCAAGGATTGTTGATAACACCAGAAGCCAGGAAGAGACAAGGAACAGTTTCCTCCCTAGAGACTTCAGAGAGAGAATGGCCCAACAGACACCTCAACTCAGAATTCTTATGTCCAAAATTGTGAGGGAATACATTTTGTTTGTTTTAAGCCATCCAGTTTGTAGCAATTTTTTACAGCTGACCTAAGAAACTAGTACACAAGGCAGGAAAGACGGAAACTGAGCAAGGTAATGTGCTTGACTTGGGATAGGGTTCAGAGACTAGTAATCAAGGCACAAGGAAATGTCCAGAATTGGGTGAGCAGTTTAGGGCGGAGCATGCCAGCCACAGAAGACTAGAATTTTTAAAGGAAAGGAAAAAGTTACAGGTTATTGATTGATCCAGAGAAAAGTAGGAACCCAAGATCAAGACCTGTCTGTTTAACCTAAAGTCTTGGGAAACAAATGCAAAGGCAAAATCAGATTTACATGAGAAGTGGAAATGAGGCAGAGTTTGTAAGGATCAATCCATGAAGTAATACTATCAAGTTCTAGAAACAATTTTCTCTTTTATCAGACAAAAAGCACTATTTTTGCAACCTCCTTAGCTTCTTTTAAATTTTTCAAAAGAACATGAGCTTGTGTTATCTTCTGTCACTTGTCTTAATTGGGGCAGCCTGTTTGGATGGAGTCAGATTACTTTTGCTGGACAGTTATAATAAAACAGTTTTAAACTGTTCTTTTTCGTAGGATTGTAATGACACCTGAACTTAACCGAGTTTATAAAAATTATTGAGTATGTTGGATACCCTTCAAATTTATTTACATCTCTGGGAGGAATTATATATTAATATTTTTATTTATTCAGTCCTTATAACTTAGGAAGCATTGTTTTCATAATTATTCACACGAACACTTGCTAGTAAAATTTTTTCCACATCTGTATGCACAAATACAACATGTTGGAAACTGATTTGCATGCATCCCTTTAAAAAGTTACAATGCTTCCTTCCTTGATTCTAAGAGATTATTTATGAGCCACTATTATTTTGGGCAATACAAAATATTTATCAGGTTATCAAAAATATTAGCCATACATTATTTAACTGATGATAAGTAAAATACAAAATTTTTGAAGTCTAAAATCAATAGATTATGACATATTAGTGAGACAACTGAATGTCATTAAAAGATTCCAACCATGGCCATAAAACAGAAAAAAAATCAGCTTGGTTCTACCCTCATTATCTGTGATTTATTCACACTTGAAAATTGAATGAAGTTATTTCGTCAGAAAATGTGTCCTAATATTGGGTTTGAAAAATATGCTCACTGAACCTACAGAGGAATAAAACTCCAGGTCTCGGAACCATGTACTGAGTTAATATGCCAAATCATTCTACAAGACTCCATAGAAGTCTGGCATATACAGACAATAGATCATAGAAATGTGCTACTGTTAAGAGAGCATTTCAGAAGAGTTCCCCCTGTACCTTGACTCCTCAAAAATTTTATTTTGAAATAATTTTAGACTTATAGAGCAGTTTCAAAGATAGCACAGGGGGTTCCTGTATATCCTTTCCCCAGTTTCTTCCAATGTTAACATCTTAGATGGCCATGCTACAATTGTCAAAATGAAGAAATTAATATTGGTATAATACTCTTAACTAAATTTTAAAACTTATTCTGACTTCCCAGTTTTCTCACTAATGTCCTTTTTCTAGAACCAAACCTGGATCCTACATTCTATTTAGCTATCATGTCTTCTTAAACTTCTCCAGTGTGTGACAAGTCCTCAGTCTTTCCTGTTTTTCATAACTGTGACACTTTTAAAGAGTACTGGTCAAGTATTTTGTAGAATATCCCTCAACTTGGGTTTGGCTGATGTTTTCTTATGATTAGATTGAGGTTATGTGAATTTTTGGGAAGGATATCACAGAAGTGAAATGCCCTTTTCATCACATCATATCAGGGGTACATGATATCTCCATGTTGATCAATGGTGATATTAACCTTGAGCACTTGGTTAAGGTAACAACCTGCCAGGTTTCTCCACTATAAAGTTGTTATTTTTCCCTTTCATACTCTATTCACCAGAAGTGACTGATTAAGTGACTGATGTTCGTTTTGAAGAAGTATAACACTATTCTTGGGCACCTATCTAGAGAACCTAGAAGCCACCTTGAGATAAGCTAATTGTTCAGTGGTGCCATCTTGTGGTTCATTGATTATACAGAAGCTGTTTTGCGATCTTAGCTGAAGGACTTGTCATAAATGAGATGCTGAACTAGAACCTATGAATCCAGTTTTTAGGATGTGCCCTTTTTCAGTTAGAATGTGAGTTTTATGGCAAATTACGTTAACAACATTTGTGTTAAACACACAAAAGAACACTAAGAAAGGAATTTAGTTTTAGAACGTTAAGAAAGAAATTTAGTTTTAGATTCTACATTGAGTGTTAAATAATCTCACAATTGCCTTTAACCTCAGTGAATATTATTCAGGAAAATCACAAGAACAGTAGTAAATTATAAATGTGGATTTTTTGGGCTGTTTTTCCTATCAGTAATATCTGGAGTATCATACAGGAGCCACTAGCTCCACAAGATTAATAATGCTTCATTAACTAGAGTTTGAGTACAAAGAATGACCTTTACATTTTTAATTGATAAATAAAAATTGTATATATTTATGGTTTATAACAAGGTGGTTTGATATATGAATACATTGTGGAATGGCTAAATTGAGCTAATTAACATATGCATTACACTGCATGCTTATTATTTTTCTGTGGTGAAAACACTTAAAATTTACTCTTTTAGTAAATATATTTATAACAATATATTGTTATTAACTATAATCACCATGATGTGCAACAGATCTCTTGAACTTATTCTTCTGTCTAACTGAAATTTTGTGTCTTTTGACCAATATCTCCCCAATCCCCTGTCCCCCACTGCCACCAACCTCTGGTAACCACTATTATACTCTCTGCTTCTATGAGTTCAACTTTTTAGAATCCAGATATGTGAGATCATCCATTATTTGTCTTTCTATGTCTGTCTTATCTTACTTAACATAATGTCTTCCAGGTTCTTCCATGTTGTCACAAATGACAGCATTTCTTTCTTTTTAAATAATTTTCAAGCATCACAGAGCTAGGAGAAAAAAATTCTCTTAGCTCTCATTCTTATCGTAAAAGCAACTGCTGCTTAAATACTTTGTATAAGTTCATAGGCTCTTTCGTATTTGAGGAACAGAAGACAATAGGTAGTAACAATGCTTTGTAGTCATTCTTGACTCTAGATTCAAGTCTATTGGCATTTAGAATCAAGAAGTCTATCATCTTCACTTAAGAAAACTCTTTGTCTTGTTGTCAAACTCATTCCACGCATTCAAGTTTAGTTAATAATAATAATAATAATAAATAATAATTCAGTTATTGATTTGGGGGGCAATAGGTCAACTATTCAAAATACTTCCGGGTACTCCACAACCTACAACAAGGTATAAAAATTATTTATTAAGTCCTGTCCTCCATGTTATTAAGATAATGAAACTCAATATTAGCTAAGAGAAGGACACATTAATTTGTCACTAACATTTAAGCATGAGTTAGACTATCAGATGAGGTAACTAAAACAGTGGCAATGAACAGTTAAGTACTGATGGAATGAGAAGGTGGAGTAAAGAAAAGGCTGGAGCCTGAGGAGTTCCAGAAGGGGTTGTTCTTCAGCCATATTGAAAGAAGCAGGTTTCTGGAATGGAGAGCAGGGAAACCATGAGACCATGAGTGAGCAGGGAATTTCAAAAAGTGAATGAAGTTTTAAAAAGGGGAAGAGGATGGAGAGTTGGAAAGATAAACTGTTCTATTCACAGTTTATTGGAGAAATTTATAGTTTGTAAGATGTATACACCAGAAACAATTAGAGAATAGAACCAAATGCAAAGGCTAGTTATTAACATAAATTATTGGATCTCAAATACAGTATGTTTAAACAGTTCTAGAGAAAAAATATATGCTACCATGTGAAGGACTTAAATAAAGTCCTAAAAAACTTCCCTGATTAATTTATGCTGACACAACTAAATCTGTTTTCTGGGGTTGCATTCCAAAATATAGTAATTAAGATGAACGTATATTCTTTTTGCAGTATCATTTCAAACTATCCAGGGAGAATACATATCCCTTAATGTGTTGATTTCAGTTTGGCAAGGATTTGTGTTCTTAATTAATTAACTTAGATAATCAAATAAGCAGCATCATTTAGTCCACTTCCCCTGGGAAAAACCTAGTTTATTACGGTGCTGTTGTTCTTCATGACTCTAAAATTAATATTAGCATTTCAAATCTGTCCTACGAAAAGAATATGTTGCATGTCCCTGAATTTAAGATACTGCTCACATACAGGGCATTGTTAAGAGGTATATGTGCCTGCTTTTAACAAAAACCAATGCAGGAAAATCTTGTTAAACATAACAAAGCAAATAAAGGAACAGTCATAAAACATTTCTACTTTACAAAAGGACTTGCATTCATGCGACACCAAATTCCCCAAATTTAGTTGTATCTCAAAAGTAATGAAGCAAGGTCAATTTTTACACTGGGGACCCAGAATCAAATACAGGTTACCCAATAATTGTAAAGAAGAGTTATGAATTGTCAGTGTCTTGGTCACCTGAGACTTAAATTTGCTGACTTCTAACTGATCAACAAGTCTACCATAGTCTTTAGCCCCTACTTCCTTTGGGCACACAGCATTTGAAGATTTCCACTTTTGTTTTATAAGTCTGTCCTCTGCCTTTGGGCATGCTCAGATAGAGGTAAGTGGTTCTTCCAGTTACTCACTATGATTTCTGTAAGCAGATCTACGAGATAGATGTAGGAGTGTGGGGAGAGATGAGAGAGAAGGGTAGGAGTAGAGCAGAGACCAGGTGATGGCCCTAGGTGGAGCTTAGTCTTCTCAAATCTGGACCACACTGACAGTATTGAGTAAGGTATGTGGACAAATTTATTAAATACAGAAAATGTCAGAAAAAAAACAATAGGGCATTAAAGCGTAGTTATCAAGCACATCACTGTATCAAGGATTTAGTCACTCTATCAATAAAATCAGGTGAAACATAAAAGTCCTTAAAGTCTAGTAATATATTTATTTTACCTTGGTATCTCTAGTGCCTAGCATCATAGCTGGTACATAAGGCCCTTTTAATGAGTACTAGTTTAGTGAATGATGAATAGAGTAACTGGGAAGACTTCACAGAAGAGGTAAAATGTCAAATGGACCCTGAAGATGGCATAGCATTTGAACAGATTCAGAAGCAGAGGTTGGGCCCAGTGGATGGGACATTATGAGCAAAGGCTATGAGGTAATGCTGAGCAGGAAGGCACAGACACTAAAGAAGGGAAGAAAGGAAAAAGGGGGAAATGTCATAGAGAGAAGACAGATGAAAAGGAGAGAATGCAAGAGTGCACCTGTTTTTGTCATGCCAGAAATTTCAGTGTAAAATTTTTTTAAATAAAATCTTGTTTAATAGAAGACAGAAGTCATCACTGAGATGAGCCATTAGTAGTTTATCACTTTATGACTGGGTTTTGTTATTTAATGGTCTGATGCAAAGCCCAGGGTTGTTAAGGCACTGAAAAACCAGCATTGAATTGCAGTAATGATCAATTTCTTGGGGATTACACATTTTAAACCATAACAAATGATTTAAAATAGCAGTTGTGACAGCTGTGTTGGGAAAATCCACCATTCCGCAGCAGTTAATTACCATGTTTTTCTCTGGAAAGAATACAGGACAGTCCTTGATGGCCTTGTAATCTTGATTAGGCTAATTTTTAAAAAAATCATGCAGTTAAAGAAACTGTTGTAGGAAGACTGCTGATCCTTCAGCAGTTCCTACGTAGTCCTTCCCGTTATTTGCTTTGCTTTCTGTTGGCAAATCAAAACCACATAATCCCCCAGGGCATTCTTTCGTTCTTTTCAATCGGTTTTCTGGTGGCAGAAGGCCATGAGGCACTTACTACACTCATGTCCATTCTGTAACCTCGTTTTTCATTCATAGAATTTTGTCCTTCTAGTCATTTGCTTGGATGCCAGCTTTCTCATAGCAAACAAAGTGACCCTTCGAGGCCACGGAGAATGCGATTGTAAACAGCACCTGGGAGTACTTGATGCTGTGCCAGGGAGGGACAAGACAACACGGCTGACAAGATGGTTTTTGTCAGCATCAGGTCCATGCAGAAAAACAAAGACATGTGGCTAGAAAGGACTTTGAAAGGCTAACGAGTCCTTATCAATGTCTCTAAGCAAGGCCTTTCCTTCACCAGTGCTTGAGATGGGAAGTAATGGTGATTTGGTTAGTATTTGAAAGTTTTCATTTTGCTTCTTCCTTCTTAGTCTTCATCACCATTGTCAAGCTCAACAAGCCCAAAGGGACAGATGGGATCAGAACATTCAGGGTTTGGAGGTGTGGCTGAGATTGGAGTGGATCTACCACAGATTGGTAGTAGTGGTGGGAGGATAGGTTTGGGGACATATAAGGGAACATGGCAATTACTCTCCATCTCACATCTTATCCATCAGGAAGATTTACTTATTACTATAATAACAATTGCCCAAAGAGGAGATGTAGCCTGTTTTTGAGATCCTCAAAGTTATTTTACAGACATCAACTTTAGATTTGTTTTAAGAAGGTTTAAGCAAATCAATGATGTTTAGATGTTTGACAGGCGCTATTTGGTAATTGACAAGATTATTAAGCTTCACACTTATTAACTCCCATAAAGCCTTGTATATACTGCTAGGCCACAGGCTGTACTCATTACATTAGATTGAGGGACAGTCATTTAGCTGCCAAAGGACACTGAAGAGAGTCTGTTATTTGATATCTGTATAAGCATCCCATCATTACAAAGTTTTGATACACCTAAGTGTATCAAATTTGGGAAATTCTTCTTAGGTGTGGTTTTTTCCTTTTGGAGAAAACTCAGAACTGGCAGGAGTCGATATTTCTGACTTTCAGCAGATGGATCCTGGAGTTGAATAAATACTATTTTAACCTTGACACTTTAAGATCAACAAAGGCTTCTATAATCAAGCTGCTACAACTTTCAGGTCAAACATTGCATGTTAATGGGGGAGGAAGAACAGGATCGCCTCTTCCTTCAAGAATAGTAACAAAGAGATTATTACTAGACTTTATAAATATTGCTTATGACACTGCTGTCACTTTTAAACCTCTATGGAGAAATGTCCTATCTTCACATGTATCACGAGGGTAAATTTGCACTCAAGCTGTTTTAGCAACATAAATGAAACTTACATGATCAGTTGGCACTTTATATTCCTGAGCCATCTTAAGTTCCTTTTGCCACCGAATCTATTTGCCTATCTATCTCCCCTACTGGATTGGCAGCTCCCTAAGGGTAACTTTCCTCTCTAAATTTAGGGTCTAGCACAGTACCTGGCACATCATAGGCACTCAGCACATATGTGCTGAACTGACCAAGTCAATTGCAACATGGAGCACTAAATAAGGAAGGAGTTGCAAAGGCAGAGGTGTGTGTGTGTGTGTGTGTGTGTTGGTGGGGTGTACAAAGATAATTTATATACCAAACAATATGGGAGAAGAGTTAGAGGGAGCCCAAAGCCCAGTGGGCTCCATGATATGCTGGAATTCCCTGACAAAGGCTGTGAAAGTACTGTGGCTAAGTACTCCAGGAACTCAAGGGCCATTCTTTGTCCATAAGTAAATGGTATTTTCATTGACCCTAGGTTGCACTGTGATGCCACCCAAAATTTTTCACAACTCTATTCAGTCAGAGGGCCTCAATGAAGAAGCTAGTCACGGTCAGAGGGCATGAGCTCACAAAATAATCGAAGTGCCAAGGCTCTTGCCAAATTGACAAAAGTTTGTCAGGTAACATTACTTAATGTTCATCCATGCTTCCCCTAACCTGTGGCTACTACTCTGAAATCTTCACTAAATACTTGCAGTTGATACCCTCTGTAGTTATATCAACTATGGGGACATGTGATAGTGAGAGCTAGCTCTAAGTTCTTTACTTCTACATTTTTTTTTCTTAACATACCCCTAAATTACCCAAACCTTTGCTACATGTAGTCAAAGGATTTGTATGGAAACAGATTTTTGTAGCTAAAAAGCTACAGAATCACCAGAATAATCCAACAGAATAATGTTTTTCCCCTTCCAGAAATCTGGGACAGTCATGGTCATGCTTATTAGAACTGTGAAAGGAGTCAGAAGACAGCCTTCGTAGTTTCAGTGGCTTTGTAGCTTTGAAAGTGCCCTGTAATTTGAGGCAGTTATGTGTGCTTATACAGCAGCTTTGACTGAGTTTTATTGCCCTTGTTATTACTCCTGCAGGGAAACAATAGGTCAAAATACATAGTAACATCATTTGCACATAGAGCTGCTCTCTATTACGCTATAGCACTCAAATGACGAATTGTACAAAATGGACAATAAAGTTCTGTGTTCTTGGCTGTGGGATACATACAACATTTGCAGGAAATAAATGAATAGCTACTAGTAGGCAACTAAGGAAAGACTGCAACATACTGCTATGTGGCAAGCCAGATCTACAGGGGACAAAAGTACAAAGCCATTGAAGCTTGCTGTTACAAATGGGTGACACCATAAAACCTTCAATGCTGGTCACTAATTCAAATTTAAAGTCACAGGCTATAACTGCACATGCTGAGGAAACTACATAGGAACTCCATGAGACTAGGGCCCACACTATTTCAAACCCTCTGATAACACTTCCAAGCAGCATTGTTTACCAAAGTATATGGAAAGCATGATCAAGTGATTGATGACTATTTAGTTCTCCATGTAAGAAGCTTCCCCACAATGACATTCTCTTTTTTTCCCTCCGAATGACAATACACTACAAAAATAAAAAAGAACTCATCTATTGGAATGACTTACATATTCAGGATTTTTTTTCTTTCAGTTACTATTTTCTCCCACTATGGTAGATTGTATACCTTTTCCTTTTAAGGTTTGTCTGGGCTTAACCATGGGGCAGTGGGTGAGGGTATGGCAAGAGCAACAAAACCCTCCGTAAGCAAACAGGTTTCAGCATACAGCAGATAGTGCTTTATTGCAATGTCACAATGTTTTAACACAGATTGCTTTCTTTATGTAATGCATGAATCAGTTAACACTCATGCAAAATGCATTCCATCTGCTCAGACAGATGTAAGCTGCAGTGTTTCCAATTCTATCAAACAGCACAACTAGTTGAAAGAAAAGCACTGAGACAGATGGGTGATGACTGAGAAGAGGGGTTCAACCAAAAGAAGCAACTTTGTCTTAAAATCTACACAGTCAAAATGGAATTCTCAACTTTTCCAGGTGTGTCCACAGAGGTACAAACACAACAGCCCTTAATATAAAGATGAGGTGAAGAGGATGTTGATGCATTTTTTAAAAAGTCTTTATAAACTGAATTGTCTCTGCAAACCATAGCAGTAACTAGTAGTACTCAAAGGCACTTTAGAAGCACTGAAGTTGACTGGGATGGCTACTAAGAATAAGGGAAATGCCAAGGAGGAGGGAAAATAGAAAAGGAAAGAATAGAAGAGAAAATGAGAGAAGCAGCAGGGAGTAGAAAAAGACTGGAGAAAGATGATGATGAGGAAAAAAGCATAGTTTACATTTAAGATAGTACAAGGCCCTTAGGGTCTAGTCAATGCTTTTAAACATAGACATGAGAGAACAAAAGGACATCTTCTATCAATATCAATTTACCTCTAACTTCCAGGCCCTGCCACCCTCAAAAGGTATGAGTCCTCATTGTAGCCCCTAAGTTGACTGAAAACTACTTTTACATGTAGACTGTTGCCTTGAATTGACCTTTATGGGTAAACTCCATGCCTCACACATTCCCTTCCTCAACATTCCACCCTGCTGTCCCATTCCTTCAGCATCTGGCTTTGGCCTTTGCAAAGCCAAAGCACTAGCTAATCTTCCCATACTAATGTATTGCAAAGATCTTATCCAGTGACCTCTTTTCTCATCATGGTACAACATGTGCATTTTAACTGGGGCTGTGTGTGTGTGTGTTTTTTTTAATTACGAACTTGAGTTTTTAAATTTAATGCTTTTTTGAGAGTGTTTTTTAACTCTAAGGAATTACCAAGGCAGTCGGAATTTCAGAACATTTTGGCTACTATAATGCTGGATTTGCCTATGACATGCTGTTTACCTAAAGCCTGCAGAAATGAAATATGAAGAGTGTGAAATCAACTGAAAGTCTCAGAGTTAAACCCCTCAATATATCCCTTACAGTTGTGTGGCGAACAGAGTGGTGGGGGGCGGGGGAAGTGGATGGGGGGAAAGTATGGTGGATATAGCCACTCAAAGAATGCCAAGCTGAAAAATGCAACATGATAAAAGTAGAATGGTACTATTGCACAGAATAATAGAATCCAACTACAGGAAGATTTGAGTTAAGGCTACCCAAACATAAAAGTCACTGAGGTAGGCAAGTGAAATCTAGCGAGGCAATATGGAAGACTAAGGCAATCGTCTAGATAAAACTACATATTTATAACAATTATCTGGTTGTTTCAATAAATGTGTGTATATGTGTATGCATGCATGTAGGAGGAGTACGTGGAGGGAGCAGTGTGTATGTGTAGCAATGACAATTCCCAGATTTGGAGGAAAGGAAGGAAAGCGATCTAAAGGATCATGGAAGCACGTAGAAACCAACTTTACCTTGCTCACAACTTTGACTTTTTTCTTTCCTCCTTCAAATAGTTTCACCATTTTTTTCTGCTGAATTCTCCACCACTAATTTTCCAAATTCATTGATTCCCACTGTCCAAAGGCATAGAGGTAGTAGCAGAGGCAAGACTAAGCCCAAGACCCTGGTGCTCTTTAACCCTTTCACACTACCTGCATATGTAAGTATTTATTAAATACTACCTATATGATATGTAGAAAGCAAGGAAATATAAAAATTAGTTATAGTTTTTATTTTTAAGGAATTTTTAATATAGATAATAAAGTTACACAAACCTCCACAATGCAAGAGACAATGTGGCAATTTTCACAGTAAGAGTACAAGTGAAAATTACAAGGTCTTTGAAAGTATTAGAATGATATTTAAGATTTTCCTATTGAAAATGTTTCACAAATCCAGGTCAGCAGTCTACCAAATTAGAGAGATTCTAGTTATTTGAATATTTTCAAATTCTCAGTTTATATTTTAATTCACACATAACAACTACATTTTGTTAGTTCTTAGGTTCTGTATGTTTTCAAATTGATTTCATTGCCATAAATTACTGCTATAATAATAAGCCTCTGGATGGAACCATGATTAAATCCTATGGAACAAACTGCTAATATTTGGGAGATATAACGAAAATATCTGGTATAACAAGCTGATTGAATTATTTTAATGTTTATGCAAAAGGGAAGAGAGAGCTTCACCTATAAATATCTCTGTGAATTCAAATGCAGGCACAAATGCAGTCTAAATATTATTTTAACCATTTATGTGTTACTCGGACAATGCTCAAACTTATTAAAAGATAAAAATATGTTTGATGAAATTTATTTTCACTTTGGGCTTGTATAAGTCAGGAACTGGGACCTAATTCTTAGTCTGGAATTAGAAGTAAATTTAGATGGTCTATCTATAACCTTAGCAAGTTCACCCTGGCTAATCAGTTTCAAAAACCATGTATCCCCATCTGGCTTAGATGACAGATTATAGAGTCCAGAGAAGATACTTCACCCACATCTGACCGAGGCAAGAGAGTATCTGTGGGATGTGGCTTTGAGATTTACTTTGTCTTTTTGAAAAGATTAACCAATTACGTTATGCTTCGTTTATTTAGCAGTATTATCAGGAAGGTCAATCTGAATTAATTTAAAATCTAAATTGAAGCAACTTCAATATATTCATCCAGGCTGCCTAACAGAGAACCTTAGAGAACCTAGTATATTGATTGAGCAAGAATAATTTTTAATTAACTCATCAAGACTATACCAAGGTATATGTTTTCACTATCCTCTACTGCAACCAATTCAACAAAAATTCACTGAATGCCTGTCTGCAACACACTGTGTTAGGAAGTGTGTGATAGAAAATCTAGGGCTACCAAAGAACTTGAAAAAAAAATGTTGTCCTAAATAGATTAAATAATCTTTTTACAATTTTGTCTATTATATTAATTTGCTCAACAACACTTTTTAAAAAGCCCCCACAAATATTTATGAATTATTATGCTATTTGTTTAATCTTATCATTTGATATGTGTGAGAGGCCCCAAAAACTATTTTCCTCTTTAATCAAAAGTATTAATGCATTAGATAAATATCCAATAAAGTAAATACATTTTTTGAGTTCACATTAACATTTTCCTTTTCCTATAAATCACTCAGACATGTATGTGTTCAACTTCTAAACACTTAAGGATTTTTGGTTATCATTTTGTTGTTCCTTTCTAAATTGTATTGAATTTTGGTCAGAGAATATGTTCTATAGGATACGGATTCTTTGGTATTTAAGATTTTCTCTACAGCCAAGATTATAATCAATTTTTCAAAATGTCCCTTACGTGCTGGAAAAGAATACAGCACATAAGAAACATTTTATTTTCTAACCTTGATTATTTTTTAGTTTATTCTCTAACTCTTGATTCAGAATTCAATATATTTCCATGGGTCCAAGCTTGCTAATTGCATTCTTATGGAGGTTTTTGCCAACTTGATCTATAACATTCCGAGGCAGATGTTAAAGTCCTCCAGTCTGTGATTATGGAAGTATCAATGTCTTTTGTAATTCTATCAATTTAGCTTCACTTAGTTTTAGGGTATATTTTAGGCATATATGCACAGAAGTTCTGATATTCTAATAGATTTTTAATTTCATTTATGAAATAAACCTCCTCTATCACTAATAAAAATAAATTTAAGGTAAGAAAAAACACTTATTTGAGAATTCATAACAGAGATTAAAACCGATCCATGAAAAAAGTGTACTGACTTTTATGTTTTTTTTTTTTTTGCTTTGTTTTGTTTTATGCACCTGACTTACATTCTTACATTTTTTGAGAGCTATGCCACCTCGAGTGCTCCTGAGGCTAAGCAGTGTTCCTTGGGCTAAACTTTGAACACAAAGTAACTGACTGAACTGGTTTTCCCCTGAGCTGACCGACAAATGGCTGTCTTGGCAGAATCTAAATGAGGAAAAAATTATCTTGATATAGCAATGCCTACAAGGCTGTATGACCAATATCTTCATCCTAAATAAGTCTTTAAGAGATACAGAAATCAAGCTAGAGGCCTGCAAAGAAAGGTGGTAAAGATAGATGATTTATTTCTTTACTCCAATTTTATTTATTAATATACAAAATCTAATTCCTTTCAGGCCCAAATTACAATATTTACATAAATAGCAGCTCAGCAGCCTTTGCCACTTGTGTGGGTTTAAATATTTGTTGCACCCCTTAACAGCTGCTGAAACATTGCAGGGTTTCCACTTGAGCAAGACCACTACAAAAAAAGATCCCACTATCTCTCTAAGCCCACACCTGGGAATTCACACAACCAAAGTACTCTGGCTCCAAGGGTCTTTTCTGGTGCTATGGTCATGAGTCACTGTCACTGTGGTAATTTAGAGTTTGTTCTTATTTATTCCTTTGCGAACTATGAGAAGTCAGAAAATGCCTATACTCTTCATGGGGAAGTACCCAAAAGAGTGTGAACTCAGGGGCCTCCTTAAGGAGGATTCTGTTCCTGCCAAAATTAAGGCTTTCCTCTAAGGAATACACTGCTACTCTCCACTACTTACTCCCCCACTATCCCCAACCCACCACCCCAGGTGCGGGCTTAGGAGATAGTGAGATTGTTTTATAATTGTCTCATCAGAGTGGAACCCCTGCAATACGTTTCAGCAGCTGCTAAGGGGTGCAACAAGTATTTAAATGCAGGAGAGATTCACAGTTTAAAATAAACATCAAAGGCAATAGTGAAGGGAAAATACAATCCCCAACAGGAGCCTGAAGGGGGGCATAAAGAGTTGTGTATATGGCTAGAAGAATAGAACCCTGCTTTTCACTGGGTGATATTAAGAGTGCTAAGGTGCTGATTTGCTGTAAGCTGCTTCCAGCCCAAACTGTTGGGGTGGGATAAAAAGAGAAAAGGGGAGAGAAGGGAGAGGAGAGAGAAGAGAAAAGTTTATTCCCCTGAAAATTCATCTGATTAATCCTTTTTGCCTAAACTCTGTGAAGTTTACCTATTGTCTCTGCAAAATTCAGACACCCTAAATTACCTAGTTATATTCTCCCAAATTAACTGGGACATGACCAAGTCTTGCCTTACAGAAAGCCAAAGGGAAACTAGTTTTTCTCTCCTGACAAGTTTAATCACCAAATTAAATCATAAAATTATTCAAGTATTGAGAACCATACATATGTGTGCGTGTCTGTGTGTGTGTGTGTATGTGTATGTGTTTTACTTAAGATGTATATATTAATTTAACTTTACAATTTGATCCATCTTTGCTACCAGTTAAAACAAACAGTGATTTTCTGGAAAGATCTGATTTCTTCCTCTACTTGGTGCATTTGATTATTTCAGAGTTTGTTCATTAATTTTTTTTATTTTAAAAGATTTAGAAATTTCCAGCTCAAACAAGAGGGAGAGATTTTCCTAATAAATAGAGTGAGTCCATTTACAGAATTGGCAAGTTGTAATAGTGAAGTAGCCCACAGATATCTCAAGACCTCTCCCTATGTTTTCAGGGTAACTAGATGTACTATACAATATTGCAGGCCAAATATCTGTGTTTAGTTGGTATCTCATTTAGATTTTTGATACTAAGCAGCACTGAGAGCTGTGAAATCCTTTCTATGAAGATTTACAAGTGTACACTCTGCCTCTCATTATATGAGTTAAACTCAGCATATCTCTGCATTATACATTCCAAATAAAGTCATAGCAATAGAAAAAGGTCTTTTAAATCAAATTTTTATGTCTCCATCTGAATTACAACTTTTTATTATTTTCATGCAACTGAATTGCTTTGGATAAGATAAAGCTTGGAAGATTATCCTCTTACAAAAAGTGACTTAAACAAGTCATTCCCATGAGTTGATGGCCAAACTGACTCCAACAGCAAAAGCCTTTGGGAACTGCTTTGGCATAAGCCTTGCTTATAGAATTTTCATAAATTACCACATAAGATGATGGGAAATGACAGTCTGAGAAATGTCAGTGTAAGAAATGGAAGTCTCTTAGATAGAATTCTGAGATTGTCAGGCTCCTTCTCTTATACAAAATGTATAAAAAGTGCAAAATCTCCTGAAGAAACTCCACTTAAGTCAATCTGAGCATTATTACCTTTAAAAGAGAAGAATACTCTTCTACAGAGAATAACAGAAATGATTAAAGTAATGGAAAATGAATCTTTCTAGGAAAGTTTGCAGGCATTAGTGTTGTTAAGCTGAGAGAAGAGAAGGCTCAATGGTAACTTGGAATATTATCTTTGAATATTCAGAAATTTATGGCTGCTGCTGTGACTACAGAAAACTGATAAAAAGGAAATGGGCTTTAATGAAAGTGGAAAAGATTATTAACTAAACATCGGCAAGGATTCCTTGACAATTAAAATAACACATGGGAATGGGTAACTTCCTTTTCACAGAGACTTTAAAATAGTATGTGTGTGTGTGTGTGTGTGTGTGTGTGTGTGTGTGTCTGTTACTATTTAACCTAAAAGTCTGAAGTTTGGCCAGTCTAAATAAAGGGTGTTAAAACAAAACTCTTTATTCTCCAGTAGTAATAGTATTCAATAACACAACTGCCTTCGTACCTTCTGCAACTTCAGCATCCTTAAAACCATCCCTAGTGTCTTCACAGTGGCTTTACTTCTTGCGTTTCAGAAAATGCAATCAATTTGGTGCAAAAGCCTGGGCTGAGGTTTCATAAAAATCATATACCATACCATCCCACAGCTTAAGTATTATTCCTTGTCCACCATTTATACAATATTGTTTTTTGTTTCTCTCAGGCCTGTCTAGAAGATAAATAGTACATAACTTCTCTTGCTACTTTCTAACTTTTTAGTGACTAAAATCTTAATTCTCAAACCAGCCACTCATGATATGGAATATTTAAGAATTGTTAAAGTATAAATTTGCTAAACTCTATGCAGGGCCTCTTTGCCTCAAGTGTATTGCCCACTGGAAACAAATTTAATCAACTTGCTGAGACCATTAAGAGCACAATAAGCACAAGCCCCGTCACCTTAGTTTTAACATCAGCCACTAATTGCATCCATGGTAAATATTGACTTTGGAAAGTTAAAGTCACAAACACACCCATTTCAAAACCAATATATTCTCTATATAGTTTGTACATCAAATGGTCCATATCATAGTACCAAAATATTTTGTTGTCCATTGCTATTATTTGAAGGAAATCTCTGGATAATCTCAACCAAAATAAAATCATGAGGAAGAAAGAACTTCAGAGACCTGAAAATGTATTTCTTCATTTTGGAAATGGATGATGACTTTCCTATTATTTTTATTTTTCAAAATGTCTTATGATTAGCTTTAATTTGTGTAGGATAACTTCCTGGCTGGCTTTTTTTTTTCTCATTGGAAATTTTAGTGGCTAACAAGTAAAAAAATTCTTAGATTTCATCTAAGGCAGCCAATGAATGATGACATTTATATATTACCTTATTCAAAACTAGCTCTTGAGTAATCTAGTTCACAGTTAAAGTTAGGCTGTAGTAGAGAATACTAATTTATTATGATAAAGACTCAATTATATTTATTTTCAAAGTAATAAACCATTCACTGTTGCTTCCTTGATGACAAAATTATTTCAATAACTGTTTTACAGCAACTAAGCACAATTTGTATCTTATCACCATCTTGTTTTATGTGAAACTCAGATATAGATAAATAGATAGATAGATAGATAGATAGATAGATCAATAGATAGATAGATAAGAGTCTTGCTGTGCCGCACAGGCTGGAGTGCAGTGGCGCAATCTCGGCTCACTGCAACCTCTGCCTCCCAGGTTCAAGTGATTCTCCCGTCTCAGCCTCCTGATTAGCTGGGATTACAGGCGCGTGCCACCACGCCCGGCTAATTTTTTTTTTTGTATTTTTGGTAGAGATGGGGTTTTATCATGTTGGTCAGGCTGGTCTCAAACTCCTGACCTCATGATCTGCCCGCCTTGGCCTCCCAAAGTGCTGGGATTACAGGCATGAGCCACCGTGCCCAGCTGAAATTCAAAAATTTAAATCAAATTCATGGTAAGCACAATTAACAATATTAACCTTTCATAATTTGATGAAAATATATTAAATAAACCCTTACATTTATATTTATGGGCAATTAATCTTTAACAAGAATGTCAAGACAATTCAATGGATAAAGATTAAGTCTTTTAACAAATGGAGCTGGGGCAAACTGCAAAACAAAATAAAGTGTGCCCCTCCCTTCTACCACACACGGAAATTACCTCAAAATGGATCAGCTACCTAACTGTAAGACGTAAAGCTATAAAACTCCTAAAAGAAAACATAGCAGTAAATCTTTGTGACATTGGATTAGGTAATGATTTCTTATATATGATATTAAAGGCCCAAATAACCAAAGAAAACAGATAAACTGGACATCATCAAAATTAAAGTGAAAAGACAACCCACAGAGTGGGAGAAAATATTTTTAAATCATATATCTTATCAGGGATTTCTACTGACAAATGATCTGAATGGATTTATCCAAGGAAGACATAAATGCCCAATAAGCAACTGAGATGTTCAGCATTATTAGTTGTTAGGGAAATGTAAATCAAAACCACAGTGAGATACCACTCCACATCCACTAAAATGGCTATAATAATTTTTAAAATTGGAAGAGTGTTTTGGTGCAGGTGGGGAGAAATTGGAACTTCATATACCCTTGGTAAGAATGGAAAATGCTGTAGTAATGGTGGAAAACAGTCTTGCAGCTCCTCAAAAAGTCACACATAGAGTTACCATATGACCCAGCAAATCCGTTTGGAGGTATATACCCAATAGGATTGAAAAGATCCATCCCCACACAAACTTGTATATGAATGGTCATGTCAACATTATTAATAATAGCCACAAAAGCTGAAACAACCTAAATGTCCATCAAAACTGATGAATGAATGGATAAGCAAAATGTGGTATATCAATAACAATGGAATATTATTTAGCTATAAGAAAAAATAATGTCCTGATTCATACTACGACATGAATAAACTGAAAACTATTAGGTTGGTGCAAAAGTAATTGCAGTTTTTGCCAATAAAAGTAATGGCAATTACTTTTGCACCAACCTAATATATGTTAAGAGAAAGTAGTTTGTCATAAAATGTCACACATTGTATGATTCCATTTATGTGAAATGTCCAGAATATGCCATAGAATAAATTAATGGTTGCCAGTGGCTGGGGGCAGGGGGCCTGGGGGATGACTGCTAATGGTTAGAGGGTTTCCTTTGTGGGTAATGAAAATGTTCTGGAATCAAATAGTTATCATGGTTGCACTGTTTTTGTATACACTAAAAACTACTGAGCTGTATACTTTAAAAGGTGATGGTTATATAAATGATATCTTAATAAAGCTGTTATTTTTAAATGAAAATAAGTTAAATAATGACTGTGGAGATGTTAAATATGAATTTCCTCTAGTCTTAAAAAATTTTTTGAAAAGATACATTTTAATAATAATACTCATATATTAAAGGTACAAATTAATGCATGGTCAATCTCTGGACACTGAAGCAAGCTCTGGTATGGTAAAAAAGCATTTTTGTCTTTGAATTCCAGCTGTTTATCATTAGCTAACTCTGTGACTATAAGGCAAGTTACTTGACCTCTCAACTGTAAAAGGGGAATAATGATACCTTCCCTCACAGGATTGTTTTAGAGATTAGAACAGATAACCTACAAGAAAGAAGTAGCATAGTGCCCGACACATAGCAAGCAATAAAAAAATACAAAGCCAAACAGAGATACTTCATTTAAGGCAAGGTACTGGGTGAGAGCTTCAAAAACAAATTAAGTCAAGGACTTCACCTTCAAGGGGTTCAGGGTCATCTAAGCTATTACAAAATTACCATTGACTGGTTTTATTATTCTTTTCAAGCTTTCTGTATGGCAAGAGACCCCAACTGCACATCTGCCTCCTCAAAAGGCTTCTGCACCCCTTTCTCTCCCTGCCCCAATACACATGTGATTGAGGAGGCATTGCATAAGGTAGTGCAAAGAATTCTATTTATGTGTGGCTATTAAGTGAACACTAAAAAGCAGTCATCTCTCACTGGGGATAGCTGTGATATATTTTCCAAAAGCATTGTATTAATATATTAAAAGCCTGGCTTCCACACACTCTGTTGAGGAACATATTCCAGTGTATTTCTGAAATGTAGATTTCTCAGCTGCTGCTGATTTCTAGGTTCAAGCAGCATATTATGTTAAACACACCCTTTTTGGGTTATGAATCATAAAATCATGCAGATACTGGCTATATACAATAATTTGGCAAGTCATTGGCATAAGAGTAGTCTAGTTTATCACTGGAGAACCTTATCTGGCAGGTTTCATTTATTGATGCTCCTTGCAGGATGAAAACAACCAAGGTCCATCATAGAACATGGTTTACCTTGGCTCTTATTATTTCTCTTTCAAAATCATCATCTTAGCAATTTTACTATTCTATATAGGTCTGTTTGTGCTTGGAAGTGGAAATTCAGCTCCCCCAAACATAATCAGGTTATGTTATAAAGCACATATCAATATTACTAAACAAATTACTCTTCCCCATTCTGTATTTATGCAATCAATGATCCAGGTTTTTTCTCTTTTATCTAACTGAAAGAGATCTATTTGAGCAAGCAATTACAGTAAAGCAAGACAGTAAAATATTTAGAAAATAATACCTACTCTTCTTAGAAGGCAATCTTTACTCTTTTAAGGTGAGTATATTCTCTTACACTGAGATTAACTTTATTAATTAACTTTCCCTCTTCCCCAGCTAGCTCCAAAAAATAACAATTCCCCAGAAATTAAAGAAAGTGAAAAAACCCTAAAAACTGTAAAACTGATAACAGTCTTGTTTTACACTGGCCAAATCATCTTGGGTCAACTAGACACTGATTTTGGCAACCTGATACATCACTTCAACCCAGGTGGCTCCATCTTGACCCAGACACTAATATAGGCGAACAGATGTTTCTCAAATTTCACATGACATTATCCATTCCACCTGTTTTTGTGATAGATGATTTATTTTCTGACACTCAAGCAAATCTGCCTACTTCCCCCTCCTACCCTTCCCCCAAATCAGGCCACCTCACCAGAGGAATTGCCTGAGCTTAATCAGATACTAGTGCAATGCTTTCAGTTTATAGAGGCAGAAACAAATTCCAGAAAGGGAAAGTAACCTTACTGGTGACACTTTGAGAAGAGAGTACAGCTGGCAGTATAAGTGAGCCTGAAATTATACCTCTGGGGTCTAAGTCTCAGTGCTTTTCTATAACTACACAATTCTATCTCTATAGCATTTTGGTTATCTATCCATTCATCCATCCACATATCTTTCAAGTCTCTCCCTTTATAATAGAAAAAAGTAAAAAAAAAAAAAAACTGGAGATGGTACACATTTTTTTTGGTCAGGTTTACTGAGGTACAATTTACATCAGTAAAATTTGCCCATTTTAGTGTGCATTTCTATGAGTTTTGACAAACACATGCAGTCACATAATCACCACCACAATCAACATGAAGAATAGTCTCACTACCCCAGAAAATCCCATCAGATGGCACTTTATTCTTATTATACTGACTGTGCTGGTAAAGGACTTATCAGTTAATGGAAAATTCTATTTGACTAAAGGTTTAACTTAACCAAGAGGCATCTAAAACACACTTTTTGCCCTATTTTTTGCTGAAAAGTTTTCTAAAATGCTAGAGTTATTTGCTGCTTTATAGAGAAGATAGAGAAGAGAACAGTAGGATACATCAGCCAGCTTGGTCAATCAGGTAGGGTTCCTCAGGTGACAGGCCTGGGCAATCCAGGGATGCAAGGGATGGATACTAGCAAGCAAACAAACAGCAGAGAGAGAAAGAAGACACATACAGAGAGAGAGAGAAGGAAAAAAGTGGGAAGGAAGATGAAAAGGAAATCTTGTTTATGCGCACATTTTGCAGAGTTAGTTTTAACTATTGATTATAGACACAGAAGATTTGTGAAACCCTGCTGAATATGTGCCCACGTGTCTGCAAATGCCTGGAAATAGCTTTTTAAATTTGTCTGGTTATTTTCTTAGTCATGCTATTAGCTATGTGTGTAACAAAGCCCCCAGTAAATTAAGGGTCCCTTTGAATTGGCTTAACCAATCAAGATCTGACTGCAAAAAAAAAGGGGGGGATTTTTTTCTTTAAGAAATAAGGTTCTCTGCAAATTAATATAAATACTATCATAGGTTTTGGGTATTTGTTTATTTGGCCTCAGATGCCAGGAAAATCTGATCTTTATTATTCAACTGAATTCAGTTTCGCATCTTAGATTCTTGGGATCGTTATCTTTATTCCTCTCCTGATTGGTTTCTGATCTCTCACCTCGATCTCAGCAATGCATATTAACTTTACAAATTGCCTCAAATCTTCTGACAAAAGGTGGGGTTTAATTTATAAATTGTTTGCATCTGGTTGCTGGGTAACTGGCTAAAAGAGTAATGTGGAACATGGATCTGTACCAACCTTTTGCTTCTTAACTGATAGCCCATATTTTAAGAGGAGTGTGATTCTAATCAGAGATTATACAGCAATACTATTTTCTTAATAGTAGAATAGAGCAATAAAAAATAATGATTGTTTAAGAAAGAAAATGAATCAATTGAAATTTCTTCAATATGCTGGTTATTGTCTCAAAATTACTCCAGGACAAAGAGCCATTAGACTCAAGTAACTAATAACAGTGATAAATATAAATGCAAAATTGTGGATGACTTATTATGTAACAGGTTCTAGGAACCTCTTACATTGACAAACTCAGTTAACTTTCACAACTATCCCATAGGTCAAAGAGTATCATTGTGCCCACATTGCAGATGAAAAAATTGAGAGGTCACATGCCTGAGATACTTAAGTGGCACAATCAGGATACAAATCCAGAAAATCTGACCCCAGATCCCATGTTTTTAAAACATTATACAATACTTCCTTTCACTACATGTTGGGTCAAATAACTTTCTTAACTGACCCTCAAAAACCCACTCACTGATCAAATCTATTTGATTAGCATCTATTCGAAACATTCTCATATATATGTATAGAGAAGTTTAGATACTGCTGTACCTAAGAAAATCAGGCCCTTTAATCTTTATTAAGTGGTCTTGAGGTCCCTATTTCTGTCCCTAAACAGTCAGCGGTCCTGTGGTAGTGGTATCCTTAGCCTGGTATATTATGTTCTTCTCCTTTACTGAAATTGGAATGACCTACAAGCATACTAAATATTGATATTGCTTTCTGCTGCTGTTGCATCCATAAAGATTCTAAAATAGCATGCACATTGGCAATAACAATATGATGCTATAACATTCAAATGTTATCAAATATTCAGATGTTTAGCATCTTACATACATGAGCACTAACCCTATGACATAATAAACTAAAATGAGATTTTTCATGACATTCAAGGAGCATTAGTGTCACTTTATTACAGACTGTTTACATACCATTGAAGATCAAGTGGCAAAAGTGAAGAACAAACACAGCCCCAAAATTTAGAATTCCTTTAAGGACAAAGATTCTAATGAGAGTTCTTTGTTAGGTACATAGGCACTTCCTCACAGAGCTTTCTCTTAAATGTCTTGGTTGTCAAGTTTGTTGTAAGCAACTGTTAATGTAACTAAATAACATATTTAGATATATTTTCATAAAATATAAATTAAAGGATTTAGCAAAACTGTCAGAAGAGTTTTTTTAATCAAAGAAGGAACGATTACAGGAAACTGATCAATAGAAGCAATAAAAATGTTACAACCACAAATTTTCCTTTTGAGTGTGGTTGATAAACATCAAACTTGAAAAGAAATTGGTAAGGTAAAAATTATTTTCCTTACAGGAAAACTATAACTATTGTTGATTGTCTAAGAACTATAAAGAGACTATCCTACTGATCCTTAGTTTATTTAGAAAATTTGTTGTACACTTAATGTAAGGTACTTTAGAGTGGTTTTAAAAAGTGAAGCATGAGTTGATATCTTACATACTTTATCTTTCACATAATATATGGCATCTACAGTGGTTTAGTGGATCTCATCTTTCTGTCAGTGTCAGAGCAAAATTTAAAATATTACTGTCTCCAAATATCTATAGGTCCCTACTGCCAATAATTTCACTTCATTCTTTTGTTTTATAAATTAGAGATAAAGAGAATCATTTATGAGACCATCACCTGAGGAGATAATCAATTATGTATGCTGCAAATGCAGACTTGTCTCCCAGCTAGAGGAGGTGAGAGGCCCTAAGGATAAAGCTTTCAGAAACTGCCTCACCCCGAATCTTCTCAATCAGAATAATTTCAATATGTCTCTCCTTCTTTCTCTCTCACATTCCCACTGTCACTTGTAGCTCCTTAATAAGATTTCTTACAGTATGTATTGTATTACAATTATTTCTTTATGCTCTTCTAGTTCAATTATGAAGTTTTTCCTATTTCTCCTAACTCTAGTTTTTACTTCTTCCATTAAAATTATGTACTTCCATCTTACCATTTAGTATTGTTTCCTCTATTGAATAAAAAATCCTTTTGGACTTGTTATTAAATCAGAACACAGAGAGGCAACCTAAGGCCCTTTCCCTCTCTTCCCCTCTGTTCAACATCTTATGTGATATCTATACCCACAGCTCATGATTGACCTGGTAAAGGCAAGCAGGGTACTTCCTCCAGGTCACTGGTGCAACTCCATGTTTATGCCTCTTAATTAAGATTAGATTCTCAAATGCAACTTAAGTCCTTTGCCTGCAAGAGGATAGCTAACATTTACTGAGCATTTCTTATGTACCAGGCACTATGTCCTGTGAGGTAAGTATTATCATGCTTAATTTAATAGATGAGAAAACCTGAGGCTCAGAGAGTTTAAGTAATTTGCCTAAGGTCACACACAAAGTGGCAGAGTTAAAAGTTAAAATCCAGGTCTCAGCGATTCCAAAGCTCATGCTTACGGTAATACACTACTCAGCTTCCCAAGGTAATCTAGGTTTTATTTATTTCAAATAAGAATAAAAGGAGCCAATTACAACTGAGGATTCCCTTGTAAATACTGAAACCCAGCCTCAGAAAGAATAGAAGAACATTTATCACCTGACATATCCACTTGACATATTATGGACCAGAACACAGCGAACCTGGGTTCAGTCAACTTGGGCTCAGATTAAAAGAAATGTAGGTGAAATATACTAACTTATAAATGTTTGCTTCCTGTGACTCAAATAATTATGTTTAATCTGAAGTCCATTGACCAAATATATAAAATTGTATGCAAGTGGCTTGTAGATGTTAATATTTCCTCACTTTCTTAATAGGAATATATCAAACTTAGGCTGTATCTTGAGGCTATGTGTCTTCAGTGAAATAATCAGCCAGTGTTTTAAATAACCAAGAGTTAACTTACAACCTAGTCAAACAACTGGATTGACAAGGTTTATTTATTATTAAATTGACCAAGTTGGCTGGAAGAGACCAGTTAGTCTGTTTGGCAGCAGACTAACAAAGGTCCTCAAATCATCTGCAAAGTATCTCACTACGTAAATTCTATCAGGAGAGGGAATCCTACAACTTTCTACATCACCATCCTTAACTTCTGCCCTTTCTGAGAAATCTTGCCCAGGTTTCCAGATCTGAAAGTTCTGCAGAAACATTTAGCAAATTCTAAGCCATCAGCACTGGGAAATTTACTGCAGAATGCTGTTACAGTACTCCAAACCATTGTACTAAGCTGCCATCACCAACTTGCCAAAAAGGAACTTTGTGAAGGCAGCCCCCAAAATGCTACTCTACTGTGTATTAAGATGTAAGGAACAAATAGCTTAAGTTTCCAGTTCACTAACAGGATACATATGCAAAACAAGGAAAAGTACCTAATTCTATAATCAAAACCAGTTCTACATGTATTTCTAAACTTTTAGGGATTTATGGTGTGGGAGTAGAAGACTCAGGATATTTGCTTATATTAATTTGCGAAGACATGCTTTCATAGTTTACAGTATATTTTCATTGTGAAGGAAAGTCTTAAATACCTTCCTCAAATCTATATATCCTAAGAACTTAATCTGAAGGATAATCTATATAAACTTATATGCCTGACATGGGGAAATTTTGCCCTTTCCTGGGATTCACCCAGTGGGAGAGAGATATGCAGCTCACTATCCCCTTCCTGGAATATTCAAGTAATGATTAATATTTTTATTTCCTAAATTTGTGTGTGTGTGTCTGTGTGTGCTTGCGCGTGTGCACACATGGTTGGTGGGGCAGTGTCAGGAATCAATGTCACCAAACCACCTTGAAACTCCAATGAAAACGTGATTTTCTCATGTTAGTGCCTGGTTCTAAGTGAGGATAATATGCACAATGAAGCAACAAAGAAGCACCTCAAAGGATGGGCTATAACTGAGGCAGTGACTCTTCAATCTGGTGCATGCATCGGAAATACCTAATCTGTTAAAACACAGATTGCCTGCTCCCCCAACCAGTACTCCTACTTGGGTTTGTTTCTGCCTTACTATTTCTGGAGTGGCTCCCAAGAATTTGCATTTCTAACAAGTTTCTGGGTGATACTGACACTGCTAGTCAAGAGGCCAAACTTTGAGAACCACTATGCTAAGGGAATTAACATGTGAAAGTAGAATCTGTGAATCAACCATACCAAAAGGTCATAAAAGAAAGATTAATGAGTCATTCCAAGGACGACAGGGACATGGCACTGAACTTTACAGGAAGAAACTGGTAAGCCAGAGGAGGTGGAAAAAACCTAACTAATTTCATGACTTGGCTGACAGATTTGAAGTTCACGAGAGTGTAATAAGAAATTCAAAAATTTTTAAAAAGTCACTCCATCCTCCTTTGCCATCAAGACTGTTAAGATATAGGGGGCTTGGGGAGGTTTGAGCAGATTTCCAGTAAATCTATAGTGACTAGATTTTAATTCCACTATATTATCTGCCAAGACTTTTGTTCTGGCTTCTGAGCTTCTTTTAAGAAAGTGGTGCACACTCATGCCACTTCAACTGGCTTCCTTAATTGAAAACATTGGTACTGTTTTAAGGAATGGATGCTAACTTTAAAGGGGGAGGACTAAGAAAGAGAGTTCATGCATTTGGCTTTGTTCAAATCCTGCTGCTTAGATCTGATATGTGCTTTAATCCCTCTATTAGATGGCCAAATATAAAAAAGAAAAAAAATGAAGGCCAAGGCTCAAGTTATCCAACCAAAGAGCAACTGGATAATCCAAAGGCAGATTAATCAAAACCACATTTTTAAGGGAACACAGTCTCTTAACTATATGCTGCTCTAAGGATATGTGGACAAATGGGCTTTATTGAAATCTAGAGAGATAAAAGGAATAGTAGAATTCGTGGTTGCTAATGTCCCAAGTACCAAAACTTCTTTTATAGCCATGACCAGAACTTTCACCATTTCCCTATTTGTCAGTTAACTTAAAACAGCCAAATCTACATGACTATTTTCCCTATCCCCTCAATCCTCCCTTCAGACTAGGATCCTGTGCTTGCTACCACTTCAACATTCTCAACATATTGAAAGGTTCTGATAATATTTGACCCGAAGTCACTTCTCCTATCCACCAGAGGACTTAGAAGGCTCCACAACTCTGGCTAAGTTTCAGGTGAGCAAACAGAAAATGGCATTTGCAAAAAAGATTGAGAAAGTCGTTTCTCCATTTATCTAATATGGTTTAACTGTTTTCCCAAATAAACTCGAACAGTTGCTTTGAATATACAGTGTGTGCTTTCTCTTCACTGAATGGGCCAAATCAATCAGCTGTTTAATACTATGTAGCCTAAATGGTAGGATTAAATCCCTCCAGCCTTTCCCCTTTTGTTGCTTTGCATTTAAATGAACCAGGGTCAGTGGAGGGTCATTGTAACCAAGAGAGACTTGATCCTGTAAGAGAGAAAAGCAGGCTCCCTTCATCAAGGGCAATTGGATAACCTCTGGCAGAAGTGTACCTTGCCTTCAACCCCCTCCCCTCCCATGGTGCCCTTAGGGTTCTCTCCTTTTACAGAGGTGCTACATCTCGCTTTGCTTTGTTAAGGAACCACTACCCTTGTTACAAAACTCTCCTCTCAACTGTCTCACACTCATCAAAAATAATTTACCTGCCATGTGCCTCATTTCCCTTGGGATTAAGGTGAGACCCACTCTTATCTGTGCTAAAGTATTAATTAGTTGTTTAATGCATTACTTAATTTATAATATAGACTTGAACAGGTGATTTCTAATAAGAAGTCCAAAAGAATGACTCTAATAATTGGAATTTTGAGAAATGTGGAAGGCTGGTCCGTGGAACATATTTTTGGTCTGAGATATCTTTCCTGCAAATCACACCACATTAAGTCCAATCTCTTCCTTCCCAATACATATGCGTAATTTTTTCACCATCTGAGAAAAGTAATAAACCCTTTCTGACATTTCTAGTTTACACATAGAATCTCAAATTCAACTAAGCAGTGGTTCCCAATCCAAATCTTTTAGGGTGGGTCATGAGCATTTGCATTTTCAAATGATTCCTCCAGAAGATTTTGGTGTGCACCCTTACTTAAGAACCACAGAAATACAGAAATAAGGGCGTTTTGTTCCATCAGAAGGCAGCAAGACCAGGCCTGCTGCTACCTCTGCTCACAATGTTGCTGACTTTGCTCCAGAATCATGTGGAACTGTAAGTCCAAGTCCAATTAAACCTCTTTTTCTTCCCAGTCTTGGGTATGTCTTAATCAGCAGCATGAAAACAGACTATTATTGCAGTAAATTGGTACCAGTAGAGTGGGGCATTGCTGAAAAGATACCCAAAAAGTGACTTTGGAACTGGGTAATAGGCAGAGGTTGGAACAGTTTGGAGGGCTCAGAAAAAGACAGGAAAATGTGGGAAAGTTTGGAACTTCTTACAGACTTGCTGAATGGCTTTTCCCAAAATGCTGACAGTGATATGGACAATGAAGTCCAGGCTGAGGTGGTCTCAGATAGAGATGAGGAACTTGTTGGGAACTGGAGCAAAGGTGACTCCTGTTACATTTTAGCAAAGAGACTGGTGGCATTTTGCCCCTGCCCTAGAGACTTGTGGAACTTTCAACTTGAGAGAGATGATTTAGGGTATCTGGCCAAAGAAACTTCTAAGCAGCAAAGCATTCAAAAGGTGACTTGGGTGCTGTTAAAAACATTCCATTTTAAAAGGGAAACAGAGCACAAAAGTTTGGAAAATTTGCAGCCTGATGATGCAGCAGAGAAGAAAAACCCATTTTTTGAGGAGAAATTCAAGCCAGATGCAGATTTGCATAAGTAACAAGGAGCCAAATGCTAATCACCAAGACAATGGGGAAAATGTCTCCAGGCCATGTCAGAGACCTTCATGGCAGCCCCTCTCATCACAGGCCTGGAGGCCCAGGAGGAAAAAGTGGTTTTGTGGACTGGGCCCAGGGTCCCTGTGCTGTGTGCAGCCTAGAGACTTGGTGTCCTGTGTCCCAGCCGCTCCAGCTATAGCTTAAAGGGGCCAATGTAGAGCTCAGGCTGTGGCTTCAGAGGGTGCAAGCCCCAAGCCTTTGCATCTTCCACATAGTGTTGAGCCTGCAGGTGCACTGAAGTCAAGAATTGAGGTTTGGGAACCTCCGCCTAGATTTCAGAAGATGTATGGAAATGCCTGGATCACCAGGCAAAGGTTTGCCGCAGGGGTGGGGCCCTCATGGAGAACCTCTGCTAGGGCAGTGCAGAAGGGAAATGTGGGGTTGGAGCCCCCACACAGAGTCCCTACTGGGGCATCACCTAGTGGAGCTATGAGAAGAGGGCCACCATCCTCCAGACCCCAGAATTGTAAATTCACTGACTGCTTGAACCGTGCACCTGGAAAAGTTGCAGACACTCAATGCCAGCCTGTGAAAGCAGTCAGGAGGTAATAAATATGTACCCTGCAAAGCCACAGGGGCGGAGCTGCCCAAGACCATGGGAACCCACGTCTTGCATCATGTGACCTGAATGTGAGACCTGTAGTCAAAGGAGATCATTTTGGAGCTTTAAAATTGACTGGCCCGCTGGATTTTGAACTTGCATGGGCCCTGTAACCCCTGTGTTTTGGCCAATTTCTCCCATTTGCAACAGGTGTATTTACAACAATTCTGGTACCCTCCTTGTATCTAGAAAGTAATTAACTTGCTTTTGATTTTACAGGCTCATAGGCAGAAGGGACTTGCCTTGTCTCAGATGAGATTTTGGACTGTGGACTTTTGAGTTAATACGGGACTACGGACTTTTGGGTTAATGCGGGACTGTTGGGAAGGCATGATTGGTTTTATAATGTGAGGACATGAGATTTGGAGGGGCCAGGGGCCGTATGATATGGTTTGGCTGTCTCTCCACCCAAATATCAACTTGAATTGTATCTCCCAGAATTCTCATATGTTGTGGGAGGGACCCAGGGGGAGGTAATTGAATCATGGGGGCCGGTCTTTCCCATGCTATTCTCATGATAGTGAATAAGTCTCATGAGAGCTGATGGGTTTATCCAGGTTTCTGCTCTTGCTTCTTCCTCGTTTTCTCTTGCCGCCACCATGCAAGAAGTGCCTTTCACCTCCCACCATGATTTGGATGCCTCCCCAGCCATGCAGAACTGTAAGTCCAATTAAACCACTTTTTCTTCCCAATCTTGGGTGTGTCTTTATCAGCAGCATGAAAACAGACTAATACACAGGGCCGCATAAGGCACAATACAGAGAGATATTTTAAGGCAAGGCAGGAAGGCTAAGCTTTCATTTGATTCAGTGCTTTCAAATGTTCATCACCATCTAATATACCAGGGACAAATTATCAAAATTTTACATAATAATAAAAAGCATATGAAGATAAGAATGGTGGAAACAGATTCTGGAAAATCAACTAATAAATCATTAACATATCTCCAGATTCTGTCCAAAAATATTGAAAAGATTCCTATCAGTCACAGTTGTTAACCACACTGAAATTGTCAGAATCTAAAGCAAGAATGAGGAGGTGAGATGTAAAATTAAAATGAAATAAGAAAAAGAGATGTGAAGTGGGGCTGATGTGAACTGAACATAGAGGGTTCATTTGTTAGAGGCTGCAGTAACTTAAGGCTGATTTATGAGATATTTTTCTCCTTGTATTTTGATGAACATCAATAAGCCTCCTTAACTTAAATTGAATAATATCATTTACTCAGAGCTGTCATTCATAAGATTCTGTAGGTACATCTGAATCATTTCTGATTTGAAAAATATTATAGTTTCACTGTTATAATAAGAATAGCTATTACTATCAATCAGAATTACCACCATTTTAATTATTCACAATCTTATGTGAGAGGGAAAAGTAATGAGATATTTCACCTTCAGATTCCTAGAAAGAAGTAAGATACTTAGAGGATAACTACCTGGAAATTAGAGTATTAGGTAATACCTGGGAAACCTTGAGTGAGTGGGAGTGAGTTAGGGACGGAGAAGGACGTGTTATTTCTATAGCAAAGGGATGCTCTACATCTTTAGTTATTTGACCTAAAGGAAGTCACTTCCCCTCTCAGGGCTTGAGTTTTGTTATCTATAAATAACGGATTGACCTACGACCTGAATGGAGTCCTATCAGCTCTGTCCTGTGGTAAAGTTTGATTCTTCCTCATCTGCCTCAGCTTCAGAGTAGTGAATATTAAAATAAACTTTGTATTAAAGATATTCATCTACCAATTTGTCCACTTGCAATGCTAATAACATTTTAATACTGGTCTCCATATTGATAAAAAACTTTTGCCTGTTTTTTCATAGGATGATAAGAGATACATTGCATAATGTGTTTTATTGTCCCCATTAGTTTTGTGAAACTGTGGCTTACAGAAGTTAGGCAACTCACTCCCTGGTCACTCACCTCATGGAGCCATGAGTTAAAATCAGATTTATGTGATGCCAAAGCACATGCTCCCACTGTGGCATGGCAGGGGACTAGTATGACATGATTATAGAAAGATGGAAGCTGCATACTCTAAACTTGTGAAAATAAGTCTCTACATGAATTTTTAGCTGATGACCTAGAATGTATTCCATGAACCTAAACTGATACCTTCCTGGTCAGGGCTCTTGTCAAAGCGATTAGTCTTTTAAATGCTTCAACTGTCTAGCTTTTTTGAGAGAACTTTCCCTTTTGAAACTGTGTAGCACAATATCAATAGCATGTCTAATTTATTCCTGTTCTGGTTGGTTCCAAAACCTATATTGTGCACTGGGCATGCTGCTGTTGAAATATTTTACATAAAACTGATTCTGTAATAAAAAGCTAGCTACTAGAAAATTTAATTGAATCTTTCTTAAATATTTACTATTCAGAACAGGCACTTCATGAATTGCTAATTATTTTTTCAAGTAGTTTCTAATATTCCCCATATAACATGCCATGTAATTTGGCTTTGTCAAATGACTGAAAATATAATTCATTAATTCTCTCTGTTTTCATTAGAAAGTCTCTTTGACACAGACTGGAGGAAAACAATAATGGTACTGGAACTGGGAGAGTTGTAGACATTGGATCCTCATTATAAATGTTCCTTGGGGGCTTGGTGGAACTACCTTCCAGTTCCTCACTGATTTGAGTATATCATGTACAAATGTACTGCTTTTTTAAAACTTAACAATTCTCCTGTAGTTTTATATGGCACAGTTAAAAGTGAGGGCTTTACAGGCCAGGGATATCTCATTACAGACCTGGCTCAGACATTTACTGCATGACTTTAGACAAGTTATTTAACTTCACTATGCCTCAGTTACATATACAAAATGAGAATAACATTGATAAAAACTACCTCATGGGATTCCTATGAGGATCAAATGACTTAATGCCTATAAAGCATATAGAATAGTATCTGGTATACAATAAGCTCTTAATTAAAGTTATCTTGAATTGTAATTGGCTAGAATCTAAGACTTATTTATTTTGTATCTATACATTACAGCAAATAGTCTCCCTCACTTTTTAATGAGAAACTAATTTTCCTGAAGAACTAGAAAGAGAGTTGATGATGGTAGAAGGTACAGCAAATGAAGTTCCCGAGGGCTGAGAGATGGTGACGTTGTTTCTGGCTCTATCTCTGTCTCCACTAAGACTCTTAGCAAATTCAGAGAGGACATAAATAACAATGTTACATCACCTGGAGATCTACAGTGTATTGCTGCCTCTTTTGTAATCTTTTTAGGATCTACAGAAGTGTTATTCCTTTGCAGATTGTTATTTATCCTCGAAGAACATTATTTACAAAATGGAAAAAAAAAACAGTATATTCTCTGGGCTATGTTAACAGAATTAAGAGCAGGGTGATGTGACAGTTGAATTTAAGCAGTTCTGCCGGCAGTCTGCCTCAATTCCACTCCACACACTGACCATTCATGTCCTACATATCCTTCCTTAAGGTAAATTTCTCAGTACCACAGATAAAATGAGTAATTTAACTTAAAAATCACAGAGATGGACCGCATGCAATGGGGCTCTAAATGACACAAACGGTCTTTCTGTGAGAAATCTATAGATTAAAGCCAGTGATAGCCTGGCCTGTGAAACAGAAGAACATAAGGTCTTTCACCAAAAAAATTAATATCATTGATTGACATTGATTGCAATCACACTAGGGGCTTGGGCCTATATTAGGTATAATAAAACCGGAGAGTGACTAATCAATTCAAGTCACCAGCCCTGAGCCCTTTCCCTTATGGAGTAGGAAAAAATAAACCCAGAGTGACCTTGATTCTCTTCTACAGCCTAGGGGACTGAGCAGGCAAAGGCTCTCCTTGGCATGTCAAGGAGAAAACTCTTCTTTTTTTCTTGACCCAGCCCCTCAATGAGGAGAGAATTACTCACCTGGAGTCAATGATCCCTACAGCTGCCAGCAAAGCCGCATTCCTATGAAGCTCTGAAAGCACTACAAAACATTTGCCAGAAGAAGCAGGGAGGAGTAGCAGCTGTTCTGGGACCAGAAGACCACCTCCTCCCCACCCTTTGGCAGCTTCTTAGATAGGCTGATCTGGGATTCTCTGCCACACCACAGCAGGTGGGAGAGTCAGTTTCTTTCTTGTTTCTTAACATGACGTTGTCAGGTGGCAAATCTGTGATGGGGGTAAAGTTGATTCTGTGTAAGGTTGGCAAATAAAGTAAAGAACACGCCCATTTACATTTGAATTTCAAGTAAACTTTTTTTAGTATAACTATATGCTGTTGGGACATACTTACATTAAAAATGTATTTGTTCTTCATCAAAATCAGATTTAACTTGGCATCCTGTATTTTTATTTGCCAAATCTGGCAACCCTAGTTCTAAGGTCTCTTGCATCCTATTTCTCTCTTTCCCCACTTACCAGGCTCTATTCCTTCACCCCTCTATCTGGTCATCAGGGCCCTGGAATATAAGATTTGAATAAGGAAAACTACAAAATATAGAATTAACCAACAAAGTTTGATTCAGCACAGTGCTACTGCAGGGAATATAAAAGAAACAATGAATATTATCTAGTCCCTGCCCTCATAGCTTTTTTTAGAACGAAAAAATTTGATTGAGGCTAAGTAAAATTGCTTGGGTCCACATCTCATTCTGCATGTTTCAATGCAAATAGAGGGCAAGTGGCATCATTAGAAACTCAAATGGCTTTTGCTTCCCTATAAACCTAGAGACACATCCTCAGGCACTAAATCTCTGTTACTGTAACTCAATTCACAATACAATTCACGAATTGTAGTTTTCTACCAAGTGCATAATGATATATAAAATGCAAGTAAATGGCAAGATGATTCACAACACCAACAGAACTCAAAAGATATGAGCACTTACAATGGAGCTGGAAGCACATTACTATATACACCAGCTGCTGAGAGGCAGATACTTTGCCTATTTAAAAATCATAAATTCTCCTGTTTTGTAGAGTGAGGAAGGCTTTACAGCTCAGCCTCAATGGAATTATGAAAATAGCTACTTTGCTATTTATTTCTTTAAACAAATTTTCTTGTATACATTAACCAGCCATATGGATTTCTGTAAACCCTCTCCTATGCAACTCACCTATCACTCATACCACTGCCAGATTCAAAAAAGGAGAGGAAATGGGGGGAGGTTTATCTGGAACGTTCTGGCCTCATTCCTAGGTATCCCATCTGAAGGGCCTCAGGGAAGTAGGTTGACAGTGAGTTATACTTCACTAATCTTCCTCCCTTGAATCCAGACATTCAGATCTGCCTGAGAAGTCCCAAAAAGCATTTGGATGTAATGTAAAAGATTCATTTTCCATTTTAGTAAGGCTATGTGTTCCAGATTCCAACAAACATTTTGGTAATTTCCATCAAATAACCAACTAATTCTGTCTGTATATTTTGGGGTGGGTGCAGTAGTGGTGGTGGTGAAGAAATCAGTCAAACCAATTTTCACATTGCACTGGCTGGGATATACACAGACTCTGCTCTCTACCAGTATCATCTCTCTACTTCACACTTCTTTTAAATTAGTAGGCACCTTCCTACTCATGTATGTTCCTCCTTGCTCTTAGTGCAGCAGAGGGGAATATACCACTAACTCTTATAGAGTATAATATTTTGTTAAGTATGAAAGGGCATAAATCAAGCATATACATATGGTGACTAACTGTTCAGACTGGCAGTGGTTTCCTAGGACATGGGACTGAAAAAGCACCCACACACACAGACACACAGACACACAGACACACACACACACACACACACAGACACACACACACACACACACACACACACACACACACACACAGAGTGCAGGACCTGCAAAATAAACATTACTAAAGCTTTTAGAGTTTAACATTTCAAGCCATTAATTTTTTTTTTGAAATCTACTAAAATGTAAGGTAGTTAAAAAAAACCATTACAGCAACTGGGAATTGTAGGTAGAAGGCCACAAGAAGCAAGGGCATTTGTAGGCTCTTATTTATATGTGTTTTTCTTTCTAACAGCTGCCAATCCTCCAAGTCAGGAAATATTTACACATGTTCTAGACATCTTCCTGATGGTATGAGACTCTCTTGAAGCCATCCTTATACTTGGCCATGCCAATAACACTACAGCAAACTACAGTACCCAGAGAAAAAATATACTCTTTCAAGCTTCCTAAATGACTCATTCAGCAGAAAGTAATAAAAAAGTAAGGCTAATATTTCCATCCTTTGGAAATATTTATCTCTACACAGTGCCACCTTTTTATAGTCAGAATAGAAAGTTACTTAGGTGGTATAATTTTGAAAGGCCAACCTGTCTCCAGCATTGGCTTAACAGGGTGTCATTACTCAGTCCTTTCCATCAAGGCACATCTGCAGAGAGCCCCTGTAAAAATAGTCATTCCGAGGGGTCGGGGTCATTTTTGCACATATCGTTTTAGTTCCAGAAGAAATTGTGTCAAGTACCCATATGTATAAGGTATTGTGCTAGTCCCAAAGAGATCACAAAGGTGATTAAGATAGATTTTTTGGACATAGCCAATGTTTCTCATAACATCTACTTGTAGAATGATAATACTACTAATAAAAGGAGTATATGAGTGTGGGCAACAGAAAATATACAAAACAGTCTGCATTGAAATTTCTGCTTGCCATTTATCCCTTATGCCCTGCTGCCTAATATGTACAATGCACTTTACTAGGTATTCTAAGAGTAGATTTGAAATGAAACAGTCCAGGTTCCTGCCCTTAAAGAAATTCATGAACTAAAGACTAACGAATTCTTAGGCATCCACCCCAAGCTTTGTAACTGGTTTTCTACTGTCATTGAAACACTTTGTTTTGTGGAAAGGTGGGAGGAATTCAGCTGCTTGCAAAATTCTTGTAGAGGTTAACCACCAGGAAAGTCTTAAAGCTGTAATTTCTGTTCAAACCTGCATGCTCATCTGATGAGAACAATATAAGAACAATTTTACTTAAATAGCACACCTTGTATTTACCTCCTCACCTGCAAACCCCTACTGTTTCCATCCACCTGCTTAACTCTCTGCCTCTGCCACCCTCTAACCTTCCAAGCTATAGCCACTTAGACCTACATGTAATTTATTCAGCCCAGACTCTGGGATCTCTGTTCTCAGGCAGGGAACAAATGAGGGTCCCCTAAGTTTTACATATTTTAATATTCACTCATGTTTTCAGAAATACATTCATTAGAAAATACACAAATTGTTTTTTAATGTGTTGATTTTTAAAATTCCTACCAATCAGAAACCAATCATGTACAAGCAAAGCACTAACTTTCATTGATCCTTTGTTGTTTCCCTCTTTTCCAGGGCTCCCAGTAGAAGCAATAAAACAGGAAAAACACCCTTGCCTCAGAGATGGGCCCCTGCCCACAAGAAGAGAGTGAAGAGGTTGACAGTAAGTACTTCTCTACCTTCTCATGGCTTCCAGGAGTCTGAGTAGAAATTTAGTCATCAGCTTTGAGTATCCTGTAAAGACTATCTGCTTGTCCACATCCATTTCTGAAATCTATTACGTTCCAGAAAAAGACCCTAAGACTAGACTGTCTTAGTGCCCATCATGAAGGAAACAAATATGTTGGAGAGACACATCATTAAAGATCTTCATTACCGACCTCAGCTCATTAGTTTCTTGTAAATTTTTGCACTTGGGCAGATTGTTTTTTCAATTGGCTAATCTAATTGAATGTTTTTTGACTTTGGTTTATATCTGTTGAGCTGAATATACTATATTATGATTAAGATACAGACCTCGGGCCAAGCAAATTTTGGTTTAAATCCTGACTTTGCAAGGCAATATCTTAGCTTTGTGAACCTATTCAGTAACTCAGGTTCTTGAATCCTGTTTGCTCGTTTGTGAGATGGTAGGATGATGAAAACAATGGTAGCTACCTCATAATGCTCTTATGAGCTGTAAGCACTCAGTAAATGTTATCCATTTTTAGAACATTGAGGTCACTATCTCTAAAGTGACTAATATTTAAATCTCCATCTTTTTCTCACCCAGTTCAAACACTCAATAATTTTATTTATTTTATTTTATTTCTCAGAGTCAAGAAAAGCTGTCTTTCTCTGAGGACTCTTAGACTTCTCCTTTTAGATCATGGTGGTATTTTTGTTTTGTTTTCTCTTCAGAGTTAATGATTTATACAAAATGTTACTGGCAGTGCTTAGAATATAATCAATCTTCTTTCCCTCAGGGGACCCTGAACAATCTAACCTTCTTTCCCTAGTCATAAAGGGACTCTGGCTAAGAAGGACAAACCCAAAAGGAGCTTTCTTAGTTTTCTAACACAAATTACACATAAACTACCGTCATATCATAATTTCTACAATTGAAATAACACAAAATTCCCACTTCATTTTCCCTCTCTTTATGCTCTGGTAGAGGAGGAATTTATTACAACCTGGGTGTAGGTAAGCAGGAAAAAATAAAACTGCAGGATAAAAATCTGTTTATGTCTTTTTATATTCTTTGATATTTTAATTTAGTCTTACTGATAAGCTGCTTTTTAGAAGCCTGCCTTCAGAGTAGCCTCAGCATCATAAAATTATAAGAGCTTCCACTTTTCTTTTGACACCCTCAGAGAGCTACAGCAGCACATTAATCTCCAAGTGCGATTTTGGCACCACCCACACAACTACCTTAGACACAGATGCACAAGTATGGTAGAATGTTGGAAGTCCTAAAATCAAGTTAGGACTATTCTTATTTCAAGAGTAACAACTGTTGAAGTGCTATTTTCCAAAGAGTGTTTCATGAAATGTGATGAGGACCTAGTTAACTAGTTTTTAGTGGTCAACTACTAGACGATAAACTAAAGCAAGAACTTGTGATACTTCAACCACCTTAACAGAATTTACTCTGAAAATCTGACCATAATTATATAACTCTCTCTCTATGTATATATATATATATACACACACACACAGACACATACATACATATATATACGCAAAAGCAAAATAAAACAAAATTTGCTTTTTGATATATTAAAAAGTACATTATTACTTCTAACACTGCCCAACCCACCCTCATCACTCTATAAAGTGGTTTATAAAATATTGTACAGATAAATTTTCCTAGGACTAATATATTAAAAATAGCATTAAATATATAAGCTTAGCAGCAATCAGGCAATTTTGTATGCCTATTTTTAAGGAACTGCATTATTTCGCCATGGAGATTTATACTTACATTTCATAAAGATTTTCATAATTGGGATGTTTTTATCTGGTTGACCAAAGCCACCATGCTATAAAGAATTTATTAGTTTTGGCTTTTGTTTAGAAATGTGTATTTGTCTCCAAATATTTAAATTTATTTTTCCTGCTCCTGGAACAACTTTATAACAATCAACTGGATTAAGCATCTGCAGAAATGACATAATATATTTTGTGTTACCCAAATACACCAAATACATAATTTGAATTACTTCCCAATATATATCTGTGAACATATTAAGCAGATTAGAGTAGTTGTGAAAAATAATTATGACTTCTTGGGAGCAAAAATCCCATGACATTTACTTTCCCCTTTCATACCTGTCAGCTACCAACTGCTTCATCCTCCCTCAAGATTTATTGGGAAGCAAAAGAAAATTTTGGTATAACATAATAAGAAAAAGTAAAGCCTGCAACTCAGAGGCCTGGATTCTATTCCACAGTTGGAGAGTTGTCACGGCCAAGATAGAAATATTCCATTTTTCTCCAAGGCCTGTAAGCCTCAGCAATTTCCACTAATTTGGTCCCCTGAGTCTCAATTTATTTAGCCTATGCTGTTTTTTTCACCCCCATTGCAAATATTCAACCTGTTTTCTTATTGAGGAAAAACTTGTTCTTGGAGTCTCATTCTTTAGAAGCTTCATTAGACTTTCTACATACAGGAACAAAAACAAAAAAACTATGTCCCAATTTCCTCTTTTCATTTTTTCCAATCTCTCTCACTCCTTTCCATTACCCATCACTCCCTCTTCAAATAAAGCGGTCACGGTCATACAGAAAATACTTCCTTCCTTATCTCTACTAAAACTAACTTAATAAAAATGACCGCTCCTAAAAAATGTATTCTGATCATTCTAACTAGCAACTAGTATGTAACATGATACTTGGGACATACTGTGCATTCAATAAATGTATTTTTTAAATTTTTATTACAGAATGGTTTACACATTCAAATCAATGTTAATAGGTAAATTTAATGTTTTCTATGCTAGAGCAGCTTGAGGGTTCCTTAAGAAATATCAATCCCTACTTTTGAGGCACATTATCACAATGTCACAGGATGAAGGTGGAACCAAGACATAGCTCTGGACTTGTGGCACTGTACTATGAAGACACAATAGCCTAGTATGCCTGTGGCCTCAACTCAGCTTCAGCTTCAGCTCCTGCTTCAGAAACTTGCAATGTATAATGAAATGCATAGTGCTATGTGCTTTAAGGGGTGCTCAAGCATTATTTGTTGGCTGACTTAATTAAGCTATATTTGCAAAATGGCAAGGATGTGAGGGAAACTTTTCTACCTAAAAAGAAAGCATTCACAGTGCTAGACATTTGGTAGGCAAATAAACAGTATAATTTCAGCCTAAAAGGAAAAATACTCAAACCCCCATCCAATAGGCCTAGTGGCTAGGCAACCCAAATGTCAGCACTGTGTTTCTGAAATGTAATTTAAAATATCATAAATTGTATGTCATCAACTTTGAGGACAACATTCCTTTCCTTCCTTTCCATTCCCATTCCCTGCACCAACTTCAAATCCAGAAAATATAACTAATAAACATAAATCTCAACTGTCTGGTGAGGTTTGCAAATAAAAGCAATGTGTCAGGCGGTGATTTATAAAACCAAATTTAAGGGTGATGCATTGTTTTGAAACGAAATTTCCATATTTAATTGTATACTTTCAGAGTGCAAACAATTCAGGAATTTGCTCCTGACTGTGACCTTCATATACCTCACTTAATCTACTGACCACCAAGAAGACAGATGACTCCTGTGATCTCTTTCAAGGATGGATGCTCACATATGGCCATGGTCTGTTTTTAGGTGTTAAAACAATAAGAAACTTGGGGTGGTCCCTTTCTTCCACCAGCATTTAACTGAGTTTCAACTAGGCATCAGCGTACATGGCAATTAGGCTGTATGCCCAACTGTAGAAGTTTACTCTATTTCAGGTGAATTTTTCCTTTGCTTGAAATGGTTGCCTTGAATCCTTTCCCATTCCTTTTTCTGTCCTCACCACCTGCAAATGGTAACGTAGGAGTAGGTGACTGATATTAGGGGTGTAGTCAAGACCTCATGAAGGGCCAAGGCAAACTCATTCATTCTGGATACCAATTCATTGTCTCACCTCACTAGTATTAACCTTAACAAAATGGTGTTAGATAACATATATAATGAAGCATTCCTACCTTCCCAATATACCAGCTACCCAGTTTTACATTCACATTGAGTGTCTTATTAGTTACTGAGCTAAAAATCAGGTCTCACTATCAGGTGGTAAAACAGAAGAAAAGAATAGAAAAACATGTTAAAAATAATTTTATTTGGTAAAAAGTGAAACTACTCCAGCTAATAGCCAATAATCAACTTCTACTGTGTAAGGTGGAGAAGCGACAATAGGATCACTATAATTATGCTGATGACAGTAAGAATAAGAATAGGTTACATTTTACTGAGTGCCAGGCACTGTGCTAGGTGCAATATCTCAGAGCCAGAAGAAAGCCTGGAGATTATAGAGTCTAATACATTTGTTTTATTGTTGAAGAAATGGGCCCAGAAAGTCAAGAAACACGTTTACTGTCAGTTACTGGGAGAGTCAGGTTGCCACCTCCAATTTTGCCACCCTAAAGGTCTTGGTCTCTTTCTTAATACTGTGGTCTTTCTGTGTCTATTGCTCTTGGGGAAATTACTTTTTTTAAAAAGTACCATTAAAAATGAGTTCCAACCTATTTTCTTTTTTCTAATATGGCCTCACATGGTCAAATACTAAACATTCCTCCAATTAAAATGACGACCCATAAACTATGAGACTAGCAGTTAAAGGTGAGGAGAAAACTATATTCTCTAACTCTACTGGGGCAAAAAAGAGAAGACCAGTACTTTCTCTCCTAAAAAGAGAGAAAAATAGAACCCACAATTTCAAGTGAGGCTTGAACTGGCAGGAGGTGGGAGAGGGTGAGAGGATAGGCATCTAATTAGAGGAAAAAGAAGGAAAGGAAGAGGATTACAATAGTAGTGTGAGACTCAGCCTTCATTTCAATGTGCACAGACTTCAGCAGACAGCTGGAAACCTGCCAGGGAACGAAGCCTTGGAAACAAGCTGGAAGACATTGGAGAGACTTTAACCAAAACAAACTCCAGCAGGGGATGTGGTTGGCAGCACTGAAAAAGCAAAGGACTCTATGAGTCACTCTGACATTAATTTTGAATGGTATCATGCTTCTATTTTGCAGTACAGGTTATTTATGCAACATTTGGTACTGTCTAATACACACATATATATAATATGTTAAATATACGTACAGATATATATGTTCTGTACTTAAATATTATATTACAGACATTAGAAAAGAAAAAATCCAATATCTCACTATTCTAATCGTTAATTCACCATTTTTTATCTGCATATTTTAACATAGCTGTAACTGGGGCACAAATATAATAAGGAATACTTTACTTAAGATCTTAAACATAGTTCTATGCTGCTAGATAACTTCATAAATATTGCTTTATAGGACAATGATATATTAGCTGGTTAAAAAGTAATTTACTTCCATCTTTTTAAACTATTGTAATTGAACTTTTAAAAAATAATAGCAACAATAATGATGGCAATAACTGCCGTTTAACAGGTATTTACCATATTCCAAATATTACAAATGTGTACATATATGTATATTGTTTTGATATTTTATAGCACCTCCCAAGGTAGGTATTATTAGCCCCATTTTATAAATAAGGAAACTTAAACTTAGGTTAAGTGACTTGCTCAAGGTTATAGCTAGTTAATGGCTAAGTAAGCACTGAATCAGGTCTGCCTGGTTCAAAGCACGCCCTTTTTTCACCACAATATGCTACTTTTCTTCTGCAATGTATATCTACATGTTTGTCTATGTCTGGGATGTTTATCATATATTTCCAAAAGTTGAATTATTGGTGTAAAGAGGATAAACATTTTTAAGTGTTTATTTACATACTCCCAGATTGTTTTCCATGAGGGTATTGTCAGTGGATAGCACCACCATCCCAAATATTTTTATAGTAATTAGAGGTAGAAAAAAAGAGGTAAAGTCAATGAGTGACAGACGGAAATCATTCTGGTGTAAATGAAGTTTTTTTAAGCATCTACCTTCTGTAACAAGGAAGTTTGTACTTGGAAGATCTGATGTTAGAAATTGTTCTCTATCTCTGGATCTGAGTAGGTACACAGAAAATTCTTAGGATTTATAAATGTGTACAGGAGGATCTAGCATATGGTATATTCTTCATGAAGAGTCAGTTAAAAGGAATTAACATGGACTTTTTGCTTTTGATGAGGATGTGAAAGTTGGAAAGTGTGCCACATCCACCCTAACAACAAGAATAAGCTGAATAATCTAGCTAATCGTAACTTTTCTTCAATCTATAGAGAAGTCTCAAGGCAACCAACTAGGCTGAGGTCTGGAGAAAGACAAGCACCTGCAAAAAGAGATGGGACATGAGCATTAGCTCACCTGTGGCTGTAGAGGGAAGACAAGGTCACAACGGAAGCAGGTATAAAGAATTCAACTAAATTTTTCTTTGTTTTTTAATTTTTGTGGGCACATAATAGGTGTATATATTTATGAGGTGCATGAGATATTTTGGTTGCAAGCATGCAAATTTTTAGTGAACTGCTAAAGAGCAAATGTGGGTTAGCATGAGAGTATAGAACCCTTGGAAGCCATAGACACAGGACAAATTTATACAAACATACAGATTTATGGTACAGATCTGATGGAGATGAGAAGCCACTGCAGTGGGAAAGGTAGGAAACCAGGTCCAGTTCCTTTCCTTTTCATGAATAAAAGTCTTAAGCCCTAGGGGAAAGGCAGCAAAGTGTATTCTCCCCAGGGTAAAGATGAAGACCTACTGCAGCTGGGGAAAGGTAAAAAAAAAAAAAAAGTCCTCCAATTTTGGGAGAAGGGCAAGAATTAGTTGTGGGCCCAAACAATTAGAAGTATCCTACCACTAGAAGAGGGAAAGGATAACTAAGAAAGTCTCACTCCTGTGACACAGAGGCCCAGGATCTTACAAGACTGAGGTTGAAGCAGAAAAACAGAGCATTTCTACCTGCCCACACCACCAGGCCAATGAGAACTTAATAAGAAGCAATAGCAGTATACCATTAGGGGAGGGCAACAGCATGGAGCAAGAACCTCTTTGAAGCACAGATACACAAGGAATATGGAAAGTTGAGAAAAGAACAGGGATATTAAGAAAAACTCTCCAGAAGACCAACCCCCACATATGCACAAGGTATTAGAGGAATCTGAAGCTGGTAGTGAACTGAGAGTAACCATATCAACAACATAACTCAAATGTAGTTTATCTTCTTATTAGATTGAGTGAATTCCCATATAAACAACCTAGCTGAAAAAGTGTGCCCATTTCAAGAAATAAATACTATTTACTTTAATTTCTACTGTTCTACATACTATGTCATTTAAACAAAAATTGTGAAATAAAGTAAAATAAAAAACATTCTCAAGAGACAAAGCAATCAACATAACCAGCCTCTCAGAGATGACTTAGATGTTGAATCCATCAGACAGAGAATTTAACATAACTATGATTAATGCATGAAATGCTTTAGTGAAAAATATGAAAAACATGAATAAACAAATAGGGGATTTCAGTACACATGTTAACTATTAAAGAGTCAGGTAGAAATGCTAGAAATGAAAAACAGTAATATAGTTGAAGAATGTCCTTGACTCTCTCATAAGTAGACTTGAAACAGCTGAGAAAGGAATCAATGAAAGTGAAGATAGAAAAAAAATTGATCAAAACTGAAACACAAAGAGAAAAAAAAGAATGAAACACACACAGACACACTCCAAAACAGAACATTTAAGAACTGAGGGATAATATCAAAAGGCCTAACACATATGAAATTGGATTTCCAAAAGAAGAAGAAAGCAAATAGAGTAGAAAAAATATTTGAAAAGATAAAGGCCAAAAATTTCTCCCAAATAATGAAATATGTCAAACCACATGTCCAGGAAGCTAAGAGAACCCCAAAGATCTCTAACCATTATCTCAGATAAATATCCTTTCAACACACACACACACACACACACGCACACACCTCCAGACATTTCATATTTAAACTGCTGAAAAACAAAGACAAAGAGAAAAATCTTAAAGGAAGCCAGAGACAAAATATAAAGGAGCAAAGGTAAGAATTACAGCAGACTTCAGAAACTATGCAAGTCTGAAGACAAATTGGCATGTTTAAACTGCTGAGAGAAAGAAAAAAATAATAACTCTCAATCCACATTTTATACACAGTGTGAATATCTTTCAAAAATGAAGGAGAAATTAAGACTTTTCACACAAAAGCAGATAATTCATTACTCAGAAGCCTTGGACTATAAGAAATATTAGAGGAAGTTTTTCAGGCTTAAGTTGTACACACCAGAGGGAAAGTTGGATCTACACTAAAGAAATGAAGATTCCAGAAATGGTTAAAATGAAGATAAACATAAAAGACTCTTTCTGACTTTTAATTGCTGTAAAAGATAATTGATTAGCTAAATTTTAAAAATAGTAGTAGTGAAAACAGGGAAAAGAGTAAGTATAGGGAAAGTACAGTAGTTTTGTGGGTTTGTAGCATATGTAAAAGCAAAATGCCTGACAGCCATAACCCTAGAGTACACCAGTTGGGAAACCACACAGTGAAGAGGTAGAATACTCCTTGAATCTAGACTGTGATTAGTTTAAGATGTACATTGAAAATCTTGATTGTGGTGGCAGTTATATGACTGTATGCATTTGTCCAAACTCATAAAGTTGTACACTTAAAAGAGTTAATCTTACCAAATATATATTATATCCCAATAAACCCTGATTTTAAAAAAGGATATTCACATGCATAACTTACCTTTTTACCGTCTTACTTTTCTTCTTTTGGTGCCATCACAGTTCATTATCACATGAATGATAATGAGTAGCCATCTTTCTGTGTTGTCTAATTTTAACCTTGCTTCTTACCTTATATGACTCTGAGCTTTTATTTCTCACATCTGGTGGCTCTATACATTTGAATCAGAACAAGTATATACACACACTTACACACACACCCTAAGGAACTAAAATGTGCATACAGCCATGGAGACTGTAAATGTACCATAAATATTTTGTCTATGTATAAGATGTAGGTATCTATGTATAAGATGTAGGTATCTATGTATAAGGTGGCAAAACTGACCTAGATCGCACAAATATTAAATAATCATTCAGTACAGGATGGAATTGAGGTAGCCTAAGCAATATATTTCAGTCTATATTATATCACCCTCTATAGCTTATTGGTTCTGTTAATAGATATGATCAAAATGGTTTGAAAACATTTGGTCATGAATACTAGCATTCCCTCTGTTCCCTATATTCACCAAGGTTCTTTCTGTTTTTAAGACCTGTCCACATGCTATTTCTACTACTCAGTTTCTATGCTATGGGTGCTTTATTTAGTTTATTATTTTATTATTTTTATTTTTTAAGCGATAAGGTCTTGCTCTGTCACCCAAACTGGAGGGCAGTGGTGTAAACATAATCCACTGCAGTCTCAAGCACCTGGGCTCAAGTGATCCTTCTGCCTTAGACTCCTGAGTAGCTAAGACTACAGGTGCACACCCACTGCACCTGGCTAACTTTTTCTTTTTAATTTTTTGTAGAGCTGGGGTCTTGTTTTGTTGCCCAGGATCATCTCAACTCTGGCTTCAAGCAATCCTCCTGCCTTCATCTCTCAAAGTATTGGGATTACAGGAGTGAGCCACAGCACCAGGCCCTATAGGAGCTGTTGTGCAAAGTTTAAAAAGCATACTCCTTTCCCACCTGGGCAGATGAATAAGAAAAGAAGCCCCTCTGGGTAGATGTAGTCCCAAAGTTGCAAGACTTGGCAAGAAAAAAGGCACCCTTTTCTGAACTAGAAAGAAGCCCCTTCTCCTCTGGGCTTATACTAGGACACCTCTATACAACCTATATGTGGAGGACCTGTGATCAGTCTGCTGTAAGGATCAGCCTAAGGACAGTAATCCGGTTTTTGAGCAACAGGCCTGGGGAAAAAGAACACTGCAATTATATAGAACATTACACAAGATTGAGAAAATGTCAGTTCCCCATATTAGAGAATAGAAAGGTACCTGATCAGTGTGATATGGCTACTAAAGCACCCCATCCCCAAACCAGCCCTTAACACTGTCCATGCCTCCACCTAGAATGTATTAACATCATCCTCCACAACCACACCTTTTCTTGGTTACCTCATATTTATCCTTCTGATATCAGTTTAACGGTCACTTTCCCTTTCCAGGGAGTGGGAGATCAACACTGACATTTCAATCTAAATTAAGCCCCCTTGCTTTATGCTTTTACATCACTAAGAATTTTCTTACAGATCTTATATTACAGTTGCAATTACAGTCATCCTTCAGTATCTGTGGGGGACTGGTTTCAGGGCCTCCCGTGAACACTAAAATCAGGGCATGCTCAAGTCCCTGATATATAATGGCACAGTAATTTTTTTTTGCATATAACTTACGCATATCCTCCAGTATAATTTAAGTGATGACTAGATTACTTATAACATTTAATTCAATGTAAATGCTATATAAATAGTTGTTACACTTTATTGGTTAGGGAATAATGACAAGAACAAAAGTCTGTACATTACGCATTTTTTTAATTTTTGATACAATGTTGGTTGAATCCATGGATGTGGAACGCACAGATACAGAAGTATACAGTTATTTGTGTGCTTACTTATGTAATGTATGGCTCCCCCAACAAACCCAACACATATAACATATACATACTTACTCACATACATTTCTCAACCATAAGCCCCAAAAGAGAAGGGACTTTATCTGCTTTGTTCATCATTTTATTCCCAGAGACTATCACAGCATCTGCACATACTTAGTGTTTACCATAAGTAATCACTAAATAAATTCAGATTTTTTCTTGTTAGATTCTTTAGAAAATTTTATCACACATGTGCACACTCAAGTACACAGTATGATATAGAATGTTATGAAAACATTCCTTTTAATAACATTCAGTTTTCAGTTGAATGTGAGTATTTAGAATGGTATGGATGTATACTATAAGACAAGTGATATCTTATTTGGGTATATCTTATTTGAATTACTTCAATTTTCCATTGGTGACTTTATTTTCTGCTAATTTTTAGATGTTATGTTTGGTTGGTTGGTACACTATAGATTAGCCAATCCATTACTTTTGTGATAATAAACAGTAATTCTTACAGGTGTCACTGGGCTATCTAATTTGATTTCTCTCTCAAAGTGAAATGCCATATTTTGGCATTATGTGATTTGCAGTGTCTGACTCACAATCTTTGTTGTCATTAGAAAATGAAGAATGAATAAATAATGTAAGTCAACTTACCAAATAGATTCTGCCATAAGTACCAAGGCCAATGGTTTTATCTAGTGAGAATATTCCAGTTGGATCCTGCAAAAAAGTAAAATAAAAATTGTTAATCTTCTTAGGAAATTAGGTGAGCATTCAACTATCTTTTTTTTAATATATATACTTTAAGTTCTAGGGTACATGTGCACAACGTGCAGATTTGTTACATATGTATACATGTGCCATGTTGGTGTGCTGCACCCATTAACTCGTCATTTACATTAGGTATATCTCCTAATGTTATCCCTCCCCCCTCCCCCTACACAACAGTCCCCAGTGTGTGATGTTCCCCTTCCTGTGTCCAAGTGTTCTCATTGTTCAATTCCCACCTATGAGTGAAAACATGTGGCATTTGGCTTTTTGTCCTTGTGATAGTTTGCTGAGAATGATGGTGTCCAGCTTCATCCATGTCCCTACAAAGGACATGAACTCTACCTTTTTTATGGCTGCATTCAACTATCTTAAGTGGTATTTCCAATCTGCCTTGTTCTGTTAAAATTTACATGGGAAGAACCTAAATGTCATTTACCAAAATAATAGACATGTCACAATCTCCTTGAACTGACTATACTCATTCATAAAAAAGAATAAGCAGTATGGACATTAAGTAGTCGTGTAATTATTTATCATAAAACTGTAAAATGCACACAATTATGTAAGGCTGAGGCATATTAATGATGTAATTAGAAAGATAAAATAGAAATAAGTTCATTTATTTGCAATGGAAGTACTCTTTTAATATTCTTCTTCTTTTTTTTTTTTTTTTTTTTTTTTTTTTTTTGCGACGGAGTTTCACTCTTGTTGCCCAGGCTGGAGTGCAATGGCGTGATCTTGGCTCACTGCAACCTCTGCCTCCCGAATTCAAGTGATTGTCCTGCCTCAGCCTCCCGAGTAGCTGAGCTTATTTTGTATTTTTAGCAGAGACGGGGTTTCTTCATGTTGGTCAGGCTGGTCTTGAACTCCTGACCTCGTGATCCACCCGCCTCAGCTTTCCAAAGTGCTGGGATTACAGGCATGAGCCACTGCGCCCAGCCGATGTTATTCTTTTGAGTGATAACTAGACAAGCAGAAAATTTAACATGCAACAATGATGACTAGATGTTGGATACAAAGTTTAGATTACTTATTTGAATTATAGGTTGATGCAAAAGTAACTGCGGTTTTGGCATTAGAATAGTGGCAAAACCGTAATTACTTTTGCACCAACCTGTAACAGCTCTTAAAAAAGAAATACCATCACTAAATATGAATAACAAAGCAAGATCATGATATTAAAAGAGCATCATTTTAAGAAAATTAGACAATTTTTTAAAAGTTAAACTTTGCATCTGCTAAATACCTGTTCATGGCACAAAGTGACGTTTTCTGTGGCTTAACCCTAAATGTGGCATCATAGGAAACAAAACATAACATGTTTTGGGATAGAGTTATGAGGCTTCCATATTTATCTTCAAGTATTGTTTTCTTACCTTTAAATATGGGTACTCCTTGATTGTTCACCACAAAATATGGTTTCTTGAATTTTATCACTGTTTGAACTTTTAGTCTAGCAGCCTATTTTGCTATTTTAGCAAAACTTATATAAGGCATGAGTAGATGCCAATTTATACACAAAGTGGTAAGAACATTGGCAAATTCTTGGAAATTCACATACCTTATTGAAAGTTTATTTTATATACACAAACGTTGTTTAATCCTGTTTGAAAACATTTTTATTGCTGTGATAAATATAAGCTAAACAGGAAAACTATTGAGCATATGCAACTTAGATGAATGAAATTATAAACTCCTTAAAACTGCCGTGATATTTGTGTAATCTAGCAAAACTGTCATAGGAAAATGACACAGCTTTGGGATTACATCATTCAATAAGTATTCAACTGGACAGAGAGTCAGAAGACTTGAATTTTAGCCCCAGCTCTACCATTAATTAACTATATGACTCTGGGTAAGTTATTTACTCTCTCTGGGATTCAGTTTTCACATACATAAAATAAAAGTCTTGTGATAGGTGATCTCCCAGCTCTAAAATTCTACAGATAAAAATCATAGTCTATCAGTCATTCTAAAATCTAGATGTTTCCACTGAATTGATAAAAGCATTGTTAGATAAAGCAGCAGCCTAGCAGCTTAGTTTTTCAAAATGATCATCAAAGTTAAGATCACAATACACAGTTATCATTTCAAAGAAATAGTTCCAGAAATATACTCCCAACGAACATGTAATTTATCTAAAATGATAATTTTTAGGATCTAAGAAGTAAAAATAGATCATTATATTACCCTTATTATTAAGCATATCACTTTTGTTATAACTCATTGAAAGATTTATGAGAGAAAAGCCAACAAAAAAGTTACTAGGGACTGACTTGAAGACTTTATCACTGTAGCATATTTATGTGATGGATATCATTGAGGGATTTATTTTAGACATTGTTAATTCTGGAGAAACAGTCTTTGGCCATCTGTCAAAATAATCAAACATGTTAGCTGATTCCTATTGGTAAACTATTCTTTGCTATAGTTAAGGCTGCATTTTAGCTGGAAAAGATACCATATATTAGAGAATTATTGTAACATCTGTACAAGCTTTATTTTTGAATCTTTGAGCACAGTCTTAAATTTCTTTATTCCTTTCTCTAGTCCTCAATAACATAAATACTTTACCCTGATTTGAATACAGTTACCTAATTATTCAAAAAAGACACCAAGGAAATGGACTAGAATAAAATGCCCGTCAAAATTCATGGAGGCCTCATATCTATGTTGGGAAACTTGATTTCTGCTCTCGAATGACCAAACCATCTTTCATACTCATGTTTAATAAAAGAACATTTTAAAAATTTCCTCTTAAAGGCAGCTCAACTTAGTATTCATATATTCTAAGACTATATTGTTTTCTTTAGTTCTATATGCTATTTTTGTTCCCCATCTCCATGCTACTCTCTTTCAAGACTAAACGTTAAATTGGGGAAAAGAGGAGAAGGACTATGCTTAATACTAGGTTAACAACGCCAAATTCCTCATATATTTTGCACTTACAGTCAGAGCAAGTTTATTCTGGGTTTCCAAGGAAGGAAGAATTGGAAAGGAACAATCTTTTTGGTCACTGTGAAAATAGAAGTTCCACGTCAGAGGGGTTTCCATAATTATTTGGTCCTTTCCTCTGCCCTGCCACCTTGAGATAAGAAAACCAGAAGGTAGATGTTCGTATCTATGACTGCTATACCAATTTGGAGATTATTTGGGGGTTTGGTATGTCTTGATGTCCCATTTGGGTATACAAAATGGTCAGTAAAGAAGAAACTAATTTCTAGTTTGTCTTACAATAAATTACTAAAAATCTAAGTCTTAAAACATTTTTGAACCATAAACTGTTAGACAAACCTGTTGTACTTTCGTTATCTCTTTCTATGCATCTAAATTATCTCCTGCAGTTTAAAAGTCCTAGTCTGGCTGCCCACTGAAATCTCAAATTCTGGGGAGTCGTTTCTGTCTCCTGAATTCAAGGGCAGGGAAGAAAGACCATCTTGATGGCTAATTTTAATAAAAGCCAGGGATGGGAGTAACTGGAAGGAAAAGAGCCAATAGAAAGCAGTGTTAACTGGTCAAGGGAGAGAATTTCAAAGCAGAAGCTGATCCACAGAACCAAATATGGCAGAGACTAAGGAGAAAAAGGAACCAAAAATGGTCAACATGAGTAGCAAGAAATTTCAAATTTAGGATAGTAAAGGAGAGTGAGGAAACACGCTCCAGCAGTCAGGCTGCAAAAAGAAGGAGACTGCACAGTACCTTGAAGGAGACAGCAGAGGCTTTCCTCCTTTTATTTGTAATATTAGAAACAGCAATTTTATGAAAAGAGTTTATGGAGAGAGAACATGAAAGGGATGGATATGGCAAGATGAGTGCCTGAGTGAGTTTCAGAGATAGTCAGAGGAATGGGCTTCACAATTTACATGGTGGCATTAAAGGGGAAATCTCTTCATCCAGCCCAGTGTTTCTCAAACTGTAGACTGTATAGACTCTCGCTACGTGAGAATCATCTGGGTAATACTGTTAAAAATACAGATTCCTTGGAATTACGATATCAGAATTTTTGATCATGGGTCCCAAAATCTCCAAATTATTCTTGATTTTTGTGCGCTGTTCTTGTGCACTACCATATGAAAACCATTGCTCTAGAAACTGGAAAAAAGACTGAGAAAATAAACTGATGTGCAGTGTTATGCAGAGGTGATGCTCTATATATATGTAATTGAGGATTATGCTGAATATTTCAATTATAGTTAACTGAAATGAAGGTAAAACTGCTTCTGAACAGGGGGCTAAGGAACTTGGTAAAGTGGGAAATTTCTCATGACCAAATGTGGATAGCAGGCCTGGTCTGGGTAGAGCTGGCAGTTATATTTAAATATAAGCCTAATGTATTTCAAATATAGTTTTTGGATCATGTGCTATTTCAGATAACCTCTGCCACTACTGTCCCCTCAAGGCCTGTCTAATCCTGACCCCAATATAGATTAGGACTGCACATGGCAGTGTCAAATACCAAGGCCACAGCCGTGAGGAATGTCATTACCATACTGGGCACAGAAGGCAAAGGGGATAGTCATAGTGAAAGACATGACAGATTTGGAGAGGAAGAAATAGTTTCCAGTCTCAAGGACACAGGCATACTAGGAATATATATATATTATATATATATTATATATATGATAATATATATAATATATTATATATAATGTATATACTATATATTATCTATTATATATATGAAATATATATTATCTATTATATATATGATAATATATATTTCATATATATTATATATGAAATATATATTATCATATATATTATATATGATAATATATTATCACATATTATTATATATATGATAATATATTATCACATATATATGATCATATATATATCTTACCATATATATATAATCATATATATATCTTACCATATATATATATATCACCCAAACATATATATGTATATATGTGTGTGTGTGTATGTGTATATATATATATATAGAGAGAGAGAGAGAGAGACGGAGACAGAGAGGCATACACGCACATCCCTAGGTATTGCTGGTGGGCAAGGTGAATATACATACACACATATATTACAAAGATATATATAAAGACATAAAGCTTTGTACTTCTCTTTTCAGAAAGGAAACACAAACCACAAATCTCTGCACTTCCTTTTTTGTTTTTTCACCTATAGAAAATATTTATTCAATAGAAAATCAGAAAATTACAGTAACCCATTAATTAACAAACATAATGGAATTGATCTATTGTAATTACATTGGCTCTCTTATTTTGTCTCTGATTTTAGTGCATTACGTGAAAAAGTTATATCATTGTATAAAAGTGAATGTTTTAATGTTGAAAGTTATATAATTTTGTCACCGTTTCTTGTTTCCTAGCTTTCATTCCTGTTTACTCTTTTAGGTTTAAAAATAATATCTATCTAATAACAAAAATACCAAATAACCTACCAATTTCTTCAATTCTCAATTTGTAAAGCAAGTCTATCCTCCCTCAAGGGTCTTTGTCTTGTGGTCATTTAGCTGGCTAGGCCTGCAAAGGACATAATGTATCAATCTTAAACTAGAGTCATATTTATTTATTCTTCCACATTCTGAATGTTTTTTCTCAGTTTGCAACTCCAATGTTTGAATCTTCCCTCATTGTCTGGCTGTTGCCAAATTGGTATACTTGGTGTTTACAGATGGCAATTTTCTGACCTCCACATATGTCCTATTGAGGATAATTACTGCAAGGGATACCATCATATGAAGGTTTCTTTACTTGCTTTATCAACTCTACTTTGCATCAAAATGCAAACTTCAACACAAGTGATTAAGATGTCTCTTCACCTCTTCATTTGGTTTTATTTCTTCAAAAAGTCAGAAAATAAATCAAATGTAAAGAAACCCCAAATCGCTGAAAAATATAACTCAGTGACCAAAGCAACAATAACTTTTCCATGACTAAAAATTTGATAGTAAAGAAAATTCTAAAGGGCATGCTACTGCTCTTCTGCTAGATTTCTTAGGGTTTGAATCAGGGTGTTTGAGGACAGGGGAGAATTATGCATAATTTGCTCAGAGAGTGAAAACCCACACATGAGACAAAATGGCTAATGTATAAAATTTAGAAATTGTTAGAATCTGAGGACTTTATGAGACTTTCATTAAGTCTGGAAAATGAGGCCAAGCATCAATGTCCTGAAGTTTTGTATCTTCTCGCTACTCCCCTTACATTAAAAACCAATCTTATCTTTCTACGCTCCTCACACACCCACTCCACCAACCTCCAGGAAACTAATATTCCACTGAACTGCAATGTAAAGACTGCAGACTTTCCTCTTATCTCCTGGGCTCCACCAAATTCTTATGTCCCAGGGCCATGACCGGGTCAGGTAGTCTGGGCCATTTCCCCACATTTTTTTTTTTTTTTTTGTGGCAGTAAAACCTTTTCTTCTTTTTTTCCTTGGGTTTGGAATTCCCTGTCCTATCATTTCTATGACGTCTTTACCACTCACCCATTTAGTCATATTTAGAAGGGAGTTTATTTCAGTTTGCCCACCTGCCCGCAACAGTTTCACATATCTGCCCTAGTTTGCTTTTTTTCTCTTTTCCCAATCATAGGCAGAGAATGTTGGAGGAAGGGTAACATTTTATTCCTTGGTTTTATACTTTTACTTGGGTGCAAATCTAGTCTGAATATGAAAGTTCTGCTTAGAAAGGAAACCACCAATTGAGGCCTCCATTTTCCGGAAATCTCATGTATGCACACTGAAAGGAAGAAATTCTGGGTGCATGCAGAATGAGAAAAGATTTAATTTTAAAAAGTTCTGTGACATATTTTATGAAGCTGCATAAATAATTGCAACACTAATATCTGTAATTCAAGTTTGCACTGATTTTTTTTAAATGGCAGAGAACAATTTGGTAAAATGTTACCCATGTGTACCACCTTACCTCTCCACATATAGCATCTAATGTAAAATTATATAGGGAAGGCTTTGGGAATGCCCTATTTTTGAGGGAGGCAGGCTTCTGTCATAATCAAAAACACATTCTTTAAATGCCAAATATGTGTAAAATTAAGTCAATCGACTTTGAATAGTCCTATAACCTTAAGGTTAATATTTAGCTTTTTTCAAAGCAAGCAGGCCACTGCCCTGAACTACAGTTGCCTGGTGATCATTCCAGCGCGGTGCCTGCTTATTCCCTTTCGGAGAATCCAGGGGCCTTTTGCATTCAAGACAGGGTGCGAGTGAAATGCCAATCTAAAAAGGGAACTTGAAACACGGATTTGGGTGGGATCCAATATTAGCCAGAAACCAGATGCCAATGAAATAAACTGCGCTGCCAAAATAATAAGTCTACTAATTACGACGGCGATAATAGCTTACCAATCAATTACAACTCTAGAGGGAAGCTGGGCATTCGGGAAAAGATGAGCCCACAAATGAAAACCACAAGAAAAAGCTAAATCTGGTTGGGTAAGGAACACAATATTAAAAAAAAAAAAAATCGAGTGTGCAGAATTCACTCCTTCCCCAAAAGGCGTCGAGTTCTTTCACTCTCACAACACTAAATCAGGAACATTGCCCTGGCAAGAATAAGGTTTTAGAAAGTGTATTAGAAAATAAGAAAAGTGGGACTCAAACGCCTTAATTTTCTAGTCGCTGTCACCTAAAGTAAAGGTCACCCCGCAAGTAAGCATCTCCCATGGCAAAAGAAGCAGCAAACGATGGGGCGGCGGGATAACAGGAAGGAGGAGTACTCTCAGGAAGCCACCCGACGTTGCACTTTTTGACCTCTGTTGGAACGAGCGGGCTAGGACAGGTACTGGAGCTCCGCTAGACAAGGCGGGTCACATATTTAAAATGCCCCGCTGTTTAGGGTCCGCAGCACCCCACTGCCATCTCTTTCTCTGTCTCTCCTTCCCACCGCCCCGTGCCTTTGCCTTTCGTTGGAGTTTGGTGCGGTCCCGGTGCCCAGGGGGCGCCTTTTCCGCATGCCGGCTCCCAGGATCCCCTTCCGCGCCCGGGGGACCCGTCGAAGTCCTGGTCTAGCCCGTTTTGAGGGCGTCCGCTCCCTCCCTCTGGTACGCAGAACCCGCCAAAAGAGAGCATTTCGGGGGGCGACGGGCGTCCTCTACTCACCGGCAGGTGGCCCAGATCCGTGACCTCCCTGTCCCTCCAGCCCCCAGGTCCCGCCATGGCTTCGAGGAGCCGAACGGGAGCGGGCGACTGAATTGGGTGCGCGCAGAGTCTGAGGTGGAAGCGGATGAAGAGTTGAAGGGAGGAGAGAGGAAGGAGGAGGGCGGGAGAGAGGAGTCTGGGGATCGGGGTTCGTGGCGTGGGAGATAGAGGAGGGGAAACGTGTAGTGAAAAGAGTTGGGAGTGGAGGGAAACCGGAGTTTGCGAGGCGGGAAAGCAAGTTGGGCTAAGGCGAGAGAGGAGCCTGAGCGTCAGTCCTGGAGACGAAGAAGCTAGAAGGGTGCTCCGTGTCGAGAGCGCTGTGTCTGCCCCGTCAGGGTGCGCCTCTTTCAGGGTGGGGAGGGGGGCGGTGCAAGGAGAGGGGACCCGGGAGCAGCTCGAAAGGGATTGGTGCAGCGTCACGTCGCCAGGTGGGCAGCCGCCCGGCGGGGAGGCAGGCTAGGAGGGCCACCGGCCGAGGGAGGTGCTGAAGGACTATAACGGTTTGCGAGCAGGCCCTTCGCGGCCTCCCCCGGCCCTCCTGCCCCCTCCCACGTCCACTGCTGCGCCAGCCGCCCCTGCCCCCGCCCCCGCTGGCGAGTGTTCCACAGGAAACTTTTTCCAGGCAGCTGCCAGCCCCGGAAAACCGGTCTCGCTCCGCGCCGCTCCCAGTCTGGGCCCCACAGCCCTGCCACAGTCCAAACAACCCGCGCCCTAGACTTCCCAAGAAACACTTCTGACTTTTCTAGTTGGCTGTTTTCTCTTTCTGTCCCTCTGATTTTATCGCTCCATTTCTTGCAAAGACCTACCGAGTTACAGAAGGAAATGACTTGCCATGGGTTGGGAATCAGTCCTAGGCGAGCACCTATTTGAACAGAGGAAGGCACCGAGTACGCCCCGGGGCTGTCACAGCTTGGCCTTCAAAGCCATTAGCCGAGGGCAAGAGCAGAATGGACAGAGCCGCTGGGAACTCTTCTCCCGGCAGGCCTTATCTCCTCTGGCCCCAGGCTAGTTCGTGCCAGGTCCCAGTCGTTCACTCAGAACAGCACCTGTTCTCAGGTGCGCAGGGTTGAGTAAGACTGACTCGTCTCCAAAGCCCGGCCTGCCCTGGGTCCTAAGTTTTGCATATGCCGTATTCGCAGCGCGCGGAGAAAATTCCTGCATCCCTTCCAGCCTCCAGCGTTCCGGCCGGGTTTCATTCATTCGCTCATTCATTGCAAAACTTTTCCAAGTGCCCAAGTTGTTTGCTTCCGTTTTCCTTTAAAGCGCTGGGGGACTGACATATGGCTTAAAAGAATCTCACAAACGTGATTCAGCTTTGAGAAAGAGCCCCTTGAAACATTCCTGGGAAGGGGAGTCGGTGCATAAACTAACCGCATTCTAAACTCATGCTCTGCAGAGAGCACTTTAGTAAATGTCCCGACACTGCTTACTTTCTCTGGAGCTCCCAGACGGCATTCTGCGCACCCTAACTCCGGGGTCGGAAAGCGATGTGGGGGGACTTGTTTCCTGTTTCTTTCTTTATTTTTTGATTAATAATTACCTACCTCTTCTAAGAAGATTTATACGAATAATTCTTCCCACTGACCTAGAGCTCTCCATTTCTGACTCATTCTTCTAATTTCTGTAATATCTTTACATATTGGTAGATTTTGTTTATTTCCTGTCTGTTTCAATGCCAGAGTTTGACCTCTTTACATTCCTTAACTTTCAAGTCTCAGTGAGCTGTGTAATGGCCACAGCCTGTGTGAGGAACCGGGTCTCGCTAAATAAAGAAAATTCTCTGTTAACGGTTGCAGAGAAAACCAACCACTACCTTCCCCCAAAAACAAACCCGGGTGTGCTGGATCGAATTTTCTCGATAATTCAAATATGATACATATTTGAAATTACACTTTCAGCTATTACACTTTCCAATAATTCAAATCTTGACAATTTTACCACACAAAATAAACCGTTTTAAAACACACTTTAAGAATTCCTGGATGATCAGTAAAACTCTACTGAATCTTCCTAAATGTGAGTCTGAAATTAACATTTCTTAACTAGAGAAGGGCAGGTGAACTAGTTAACAGAAAATTACACTTTTACATACACATTTAGTTTTTAGAAATAAGACACGGAGTCAAAAAATACAACATTTAAAGGAACTCTGAAGAGAATCTTTGCTAAAGGGAAGAGCTGTTCATAAGTCAAAACTTTTTTTTTTTTTTTAACAATACGATTTGCTGAACGTGGGGTGTGGGGGAAAATGCCCCGTGGCCCCTAATGGCAAAGACCGTTTTAGCCTGTCTAAAGGGCAAGTCCAGGCCAGGAAAACAATCCAGGCTAGATCATTGGGCTCACTAGTTGCAAGGCTCTGTGGGAGGCTAGCCACTTGGAGACTCCATAGGGATTAGCCACATGGCTCTTGGGACCGCCCCCCTCCCCAGGTGCGGGGAGGGGAAACTACGTGTTTGACCAGAACTTGACAGGGAACTTACAGATTTTTAAATTTATTGTTATTTTCAAGGGAGAAAGAAGGCATGGAAGAGCATGGAAACTTTACCTTGTAAGCTGGCATTATGGGGATTTTTGTGGCCAGCTTGGGGAAGGTCAGCTCCTCTAGCAGAAGAGAAGGCAAATAGATGGCCTCCAGGCATGGGGCTGTGACCCGAGCACAGCCTTGAAATAGGGCATTTGTTTTCCAACTTCGGGACTTCTTTTCCTTTCACCCTATTAACCATCATCTCCCTGCCTCCTTCCAACATGTTCTTATTTCTCTCTCTCTTTCCTGACTTCAAACTTTATGAAAATAACCCTAATCTGTCCATGGTCAAGGAATTTCTCAGATACTGTTTTACCCTGAAACGATCTCTCTGCCAACATTACACGTCCCATATTTGTACCATCCCCTTCTTCTCCAATCCATTCTGTTATCTTAAGGCCATTAGCCCTTTGGAACTTTTAATTGTTGGTATATTTTAATAGCTAAAATTGATTAAGAGCTTACTGTATGCACCAGACTAAGTGCTTTGCATGTATTATCTCATTTAATTTTGTTGACAATTATTCTAGGTTTTAAATTATTGCCCCCAAGTGTTTAGTCAAGGAAATTGAGGCACAGAGAGATGAAGCAACTTGCCTAAAGCCTCACAGCTAGTAATTGGAAGAGCCTGGCTTCCAACTCAGGCAGTCTGACTCCAGAGTCCACTTGTTGATGACTGTTGAAGGGCCGGTGCGGTGCATATTTTGAGATTGTGTGAAGAGGAGCCAAATGCAAAAAAGCCTCGGGGTAAGAGAGATCAGATGGCATTAGCTAGGCCCCTGAGCTATCCAGTTCCCCCTTCCCCCTTTCAGCCCTCAAGCCCTCCTAACAGAAATAACAGGATTTATAAAAAGAAATGGAACCCAGTCATAGCCTAAGAGTAGGTAGTGACTGCTTAAGCAGATATCACCAAGTGGATCACCTCAGAGCGCAAAATCACGGTTTTTCAAGCTAAGAAACTTCCAGAAAGTAAAACAGCAACTTTTAATGCTAAAAAATTAAAATGTATTCCCATTCCTTCCCGTGAGTTTTTTTGGCTGGGAACAAACCATATTCAGTAAGGACTTGAAGGAGGCTGTGTTTGTGAGCAATCGTGCTTAACAGAACTGAGATGTTACATGGCAAGGTTACAGACAGTAGCCCAGTTGGTAGGAGTACCATGGACATAGTGCCAAGGACATGGGTTTGATACCCTAGAGGATCAGGATGCATCTGTCTGCTCTTTGGCCCTTAATAGCGCCTCCTGCCTTGCCAATTCGCATCCCTTTTACTGGAAAAACAACTCCAAAGTCAGTACTTCCATCTTTGTACACAAAGAACCACATATTCATTTTGCTATGTAAGTTGCTAATCACGTAATCTGAAGAAATTACACTGCAAGGGCATGTGTGTATTATGAAAAATATAGATTCAAAATATTCTTGGTTGTTTCTTTTTTCGTTTACACATTTAAGATTGGCAATATTTACCTTAATAGACACTTATTCAAAAATTTTATTTAAATTTGTTTAACATCTCATAAAACACTTTATTAAAATTTTCAAGCATACAAAAAGGGTCTGCCATTTACTGGTTTTCCTCTACTTTGACACCTCATATATGAAAATTAGTTCTTCTCTTAGCACAAGCTTGCTGTGTACATCAGAGGGCCCTGGGTGGGAATGGTGACATAAGGTTATATAGCAATCTTTTTGGAAAGAAGAGTCCCACATCTGTGATTCCAAACATTTCAGGTCCAATATCTTCCAATATACTTGTGAGTGGCTGGGTAGCCTCTCTGAAAGATCCTCCTAGTAGAGGGAGGAAACTTTTGGGAACCACTAGGCTAAAGGACCTTCTTGAGGTTTTCTTTCTTCTTTTTGGAGACACCTTTGCAAACTGTAGGATTTCCACCACAGTTCGTAACACTCCTGGCACCATTACTTTTGATTTTTCTTACATGCCACTTCTCTGGGGACAAAGCAACAAGCTACCTAATGTTTCTCAAGCTAGAGGTCATGAAATGTGCCTTCTGACCATAGTTTGAAAAGCTTCTGTTGCTTGTCATGGAATGCTCTTAAGCTCAGCATGATTTGAGCTATGCTTGTTTCTAAAATGAGGCCCTGGAAACCCTCAGCATAGCTGAACACGGGTCTTCTTGCTATTGAAAACTGGAATGCTACTCTAAAAAAAGACAATTGTTTTATGAAGACAACTAAAACAGGGAAATTAAGGCCAAAAGTCAGATAGATTTCTGAAGTTGGAAAGAGGCTTCCTTTTTTTTTTTTCTTAGTGTTTCCTATCTTTGGAGGCCATACCATCCTCTTCCAGGAATTCCCAGCCCAGCAACTTCAGGCTACCCATTCTTCCTCACCTGGCACAGATGCACATGGAAATTTATTTACTGTGACACTAATGAAGCTTAAGCTTCAAGGCCTCTCACTTGCACTTCCAATGCCCTAGGAGTGGCCCTAGTAATTCTGTATTGCTAATTTTATATTCCTTACTTTGATGTGGGCTCCTCAAATTATAAAAGCTTCAGACTCAACAAAACTCAAATCTGTCCCTGAATGCACATCTAGAGAACACAGTAAACTTGAATTATGTGTTTGTGTGTGTATAATCTCCATAAATCACTAAGGCTTGACAAAGTAGGAGTTGCAACTAGCAATCCATAACTAGAGAATATGTACTTTTAAAAGAGAAAAAGCCCAGAGTAGCAAAGGAGGAATAGCACTGAATGTTAAGAAGTTATCCATCTATGTAGAAAGGAATATATCACTTAAGCAGGATAGATATCCTTTCAATTGAGGATAAAATGGAAAGAGGAAACAAAAGTAATATTGTTATGAGTGTACGTTACAGACTGATGACAAGAACTATATGGGCAATACTTCTTAACTACAGATCACAACACTGTGGAGGAGAAAGTAATAATGATAGAAAGCATATTATATCTTATATTATTTAATTAGAAAAAATTACAAAATAAATATATGTTTATTTTACAAGTCAAAAAAGTCAAAAGTGAATGCAGAAGAAGGTAATAATAGTCTCTACCTTCTCCATCCAATCATATACCACCTGACCAATACTCCCTCGACCAAAATACTCAAATTTTGAAACAGGAAGAAAAGATTCCAGACAGTGTATATCAGCAAATTTAATGTTGCTTTTAGGGGAAATTGTAGCACAATATTATACAGATGGCTCCTGAAATATGCTTCCCAGGAGCAAGTAGTTGTTCACTAATAATGAGCCATGGCAAACTAGCTCATTTCCTAGTTTGATTTTGTTTTGTTTCATTTTGTTTTGTTTTTGTTTGTTTGTTTTCGGTTTTTGAGACAGAGTCTCACTCTGTTGCCCAGGCTGGAGTGTAGTGGAGTGATCTCGACTCACTGCAACCACTGTCTCCCGGGTTTAAGCAATTCTCCTGCCTCAGCCTCCCAAGTAGCTGGGATTTCAGGTGCCCATCACCATGCCTGGCTATCATTTCCTATTTTGGGTGGTGATAGCAAATTCAATGTAACCTCCTCGATGCAACCCCCAATGAACCAGTCATCATGTTATTCACTTTGTGTGGTCTCCCCCCACATTGAATCAGGACTGACCCTTTGTGGCCAATAGAATATGGAGGAAGTGATAGTGTTGACTCATAAGGCTAGGTCATAAAAGAAACTGAAACTTCTGGCTAGGTCTTTCAGATAGATTGATTTAGGAGAAATCACTTGCCAAGCCTTGAGGACACTAAGGTAGACCTCTGTTAAGGCCTACGTAGAGAAGAACTGAGGCCCATGCTAAGAGCCAACACCAACTTGCCAGCCACATGAGTCAGCCACTCTAGAAGTAGATTTCTCACTTCCACTGAAACATTAAGATAAAAACATTCCCAGACAACATGTGACTATAACTACATGACAGACCCTGAGTCAAGCCACTCCCAAATTTCGGACCCATAGAAAACCTGAGCTATAAGAGAAGATTATTGTGTTAACCAACTAAATTTTGGGGTGATATGTTAAAAGGCAATAAACACCTAATAAATGGGTTTCTCAACCAGCCTGGGCAACATGGCAAAATCCTGTCTCTACTAAAAATACAAAAGAAAAGATTAGCTGGGAGTGGTGGTACATGCCTGTCCTTCAAGCTACTCAGGAGGCTGAGGTGGGAGGATTGCCTGAGCCTGAGAAGTCGAGGCTGCAGTGAGCCGAGATCATGCCACTGCACTCCAGTCTGGGCGACTGGAGGGAGACCCTGTCTTAAAAAAATGTTTTTTTAAAAAGCATTCTCAGCAATTAGACCAGGGTATTACAGTGGTCAATGTATTTTTATTTCAGCAAAAGATTTTATGATATCCTTTTGGGCAAGATAGAAAAATGTGAGCATGTAAAGCAAAGATAGACATATTCATGACTAGTTGAACAAAACAGTTAACTAATGAATCAATGGCAAAATGAAGAGTACTTGCAATATTGTTATAAGGTTATGTTGGGCATAATCAAATAGAATTTTCTATGGTGGTGAAAATGTTTTATATCTATATCATATATTTATTATAGCCACTAGAACTGTGTGGCTACTTGAAACATGCCATCTTAGGAACTGAATTTTTAATTTTAATCAAAGGAAACTTAAATTTATATAGACATATGGCTAGTGGCTATTGTATTAGTTAGTGCAACCCTGTACAATTTAAAAAATCAGATTCATTAAACTTTAGAGAAAAAAAGAAATAGAAAACCAAGGACAGATACTCTAAAAGGAATGTGGTACAGATTTTCTGTCCTTGGCTCAGTGTTCAACTTACTTATCAATGTTTTATGTGACAACATGAAAGACATGAACATAACTTTTGTTGATGAACCCCAATGGGGAACAATTATTAATTTATATGTTGACAGTATTTTTCCCGGGTTTGGCACTCCAAGGTCAGAGCAAGAAGGGAGTTGAGCTAGGGAAGTGATTGGGCTGAAACATAGGTAGTTTTTAGGGTTAGTTCAAAGGAAAGGGTCCCAAGGCCAGAACAGGGTAGAGGAGACAAGCAATAAATTGGGCATATAGGCTTGGGAGGCAGCAAAGCAGACAAGCTGAGAAGATAAAACTAGAGATGAGACTGGAGCTGACAGGAAGCTAGAATGATGAATGAGCAGGGGGTTAGGAAAAGGAGGCAGGGGCCAAACTGACATGGATCAAGGAATAAGCATAGATGAAGGCCAGTTCATGCTTGTTTATGGCTGCCTGGTTCCTCCTGTTGTTTTTGCTTTTGGTTTTTTGCATTCCCTCTGGGCATGGGCTGAAGCATTAAAGAAGCAGATCCATTCTTCAGAGAAACAGATAATGCAGGAGCCTGGAATTGTTAGCCTAAACCAACCAGATGGCATTTTACAGTGATAAGTGTGAAACTCTGCAGCTAAGTTAAAAAAAGAAAAGAAAAGAAAAGAAAAAAAAGCAAGCAATTGATTCTGTAAGCATGGGATGTGAGAAACCTAGCTTGAAAAGTAATGTTAATCTGGTGCTACAGTGACACCAGAGAGACCAGTAAAATATCCAAATCAAGGGCAATCATCTTAACTGCACTCTATACTAGGCAGACATTTGAAGAGGTGTAACTATTTCAGAATATTACATTTCAAACAAATTAAATAGTTTCCAAAGTAGTAGGATGGTGAATAATTCAGAAATCATGACATAATTGGAAAGTTTTGAAGAATGAGTACCATGTAGAGTTTTGGAGGGGAAGGCTTAGGAGACAGAGTAGCTATTTTCACATATTTTTAATGGGAAGTCACAAGGAAGAAGGATCAATGGATAGGGGTTATAAAAAGGTAAAATTCAGAGTAATTAAAGAAGAGTATTATAACAATTATCCCTGTTCAGAGCAACTAAAGGAAAAATATTCTAACAATTATCACAGCTGCTTTCTAAAGGAGAGAGTTCTAACTGGAAATAGTTCATGCATAGACTAGATGATCATCTGCACCAGATTTGCATTAAAAACTCATGGATTAGAAGACAGATAGAACTAAAGCAATTCTAAGTCCTTTCCAATTCTGAGAAATTATGCAACTACTATTCTTTTCAAAGGGCATTGCTCTTCTGTTTCCAACATAGGGGCATGTACTATTCTTAAGTCACACCCAGGAAAGTACGTTTTATATAAGGTCACAGAACAAATGCGACACTTGGTTAGAATGCAAAGGCATAGCTAGCTATTTTTGTATGTGGTGCAAGTACTGAGCAATGCAAACATTGCTACCACTCCTTCCGTCTCCCCTTAGCCCTCTCCCACTCCTATGCATTACTATGCAAAATGCACTATCATTACGGTCTGCAAATATCTACTTCCATCTCCGTTTTTCTCTTTGTGTTATTTAGCATTGAGAAGAGTCTCCAAGGTCAGATAGTGTGTGTGTGTGAGACCGGGGGTGGGTATTGTGTCAATCTCTGGGAATGTATCTGAGAGATTGTGCTACTCACCCAACCATAAGTTATGGGACATATCCAATCAATTACTTCTCTTTTAGTGATTCCAAGGGGAATCTGTGAGAGGGTAGTTCTTGCCCTACATGATATACATTCTCCTCCAAGGAGGATGATGAAATTACAGCAATATTATTCTTTAAGACTTTTTTTCTTTACTGGAATTTTTAACATTACAATAGTTATACAAACTTGTAACAAGTCAAATGATACAAGGATGTGTAAAGAAAAAGTTAATAAATTGCCTCCTCCCATCTCACCCCACTGTTAATGTTAACAGTTTGGGTTTTTATCTTTCCATAGCTTTATATTTGCTAATACAAATATAGGCAAATATACACAAACATATTTCCCCTATTTTTCAAAATAGGAAGAGAGGATCAAACTATACATATCATTCAGCAACTTGCCTTATTTTACTTAATATGTTATGTACATCAGGACATATAGGAGTAAGTTACTCTTTTAAGAGCTACAAACAAAGATTCACAGATTTGATCACATGAAAACTAAAATGAATCAATGAACATGAAAATATATTTGCAACACATATGACCAACAAATGCTTAATATCCCTACTACCCAGGAACACCTACAAATTTATGAACTAACTAATGGAAAAATGGGCAATACCAATGATCAGGCAATTCACAGAAGAAGACATATAAGTAGCCAATAAGTATAAGAAAACTTGTTCAACTTTACTAGTAATCAGGGAAATGCAAACACAAAGAAAAAGCAAATTTTATTAAAAATTACAAAAGTAGTAAAACCTCATTTTATAAACAGGGTAATAGTCAAATAGAGGTGTATAAAGAAAAACTTACTAGTTTACCTTTGCACCTGCTGTCTCATTCCCTGTGAGGTAATCATACTTACTAGCTATGACACAATTTTGTATGATCTTACAAACATATACAAACTCACAATAAAGGTCTTTTAAATAAAAATAAGATCTCCCGGGTGAGGCTGGCAAGATGGCCAAATGGGAACAGCTCTGGTCTGCAGCTTCCAGCAAGATAAATGCAGAAGGCGGGTGATTTCTGCATTTCCAACTGAGGTACCAGGCTTATCCCATTAGGACTGGTTAGACAGTGGGTGCAGCCCATGGAGGGTGAGCCAAAGCAGGGAGGGGCATCGCTTCACCTAGGAAGCACGAGGGGTCAGGGAACTTCCTCCCCTAGCCAAGAGAAGACCTGAGGGACTTTGCCATGAGGAACCATGCATTCCAGCCAGGATACTACTCTTTTCCCATGGTCTTCGCAACCTGCAAACCAGGAGATTCCCTTGGGTGCCTACACCACCAGGGCGCTGGGTTTCAAGCACAAAACTGGGCGGCCATTTGGGCAGACACTGAGCTAGCTGCAGGAGTTTTTTTTTTCATACCCCAGTGGCTCCTGGAACACCATTGAGACAGAACTGTTCACTCCCCTGGAAAGGGGGCTGAAGCCAGGGAGCCAAGTGGCCTAGCTCAGCAGATCCCATCCCCAAGGAGCCCAGCAAGCTAAGATCAACTGGCTTGAAATTCTCGCTGCCAGCACAGCAGTCTGAAGTCGACCTGGGAAGCTGGAGTTTGGGGGGTGGGGGCGGAGCATCTGCCATTACTGAGGCTTGAGTAGGTGGTTTTCCCCTCACAGTGTAAACAAAGCCAACGGGAAGTTCAAACTGGATGGAGGCCACTGCAGCTCGGCAAAGCTGCTGTAGCCAGACTGCTTCTCTAGATTCCTCCTCTCTGGGCAGGGCATCTCTGAAAGAGAGGCAGCAGCCCCAGTCAGGGGCTTATAGATAAAACTCCCATCTCCCTAGGACAGAGCACCTGGGGAAAAGGGTGGCTGTGGGCACAGCTTCAGCGACTTAAACATTCCTGCTGCCGGCTCTGAAGAGAGCAGTGGATCCCCCATCATAGTGCTCGAGCTCTGCTAAGGGACAGATTGCCTCCTCAAGTGGGTCCCTGACCCCCGTGCCTCCTAACTGGGAGAAACCTCCCAGCAGGGGTCAACAGACACCTCATACAGGAGAGCTCTGGCTGGCATCTGACGGGTGCCCCTCTGGGACGAAGCTTCCAAAGGAAGGAACAGGCAGCAATCTTTGCTGTTCTGAAGTCTTCACTGGTGATACCCAGACAAACAAGGTCTGGAGTGGACCTCCAGCGAACTCCACCAGACCTGCAGCAGAGGGACCTGACTATTAGAAGGAAAACTAACAAACAGAAAGAAATAGCATCAACATCAACAAAAAGGACGTCCACACACACAAAAAAAAACTCATCCAAAGGTCACCAACATCAAAGACCAAAAGTAGATAAATCCATGAAGATGAGGAAAAACCAGCTCAAAAAGGCTGAAAAATTTCAAAAACCAGAACACCTCTTCTCCTCCAAAGGATCACAACTCCTTGCCAGCAAGGGAACAAAACTGGATGGAAAATGAGTTTGACACCTTGACAGAAGTAGGCTTCAGAAGGTGGGTGATTACAAACTCCTCTGAACTAAAGGAGCATGTTCTAACCCAACGCAAGGAAGCTAAGAACCTTGAAAAAAGGTTAGAGGAATTGCTAACTAGAATAACCAGTTTAGAGAAGAACATAAATGACCTGATGGAACTGAAAAACACAGCACGAGAACTTCTTGAAGCATACACAAGTATCAATAGCCAAATCAATCAAGTGAAACAAAGGATATCAGAGATTGAAGATCAACTTAATGAAATAGAGTGAAGAAAAGATTATAGAAAAAAGAATGAAAAGGAATTAACAAAGCCTCCAAGAAATATGGGATTATGTGAAAAGACCAAACCTACGTTTGACTGGTGTACCTGAAAGTGATGGGGAGAATGGAACAAAGTTGGAAAACACTCTTCAGGATATTATCCACGAGAACTTCCCCAACCTAGCAAGACAGGCCAACATTCAAATTCAGGAAATACAGAGAATGCCACAGAGATACTCCTTGAGAAGATCAACCCCAAGAAACATAGTCGTCAGATTCACCAAGGATGAAATGAAGAAAAAAATGTTAAGGGCAGCCAGAGAGAAAGGTCGGGTTACCCACAGAGGGAAGCCCATCAGACTAACAGTGGATCTCTCTGCAGAAACCCTACAAGCCCGAAGAGAGTGGGGACCAATATTCAAAATTCTTAAAAGAAAAGAATATTCAACCCAGAATTTCATATCCAGTGAAACTAAGGTTCATAAGCGAAGGAGAAATAAAATCCTTTACAGAAAAGCAAATACTGAAGAGATTTTGTTACAACCAGGCCTGCCTTACAAGAGATCCTGAAGGAAGCACTAAATATGGAAAAGAAAAACTGGTACCAGCCACTGCAAAAACATACCAAATTGTAAAGACCATCGACACTATGAAGAAACTGCACCAACTAATGGGCAAAATAACCAGCTAGCATCATAATGACAGGATCAAATTCACACATAACAATATTAACCTTAAGTGTAAATGGGCTAAATGCCCCAATTAAAAGACACAGACTGGCAAAATGAATAAAGGGTCAAGATCCATTGGTGTGCTGTATTCAGGAGACACATCTCAGGTGCAAAGACACACATAGGCTCAAAATAAAGGGATGGAGGAATATTTACCAAGCAAATGGAAAGCAGACAAAAAAAGCAGGGGTTGTAATCTTAGTCTCTAATAAAACAGACTTTAAACCAACAAAGATTAAAGGCAAAGAAGGGCATTACAAAATGGTAAAGGGATCAATGCAACAAGAAGGGCTAACTATCCTACATATATGCACCCAATACAGGAGCACACAGATTCATAAAGCAAGTGCTTAGAGACCTGCAAAGAGACTTAGACTCCCACACAATAAAAGTGGGAGACTTTCACACCCCACTGTCAATATTACACAGATTGACAAGGCAGAAAATTAACAAGGATATTCAGGACTCGAACTCAGCTCTGGACCAAGCAGACCTAATAGACATCTACAGAACTCTCCACCCCAAATCAATAGAATATACATTCTTCTCAGTATCACATCACATTTATTCTATAATTGACCACATAATTGGAAGTAAAACACTCCTCAGCAAATGCAAAAGAATGAAAATCATAACAAACAGTCTCTCAGACCACAGTGCAATCAAATTAGAACTCAGGATTAAGAAACTCACTCAAAACCTCACAACTACATGAAAACTGAACACCTGCTCCTGAATGACTACTGGATAAATAACTAAATTAAGGTAGAAATAAATAACAAATTTACAAGAAAAAAACAAACAACTCCATCAACAAGTGGACAAAGGATATGAACAGACACTTCTCAAAAGAAGACATTTATGCAGCCAAAAGACATGTGAAAAAATGCTCATCATCACTGGCCATCAGAGAAATGCAAATCAAAACCACAATGAGATACCATCTCACACCAGTTAGAATGGTGATCATTAAAAAGTCAGGAAACAACAGGTGCTGGAGAGGATGTGGAGAAATAGGAACAATTTTACACTGTTGGTGGGACTGTAAACTAGTTTAACCATTGTGGAAGTCAGTGTGGCGATTCCTCAGGGATCTAGAACTAGAAATACCATTTGACACAGCCATCCCATTACTAGGTATATACCCAAAGGATTATAAATCATGCTGCTATAAAGACACGTGCACACATATATTTATTGCGGCACTATTCACAATAGCAAAGACTTGCAACCAACCCAAATGTCCAACAATGATAGACTGGATTAAGAAAATGTGGCACATATACACCATGGAATACTATGCAGCCATAAAAAATGATGAGTTCATGTCCTTTGTAGGGACATGGATGAAGCTGGAAACCATTATTCTCAGCAAACTATCGCAAGGACAAAAAACCAAACACCGCATGTTCTCACTCGTAGGTGGGAATTGAACAATGAGAACACATGGACACAGGGAGGGGAATGTCACACACTGGGGTCTGTTGTGGGGTGGGGGGAGGGGAGAGGGATAGCATTGGGAGATATACCTAATGTTAAATGACGAGTTAATGGGTACAGCACACCAACATGGCACATGTATACATAAGTAACAAACCTGCACATTGTGCACATGTACCCTAAAACTTAAAGTATAAAAAAAATTGATGACCTAAATAAAAAATAAATAAATAATGAAAAAAAAGAAATAAATAAGTTCTTCAAAACCAATGAGAACAAAGAGACAACATACCAGAATCTCTTGGACACAGCTAAAGCAGTGTTTAAAGGGAAATTCATAGCACCAAATGCCCACAGGAGAAAGCGGGAAAGATCTAAAATCAACACCCTAACATATACATTTAAAGAACTAGAGAAGCAAGAGCAAACAAATTCAAAAGCTAGCAGAAGACAAGAAACACCTAAGATCAGAGCAGAACTGAAGGAGATAGAGACATGAAAAACCCTTCAAAAAATCCATGAATCCAGGAGATGTTTTGAAAAGATTAACAAAATAGATAGACTGCTAGCCAGACTAATAAAGAAGAAAAGAGAGAAAAATCAACTAGACACAATAAAAAATGATAAAGGGGATATCACCACTGATCCCACAGAAATAAAATTACCATCAGAGAGTACTATAAATACCTCTACACAAATAAACTAGAAAATCTAGAAGAAATGGATAAATTCCTGGACACATACAACCTCCCAAGACTAAACCAGGAAGAAGTCGAATCCCTGAATAGACCAATAACAAGTTCTGAAATGAGGCAGTAATTAATAGCCCAACAACGATAAAAAGCACAGGGCCAGACGGATTCAAAGCCAAATTCCACCAGAGGTACAAAGAGGAGCTGGTACCATCCCTTCTGAAACTATTCCAAACAACAGAATACGAGTGACTCCTCCCTCACTCATTTTATGAGGCCAGCATAATCCTGATAGAAAAACCTGGCAGAGGCACAACAACCACCAAAAAAAAAAAAAAAAAAAAAAAAAAAGAAGAAAGAAAGAAAAAAAAGAAAATTTTAGGCCAATATGCCTGATGAACATCGATGTGAAAATCCTCAATAAAATATTGGCAAATGGAATCCAGTAGCACATCAAAAAGCATATCCACCATGATCAAGTTGGCTTCATCCCTGGGATGCAAGGCAGGTTCAACATACAGAAATCAATAAACGTAATCCATCACAGAAACAGAACCAATGACAAAAACCACATGAGTATCTCAATAGATGCAGAATAGGCCTTCGATAAAATTCAACACCCCTTCACGTTAAAAACTCTCGATAAACTAGGTATTGACGGAACGTATCTCAAAATAATAAGAATTATTTATGACCTACCCATGGCCAATATCATACTGAATGGGCAAAGGCTGGAAGCATTCCCTTTGAAAACTGGCACAAGACAAGTATGCCCTCTCTCATCACTTGTATTCAACATAGTATTGGAAGTTCTGGCCAGGGAAATCAGGCAAGAGAAAGAAATGAGGGGTATTAAAATAGGAAGAGAGGAAGTCAAATTGTCTCTGTTTGTAGATGACATGATTGTATATTTAGAAAACCGCATTGTCTCAGCCCAAAATCTCCTTAAGCTGATAAGCAACTTCAGCAAAGTCTCATGATACAAAATCAATGTGCAAAAATCACAAGCATTCCTATACACCAATAATAGACAAACAGAGACAAATCATGAGTGAACTCCCATTCACAATTGCTACAAAGAGAATAAAATACCTAGGAATCCAACTTACAAGGGATGTGAAGGACCTCTTCAAGGAGAACTACAAACCACTGCTCAAGGAAATCAGAGAGGAAACAAACAAATGGAAAAACATTCCATGCTCATGGATAGGAAGAATCAATATCATGAAAATGGCCATACTGCCCAAAGTAATTTATGGATTCAATATTACCCCCATCAAGCTACCAATGACTTTCTTTGCAGAATTAGAAAAAAAAAACTACTTTAAATTTCATATGGAACGAAAAAGAGCCTGTAGAGCCAAGACAAACCTAAGCAAAAAGAACAAAGCTGTAGGCATCACGCTACCTGACTTGAAACTATACTACAAGGCTACAGTAACCAAAACAGCATGGTACTGGTACCAAAACAGATATATAGACCAATGGAACAGAACAGAGGCCTCAGAAATAATGCCACACATCTACAACCATCTGATATTTGACAAACCTGACACAAACAAGCCATTGGCAAAGGATTCCCTATTTAATAAATGGTGTTGGGAAAACCGGCTAGCCATATGCACAAAACTGAAACTGGACCCCTTCCTTATACCTTATACAAAAATTAACTCAAGATGGATTAAATACTTAAACATAAGACCTAAAACCATAAAAACTCTAGAAGAAAACCTAGGCAGTACCATTCAGGACATAGGCATGGGCAAAGACTTTATGACTAAAACACCAAAAGCAATGGCAACAAAAGCCAAAATTGACAAATGTGATCTAACTAAACTAAAGAGCTCCTACACAGCAAAAGTAACTATTATCAGAGTGAACAGGCAACCTACAGAGTGGGAGAAAAGTTTTGCAATCTATCAGTCTGACAAAGGGCTAATATCCAGAATCTACAAGGAACTTAAACAAATTTACAAGGAAAAAAAAATCAAAAAGTGGGCGAAGGATATGAACAGACACTTCTCATAAGAAGACATTTATGTGGCCAAGAAACATGAAAAAAATCTCATCACCACTGGTAAATAGGGAAATGCCAATCAAAACCACAATGAGATACCATCTCACGTCAGTTAGAATGGCAATCATTGAAAAGTCAGGAAACAAAAGATGCTGGAGAGGATGTGGAGAAATAGGAACGCTTTTACACTGTTGGTGGGAGTGTAAATTAGTTCAACCATTGTGGAAGACAGTGTGGCGATTCCTCAAGAATCTAGAACCAGAAATACCATTTGACACAGCAATCCCATTACTGGGTAGATACCCAAAGGATTATAAATCATTCTATTATAAAGACACATGCACACATATGTTTATTGCAGCACTACTCACAATAGCTAATACTTGGAACCAAACCAAATGTCCATCAATGATAGACTGGATAAAGAAAATGTGGCACATATACACCATGGAATACTATGCAGCCATCAAAAAGGATGAGTTTGTGTCCTTTGCAGGGACATGGATGAAGCTGGAAACCATCATTCTCAGCAAAATAACACAGGAACAGAAAGCCAAATACTGCATGTTCTCACTCATAACTGGGAGTTAAACAATGAGAACACAGGGACACAGGGAGGTGAACATCACACACTGGGGCCTGTTGGGGGTGGGGTTTAGGGGAAGGATAGCATTAGGAGAAATACCTAATGTAGATGACGGGTTGATGGGTGCAGCATACCACCATGGCACGTGTATACCTATGTAACAAACCTGCACGTTCTGCACATGTATCCCAGAACTTAAATTATAATAAATAAAAATGAGATATCCTATATATATTACCTTGCAACCTGCTTTTTTTTCATTTTCCAATTTTCATGGGCATCTTTCCTGATCAACATGCAAAGATCCAGCTCATTGTTTTAAATAACTACCTAATATTCTACAGGCTATATCCTATATCACTATTCATCCAATATATCAGACTTTCAAGTAGTTGCCAGGTTTTAGTTGTTTTATAAATAATACCTCAAAATTATTGTATAGACGTATTCTATGTACTGATGCTTTTATTATCTAGTACAGATTTCCAAAACTGCAATTTCTGGATCAAAAGATATGTGTGCATTTCAAATTTTAATAGCAATTACCAGATTGCTTTCTAAAATGTTTAGTAGGAAACACATTCCCAACAGCAATTTACAAGGATATTCACATATCCATACTTTTGCTCCAACAGATGTTGCCAGTCTTCTTTCTTTCTTCTTTCCTTCCTTCCTTTCTCCCTCCTCTCTTCTCTTTCCCCTTCTTTTCTCTTCCCACCTCCCCTCCCTCTCCCCCTCCCTCTTCTCTTCTTCCTCCTCTTCCTCCATTAATTGCAATGGGATTTCCATGCTGCTTGGTTCATGAATTATAAGCCTACTTGATTATGGCGAGTATTTTACAATGTATCAGTTTGGCTTGTTCTTCTGATTTTAAGGTAAAGCCAAATAGAAAAGTTATATGTTATTCAACTGCATGTGCTTAAATCATTTTGCATGATCTTGAATCGTTTTATCTTTTTCTTTCAATTGTGTGGGATTATAGGAGGAGGTGATGATGGTGGTAATAATTATTTAAATATAGCAATGTATTATTATACTACGGCCTGTCACTCATTTCATTTTATCTGACTGTAAGATTCTTGTTTCCACCTTATTCTTTGGTGTATAACTTAACCTCAGCCCTCTGGTAGACCGATGAGAAGACTTGCAATTAATACTGCCAATGTGCCAACTAAAATTAAAAGTAGCTATTTTTGCACCCCATCCAGCCAGACTAACATGATAATCATCATCCCTTACAAATTAAATTACCATTGTAGTAGTATGCTTTTATGGAGATCATTGTGAAGATTAGCAGCCTACTGAAAACATGGTCCTAATGCTAAATTTGGGCTAAAAGAAAGAACAGCAAATAGTGATGTTTTCTTGATTTCAGTGCAGAGCTTCTGGTCAGATGTATCGAAATAAAACCATCAGAACTGCCACCTAGGACTCTTTCATGGTCCATATTTCCCAGCATATGTCTCAAACCTAGAGATTATTTGTAATAGGTTTACTGAATGCTTAAAGCATGACAGGCACTGCGCTAATGTTTTACATTTATTATCTCATGAGGGTACTATTAACATCTCCACTTTTCTGGGAAAATTGAGGCTCACAGAAATTAAGTAATTTGCTCGAGGCAGAGTGAGGACTTGAACCAAATTCTGTGAAACTTCAAAGCTACTACAGTCTATGACAGAGGTCAGCAAACATTTTCTGTAAATGACCAGGTAGCACATATTTTTGGCTTTGTAAGTCACACAGTCTCTGTTGTAACTACCTCACTCTGCCATTGTAGCATAAAAGCAACCAGAGACAATATGTAAACAAATGAACACGGCTGTATTCCAATGAAACTTTATTTGCACTGAAATTTGGATTTTCATGTGTCATGAAATATTATTTTTATTTTGATTTTTTCAATCTTTATAAAATTTAAAAATCATTCTTAGCTGTGGGTCATACAAAAATAGGTGATGGGCCAGATTTGGCATTGTGGGGCCTTAGTTTGCCAATCTCTAATCTGTGCCATCTCAAAGGGTACAGAGCCTATCAGTCACATAATTGAAGGACTTAACCAACCACTCTACTTTCCCTTTAATAACTCAATATGGGTCAGTTATTCAGGTACACGTATGAGCCTTTTTTGGATCTATTTGTCTATTCAGTACCATATATGTATTGATTTTATCTGGTGAAAGTAATCCTTTTCTAAAGATCCATTCAAATATTTTAGCATTCACTGAACAAGCCTGTATTTATTAGATTCTTTTATTTTTTTTTTAACCTGGCTCTCCTTTGCTTCACATACAATGCCAAAGATTTGTCTACTTTGCCAACATTTGTTCTATAACATATTCATCCTCCAACAGCTTAGGGGCCTCTTCTACACAATAATTAATAACTCTCATAAAAATAACAAATATGCAACTTTTTAAATATTAAGAGTGATTGAAGGATTATACTATTTTCAATGATTTCAACAATGGACAACGTTACTAAAAAGCTCTTAGATATTGCAGTACATTCCAAGGCATGTCCTTTTTTTCTTTCCTGATCCCTTTAAACATTAGTGACAGGGGGATCCATGAGAGCAAAAGTGGTGCTCACCAGTGCTTACCACAGTGCCTGACATATAGTAGGTGCTTATCTGTTGAATGACTGAATCATTAGGACTCCTTGCTTAAGGGAGTAAATGTAAATGTGCACAACCATCAGAAATCATGGACCCTGATGATTTTGGTGAGTTACAATATAAGGTAATTAGTCTTTTCTTTTTTATTTTATTTTATTTTATTATTATTTTTTGTTATTATACTTTAAGTTTTAGGGTACATGTGCACATTGTGCAGGTTAGTTACATATGTATACATGTGCCATGCTGGTGCGCTGCACCCACTAACTCATCATCTAGCAATAGGTATATCTCCCAGTGCTATCCCTCCCCCCTCCCCACACCCCACAACAGTCCCCAGAGTGTGATGTTCCCCTTCCTGTGTCCATGTGTTCTCATTGTTCAATTCCCACCTATGAGTGAGAATATGCGGTGTTTGGTTTTTTGTTCTTGTGATAGTTTACTGAGAATGATGATTTCCAATTTCATCCATGTCCCTACAAAGGACATGAACTCATCATTTTTTATGGCTGCATAGTATTCCATGGTGTTTATGTGCCACATTTTCTTAATCCAGTCTATCATTGTTGGACATTTGGGTTGGTTCCAAGTCTTTGCTATTGTGAATAATGCCACAATAAACATACGTGTGCATGTGTCTTTATAGCAGCATGCTTTATAGTCCTTTGGGTATATACGCAGTAATGGGATGGCTGGGTCAAATGGTATTTCCAGTTCTAGATCCCTGAGGAATCACCACACTGACTTCCACAATGGTTGAACTAGTTTACAGTCCCACCAACAGTGTAAAAGTGTTCCTATTTCTCCACATCCTCTCCAGCACCTGTTGTTTCCTGACTTTTTAATGATTGCCATTCTAACTGGTGTGAGATGGTATCTCATTGTGGTTTTGATTTGCATTTCTCTGATGGCCAGTGATGATGAGCATTTTTTCATAAGTTTTTTGGCTGCATAAATGTCTTCTTTTGAGAAGTGTCTGTTCATGTCCTTCGCCCACTTTTTGATGGGATTGTTTGTTTCTTTCTTGTAAATTTGTTTGAGTTCATTGTAGATTCTGGATATTAGCCCTTTGTCAGATAAATAGGTTGCGAAAATTTTCTCCCATTTTGTAGGTTGCCTGTTCACTCTGATGGTAGTTTCTTTTGCTGTGCAGAAGCTCTTTAGTTGAATTAGATCCCATTTGTCAATTTTGGCTTTTGTTGCCATTGCTTTTGGTGTTTTGGACATGAAGTCCTTGCCCATGCCTATGTCCTGAATGGTAATGCCTAGGTTTTCTTCTAGGGTTTTTATGGTTTTAGGTCTAACGTTTAAGTCTTTAATCCATTTTGTATAAGGTGTAAGGAAGGGATCCAGTTTCAGCTTTCTACATATGGCTAGCCAGTTTTCCCAGCACCATTTATTAAATAGGGAATCCTTTCCCCATTGCTTGTTTTTCTCAGGTTTGTCAAAGATCAGATAGTTGTAGATATACGGCGTTATTTCTGAGGGCTGTGTTCTGTTCCATTGATCTATATCTCTGTTTTGGTACCAGTACTATGCTGTTTTGGTTACTGTAGTCTTGTAGTATAGTTTGAAGTCAGGTAGTGTGATGCCTCCAGCTTTGTTCTTTTGGCTTAGGATTGACTTGGCGATGCAGGCTCTTTTTTGGTTCCATTTGAACTTTAAAGTAGTTTTTTCCAATTATGTGAAGAAAGTCACTGGTAGCTTGATGGGGATGGCATTGAATCTGTAAATTACCTTGGGCAGTATGGCCATTTTCACGATATTGATTCTTCCTACCCATGAGCATGGAATGTTCTTCCATTTGTTTGTATCCTCTTTTATTTCCTTGAGCAGTGGTTTGTAGTTCTCCTTGAAGAGGTCCTTCACATCCCTTGTAAGTTGGATTCCTAGGTATTTTATTCTCTTTGAAGCAATTGTGAATGAGAGTTCACTCATGATTTGGCTCTCTGTTTGTCTGTTGTTGGTGTAGAAGAATGCTTGTCATTTTTGTACATTGATTTTGTATCCTGAGACTTTGCTGAAGTTGCTTATCAGCTTAAGGAGATTTTGGGCTGAGACAATGGGGTTTTCTAGATATACAATCATGTCGTCTGCAAACAGGGACAATTTGACTTCCTCTTTTCCTAATTGAATACCCTTTATTTCCTTCTCCTGCCTAATTGCCCTGGCCAGAACTTCCAACACTATGTTGAATAGGAGTGGTGAGAGAGGGCATCCCTGTCTTGTGCCAGTTTTCAAAGGGAATGCTTCCAGTTTTTGCCCATTCAGTATGATATTGGCTGTGGGTTTGTCATAGATAGCTCTTATTATTTTGAAATACGTCCCATCAATACCTAATTTATTGAGAGTTTTTAGCATGAAGGGTTGTTGAATTTTCTCAAAGGCTTTTTTCTGCATCTATTGAGATAATCATGTGGTTTTTGTCTTTGGCTCTGTTTATATGCTGGATTACATTTATTGATTTGCGTGTATTGAATCAGCCTTGCATCCCAAGGATGAAGCCCACTTGATCATGGTGGATAAGCTTTTTGATGTGCTGCTGGATTCGTTTTACCAGTATTTTATTGAGGATTTTGCATCAATGTTCATCAAGGACATTGGTCTAAAATTCTCTTTTTTGGTTGTGTCTCTGCCTGGCTTTGGTATCAGAATGATGCTGGCCTCATAAAATGAGTTAGGGAGGATTCCCTCTTTTTCTATTGATTGGAGTAGTTTCAGAAGGAATGGTACCAGCTCCTCCTTGTACCTCTGGTAGAATTTGGCTGTGAATTCATCTGGTCCTGGACTCTTTTCTGTTGGTAAGCTATTGATTATTGCCACAATTTCAGATCCTGTTATTGGTCTATTCAGAGATTCAACTTCTTCCTGGTTTAGTCTTGGGAGAGTGTATGTGTCAAGGAATTGATCCATTTCTTCTAGATTTTCTAGTTTATTTGTGTAGAGGTGTTTGTAGTATTCTCTGATGGTAGTTTGTATTTCTGTGGGATCGGTGGTGATATCCCCTTTATCATTTTTTATTGTGTGTATTTGATTCTTCTCTCTCTTTTTCTTTATTAGTCTTGCTAGCGGTCTATCAATTTTGTTGATCCTTTCAAAAAACCAGCTCCTGGATTCATTAATTTTTTGAAGGGGTTTTTTGTGTCTCTATTTCCTTCAGTTCTGCTCTGATTTTGTTATTTCTTCCCTTCTGCTAGCTTTTGAATGTGTTTGCTCTTGCTCCTCTAGTTCTTTTAATTGTGATGTTAGGGTGTCAATTTTGGATCTTTCCTGCTTTCTCTTGTGGGCATTTAGTGCTATAAATTTCCCTCTACACACTGCTTTGAATGTGTCCCAGAGATTCTGGTATGTTGTGTCTTTGTTCTCGTTGGTTTCAAAGAACATCTTTATTTCTGCCTTCATTTTGTTATGTACCCAGTAGTCATTCAGGAGCAGGTTGTTCAGTTTCCACGTAGTTGAGCGGTTTTGAGTGAGATTCTTAATCCTGAGTTCTAGTTTGATTGCACTGTGGTCTGAGAGATAGTTTGTTATAATTTCTCTTCTTTTACATTTGCTGAGGAGAGCTTTACTTCCAAGTATGTGGTCAATTTTGGAATAGGTGTGGTGTGGTGCTGAAAAAAATGTATATTCTGTTGATTTGGGGTGGAGAGTTCTGTAGATGTCTATTAGGTCTGCTTGGTGCAGAGCTGAGTTCAATTCCTGGGTATCCTTGTTGACTTTCTGTCTCGTTGATCTGTCTAATGTTGACAGTGGGGTGTTAAAGTCTCCCATTATTAATGTGTGGGAGTCTAAGTCTCTTTGTAGGTCACTCAGGACTTGCTTTATGAATCTTGGTGCTCCTGTATTGGGTGCATATATATTTAGGATAGTTAGCTCTTCTTGTTGAATTGATCCCTTTACCATCATGTAATGGCCTTCTTTGTCTCTTTTGATCTTTGTTGGTTTAAAGTCTGTTTTATCAGAGACTAGGATTGCAACCCCTGCCTTTTTTTGTTTTCCATTTGCTTGGTAGTACTTCCTCCATCCTTTTATTTTGAGCCTATGTGTGTCTCTGCACGTGAGATGGGTTTCCTGAATACAGCACACTGATGGGTCTTGACTCTTTATCCAACTTGCCAGTCTGTGTCTTTTAATTGGAGCATTTAGCCCATTTACATTTAAAGTTAATATTGTTGTGTGTGAATTTGATCCTGTCATTATGATGTTAGCTGGTTATTTCGCTCGTTAGTTGAGGCAGTTTCTTCCTAGTCTGGATGGTCTTTACATTTTGGCATGATTTTGCAGTGGCTGGTACCGGTCATTTCTTTCCATGTTTAGCGCTTCCTTCAGGAGCTCTTTTAGGGCAGGCCTGGTGGTGATAAAATCTCTCAGCATTTACTTGTCTGTAAAGGATTTTATTTCTCCTTCGCTTATGAAGCTTAGTTTGGCTGGATATGAAATTCTGGGTTGAAAATTCTTTTCTTTAAGAATGTTGAATATTGGCCCCCTCTCTCTTCTGGCTTGTAGGGTTTCTGCCGAGAGATCCGCTGTTAGTCTGATGGGCTTTCCTTTGAGGGTAACCCGACCTTTCTCTCTGGCTGCCCTTAACATTTTTTCCTTCATTTCAACTTTGGTGAATCTGACAATTATGTGTCTTGGAGTTGCTCTCCTCGAGGAGTATCTTTGTGGCGTTCTCTGTATTTCCTGAATCTGAATGTTGGCCTGCCTTGCTAGATTGGGGAAGTTCTCCTGGATAATATCCTGCAGAGTGTTTTCCAACTTGGTTCCATTCTCCCCGTCACTTTCAGGTACACCAATCAGACGTAGATTTGGTCTTTTCACATAGTCCCATATTTCTTGGAGGCTTTGCTCATTTCTTTTTATTCTTTTTTCTCTAAACTTCCCTTCTCACTTCATTTCTTTCATTTCATCTTCCATTGCTGATACCCTTTCTTCCAGTTGATCGCATTGGCTCCTGAGGCTTCTGCATTCTTCACGTAGTTCTCGAGCCTTGGTTTTCAGCTCCATCAGCTCCTTTAAGCACTTCTCTGTATTGGTTATTCTAGTTATACATTCTTCTAAATTTTTTTTAAAGTTTTCAACTTCTTTGCCTTTGGTTTGAATGTCCTCCCGTAGCTCAGAGTAATTTGATCGTCTGAAGCCTTCTTCTCTCAGCTCGTCAAAGTCATTCTCCATCCAGTTTTGTTCTGTTGCTGGTGAGGAACTGCGTTCCTTTGGAGGAGGAGAGGTGCTCTGCTTTTTAGAGTTTCCAGTTTTTCTGTTCTGTTTTTTCCCCATCTTTGTGGTTTTATCTACTTTTGGTCTTTGATGATGGTGATGTACAGATGGGTTTTCGGTGTGGATGTCCTTTCTGTTTGTTAGTTTTCCTTCTAACAGACAGGACCCTCAGCTGCAGGTCTGTTGGAATACCCTGCAGTGTGAGGTGTCAGTGTGCCCCTGCTGGGGGGTGCCTCCCAGTTAGGCTGCTCAGGGGTCAGGGGTCAGGGACCCACTTGAAGAGGCAGTCTGCCCGTTCTCAGATCTCCAGCTGCGTGCTGGGAGAACCACTGCTCTCTTCAAAGCTGTCAGACAGGGACATTTAAGTCTGCAGAGGTTACTGCTGTCTTTTTGTTTGTCTGTGCCCTGCCCCCAGAGGTGGAGCCTACAGAGGCAGGCAGGCCTCCTTGAGCTGTGGTGGGCTCCACCCAGTTCGAGCTTCCAGGCTGCTTTGTTTACCTAATCAAGCCTGGGCAATGGCGGGCGCCCCTCCCCAAGCCTGGCTGCCGCCTTGCAGTTTGATCTCAGACTGCTGTGCTAGCAATCAGCGAGACTCCGTGGGTGTAGGACCCTCTGAGCCAGGTGCAGGATATAATCTCGTGGTGCACCGTTTTTTAAGCCCGTCGGAAAAGCGCAGTATTCGGGTGGGAGTGATCCGATTTTCCAGGTGCCGCTCGTCACCCCTTTCTTTGACTCGGAAAGGGAACTCCCTGACCCCTTGTGCTTCACAAGTGAGGCAATGCCTCGCCCTGCTTTGGCTCACGCACGGTGCGCGCACCCACTGACCTGCGCCCACTGTCTGGCACTCCCTAGTGAGACGAACCCGGTACCTCAGATGGAAATGCAGAAATCACCCGTCTTCTGCGTCGCTCACGCTGGGAGCCGTAGACCGGAGCTGTTCCTATTCGGCCATCTTGGCTCTTCCCCCGGTAATTAGTCTTTTCAAAAGTATTTACAGATCACCAAAATACTATAAAATCATGGGTTTTCTAAAGGTTTGGATGAGAGAAAAACAGTGGATGTTTTCCAGATTTTTTTCTTTGTCAGAAGAATCTCTGGGAAGCCAGATAACTACTTAAGAATGGGACTGTCTCATCTTCCACACCTGCTGGTTGCTGATGGGATGAGCCGTCCTTCAAGCTAGTCTATACTTTAAGATCAGGAATTGAGCCAGAATTTCCCTTTGGCGAGGAAAATGGCAAAGCTATCTCTTAGTACCCGTGGGTTTGGCTTTTTAGAGTATATAGCATATACTATATATATATGCTCTATATAATCTAGCATCTGAATAAATGTGTGTGTGGTGGAGGGGGTGGTGGTTAATAAGATCAAAATTATGGGTGTAGTTTCCATGTGGTTCTTTTAGCTTTGTTGTGTTCCAGAATTGTAGGCTTCAGTACTAACCATCATCAACTCTGTGGTGTAAATATGCCTGTTATCATAAGATGGGCAAAAAGAGTGTATGTAAATAGTTCAATACAAACTTCTCAGTACTACCTTAAAATAAGTTCAAAGCCTATGTCTTTCTAGTCATGGTGGGTCCAAAGTGTCCGTCACCCTGGAAAATGTTTCCAAAGGTAAATACAAGTAATTGGGGAATCAGGGAAAGTTATTATTTCAGCATGCAAAATAAGGCCACTCTCTGCAATATGTCTAGGCACAGATGTACAAAGACAAATAGAAAAAGGTCACAGATGACATTTTATTTGCTGGGAAAGAAGTAGGATTCATTTATTCAAGGAATATATATGATATATGGAGCACCAATTATTCGCCAAATAAACAAAAAAAATAAGTATTTCTTTTGACAAGTGCCAGAAAAATTATAAAAAGGCTTTGAGAAAGAGAATAATAATAAAGGGGACTGCCCCTATATAAGGTAGCCATATAAAGTCACAATGAAAAGGGGACATTTATCTGAGAATACTGTCTGCTAATTGTACTTCAGTTTGCCAGATTCTAAACACAAATGTTTTATTTGGGTGGAGAGAAACTTCTCTAAATGACAATTTTTTGATTAAAGGAATAATCCTCCTTAGACATTAAAGAGCAGCTGGTTAAATGCAGAAGGGAAGGGAACTGGCATTTATTGAACGTTTTCTCTGAACCAGACCCTTTACACATATCATTTCATGTCATTTTATTCTATGTTATTATTTTTGTTTTGTGGATGGATAGACTGTGATTCAAGAAGGTTAAATAAGTTGCTCAAGGTAACATAAGAGACTGGGATTAAAAATTGAAGTTTTTGCCTCTGAAATCCATGTTCTTATCATTATACCATGATGCTACTCGTCAAGAATACTAATTGCTACCATTAGTGAGGAAATACTATACTAACAGCTTTGGGACCATTGTGTCACTTAATCTTCAATTAGTTACTAACCCACTTTATATATGAAGAAATTAAAGCCTAGGGAGCTTAAGCAACTTGCTCAAGTCACATGGCTTGTCAATTATGGATATCCACATTCAGCACGTGATGATTTTGAGGGGTTGATCTGATTTTCAAGTTTAAGAATTATGACTGGACCAGTCAGATGTTTACAAAGTGGTTCTGCCCTGAAGTCAGCTTGAAGGAAATACTAGTTATTCATCTGGATGATAATATTACTTCAGTCCACATCCAGCTTCTCTGGGACCAAAGAGAGGCAGTAAAATAAGGTCACCCCTCAAATGCAAGGCAAATGGAATAAGACATGGAATACTGCTTGCATTTCCCTTTTGCCAAAGAAAATGTCATGGAAGCCAGAGGTCACCTGAGCGTCTCATCAGGAGAGATATTTTAACCTACTGTGAGATGTAAAATGCTCACCTCTGATTTCCTTTTTTAAATGTAGCTTTCAATACATTCCTTCTTTTTTTAGATGTATATTTGAACACTTTCATCATGAGGACAGAAGTTTTGCAGTTCCATCCAGTTAACTGATTCTCATAAACCTGATTTGCCTAAGCAGCTAACAAATATCTGAGAAAAGAGGGAAGGGCTGGGCCTTAGCATGGCAGACATGTGTGGTTAAGGAGATATCTTAGGTTCTTTGTTGTTCTTCATGCATTCCTCCCTTCACCTAGACTGGAGGTGCTCCCCTCATCAAATATAATCTCCTCAATATCGTAGGGTCTTCTATGCATTTTTACCTCCTCAAGAACTACCCTGAGGAAAGGAACTGCTAAACTCATCAGAAAATGACTGATAAAGCTAAATATGATATGTTTGCTATCCATGGGTGTGATTAAATTTTAATAATACTAATAGCTAACATATAAAATTGACCCTTAAACACTAGTTTGAACTGCATGAGTTTATTTACATGCGGATTTGTTTCAGTAAAAATTATACCTACTGAGTCTGCCTCTCCTGCCTCCTCTTCCACCTCTTCCACCTCTTCCATCTCTGCAACCCCTGAGACAGCAAGACCAATCCCTCCTCTTCCTCCTCCCCCTCAGCCTACTCAATGTGATGATGAGGAGGAGGAAGACCTCTATGATGATCTACTTCCACCTAATGACTAGTTAATATATTTTCTCTTCACTGTGATTTCCTTAATAACATTTTCTTTGCTCTAGCTTACTGTATTGTAAGAATACTGTATATAATACCCCTGCATTGTTCAAAGGCCAATGATATAGTGAACTTAGTCTATTCCTGGCACTGTGCTACCTACATTATCTCATTTAATTTTGATAATCCAGTAAGGTGGTATTATTATTAGTATGCTACAATTAGAATATGGTTTGTCCCTACCAAAATTCATGTGGAGGATTGCTCCCCAATGTGGTGGTGGTGGGAAGTGGTGCCTTTAAGAGGTAATTAGCTCATTAGAATGGATTAATGTCTTTCTCTGGAGTCTGGATTAGTTTCTGAGAGAGCAAGTTGTTGTAAAGTGAGGTTTGGTCTCTTTGCACGTCTCCTTTCCCTTCTGCTTCTCTGCTATGCTTCTTGAACTTCCCAGCCTCCAGTGCTGTGAGCTAAACAAACCTATTTTCTTTATAAATTACCCAGTCTCAGATACTCTGTTATAGCAATACAAAATGTACTAAGATATAATATCACTCTCATTTTATAAATTTTTAGAAAAATTGGCCCAGAGACAGTCAGTAATTTTCCCCAAGGCCACCTAGTTGATTAGTGGTACAAATATGAGTGGAACACAAGTTTCACTGACTCCCAAGCCTGTATTCTTAACCAATTACTATAGTGCCATAAGACAAAAAAGATAAAGTAATAACTGGGAAATTTAAGTATCAGCAAGCTGGATGAGGGAGATTTTGTGGGGGTAATGGGCAAGTGGGAAGGAGACAGATGGTATCTTCATGATATCCCTGTAAAGACACCACAAATTAGACTGCGTATTCCACTCACTGTTCATAATGATAAAGAACAGCTTTTCCAAGCCCAATGTCTCTCAGTTTATATCATTACTGAATGCGTGTAAATATGATTTTTAAATACTATTCATGAATAATACTGGCTGGTTCAATTGCTAAATCTTCCCTTTTAGGAAAAAGGAGAACAATATTCTTCCCCAGACAATTACTAGCACATGTCTCATGATATTTAAATCTGCATACAACTTGATAATAACTTTTGATTTATTAGCACCATTTGCAAGTGAATAAATATTGCTCAGTGGTGTGGCAGAATCCAAAATTGTACTCAAGTCTACTTTTCTTGTTTTGTGGATTCTACTTGCTTAAGTAATTGGTTAAGAATGTATATATACCTTTTCCTCACCAGATTAGCCTCCATGCTCAAAGCCTGTCCCACAACATCATGACATTATTTCTCAAGTAACGCTGTTCATTGGAGGTTTTCTGATTACCTTTACAAACATACACTCACACAGTGCATTTCCCTTTGGGACAAATTTCAACAATATATATATTTTTTGCACAAGGTTGTCTAACAAACAATTTTTTTAAGGCTTATTGTACTAGGGTTTGGCTTCCTTGGATCTATGCCCTCAGCTTGGAATTCAATTTAAACTATGCAAATGAGGACCTCAACTATTGAACTTTTCTGTTTTGGGCTAAAATTCTTCAAATAGTATTTAAATATTTTAAATTTATAAATTCAAATTTAAAAATTAGGTAATATTATATAATTTTTTTGAGATGGAGTCTCACTCTATTGCCCAGGCTGGAGTGCAGTGGCATGATAGCAGCTCACTGCAACCTCCCGCCTCCCAGGTTCAAGCAATCCTCCTGCTTCAGCCTCCCGAGTAGCTGGGATTACAGGTGCCCACCACCACGCCTGGCTAATTTTTGTATTTTTAGTAGAGGCAGGCTTCCACCATGTTGGCCAGGCTGGTCTTGAACTCCTGACCTCAAGTGATCCGCTTGCCTCAGCCTCCCAAAGTGCTGGGATTACAGGCATGAGCCACCACATCTAGCCTAAATATTTTTAAAGTGTCTTCAAAGCAAACGATTTTGCCATAACAAGAAATCCCTCAAGCTCATTAAGACAAATACTACATTTTATTGATTTCTAAAGGATAAAAAGAACTTTCAGGTTCATTTAATGCAATTTCACTTTGACATATAGCTGTTTGTCTTCTGGTGTCCATGTTATGAACTTTCACTGACATTGAAGAGCCAAGTCTATTATTATATAATATATGTACTATATGGGATCAGGATAAACCAAGTTGCAGTGAAACTGCTCCCTAATCATATGTCTTTTGTTTTTCTCTAAAACATATAAATTGAATATATCACAATGGTGTCTAAACGTTTTCTGAAGACATTCTGATAGAAAAAAAAAAGTCACCCTATTAGTTTTTATTTACATCTTAAATTGAGAGCTTTTAACTTTTTTCATTTTTATTTGGCTGTTTGCATTTTGCCACCAATATCACTTTCTATATGAACTATTTGGTCACTTGGCTGTTAGCAGTGTGGTGACAGCAATTTTATGAGGAAATTATGGGTCGTGATAACCCCCATTGTATATGGATACCTACACATGGCTAGCTAGCTGGCCTTGGGAAGTGAAATAAGAGACTTAGGTTTGTCAATGAGAACATCCATTTAAGGATAAGCACATTTATGTAAATGGGTGCTATGTGTTTTCTACATTCTGGTTAATACCCTGGTCCTCTTGGGCAAAGAAGTTTCCCTTAATTTTCAAAGCCTGATTCATTCATTCTTGATTTAGTATCTTGGACTTCTTTGGAATAAATATTATCATTATTGTTTTGTATTTTTATCTAGAAACTCATGCCATATTTTTCTTTCAGTTACCTATGCCCAGTGATAGGGAGATCAGTACTTGAAAGGGTTTGGGTGAGTATAGGTTGAGAAGAGTCAAGTTGAAGGAGCAGTGCTTATATGTTTGATGGCATTCAGACTGGTCTCTGATCTTTAATCTGCCCACTCATAGTTCCTTACTTCTAGATACTCCTTCTGCTCTTTCTCTGCAGGTGCCAAAAAATGAGTTGTCAGGGACAGGAGGTGAAAAATCTGTGTTATTGGGAAAAATCTCTCTCTCTCTCTTTCTCTCTGTCTCTCTCACATCTCTCTTCTCTCTCAAACCCTGAATAATATTGAACCTGTAAGTTCTCACCTAGTGCAGTCCTTAAAATACTATTGTATTATTGTATTTATTTTGTTTTATAGTTTGTCAACTTTAAAATGGCCCTATTTCTCAGCAATGTATACATTCATAGCAGGAACATCACATGTATAGGCCTCTATAATGTGAACTGAAAGGTGTGGAATCCCTCCCTGACCCCAATTTTTCTCTAGTCGGCCTGGGCCAGTTTCTGAAATTCCCACCAACAGATTATCTTTAAATCCTTTGGATTAAGTCTTTTTTGAAATCTTTTGCTAAAATATACCTGGGGGTTAATAAACCATCCTGAGACTTTAATTCTCTAGCTTAACTGAATTTATCAGATTATATCTCATAGAAAACAGGCCACTTAAAGGAATGGAGCATAGGATAAGGAAATTTTTAACAGTAAAAACTGGAGGAGTAAAATATATTGAATATTTCTGGGGTTTGGGGAGCAAACTGGAAACCCAGGTTGGATAATTCTAATAATTTTGTCAATTCATTCTAATTCAAATCACACCCAAATAGGCTAATTCTGTTTGTCTGGAAAAATATTGCATTAAAAATTGCCCATCTCAATGGCTTCTACATTATTGATGTTGCTGTTCTTACTTGACATTTTTTTCCTCTATTCTCATTTTGAAAACCATGTTGGGGGTCTTTACTGCTAGATTTTTTCTCCCTCTTCTCAAAAAACTCAGTTGGATTCTCACCTGAAGGCCATTTAAATCTCCCCAAATGGTTTCTAATTTTGTATAGGAAGATGAGGTTGGAATTTGTTTATGGATAGGTTAAGGCACTCAGATAGAAACTGAGAAAACTTATTTTACTCTGTTTTAGAAAGCTACCTTTTGGACATTTTAAAAAGCATTCATGGACTAATAGTGATTCTTAATTTTTTCTTTTCGTCTCAAACAAAAGAAATTTGATCTGTCTGCTAGTCTCTTAATTCACTGAAGTGAAAAGCTATAGGAGAGCTTAACTACCTCTGTTCAAAGGTTAACATTTTCCCCCTAATCAATAGACTTTACAATAATGAGGCTTACATTGTAGTTTCCAATTTCTCACCTTTCAGGTCATGGCAGTCTCCTTCCAAAGCTTCTTGGGTGGCACTTTTAATGACGGTTGATAAATGAGAGTAAGTGGTCAAAAAGGGGAAGAAGCAAGTTGAAAAACAGAGTGCTAACTGGGAGGGGTACTTTTTACAAGAAATAGAATGTAATATAATGGAAAGAGAAAAGGACATGGACATTCTAGAAATAACTAACTTCTAAAGGATTTTCTATTTAGCTTTGAGTTTATTGTTGGTAATTATATCACTTGACTCATGGGTTATTGTGGGAATTAAAAGAGAATGTATTTAAAAGCATTTTGTAATAAAGAATCACATAAAATTTTTTTTCCTTGAGTCTTTACTGCTCACTCTTTTTTTATTTTATTTTATTATTATACTTTAAGCTCTAGAGTACACGTGCACAACGTGCAGATTTGTTACATAGGTATACATGTGTCATGTTGGTTTGCTGCACCCATTAACTCGTCATTTACATTACGTATTTCTCCTAATGCTATCCCTCCCCCAGCCCCCCACCCCATGACAGGCCCCGGTGTATGATGTTCCCCACCCTGTGACCAAGTGTTCTCATTGTTCAATTCCCACCTATGAGTGGGAACATGCAGTGTTTGGTTTTCTGTCCTTGTGATAGTTTGCTGAGAATGATGGTTTCCACCTTCATCCATGTCCCTGCAAAGGACATGAACTCATCTTTTTTATGGCTGCATAGTATTCCATGGTATATATGTATCACATTTTCTTAATCCAGTCTATCATTGATGGACACTTGGGTTGGTTCCAAATCTTTGCTATTGAGAATCACACAAATATTATTCTAAAAGTAAGTCTTTCAGTCTCCTTCCTCTGTCTCTGTCTCTCTCTTTCTCAAGAGGCTAGAGAAAAACTTCATGGTTCTTTCTTTTTGGCTGAGAATTTCTCAGTGTGAGCATTGGTTCTGTAGTCAGGCTGTCTTGGATTTGAATCTGAATTCTGTCACTTTATAGCTGTGTATTATCACTGAACCAGAGATTTAATGTCTGTGGGCCTTAGTTTCTTCTCCCATAAAACAAAGATAATATCTGCCTAACAGGAGTATTAAGAGAATTAAATAAGATGATATATGAAAAGCCATGCACAGTGCTTGAAACATAGTAGGTACTTAATACAGCGTACACTGGTCCCATTATAGGTGACTATTAAAAGCACAAAGAAAACTTTGTCTAAGTAGAACATCTACTTTGTCCTACTTATCAAATCCCATCTTTTCAAAATGGCAAGTTCTCCTAATTACCTTTGTCTGGAATTTATGTTTTGGTTATAATGATGACTACAAAGGCAAGTAAATTTACACTGGAATCTGCAGCGTTGTTAAGTCTTCCTTGTGAGTCACTTGTGAACTGCACACTTGTTGGAAGAAGCTGACTTTGACAGTTCTTTGGTTAAGATTATAGGAACTACGGTGCACCCCTATGGAAAGCTTCCAAATAAATGCATTGGAACTTCTGATAACCTTTTCTCGACATGCTGACATTTCTGTTGGCTTTGAATAGCTCTTGATATTTTAATGCATTTAGGCAGAGTTGATAGGCCATTTCCTAGCAAAGTGGGACTTAGCTACAACAAAGCTTGGGGCTTTCCATATGTGGGCCTTAAAATATTAATTATCTTTCAAGGTTTAGTTTTAAAATGCTTGACAGGCACATAAATTTGCTGATATTACCTCACCTGTAATTATAATTCAGAAGTGAGGTTTTCATGTCTTAGTTATATTGTTTTCCAAGTACCCTGTATATACTCAAGATTTCTTGTCTTTTAGAACCCTCACCTATGCTCTGCCAGAATTAAGGAGCTGTCAAAATTCTACTAAAAACATAGTCTTATTACTAATGTGGGGCAAAGAGTAAAGAACATGTCATAGAAGTTATAGGCAAAGCTAAGACTTCTTACATTGTAGCCCAATTATAAACATTTTTCTGTGATGCTTATAAACGTTAGAAATTTATATGTCAATCCAGCTTTCAAAGATAAATTTGAGGGCTTCTGCAAACAACTAAGTGGAGATGGGAAACTTAACATGCAGGAGTATATAGGCAGATTGATTAGGGGGCTTTAAAATTTTTCCCCTTTAAAATGTCCCAAGGAATTTCCAGAGACCTTTATTCTCTAAAAAGGATCCTGTCAGGTTTAACCAGAACTGAGGAATCATTTAGGCCCCAGACCATGCTCACTGGGTACAACAATGGACACATTTTAGGTTGAATGGACTTGATATGGGGGTAAAAGTAACATGAGTGAGGTTTTTTTCATTTTTCCTTCCTTCTGTCACTAGATGTGATGTGTTCCCTACTGTCATAGGAGGGTCATGCAGAGGAAAAAAAAGAATGGGAGGAAGATAAGGCAAAGGAAAGGTAGATAAAATAAGTCAGAGAATGGAGAAAATATCAAGATAGAACTATGCAGGGTGTCACAATGGGATCTGGGAGGCAAAAGGAAATGAAAGTTTGAACCAGGAACCTTAAGAGACCAGAGTGGTTTGAAGCATCTAGGTGGCAAGGGGTTAGTTAGTTTAGAAAAGGATCTGGGAATTTGATCTCATTAGAGAACTATAATTTCACTTTCTTTGTGAAAACCAATTTTAAGTACTAGTTTTTGCTATTTGGTTACAAAGATGACTCTAACATTTTACAGGACAAGACTCATGTACCGAAATCATTTTTCTCTTTTCCCAGATGCCCACTCTGCTGAGTCTTTTAGGGCAGCTGTTTAGTTAATCAAGGTCATAGGTATTTCATCGATAGACATTTATTTCCTTCTCATTGCATTTGTCTGTGCAAATTGTCAATGTGTCAGTTTAAATATCCTGATCAGCTTATAGAGAATAAACCCCGTTCCACCCCAAGGCAATTGGGATGCATACTATCACTGTACATTTGGGAATAAAAAAGTAAGTCACGTATGCTACTCTCAAATTTACAATCCATCTGATATTCTACCAGTCAATTAGCAGCTTGTAGAATCTCTTTGGTTTCTCAGTTCTTTTTTGGCTAGGTTAGGACATAATAATATGCCAAAATCACAATACTTATACAATGGCTGACATTTATGCAAGATCTCACAATCATCTGCATGGAAGCTTGAGGCACTTGACCCTCATAGAGATTAGATTAGAGTGATTGACACTCTTCCAGCAGGGTTGTTCCATCCCTTATCTCCTTTCTTCTCTCCATCCAATCTAATTGGTTTTGTAACTCTGAAAATATTACTTAACAGAGACTGAGTCTCAACATCCTAATTTGTATAATGGGGTAATATTATTTACCTTACAGGGTAATGATGATAACTGATGAGACAAATGTATAAAATGTCTTTGGTAGAAACCATGAGTTGTTCCCCAATATTCTGTACTACCTTTATTTCTTAATAGTAAAATGATTAATTTTATCTTGGCCCATGGCCACCTGGAATAAAGACTTTATTTTTCTTGCTCTTTTGCATTTGGGTATGACCAGGCAATTAAGTTCTGACCAATGGATATCAGGTGGCAGAGGCAAGAAACTGGGGGGCAACTCCAAGCAAAGAACTGAATCCTGCCAACTGTTACGTGAGTAAGCTTGGAAGCAGACTGGTCCCCAGCCAAGCCTTCACATGAGACCACGGCCTCAGCCAACACCTTGAATGCAGCCTTGTGAGAGATTGTGAGACAGAAGATGCAGCTAAGCCATGCTCAGATTCCTGATGCACATAAAAGCTGCTTAATTTTAGAGTACTTTATTACACAGCAATAGGTAATACAGGGATAAATACGGCAGTGGAACATATGACTTTCTGAAAGTGTCCTTCAATAGAAAGGGTGTGCCCTTCTTCTGTTCCTTCCTCTTGATATATATATTAAGGCTATAATGGCTGGAACCCCAACAGCCATTTTGAACCACAGAGCAGAGCAACAGGTAAAAAGTAACCTGAGTTCCTGAGATTATTATGTACAATACCATCCTGGATCACCTACACCTACCTGTACAACTTTGGGTTTTTTGGTCACTTAAAGACAAGTCTAGTCCTATCTAACAATTGTGTCTAATATTACTGTTAACATCATATAAATATTTTTTAAAACACTAGCTTTCTTTCTACCCCAGCATCATGGAAGAATAAAAACTAATACAAAATATCTTGTGGCATACTCCTTGTATTTCAGGAATATGTAGTCTAATTTCAAAATGCTTTTAATGGTTTAGCTAAATTTTTCTCACTAAACTCCATCTCCAGCAGACTCTCCTTACTTAAATATATGCAATTCTCTAAAGAATGCTGAATTGTTTTTGGTGATGGGAAACATTTATTTTGTGATGGCAATGTTCACTCCTCCTTCTATCCATTGGTGAGAAAATTGAAGCTTTATACATTTTTTTCTTTTTAAGTAAGAAATTTACATATATAATAAGTTCTGGTTTTGTTACTGGCAAGTTGTATAAACTTGCCCAAGTTCTTTACTACCTTAGAGCCTCAGTCTGTCAATTGGCAAGAGAGGAATAATTATATTACCTTCCTCCTAGTGTAGGCTAAATGAGATAATACAACAAAAATATTTAACATAGAGCTCTACATAAGTAATTGCTCCATAAATGGTGACTGCAATTATATTTTTGAAATGTTATTATTAATACATTTATCTACAGCAAAAATATCATGTTGATTCTGGCCTTCTTTGGTTCTATTAATATGTTGGCTTTGAAGTTCTCTGGACATAATGCCTGAACCTGAAAAAAATTAGTTTTAAATTGAAATTCTCAGACACCAAGGCAGACTAAGAGGGTAGATAATTTTTTTTTGTCTGGGGTAGGGCCTTTCCAGGCATCCCTCACATTCTTCTCTATGCAGGGAGTGACCTTTATTCTTATATCTGTGGCAGGCTCAATAATGACAACAGTTGATTACCTTCCTTTTCTTGAATAACTTCACAGCTGAATACTCTCCCCACTTACTACAAATTTCTTCAGTCCTCCATTATGTGATTCTTAGCTGTTCAAGAAGCTCTTCCTTAAGTTTTGATTTGCATAAATGGACTCACAGAAAGACCTAGATACCTGGAAATTTTTTCGCTAGTTGACTGCTAGTATCATTTGCAGCTATACTAGGTATATATTAAGGACAAAATGTTGCCCAGACTTTGGTCTGTCCTGTGGATTTTATGCTGCTTTTTGCCAAGGGGGTCATCTGTTGGGATAATTAGTTTGGACAAATGCTTGCTGATCTAGTTTTCTGGAACTCAGGGCTACTCATATACTCCAGTCCCAGGTTCATATGAATTTTTCTATGCTGCTCACCCAGCTGCTTTGGTTTGCCAGAGACTGTTCAATACTAGAATTTTCATACAAAGCTCTGCTCTCTACCCCACCCAAGAAGCTTAGTTCCCTCAGGGATGCGATCAGAATTGAAATCACTGGAAAAATATTGTAGCTCTACTTGATAAAGAAATCCTGAGCTGGCCCCAGGGTTTAGCAAGCTCAGATATTCCATAAAAATGAGCTTTTGGGCTGGGCGCGGTGGCTCACGCCTGTAATCCCAGCACTTTGGGAGAACGAGACAGGCGGATCACGAGGTCAGGAGATGGAGACCCTCCTGGCTAACACGGTGAAACCTCGTCTCTACTAAAAATACAAAAAATTAGCTGGGCGTGGTGGCGGGTGCCTGTAGTCTCAGCTACTCTGGGGGCTGAGGCAGGAGAATGGCGTGAACCCGGGAGGCAGATCTTGCAGTGAGCCGAGATCGCGCCACTGCGCTCCAGCCTGGGCAGCAGAGCGAGATTCCGTCTAAAAAATAAAACGAAAAAAAAAAAAAAAAACAAAGCAAATAACATCTATAAGCTTTAATGTTAATGAAGAAATACATCTCTCATTGAAGAAAAATATGTTCTAACTTGTCATCATGAGAGTTTAGTGTTTTTTTTTTTTTCTACTAGTGTGGTTAGATCATCGAGCTGCACAATTTCACCACTTAGTCTCCTTGTGAACATTTGGGTTAAGGATACATATCTGTGTGTGTGTGTGTGTGTGTAGTGTGTCTGTGTGTGTATAAATAAATACATAGTTTTTTTAAAGGATTATATTTGTGACTTATTGATCATCCTAGTTTTAACCAAGTTGCTAACTGTCCATGGATTTTAAAGCTCTAGGAAGAGAAAAATCAATGTTTTCCAAGTTGATATGATAGCCCAGAAAAGTTGTCTTAAAGTAGATGTTCTCTATTGTATTGTGGAAAATTCTACCTTGTTCACAGACACTAGGATAATCAAAATTTTTAAAAACTAAAAATAACAAGTGTTGGCAAGGATATGAAGAATTTGGAATCTTCATACATTTCTAGTAAGAAAGTAAAATGGTGCAGCCACCGTGAAAGACAGTTTGACAATCCCTCAAAAAGTTGATCATAGAATTAACATATGACCCAGAAATTCCACTCCTAGGTATGTATCTAAAAGAATTGAAAACAAGTATTCAAACAAAACCTGTATATAAATGTGCATAGCAGCACTATTCACAATAGCCAAAATGTGGAAATAATCCACATGTCCATTAACTGATGAGTGGATAAACAAAATGTGCTATATTCATACAATGGAATACTACCCAGACATAAAAATAAATGGAATACTGACAGAAGCTACCACATTGTGACCCTCAAAATTGTTATGCAAATGAAATAAGCCAGTCATAAATGTCACATACTATATGACTCCATTTATATAAACTATCTAGAATAGGTAAACTCATGTAGACAGCAGATTGGTGGTTTCCAAAAGCCTGGGGAAGGAGGGAAGTAGGAGTAACTTCTTAATGGTTGCGTGGTTTTCTTTTGGGTGCTGAAAATATTTTGGAGCTAGATAAAAGTGTTGGTTGTAAAATGTTGCGAATGTACAAAATGCCACTGAGTTGTACACTTTAAAATTATTAATTTTATTTTATGTAAATTTCACCTCAAAAAATGTAAAAAATCTTATTGGTTTAGTAAGGAAGTCTCCTGGCTTCCTTAAAAGGTAGTAGGCAATCACTATTCATGCTGTTTTCATGGAAATCTGTGTTTCAGCCGTGAGGTTGACATTTTGCATTTCTGAGAAAAATTGGGTTTAGAGAGATAATATATAGAAAAAGACCTCTTTAAGGCATATATTTTTGAAAAGTAGTCTTGTCCATTTTTCAGCCCAATATCAAGTTAAAAGATTCCTTGAAGTTCATCTAGGTCAAACTACTCCCTTATGATAACTCTCTTGGGTATCACAGATCATGGCCATTGAAAATCAATGGGTCTAAGTGAAAGATTAAATTTTTTCCATTTAACTTGTTACATGTTATGCTCCAGTAACAATATCCCATTTGTAGTTCCTCAGACATGCATGTTATTTCATTTCTTGATCCGTTTTTATCTTCTGTCTACTTTGCTTGGAATGCCCTTCTTACTCTTGGCTATTTAGCAAACTTCCACTCCTCTTTCATATCCTAAGTCAGTGTCACCTCCTTAAGCTGACTTACTTCTTCCTTCCTCTGTTCTACCTGATATTTTATACATCTGTTTCTTAATGTGTTTAGAACAATTATAATTATAACTACATGCTTGCATGTCTATTTTCCCCACTAGACTTTGAGTTTTTGAAGAATAAGATCCATATCAATTTTACTCTTGGCTATGTTTCTAGAGCACAGAAAAGTGCAGAGCCTATAAGACGAACTGAGAAAAGTTTGTTGAGGCACTTAATTATACAAAAGACAGTATAATATTGACTTTCTTGGCATTAGGAGAATAATGAAAAGACCCTCGGAAACCCGGGGATATCTGAGGGTGATTTCAGCTACCATAGAATTATTTTTGAGAATTTTATCCACAAGGAATCCTGTCTCAAAGCCTCAGTCATTTATCTGTTCCCAAGATATAATGTCTCTGCTGTTTTGTTCCCAGCCTCTCCATTTGAGAAAGGTTCCTGATTATTTTTGCTGGCAAAAGTATTTCCTGTAGATGCTCTTAATGTAAAATACAGCATTCTGAGATCATGGGATCTACACTGAAGAATTTTTTTTTATTTTTACTTGTATCTGCTGCCATGGCTCAATTGTTCTGAAGACTTGGACACTTTTTTGTAACCTGATTTTCTCCAAAAAAGACAACTCCCTCATCCCTAGAGCCCTTGAAAGTCTCTAGAAGCTTTAGCAAGGCAGATGAGTCCGCCAACTTCAGCACTCTGCCAGTTTCCATCATGTACATGTTTTTAACCCTCAGGGTAGAGTGAATGCCTGGAGATATTCTTTCATAACATTTATTTGGCAAGAAAAATAGAAAAAAAATGATAGCAGCCAAGGGTCACAGTTTCTACATTCTGCAAGAATATCTTTAAGCATATTCTGCTTTTATTTTTGCAGAGTAAAAAGCACATAACTTTGTGACAACTCCTCACATTATCATTTTTTTGCTTTGTTACTGGTCTGGGGCTATCACAGCCATAATTCTAGACTGCTCACATTTTTTTCATTTAAAAGTGTTAAATTATATCCCCTACCTTCCTTTTTCCTAAGCATCCCTCTAACTACATTCAGTTTTCAAATTCTGTAAAGGAGATACTTTTAATTTGGGGACCACTTTTAATGGCACCCATAGATGGGCTTCTGAAGATACACAAACCCCTTCAGATTGTGAGCTGAGCAAAATTATGTACATTTTTATATGTGTGCATTTATTTCTGAAAAATAAGATCTATAAATTTTAGCAGTTCTCAAAGTAGTCCAAAAGTGTGTTCAAAAGTATTATGACATATAAACCTAAGCAGATATGCTTTAAGGGAACTCTTCAGATAATAAAGTAAGGGTCTGTGACTCAAAAAGAATTTTCCTCTTAAGAGGGATGTCTCTTTGTTTAGGGAGTGAGATCTTTGTTTAGGGAATGAGATTCTCATGAAGTGAGATTAGAACTTTCTGGAATGTAAAAATTGGTTTTGGGATTGAACCCTTATACCTTGATATTGAATCTCCTTATTCAAGCTGCTGAAACCTACAGACCACTAGCTGAGCTGTTGGAAGTCACATAAAAATCACCAGTTGTAGCTCCTAAACGAGAAACAGCAAAGGAACTGTTGCTGGACTTATAAATCTTTTTCAAATATTTGAGGTCCAGTTGTTATTTGTAGGTTGCCGGAGAAAATGTTCCAGCATATTAATATCTGTAAATTTATATGTGTAAACCTGTGTACATTTCTTTATCAATCTGCATTTATTCAGCACTCTAAGATGATTTACACCCTCCCAGTCACTGAAAATCCTGAGGACAGAGTGTTACACATACTCTCAATTATTTATGCATAAAAATATGAGGTTTGGCTATTGGACCCACTGACATAGCTAAACATTTTTGGCCTCCTCACAAGGTAAAGAGTGGAGATGTGGTGGTTTGTGGACTTACATTCCATAGTCTGCATTGGTCTGTGGGGGAAGTGAAGAGTGGGGATAAAAAGAGCTCCTTCAACTTCTCAAGGTTGACTGAGAACTAAATTCTCAGAAACAGGGTTTCATCCTTTGAGGCACAATATCAGAATTGGGATATTTTCAGGTTTTGTCAACTGGGAACTCTCATTTCTGCCCTTAAGTAATCTCCTTTCCCAATATTGTTCGCAATACATATGCTTGGTTTGGCTTAATGGGAGGAGGTTACATATGAAGTGCTTATGTTTCCCAGTTGGTATTCTTATATCTACATTCACCATTCACCTATACTTTATAGACTTTCTGCTCTTCTACATTTTATTTCTTGTCTAGCATTACTAAAAGCAGGGGCCATGACTTATACTTTGGAATCGTGCATATCTGGCACAATGCTCAATATATAATATATACTCAATATCTACTGATTATTTTAATTTTCATGTTAACTAGTGATTTCTGGCCTTTAGTGACTTCAAATAATATCTCTAACTCCTAGAGGTGGGGAGGTTGGATTTTCATTTAAAGGTATACAGCCAAAGAAAAGAGTTCATTGGTCAGATGTGGCTTTGGAGAGACAAATTTGGCCATTCTCTTCTTAGTGGTGGTCAACTAAGTTTGGATCTAGTTAGAGTGGACATGACTCTTGTTAGACTGGACAAGATTCTTGTTAGACCGGACAAAACTGGAAGCTTCCAGGACATACTTTTATTCACACAAGCATGACATACGACCCTTCTAATGGGTACATTAAGACACAGAAAAATAATGCAGTTTCCAAAATGGTTCCACGTGGTAAGTTCAGTGTTGTTTAATTCAAGTCCATTTGGGGGTGTGCAAGAAAGTTTTACATAAGGGTAAGTCAGATAAACTCTACTTATGACAAGCTCTTCTCTTCTAGGAGTTTATTTGCCATACATTAGAATGTAATCTCTATAGGGCATGTATTTGTATTTTTTTATTCACTTCAGTACCCCAATAACTAGAACAGTGCCTGGTAGAGAGGGTTCCCAGTAAAACTTTCCAAGTAGACACAATCAATGAATAAGAGCTTACTGAGCAGCAACCATGTGGTTAATAAAGTGGTAAGTTCTCTGAAGACACAAAGAAAACTTTTAAAATGGAGAAGTCATTATTATTCATAAGTTTAGAATCCACCTGACATGAAATGAACAGATAACAAAGCAATTGCACGCTAAAGTACCCAGACCAAGAATAGAAAGATTTAAGTTCTCTTTCTCACTTTGCTATTAATCAGCTGGGTTAGCTTGGAAAAGTCACTTTTTTTTTTTTTTTTTTTTGAGACGGAGTCTCGCTCTGTTGCCCAGGCCGGACTGCGGACTGCAGTGGCGCAATCTCGGCTCACTGCAAGCTCCGCTTCCCGGGTTCACGCCATTCTCCTGCCTCAGCCTCCCGAGTAGCTGGGACTACAGGCGCCCGCCACCGCGCCCGGCTAATTTTTTGTATTTTTAGTAGAGACGGGGTTTCACCTTGTTAGCCAGGATGGTCTCGATCTCCTGACCTCATGATCCACCCGCCTCGGCCTCCCAAAGTGCTGGGATTACAGGCGTGAGCCACCGCGCCCGGCCGGAAAAGTCACTTTTTTAGGAGCATTAATATTTTCTCATTTGGAAAACTGAGTAGACAAACTTAGATACTGAACATATGATAATTCTATGTTTACAAATGCAGAGGAACAATAAACACAGTGGGCTGTAATAGTAAAAGAATGTGACAGGTAAAAGATGGACCAGAACTTATACGTTTTAGAGAACTGGGCAAAATAAGGTTGCCTAAAAGGAGGAATTCAGGTAGCAGGAGGTACAAAAAGAAAAGAGATTTGGACCCAATGCAGTCAAATATAAAGTGTGTATGTGTGCATATAGTGCTTAGAACAGTGACTGGCCCACAATCAACTTGATATATGCCTAAGCTATGAAATGTGTATGGGGGAGGGGAGTGGGGAGAAAGGAGAGGAGGGAGAGGGGAGAGGAGGAGGGAGAGAAAGGAGAGAGGAGAGGAACAGATAGAAATAAAAGTCAAGTAGAAAGATGGGTCTGACAGTAGTGGTCAGGGTGAATTAGAAGACAAAACAGCTAGATAGATAATTTCAGTGATCTGAGCAGTCAGGAGCTACAATAATATATATGAATTGGAAATATTCTTACATATCAGTTATTTTAGCCTCACACTTAAACTCGAAATCCTTTCTGCATTCTTCCAGTCAGTCTCTGACGGTTTGCAGTGACAAAGTGTAGGTTTTTCAAGGCAGCATATTTGGTTTATGGGTAGTTTGTGTCCTTAGACAGAACTTTCTGATCCTGAGCCTAAATTTGCCTTCTTGGTGAGTTTCATTCATTATCCTGGTTCACCCCTTGGGGCCACACTGATTATGTCTAATTTTACTTTAACGTCACATTTTGGCTAAATTTTCTCTTTTTCAGGAAAAATATTTTCAATTCATTCAATCATTTATTCCATGGCATGATTTCAGATATTTCACCATCTGGACCATCTTCTTCTGAAATCTCTCTAGACTGGTAAAGTTCCTATTAGAATGTGGGTGCCTAGAAATGAACACAGCCTACCAGATGTGGTCTGACTAGTGCCAAGCTCCTCCCTTGAACTGGGCATTGTACTTGTATTGCTCTGTTCTAACACTGCATTTGCTTTCTAGGCAGCTACATCACACTGTTGACTCATTTCAACTTGTAATTGCCTTTAAACCAGAACTATATGATGGCTTGTTAACCTGGTAAACTTCCTCTTTATTATTTTGGCCTTTCAGATCTGATAAATTCTTTCTGAGTGGAAAATTCAGGGAGCTTGGCAGGTTGAAAAACTACTTATTTCTTTAAAATATATAGGGTTGCTATTATTTTGGGGGACAGGTGAGTGCTGAGGTACAGTCACAACTCACTAATAATTCTGAGAAGTTGGAGGGTCTATTTACTGAATTAGTGAAAAGTCTGAATCACATTCTAATTTGAAAGAGAATGTTCTTTAATATAAAAATATTAATTGGAATAAAGACTGTGATGATGTTTTCAAGGAAAAAACATGCTTGACCAGCTATGATGAATAGGCATGACGAGCAGCACCCTTCCTTGTATACATTTCGTGGTTAACATCCTTTAAAACTGTCTTTGTAATGCTCAATGTTGGGCATTAATTTGTTGAGCCAACTTTTTTTTCCTCTATACAGCAGAGAATACAAATAATAGCTGACACTTTCACAGCATCTACTATATATACAAGGCTCTCTTCTGAGCACTTTATGTACTTAATCTTCTTAATAATCCTATGAAGTAGATGCTACTGTTATCCTCATCTTCCTTATCCCTATTTTACCACTGAGAAAACTGAGACACTGAGAGCTTTAAGTAATTTACCCAAAGTGAAATAGACAGTAAAAATAAGTGCAGAATTTGAATTCAGGAAGTCTGGCTGTAGAGTTGGTGCTCAAAGCACCTCTCATATCCAAACACTCATCTTAGTCAGAATAGTAGAATTCAAAAATGTCTCCAACTTGCTTTAGCTAGCAGACCAAATTTAAGGGTGAGTTAAGCTCCCATATTACAGACTAATATATCTTCTCTCCTGCAAATGATGATGATTACGCAGGAAGAGATTTCACAATTGATTCTACTCCCTTTGCATATGTAGTGTATTTGGTTAAGGGTTTGGGACCTTGCAGATAGATCTATGTGACATAAAGATGTTTGAAAGGATTTAACATTTTATGAATTGGCAAGACATTGTCTGCCCTCCACCTGAAAAGGTAGATGGATGGACGAACACTTTAAGAATTGAGTCTGGCCAGGCCCGGTGGCTCCCACCTGAATTCCCAACACTTTGGGAGGCCAAGGCAGGCAGATTGCTTGAGCTCAGGAGATCGAGACCAGCCTGGGAAACATGGTGAAACCTTGTCTTTACAAAAAAGTATAGGCTAATGCAAAAAAATTAGCCTGGCATGAAGGCATGCACCTGTAGCCCCATCTACTCAGGTGGCTGAGGCTGGAGGATCGCTTGAGCCCAGGAGGTCGAGGCTGCAGTGAGCGAGCCATACTTTTCCCATTGCATGCTAGTCTTGGTGACAGAGGTCTGAACTTTTATTTCCTAAGAGGATATGACCTCAATTAAATGTACAAGGAGTTAAATCTGAAATAATACATGTAAATCTCTTTTTATGTTTATGAAATATTTGCTACCTGCAAACCAACACAGAAAGTTAACTATAGGAATACGCAAAATTATGTGAGCCATAATCTTGCCATTGCAATCTAGCCTTGGTGACAGAGGGAGACCCTGTCTAAAAAAAAAAAAAAAAAAAAATCCAGTCTATGATGAAGATGAAGATAGTGGAAAGAGTATGGAATCCTGGATTCTAGTTTCGGCTGTCACTAATATGACTTAATATTTCTGAGTCTCAGTTTCCCCACCTTTAAGAGGACTAGATGATCTTTCAGAGCCCTTCCAAATCTAACATTCCATGTTTTAAGAGAGTAAAGGAAACCAATGGTGAAGAAGGAGAGAAAAAGTTTAAAGAACTTTCATGGATGAAGAAATAAATTCAAGCCCTGGCTTTACCATTTTTAATTATCTTTCGATTGTGGCTGAAATTGAAAAGTAAAGAGGGAGATCAATGACCCTCATCCTCCACTACGTGGCTCAGAACTGGGTTTGTGCACATTAGAGGACAGGAAAAGAAAGAAAGAAAAAGAAATCTTTCAAACCGAGAAAGCTAATTTCATGTGAATTGGCATCAGTGCAAAATAAATTAGATGAATAGTTTACAGTATATCTCTCATAATAATCTGGCTTGTCTTGAAACATTGAGCTTTTTAAACAAATTTTACTGCCTGGCCTATGGCTTTGTGGTTCCATCGTGTTCAAGAAAAAAATGCTGACAACTTGTTTTCTGTTTCCACTGGCAGCATTACTGTTTTTAAATTGAAATGATAAATGGTTGGTTATGGTGCAATGGCTGAGCTTTGAATTCTATAGCGATATTCTATATTTCTCTTTAATGCACACACTTTTATTTCTAGGTAGATTTCCACTGTGTTAAGAAAATGCTCATCATGTCATAATTGTAATCAGCAACCTATTACATGAATTTTGGTCCTAATATTAAAAAAAAGATACATCCTAATTTAGGCTTCTCTTTATTACCTAGGAGCACTTTTGAGAAGACCAGAGGACTCTGAGTAGAAAATTCTTCTTTGTTTTTTTTCTACTTGGGGAAACCCAGGTGTGCTGAATATTTTCCTCATTTATTTTTATCCATGCCTTTTGAAGCATTTGAGAACAGTTGATTTGTATTTTCTCCACATACCCTTGCCAAAGACAGTGACAGAGACCTGGAAAGACTCACTTTGATCTGAAGGTAGTTTTGCTTGGCATGTGCTTGTGCAATTGAGTAATAGCTGATAATCAAAACCAACTCCCCAAACCTGAGCTTAGTTTTTGACGCTTTATTTGAGGCTTTGGGAAAAAGCCTAAACCTTTATATTTTTATCTGTCAAATGAGCTTATCCAGGTCCCAAAGAACACTATACTCAATGATTTTTAACCACTGTGGAAGATGGGGCAATCACAAACAGTTGCTATTTGTGTTAAAATGTTGCATATATTAACAAAATTATTCAGAGATGAAGCTTAATTAGGATGCCTACGACTCCTCTTGGTGCCTGCCTAACTTCTGCTCCTAACCTCAGCATATTCCTAACATTCCCCATGTGCCAAGTGTGTTTTTGAATTTTTGAATCCCTCCTACTTTCTGTTTCTATCTCCTTCTACCTTTATCAAGACATAACCACGAATTGCTTCATAATTGTAGGTTTCTGTACTCCATGTCACCATCTGGTATTTGATCAAGTCACTTGGTCTCTGGGCCTCAGGTTTCCTAAAGTAAAATGAAGGAATTGAAATAGATGGCCTTGAAGTTCCCATTCATTTCTAAAATTGCATGAGTTAATATCTACATTAATGTGTTATCTAGAAAATGTGCTTCCCTTCCTGATAGAGTAGTTTGGTGGAATCATAAAGGCTAGATTGTGGCAACTCCATGGGGACATCATGATTTAACCTAGTTAATATGATTTTAGTACACTGGTGATAGGCATTTTGGGGACTGCCTTCCTCATGAATTTTGATTTCCTTCAAAATGTGCTCCATAAAAGGCTACCGATTTTGTGTATTCCTATTATTAACTCTCTCTGTTGGTTTGCAGGTAGCAAATATTTCATAAACATAAAAAGAGATTTACATGTATTATTTCAGATTTAACTCCTTATACATTTAATTGAGGTCATATCCTCTTAGGAAATAAGCAATATTTCTGAGGAGTTTCTTTAGCAAACTTTCTTTTACTGTTGGTATCATCCCAGCCATACTTTCCCAGAGAATTCATTGTGAGCAACTCTTCCAAGATATTGTCTCACTCTAAAAGCAATCCCCTCTCACAAGCGCTACTCAAAGATCAGACGCTTCTTTAAATTAAAAAAAAAACTCCTCCTGAAATGCAGCTTATCTAGTGATATTATCAAAAAGCTTCCTAATCAACTTGTAGGCATTTTAAACTTCTATAACAAGAAACCAGTTTGATTTTACCCAGGTCAAGGAAAAAGAGAAACTATGGTGGGTTTTTTTTTCTTTTGGCTTCTCTTTCCTTTAAAACAAAGAACAAAATGACAAATCCAAATTTGAGACATCTGGATGTTTCCCATCATGTGGCTTAAACATCTGTATTTTTTCACTTCTCATCCAGATGTTTTGGTCTTATGTAAACCTAGCTAAAGTGAAGCAGAGTATCAAGCAATCATCTGGGGACTTTGATTAACATGGACAACAAATCTGAATAATCCATGTCCTGAGAGTCCTGGTTTTTGTCTAGCTCAGAACACATTACTAATGAGGTTAAAGTTACTGTAGGTTTGTTCCTTGAATGGGGGCAGTTAGTTGTGATCTGTTCCATGGCCACAAAATGCACCTCTAACCTCAGCCAGCTGTCTTGGAAAATGAGTGTCCTTGGTCATACAGGCAGTCATGCAAGAAACCTAACAACCAATCTCTACCAGTTGGAAAGTAAAATAAAATGTATTTCCTGTGGACAGTAGGTCAGCAGTGACATTTTTGTGTAAAATAATAATTGTAACAATAATTCTTACATAGCTCTTACTCTGTGCCAACAGTGTTCTAAGCACTTTTTACATACATTAACTTACAGTGTTCACACTCCTGTGTATTATTGGTATACACATTTTACAAATGAGGAAATGGAGGCACAGAAAGGCTATTTTGCCCCACATAAAAATAGATGACATTTTAATCTTTTCTAGGTATTTTGCCACTCTATCAAGAAAGTTAAGGACTCTCAAGCTTTTGGATGCTTAGAAAATACATCAGAGGAGGACAGAAACTCAGATATCTCTGCATCCTGAATTCATTGGTGGAATTGCTACTGTGCCCAGTAAAGTAGGTTAATCTAATCCCTATTCTTTGACCCGATATGATAATTACAGGCATAAATTACCTTTTGAAAAAAAAAAGGCAATGTTTTTATTGGCAATGTCAGCATATAAAGTATGTATTTAAGAAAAATCACTATGTGGTTAGGAGCAATGAACTATGTTGGGTGGCCTCAAGGAACTAAATTGTATAAATGCTCTGAAGAAGAATGATTTGTGTGACTGGCAGAATGCTTAGGAAACTTTTATCTCCAACCACAAATTGACTTAGAATCCTAAAATGCTAGACCTAGACAGGATGTAGATAGATAATCTAATACACTATTTTCTTTCTTTTTAAAATGTTGCAAACAATAAAAAAGTTGCTTGCTGAAAGAAGCAAATGGAAAAAATAAACTCTCATATTTTTTAAGGATTGTAGGAATTTAAACTTGACCGTGCTCCCAAATCCACTTGTCCATTTAATCCACAAATGAGATGTGAGCACCTACTCTGTGACCAGGACTATTACGGACACTTGGACTATAGTAAGGAGTAAGATGAGACCACTGGTCTTCAGCAACTCTTCAACTATTCTGGCATTTTCTATCTCAGAAAGTAAAGGGGGCTGGGCCGGTGGTGCAGACCTGTAATCCCAGCACTTTGGGAGTCCGAGGCTGACAGGATCACGAGGTCAAGAGTTCGAGAGCAGCCTCACCAACTTGGTGAAACCCCGTCTCTACTAAAAATACAAAAATTAGCCGGGCGTTGTGGCACGCGCCTGTAATCCCAGCTACTCAGGAGGCTGAGGCAGGAGAATCACTTGAACCCAGGAGGTGGAGGCTGCAGTGAGCTGAGATCACGCCACTGCACTCCAGCCTGTGCCACATGCCACAGAGTGAGACTCCGTTTCAAAAAAAAAAAAAAAAAGAAAGAAAAGAAAAGAAAGAAAGAAGACGTAAAGGCCCTCTTTCCTACAACTTTCCTGCCTAAATTGTGTTTCATCTTCTGGTGTTATGGAAAACAATTGCTCAGCATCTTAGTAACAGAGACTATGTTCATCAAATCCCACATCCTGCCTATTTCTCTCCCTCCTCAGATCTGCCTTTTTCTGAGTATCCAGGTCACCACCCTAGCTACATCATTTCTTACCTCACACCTGAACTATGATAACAGCATCTTAGCTGGTCTCCCTGTCTCCATTATCTCCCCTTATCTACTTTTTCCTGCATCTATTATCAGATGAATGCTTCACCACATTTCTCAGCCTTAGTTCTCTCTCTCTTTCTCTCAACAGGGTCTTGCTCTGTTGCACAGGCTGGAGTGCAGTGGCACGATCTCAGCTCACTGTAACCTCTGCCTCCCAAGCTCAAGTAATTCTCCCACTTCTGCCTCCTGGGTAGCTGAGACTACAAGCACACACCACCACTCCTGGCTAATTTTTGTATTTTTTTTGGTGGAGACAGGGTTTTGCCATGTTGCCCAGGCTGTTCGCAAACTCCTGGACTCAAGTGATCAGCCCACCTCGGCCTCCCAAAGTGTTGGGATTTCAGGCATGAGCCACTGCACCTGGCTCTTATTTCTTATTATGTCCTCACACAGAGTCTGCTCTTGCCAACCAAATGTGCTTGCTATCAGCTAAATAAGACCGTCTTATTCTTTGTTGAATCTTTCTTCTCATGTGCTATTCTCTGCACTTGAGAAATTCCTATTCTTCACCACTGTTGGATCTATTCCAAACTTTTATCTTGCTCCAGTCGGCACTGAATTGCCCCACCTCACTTATTAATTTTCCTACACTTAAATGTGTTTTATAAATACCCCCCACTTCCTTCATGTATATGATGTGTAAACTGCTTGAGCACAGGGACTTCAATTTTTTAAAGGATTTCTATTATACTTTATGCAGTGGCCAGTTCACAGTGGGCACTCAATAAATGCTGATTTACTTTAATACCATTTGGAGAAAATGTTGAGCAAACAGCAGTGAGCATTTGGAAAGACAAGTTAGATGAGTGTAGGTGACTTTACAAGTTCTGATCTCACAGTAATTAAATGGACTGCTGAATAAGCGTACATTTCCTGTGGCTGAATCCAGTTCTAAACCAAGACAAGTTTGATGTAAGAGTTTGAAGTGAATGATTATTGTTTATCAAACTACTCCATACATTCATCAGAAAGCCTTAATGCTCAACACTGTGATCTCCTATCAGACATAGCAGAACAAAAATGCATGAGTAATAGAGAAATTGAAGCCAGACCATTTTCAACATCAAATTCTGTCCTAGAAAAGAGCAACAACAATTGCAAGTGTTCAAACTTAACTGGTCACTATGGAACTATTTTCTGTCTTGAATCTGGTTTTATCAGCACACTACCTCAACTTGGGAAATGAATATCAGGAGTGTAAAGATTTATATGTGTAATTTTCAGGATATTTCCCTTGGCCATTACTCAATTTTCTAGAAAATACTTGGTAAAAACCAACCAATTTATTTAAAAACAAAATGTCAAATGGCAGTAAATGCTTTATAGCAGTGGTTTCATACTCCCGTAAGCCCTTCAAATATTACATGGGTCAAAGACTCTCCTTCTCTTTCCTGCAAGAATTTTTTTTCCTTCTCACACTTACCATTCTCCAACCTGTTGTGGAAGTTATCCCCAGGATACTACTCATTCCCATGTCCTCTTGGACACCTCTATAAACTTCTCTTTCATAACTGAACTCTGTTTCACCCTCTGATTGCACTGTTTCCTCCAATGCCCTACCATGTTAACCATCAATCCTCAGACAAAATATCAACCTCTCACATGATGCTATTTTTGGTTCAAGCCTTACCAGAAACCTGCAAATCTGTACTCATATTTTTGAATGAGTGATTGAAAGTGGACCAGATTTAGAACTAATTCAATTAAAGCTTAGAGGCAGTGAGGACAGACATCTTCTTTTCAGGTACCATCCAGCCACTTTTTAGAGTTTCCATAGTTATATTGGAGCCCATAGATTATCAATCCCGCCATATTTCATATTTTGCCTAATTAAACCCATGTACACATTGCCCATATCCTTGAGCATTGTTTGTTCTCATGCAATTTTAATTTCCTATTTGTCTATGGTTTTGTACATTTCTCATTTGTCTCATCATTTCTTATATTTTCCGAATGTTTCGCCTTAAAAATAACCTGTTTTAAAAAGTATACATTCTTGCATACAATAACATAACAATAAATTTGTTATCATCGATATATGATAACTAGTTCTACCAGTGTTTTTCTAGATTTCCAAAATAAATTTCAGTGAAAAATTGAGAAGAAATGTTTTTCCCCTCTGTGAATACAACTAGGAAAATACTTCATGTTCTAGACTAAATACTTATTATACCCTTATGGGCTATATCTTTTAAAAATCTGAGATGAAAATTAAATTTTGAATTGCCATCTAGAAACAAATTTTTATAGATAGTGTACACATTCGTTCCTGAAAATTTTGTAGAAAAGGTTTCTTGTCAAGTTCCCCAGCACAAGTGTGAATGCTCTGTTTTTGAGTACCTACTAGTAGTGAAAGGACACATTGTGGCCAGCCAACTCAAATTGCTACCCACATTTAATCATTGTAAATAGAGTAAGCAGAGAGACTCACGTTATATTTTCAGAACTTACATGCTCAATACAGAACTATTAGTTTAAAAATACCACCAAACATTCATTTGAATTAATCTAGATTTCTGTGAAAAATAATATAATAAAAAATACAATTGGTCACTTAAACTTATATTACATGAGTATATGAGTTCATGCAGATTTTTAACTTAGTAATTACACATAGCATTAAAGAACAACCACAGTAAATACAACTTTATAACACTTGGAAACAGTTCAGAATTGATAAATTTTCATTTTGAAAGACTTACTTACAGATTTTACGGAACAAAATTATCTTTCTCAGTGGAAAAAGTACATCTATAAAACACCGACATGTGTTGAACAGGACTTTTCAAAGGAGCAACTAATTGTCCCGCTGTGAAATGAACATGTAGCACTGCTAAGCTTTCACCTACTGTTGGTGCAGAATGCATTTTCTGAATGGCTGGATACAGAAAAGCAACAGAGAAACAAGTACTTTGAACAAAACTCGTGGATCACAGAAAATCAATAATGAAAAAAGATCGAAAGAAATAAAGCATATTATCTGGTGTTCTCTTATACATTTGAGATTCACAATTACAAGGGGTGGGCAAATTATTCATTTTTACACACTGTGTACATTTGTCCTTGTTTTATGTTTGTCCAAGAACATGATTTAAGAACTATTGCAAAATGCCAAAATTGACCTTGATTAACAAATGATCCTCACAGGCATCTAGGTGGAGAGCACATCTAATTTGATTAATTGGAAAGAACATAAAGTAGTAATCCATAATAAATACTAGAATAGGAGCACATTCCTTACAGCAAATAGGCAATACTTACTTAGATTATTTACAAGGATTTTCTGGCATGGTACAGTCACAGTCACTATGTGATGATGGAGAAGTTTAGCCTATCAAATATATACTCTTCGAAGCACCAGGAGTAGACATACTTGTGCAGGAGCCTTGCACAGATGGCCATATACTATATATACAGAATAGTCTGTTTTATAACTACATTGCCGGTGAGAAACTGTGCAATTGCTGCTCTACCACTAGTAAACATAAATCATTTAGCACTTCATCTGCGAATATTGTTGCAGTACTTCTTTCCAATTGCTGACACTTGCAGTCTATGTATTTAAATTCAAATGTCAACGATGTTGAAAAAAAGCAGGACGATGTCCATATCTTCATATAATACTTATAGCAGGTCAAGGAAAAATTCCAAATGTGAATTTGTTAGCAAACAATGAAATGTGTACTTCAAAATGTGTTTTCAAAGTTGTAAAACTTTTGGAATTAGAAAGCCACAAGGGCTGTTCAAAATCATCCTAAAAGAACTCACAGCCTGTCTATTCATTTGCGTAAGAAATGCATATTGTTTACCTATCTACCAGTTTGCCTACAGAAGATGTGATTCTCTAATAAAACTAAAAGCTGTTATTATGAGCTGTTGATTTAGTCTACAGAAAGTGTCCATTATGTTGAAGAAGTTCTCATTTTTTCTCAACTGATCTTCCTCTACAAACAGTCTTCTAACTGGAGTGCATCAACATTTCTTTCTTGATAATTCCTGAGTTTTCAGAACTCTATAGAAGTCATTTTTTCCCTTAAACTTGGTTCAGAATTTTCAAATTCAATTAAAGTCTTTAAATTTTCTTTATTTCAAATACCATGTGAATACTGAAATCTTTTTAAATATGGGCAAGACAGCTCACCTACTAAGCATGCAGTCCATGTGCTATCATAAAAGCTACTCTAAGACAACAGGATTTTAAAATTTTTGTTTTCAGGAAGAAATCAAAACTGTACATTGGAACAAGGTGCCATACTACAAAAGCAGGTCCTTCTTTCCCCCCACTATTCTGGAAATGTAAACAAAAATATTTAAGTATAAAAGCCATTTTTGTACCTTTTTCTTCAAACACTTTTTTAACACAACGTTATTAGGTGTACTTTATGCTTGGTATAACAGAAATTCTCTATGCTTATCTAGCTGTTCAGAGGAATTCAGATTTTTCACTACCAAATATCACTGGTAAAGCTAAGCTCTTTGGAGGATAAAGGCAGCAAAGAACTGTTCCTGTGAAATTCCTGGGTATCTTTCAGGGTGTTATTAAGGGGTAGCTGTCCGTTGAGTAGCGTCAGAGGCAGGTTACAATAAGTATGGTGGTTGCCTAAGGAAGGTACTGGCAAGGTCGTGGCTGGTATCTCATGTTTATAACCTCTGCAACAGTGCCTGATTTGCATTGAATCTGAAGGGTGGAATTCAGGGAGATCAGCCTGAGATGACACCAGAGTGGCTGAAGTACTGGTCATGGCAATAGAGGGTATAGGCTGGAGTTCTCCAAAAAGTCCTTGTTCTGCGGAGTCCAGAACATGGCACCGAGGTAGCATTTCTTTTTTCTTGATGGGCATTTCATATACTAAGTGCTTCCAAAACTTAGAATTTAATTTGCTGCTTTTGGATCCCTTCCACTTGATCAGGGACAGAAGTTTGATGCTACGCTTTAGTGATTCCACTTCCTGGCAATTCACTTTCCCTTTTAATTCTGTACACTCAATCAAAATCACTTTGATTTCTCCACTGACTAGCATGTTATGGAGTCTGCTTTCCAGTTCGAAAATACTCCATCCCCGTCTGAGAATATAGTCTGGAGTTAGCACGATAATAAGTCTTCTGCTTTGTTCAACATATCTTGTGAGATCTTCCATGTATGCTACAAATCACAGAAAGAGAGAAAGAGTAAAACAAAGACATTGCCAGTCTCTAAAGCATCAGGTTTGCACACTAGTATAGCAAAGATCCAGTCTCTCACTAAAGTCCATCACATTTTCTTTTCTTGTATGGTACATTCCCCTCCTTAAAACTGAAAAAAAAAAAAACTGCTTATAATCGTTATTTTCTTTTCCCTCACCATTACTTACAGTGTTTTGTTGGCTAACATAAACTCTGACTTCTTCAGAGCTTAGGTGTATTTCAGTGATTTTTATTTATGTAATCATTTAATTCAAGTCAGGCTTCCAAGCTAGTACTCTAAGTGAACAACTAATCAAGGAGCCGATGAAAAGAGAAATGGATCCTTTTAATAAATGCAGAGTTACTGTATTTATGGGTTTTGTTTGCTTTTCTTCTTTAATTTTATTTTTATTAATATTATTTATTGTAATTGACAAATACTAACTGTATGTATGGCCCCTAGTTTTCAACTACTAAACAAGGAGGGGGCTATGTATACTAACTACTTGAGAGATAACTGTGATATAGAGATGGTGGAAAATCTCTTTTAGAATCATAGCTTGTTTCTCCGATTATTTCTGTCATTTGCAAACTTAGGTTCTCCATTATGCCCTTCAAACCCAGAGATAGGGAAGTGGTTTGTGCCCATGAGTTTAATTGGAACTGGCTGCTTTTGTTCCAAGGAAGAGTGAAGAGTAGAGTCGGAGGTGGGGGATGGTGTGAAATGAACAGTGAAGGAGTCTACCAACTGAAAAGAAAGTATTTGCCCTACTTTGTGGAGCAATTCTGAAAGTGAGGTGAATATGTTATCTATGGCTTTTACATGGTAGAGAAACACTCAACTAACTCCGGATTTATTTATCACATGAAATAATCCCTTTGGAATCATGCTTCCCAAAGTCTTATCTGCCAAAAAGGGAAACACACACATGTGTTAACAAATGGAGACTTAGACACAGGTGCTACACCAGAGAGCTGTCTTTACGAAGCAGAACACAAGGCCTTGTCTAATGTACAGTGCCCTCTAGCAGAAGCAGTGCTTACAGAAAGAAGCATAGCAACATTTGTCAACACAAATCTGCCCAAGGTTACAGACTGCTTTCAAGGAGTCACATTCAGCACATATTGTGGGGCCACCAAACAGCTCAGTACAAGCAATTTGAAAAGAGAAACTTACTTTACAGATGCATATTTTACAGATGCTCTCTCTTTTCTAAGGTTTTATTTTCACTACTTGGCAGCAAGAAAACTTTTACAAGTGAAAATGAGCAAACTTTCTTTATACCCTACAGATAAATAAGAAACTTTTAAGAGATACACATAGAATTGCCCATTTAACAATTTGTTGTTACTGTTCTTTGGGTTTTGACTTAATACATTTCAGGATCTTTCTCATGCAGTAGTTACAATGACTGTATCTGTCGGGATAAGGCAGTGTCTAAGAAGAGAGGGAACTTTTAAGAATTTTGATTGTTTTATTTTAGAGATTATGCATTCAGGGGAAAAAATAAGCAGTGAAATCTGCAAAAACAAAATGAAACAAAAAAACACCACAGAAATAGTAATTGAGAAGTTATCACTCTGTAATTATCACTTAGAGAACTGGTGAAACAGAAGGGAAGGAAAGGTAGGAAGTTTCAATAGAGTGGAAAAATATTTTCCCAATGTATCAACAGCTCTGACTCTTCATTTTCTTCCTTTCTTTCTGCTCCCAAAAAGAAAGAAGTTATGTGGGAAGCTTCATCATTAGAAGTTGGATCTGTAAGATACAGTAAAATAAACTATCATGCATTTTTCTCATTATTCTTTTCACCTTTCCTCCAAAACAGAACAAAACCCAAACCCAGAATCATGATATCAGTGCAGGAGTCAATGAAGATACAGTTTTACCAGGTGAATTATGAATTCATTATTAATTTTATAGAATCATTCTTCACAAAATAATTTACCAAGGGGTTACTTTGAGTAGTATTGTTCCCTAATTAATTACAGCTTGTAATTCCATTTAAAAAAATTAAACCTTGTACAAACCTTGTCAGTAACACTCTGTCACATAAAGTGTACCTCTAGGAACAACATAATTTTTATGTGTTAGTTTTTAGTCTAAATGTACTTTTATTTTATTTTTTTATTTTTTTGAGATAGAGTCTTGCTGTGTTGCCTAGGCTGGAATGCAGTGGCACAAACACAGCTCTCTGCAACCTCGACCTCTTGATCTCAAGCAATCCTCCTGCCTCAGCCTCCTCAGTAGCTAGGACTACAGGTGCCAGCCACCATGCTCGGCTAATTTTTTATTATTATTTTTTATAGAGGTGGGGTCTCACTATGTTGCTCAGGCTGGTCTCAAACTCCTGGCCTTAAACAATCCTCTGTCCTCAGCCTCAAATGCACTTTTAAACTATGCTTTTAGAAACTAAAGCTATATCTATACATGAGTCTATCAACTTAAAGAAAAGAAATTACAACCCAGGTATCCACACTTATAAGAGAAACTGTACGCACATGTAGTAATTCATTTGACTGGGATGTCATGGGCTTTGGCTTTGCTAGCTTCTTTTTGGGATGAGGAAAGGAACAGGGTAACATTTTCCCTCCATAAGTATGGTTCTCCCCTTTCATCCATCTATTATATTTTGCCATCTGACAGTAAAGCAGTATGCAATATTTAGGGTTCTTGGGGCTTCTTAGAGACTTATTAGACAGAATTTACATTTGCCCCCAGAAGGAATGCCTGTCAGTACAGGTCCCACTATACTTAGCTACACGGGGTGTGGGAGTTAAAGGGAACCTTGGAGAGAGGGAGTGGTCCCTGTCTCCTGCATACTCTACTGGCTGTGCTTATTCTGGCAAAGCCTAGTGGAGAGTTGAGGCAACCATCCAGATAATTCCTGCTGAAAACCTCCTGTAGAAGAAAAAAGGTCTAAATTATCCTGGTTTGCCCTATGTATACATTAATCATATGCACTAGAGTCAGTCAGTCAGTATATCAAAATTTTCCCTGGGTAGACACAGCCCCAGTGTCCCAAAGAAAACATGAGCCATTTGCTTGGGCCCTGAATCTCGTATTCCATTTCACTTGGTGAAAAACCAAGTGGAAGTTTTCAGATGTGAAGCCCACATTTCACTTCTTGGGATGATGATCAGTGGCTGGGCAGCAACCTCAATGTTTGAAAGCAGCTGGGGAGGTGCCTCTAAGAGCTGACTGGCTCTTAGGAAAAGAAGGCGAGACTGTGCCCTAGCTTCCATATTCTGGCTTGCTCTCTGTTTTTCTCTCTTTTTCTCCCCCATTTCCCCCTCTCTACCTCTGTCTTTATCCCTTTCTTTTTCTGCCCTTTTATTCTCTTTTCTTTTTACTTGTTTTCTTTCTCGCTCTTTCTTTTTACCTATCCCATTCTTCCTCTCTATCCTATCTCCCTCTGCTTCCTTCTTCCTTCTCTTCTTAAGTTTTCTTTTGTTGTCTTTGGGAAAATATAAGAACCTAGCCATCACAGAAAACAAAAGTAAATGAGGAAGAAATCAAATAGGTAGAGTTCATATTTTTTACTTGCTAATCTTTAGCCAGGGAATTGTTGCTGGCTTCTATCAAGCAAGTGCCCCAGTTTCCCCTTCACCCTGGGGTTGTATGTCTGCATCCAATGACTGTGATCTGGAGACTGATACATTAGGCCCATGTCCTGTTTTTGTATGGCTTGTGAGCTAAGAATGATTTATATATTTTTAAAGAGTTGTAAAAGAGAAGAATAAGAAGATATGATGCAACAGAGACCATATATAATCTACGAAACCTAAAATATTTACTATCTGGACCTTTACAAAGAAGTTTTGCCACCCCTGAATTAAAGACCAAGGAGGGTGGTTGGGTTTGGAAAAGTTCCAAATAATCTAAGCAGAAACAGGTATCAAGTTAAGACATTGCCAGCCCATAGTTAGTAGTAGTCCCTGACAGGCAGTGGGGTTTGCCCTCATAGGGTTGTGGTTTTTTGGGAGACATTTTAGAAACCTTCAGAAAACGTTTTTAAAAGCTTGTTACCACGAAGAGATAATAAAGAAACGTTTTTCAAAAAAAAAAATCCCTAAATCCACAGCACATATGAATACTCACTAAATCTTGCCTTGACTTGTTCCGGCAAATTTAGCAACTGAGTAGCAAGAATCCCTTAAAAGACTTTTTCCACATAAAAATATAAGATATCCCTTAAATAAAAGGTCACTAAGTCATTTCTTTGCAAGCTGTGGTTTGATGTAACTTGTGATGACAGAAAAGACCAAAAGGGGCTGTGTCTGATAGCCTTCTGTTTCTCTAGACCAGTCTGCGAAACCACAGCAGATTATCAGACATGAAACAAAGCCAAGTACATTTAACCTGTTCATAATCTTCAACAATTAGAGAAAGAAAAAAGTCTCCTTGAACATAGTTTTGATAGGGTGCTTAAATTGATATAATTAATTTTTTCACATTATAAGTGCAAATGAAATAAAACTTTTTCTTTTGTCTCTGCTGGGAGTTGACAGAGAGTTAGGAAAATATTCTGGAATACAATGCCTTGCCACTAGACTCTCCTTGGGATATGTACTTATTAGAGAAATGAAAAAAACATCATGCCAGTAGCACCAGTATTTGTAAAAAGCAAAGAAAGTTGCTACCTAAAGCCTTATTAAAAACAAAGCAAATTCAATTTTAAAATATCTTTCAAGGGCCATTGTATAAAACAAAATTCTAGTGCATTTAGAGGAGAAATAGAATTAGATCTAGAAAAGTGACTTAAAAGCAAATTATGCCATTCATTAACGAAGGAAAAAGGCAAACTGAAGGAGGAAATAGAAGCAGGAAGAATGGCAGCCACAAAAGAAATTGCTTCTAATGGGAAACATACACTTTTCCAAAAGAATTCAGTACTTTCTTAATTCTCAGGCCATTGAGTCTACTGCAGATGTAGGCAAGAAGGACATGGGAGAAAAAACTCTATATTCATGAATTTCTATGTGGTCTTACTCCTGCCTACTAACCATCTGATTTCTCAAACTAATCAATCAATTAGCTCCTTATAAATTATTTTTGTGTTGACACCTCCACTAATGTCAAGGTCATTATCAGCAGCATATAGGATATATTTTTTAAGAAGTTAAAAGACAGATACTTAGCCTGTAAACAAAAGCATAATTTATTACTTTCCAGATTCATATAATAGTAATTTGATATGCTTAAATTCACAGTTATGCACAGCAGCTATTATTAGTTAAAAAGACACACCATTAGGGTGAGACAGGATGCATCAAAACAGATAATACTCCATTAATTTTTGGTGAACGTTAGCTAATTTATAGCTATCAACAATATTTATAAAACCTATAGGTTAATATATCAAGACCTAAAATCAAGCCTACATATGTTTCCTATATATCAAAGAAAAATATATTATTCACCACTACATAGTTGGGGAAAATATCACACATTTGCTATAACTAGAGGCTTACAGTGGGTTACCTTATATCACTAAAAATACTATCTGAGTTTTATATAATGATTCTAAATACTAACCTACTGGCATAGTTACACACATTGACTCTATCTTGGCTGATGTTGCTAAAGATTTTAGGTCTTGATTCTGTCTCTGACAGATGTAAGATTCTGTGTCTGTTGTTTGCCATGGAGACTGAGGCTACATAATGTTAAGTTAGCCGTGTGTGTGTGTGTGTGTGTGTGTGTGTGTGTGTGTGTGTGTATAGGAAGAGTTTTTTTTTCTTTTTCTTTTTTTTTTTTTTTTGAGACGGAGTCTCGCTCTGTTGCCCAGGCTGGAGTGCAGTGGCGTGATCTTGGCTCACTGCAACCTTCGTCTCCTGGGTTCAAGCAATTCTCCTACCTCAGCCTCCCAAGTAGCTGGGATTACAGGCATCTGCCACCACGCCCAGTTAGTTTTTGCATTTTTAGTAGAGATGGGGTTTCACCACATTGGCCAGGCTGCTCTTGAACTCCTGACCTCAGGAAATCTGCCTGCCTCGGCCTCCCAAAGTGCTGGGATTACAGGCGTGAGCCACCGTGCCTGGCTGGGAGCCTTTCTAAATATGTGTGATATTACTTGTCCTACAAAAACCTTTCCTGCCCTCTCCCCTTCCAAATTCTTGGCTTGATAATTCACAGTTAGCTGAGCTAAATTTCTTAGGCAGGAGTTTTGTTCTCTATAGTATGAGGGTCCTAATTAATTTTGATTAATCATTGACTCAGCAGCTAACATGAATTTGCTGAGACCTGATGACTACAGGGAATTGTGTGTATTTACAGTTCTGAGTTTGGAGGCTATATTGCTAGTAATGAATCCTGTACTTTCACATTTCACCTGTGGGTGAGTGGGGAAGCATGACGGTGTGAAGAATCCACTCTGAATGCTGTCCACATTTCTGTCTTCTTTCTCTTCTCTCTTCACCTCTTCACAGAGAGTAGAGGTAGGGAATGGGACACATTTAGAGAAGATTGAAAGAAACATAAAGTGGAGAGTAGCAAAGAAAGCAAACCTGCAAAATACCCTCCACCTCTTTCTTTCTCTCTTCTGAAGCCCTAAAAGCTTGTAGTGTAACTAATTCTCACTGGTGCAGCCTTAATGAACATGGAACAAAGCCACTTACTACTTACAGTCTTTTCTGTGTTTCCTCCAGTACTTAAGACAATCTTATCCTGGTTTTATACTATGTTTTTTTGTTTGTTTGTTTGTTTGAGATGCCTGTTCTTTGTGCCACCCAAACAGCAGATTTCCTGAATGAAATTCTACATAATCAACTCTAACCTCTACCTCAAACTTTGATGAGAAATATTATTCTATTGACCTCAGTACATTGCTGGACATATTGAAGTACAGTTTTTTTCTCTCTTGACTTTAACATGAAGGGGATAATGGACACGTTCAATTTTATTCCATGTGAGTAAAGTTCACACAATATGTTAAATTTCCATGATTGTTCATGTCACCCCTCCCTCAAACTTTTTAGGTCACACACATCAGATTGTCTGGAAAACGATTTTATTACTCCCCAAAGACAACTTAATTAAATGGTGTCCAATCTGTTCGGCTATTAGAGGAACTAGTGGCAATGAATGCTTACAGATCCATGTACAAAAATGTTTTTTTGCATGCCTCACTTCAGAAGTGACTAGGGATCATCTGACACCAGATGTATTCTCTAGTCATTTGTCATTTCATTGTCAGCACAATCACATGGCTAGTACTAAGCATTAAAGAATTGAAGATTAGATTAGTGAGGAAAGTCTACCAAATGCAAGAATGTAATCAGACATTATACTTTTTCCCTTAAATTACTGAAAGTCTTAGGATTCCTTCATGGAAAATTGAGCATAAAGACAAATGAAAAGATAATTCGACACATGAGGCTAAATTCATGAATATAATTTAAAAAGATGTGGCCAATAAACCATAAGCATGATAATATTTTTAGTTTTCTAGTGTATTTCTTGAATGCAATCATGCATGAACAACTCACATAGGGATCCTCATAGTCTTTCTATAAATAGAAGGGGAAATTGAGGTAAAAACCTTCCAAGGATTTTTTTTCTCTTCAAAGTCCACTTAGACATCTGTAGCTTTTTCTAAAGCTTCATCCAAAACTGGTTTAATTTATAATTGTTAATAAATATTGCATATGCACCTTTCAGCACCTTACTTTCTTACTTTTAAAGGGAAACAAAGAGTACAGGATTGGGTTGTTTCTACTTTTAGTTTTAGAATGCTATTTTCTCCATCTGACCAGTGACCCTCAGCCTGATTCAATAACTTTTTACATTTTTGGTTTTTATTTAATCTCTACAGAAACACTGAGATAAGATAGGCCCAAAAGCATAAATGGTACTCATCCAAAAATGTCCCCAATCTCAGGATCTCAATTGCACAGCTGGGTTCTGTTGGTCACATGTCAGCTTCAGAGCACATCTGTTCATTCCTCAAGGATCCTCTAGGCCCCATGAACACAATGTGCTCTGTGTAGAGTAGTTTATACCACAAAAACCAGCAGCTGCATGGGTGAGAAAAATCTCTACTTCTCAAGTTTGTGTCTCTAGGCAGTTTGAATAGGGTGTTTTCTATCTGGCTTTCTTCTGGTTGCCTGTCACTTCTGACATTCAGATGCCTGTTGGCAACAAAGTTGCTTTCGCTATTCTCAGGGACAGATGTTTCTAGTCTGGGAAAAGACAGACCAAACTTTTACTGGAAAGTAAGAATTCTTGCCATATTTAGGCACCCAACCTGAGAAAACATAAGGAAGATCCTGGCCACAGGCTCAAGAATGGAAAGGTAGTCACTGCCAGGAAAATAATGTCCAGATCGGAACACTCAGTTTCAGCATTTAGGAAAAATATTTGCATTAAATCTCCCCATCTCTGCTGGTTCACAATGGCCAAAGGACAACATATTCCTGGTAGGGCATGGGTGGTACAGACACCCCCAGCTCACCTTGGAAAGTGACATCTTTGTAACCAAGGTTTCTGAGAATTCTTGGTTATATGAGAGAGAGAGAGAGAGAGAGAGAGATTTTCATGTACTTTCGAAACTGTGTACATTGGAAAGGTTTGTGTGTTGATGAGGTTGAGTTGGAATACCGTGAGAGTAGTACAAAAAGACTGAAGATACATCAAAAGTGAAGACATTAAATATGAATGGGTTTATGTCATAGATGTCATTAATTTGATTCATAGAAAATTATTGTTGTGGATCAAGAATGATTTTATGAAGTCTGCTTTCATAGTCCTCAAAGGCCTCATTGCTAGTTTTCAGAGGAAGGAGTAGTCTTAGGTCAACATGTTTTAAATGAGATGTGAGGGACAAACACAGCTTATAATACTGTAACTAGGTTTCCCCCCCAACAGGAATGTGTCTGTATTTATATAATATAAGCTGTTAAATCTGTACCAATGGTTGAAAATACAGACCACAGAAGCTTCTTTAATAGCACATATACACCAAGTCCAAAATGTTCTACTCTGTCATTCATGTGTAAATCAAGTATATTATTCATATACTTCATTGACTTCCTGAATGCATGCTAAAAATGCCAAGGAAAAACTCGTTAATCCTGACATGGTGACTGCTCAGCTAACTCTAAAATGTTGATGGAAAAGAAAAATTGTCAAAGGGCCTTTTTAAGAGCCTCTGCAGGTTACACTCGCAAATCGGAATTCAGAGAACATGAATTTCCTCGTTCAGGAAGGAAGGATTAAAATCAAACACCCTCCAGTGGTTGCATCTAAAAACTGCATAGTTGTCCCAAATGGCTTACTTGTAAAAGGAGTCTTCCTGTGCACCATTGAGGACCCAAGATCCAAGCCCCTACTCAGTCTGATTTTAAAGCATTAAAAGAATTTTCTATGGACTATAAAATCTCTGCCCATCCTGACGACATTTTTCAAACAAAATCAATAAACATCTATGAAGCATCTAATGAGCTCAAGTCTTCTGCTAGATGACTATAGGGATACAAAAATAAATGAGATATAATCCCTGTCCTCATGGAGTTTATAATCTTGCTGGCTAGAAAAGACATAAATAGATGAAAAGCTAGTAAAATTATTTTAAAATGCAAAATGTCACAGGAGTACAAATTTACTGTCAAATAAGTGATTATACATCATGAATTCTACAGCTGGAGAGATTATTATGGACTTTTCACAGAGGCAATGATATGGAGAAGGATAAGTAGGATTTGCAAAGTCATAGAGGACTAACATGAACAAATGCATTACAGGGACATACAATGTATATCAAAGGCACAGTTTGGCTAGAGTGGAAAGTATGAGTAGAGGAAGTGGTAGGAGACAAATTTAGGAGATAAATCTGGGCTGGCAAAAGATTGTATAAGTGTTTAGCTAAGGGTTATAAATTTTATCCTGTAGTAAATAGTGAATGATTCATTTGTTGAACACAGAAGTGACATGATCGAGGAGATGTACTTGATATTAGTGGGGCTGAATGGATGGGAGGAAAGATAAGGAAGATAGAGGGATAATTAACATTGAAGGAGTTAGATAATTAGGGCCTACACTAGGATGGAAAAATGAGAATGAAAAAAATGCAAGGGACACTGAATTTGGGAGAAAGACACAGAAGAATGAAAAATGACTCTGAGGTACCAGGATGTTCCTTGGAGAAACAACAAATGTAGAATAGTATTTCAAGTCGTAAAAATGGGGTATCAGGATGTTCCTTGGGGAAAAAATAAATATAGGATAGTATGGGGAAAACTGCAGAAAGAAAAGAATGAAGGACCATGATAAGAAGCTTGGGGAATTCTTACATTTGTGGAGCAGGAAAAAATAAACCAGTAAATATTGCCTTCTTTGTTCCTTTCCATGCATTTCTAAGTGTGCATACTAACGTGCACACATCAACATACACAGACATAAATGAACGCTAAGAAAAGAGATGAACAATCAAAACCCATTTGTTTCCATTTGTCTCCTGTCAGCTTAGTGACCAAGGCAGCCTGCTGGTAATCTGAATAAATGTTATTGAGGAGCAGCATGATCTAGCAGAGTGAGAACCAAAGTCAAATAAATCTAGGTTCCACTGCCAGCTCAACCATTTGCCAACTGTTTGATCTTGGACGATTTTGGGGTTTGCTTCCTCAGCATGAGGATATAAGTACCTACTCTCTCGCAACACAGGGTTACTGTAAAAATGAAATGAAGTAATGTATGTGAAATTATTTTATACACTGTCAAGTACTGGTAATATAAGCTTTTTATTTTGTTATTATCACATGTTGAAAGTAACATGTTATGATTTGTAGTTACCAGTTCAATCTTCCCCTCTCAAGGATATTAGTACTTATATGCAAATAAGTTCTAGAACTTATATTTTCCTCAATGGCATTTTAAGCTCTTCGAGAGCAGGGACTATGTCTTAGATTTCTCTGTGTTCCCCTTATACTTTACTGTGTATGTGTATGCACTCTGGATGTTAATGGGAAAAAACTACATATTTTGCCTTGAAACTGAATTTATTCTGAAAGCCTCAATATAGTCTTCAATGTGTAGCATAACTTAAAAATAGCATTCAAGCCTAGCATTCAAGTGTCTTGAAAATAATTTAAGTACACAGTGAGAGTGCTGTACCCAATGGCCTCATATACCTTTTTAAGTGGATTTTTCCATAAATCTGGAAATAAGTGACAAGGCATAATGAATAACAAGGTTGAAAGGCATAGATTCAAAGCCATTAGTAACAATAATTGTAGGTATAAGTAGACCCTCAGTGACAGAAGACCAGCTTTGCAACTGAAATATATTGAAAAGGCTTTAACTAACTTTTACAGATTTTTTTAAAAGATCATAATGCTTTTCAGGATACTAAGGCAATATAATAAAAATGACCATTATGGCACAATTTAGAAATCATACCCAAAATATTAGTGAGAATGCCTTTAAAAATATTCAGGTGCTAGAAAGTCAGAACACAGGCATATGGGAAAAATTTGGATTTAAGAAACTCTACTGTGAGAAACAACTGTCTAAATACTTGGCTCTGATGTTTGAAGCCTTCACATAACATCCTAAAAGAAACAGAACGTTTTAAACACAAAATTTGAAAGTACTTACTTCCACTTGGAATCAGGTCTCTTTCTGGGATGAAGAGTTTATATCCATAGTGTTTTTCCAGGACATCTGGCAGTACTTCAAGAGCAAACTGCTCTTCTTCAGGATTGTCACAGTCTAAAGTATCTTGGTCCACTTTTGTGTAAGAGAGATAGGCATCATATTCCTTGTTGTCTTAAACATAAAGAACAACAAAAGGGTTGTAACTATTAACAGGTTCTCTTTGAGTACTAAGAGGCAGGAATAGCACAATAATTAGTGACCGTCTTTAATAATTGGAAAAAAATAAGTCACATGCCATGTTATAGGAAATCTAATCCCTTTCAAAATAACCTAGTCATATATGAATTGAAACTTATGCAATGGGCCACCTATAGTCAGAACAGAATAAAAGAGAGAATTATTATTTGTGACTTTCAGTGACTATATGCATTTGTAATACTCAATGATGTGTGAATGATTAGCTCAGTGTGTTTGAATGCAGGACTAAATAGACCAAAGTCATGGATTTAACCCCTTTATTTTCCAGTTGGCTTGGCTCTGTTACTTGGCCACAGACTATACCTTGTTTGCACAAATATGTGCAAAAGATCCAACAGGGGCTGGGCCCTAGAGTGTGGAAGATTGAAATAATCCAGCCTTGCTCCTGGAGACACTGTTCACAGCACATGCCATAGTTCCAGTTGGTTAGTGTCATCATCTTCATATACAAAAAGCAGTTCATTACCAAATATTAGAGACAGCAGCTGGGTTTTATACAAGTGCGTTACCTGTTATTCTTGTTCAGTTCATGGCCAACTAATATGACACAAGCTTCCAAAAGAAGCCTTTGTTTCAAAATATACATCCGTCCAGTATTGCCAAATTAGATTTTCCCTCCACACATTTAGTCAGGGAGTTAACTGTGCTTTGCAAGTGTATTTTTTCCTCTTTTTGCTGTATTGGCTCAGAGCCAGTCTCTCCAGAGAGAAAATGTGCATGTATGCATACAATTTTTTTTCCTGCAAAATGTTAATGAACATAGCTACTTGAGGTATTAGTTTCTGAAGGTTTTAGATGGGCCACATCCATACTGAAAAAGTTATAGTGAGATTTTCAAAATTCCCTTATTAAAAAAAATTTTTTTAAGTTAATGTAGTGAGCACAGACTCATGTGAACTATTCGTAAACCCAGTTACTTACAAATAATAACTGCGAAAGACTGTTAAAAATTTCAGGATTTGTTTCTCAAACACATCAATATTTTCTATTAAAACATACCTAATTAGAACATATCTAAAACCTGACCAAAAGGTAATTTATAAAATGAAGCAGCCACTCATTTACTTCCAGCATAACCCACACCATGATTTCATTCTACATGCTGAAGGAGGAATAAATGATAGACATATGATGTGCTGTAGATACCCTCTTTTAGGAGTAGATGAGACCTCCCTATCTCTGAAGTAGGATTATGTTGTTCTAATTTTAGTAAGATTTTAGCCTTCACCACTCTGAAACAAAAGAAATTCTGGTTATTTGTATTAAGATGGTGCCTGAAGGAAGGAGAAAGGGTTAATACTCTTTAGCATCTTTTCTGGCTGCAAAAGGCTTCCATAAACCTTGGTTGGATTACTTGATTGCCTGGAAGCAGATGTACATGAAGGACTGCCCTGGGTAGTTGAGATCATTTCGCTTACAAGTTGGGCGCATTCCACTGTTGTGCATAAAATTCTGCTTGGAAGTGAGAATGTTCATAAGCAATGCTAATGTAAGAACCTCCTGGTAATCCTAGCACCTCTGCCCTTGTTCCAATCACGTGCAGGATACACCTGCAGGCCCCTGACTTTCTCCAGCTATAATTACTCACCTGGGACTCAGGGCTGCCGATGATACACAGCTGGAAGAATAAAATAGGCCAAAGGACAAATAGCTCCATTCACATGAGCAGAATATATTTCATTGTTCTTGATAGATAGTGTTGCTGCCTCAAACTCCATAATGTCAGACCAGACCCTGTTACTCTCTCTGACTTTGATAACTTTCCTATTTCACAAACCTCCCTAAATTGAACCACTTATTAATTCATTCAACAATTATTTGTTGAGCATCTGCAATGGCTACTTGACTTCTTTACCCATCTGACCAGACCTTCTAGACTCCTGTCCTATTGCTTGTACTATGGTTATTTGTCTTCCAAACATACTAAACTCACATATTCTTGGTTCTGTCCTTACTGGCTCCACCTATATTCTGATATTGCAGTTCAATGCTACAAAGACTTACCCCTAGAAAGTACTTCTATACTTACATTTTCTAAGATGTGACAAAGAGCATGCATGTCCTTGGTACGTATTAACACCCAACACATCTGGATTATAAATTTTACCTCGCATTCTAGAAGCACACCATTCGTTGAAAAAATGAATGCTTCTGGTTTCATTCGTGTCCCTTTAAGATGAACTAAAGGTGAAGAGCTTATGGTGGCTGGCCAGAGCAGGAAGACAGCTCTCAAAGCCACCATGTCAGATGTCCCAAAAGCTCTAGGATACCAGCTAGTGAGCCAGCAGTGACACGGATGCTACAGTTTAAATAATGCACTTCAGCCTTATGTAGACAGCCAAGAAAACCTCATGAATAGCTGCAGCTGTTGCTCACAAAGAGGAGCAAGATAGATAAAGCAAAATCAACAACATGATGCAAATAAGGTTAACAGCAAGGCCTGAAAATAGTTTCTAAACCAAAAGGCTGTTCAGCAGCACCACTTTTCTAGGCAAGGCTAATGAGCCTTCCTTTGTGCTAAATCATGCTGCCTAAGCTCATCTGAGGAACCAGGAAATAGAGCACAATGCAGACAGAACAGTGTAAGGAAGAGGGCTGGCACAGTGGTTACCATAGGTATGCTGTTCCTAATAAAGAGAGAAGTTATAAGGAAGATAACGAAACGTTTTGTAGAAGAATTTTCCTATTGTTACGTCTGTCCTTTTCTGTTTTAAAATCTGATTCGAATCCTGTTCCCTATCAAGAAGCCATTTGTGTTTATAACTCAGTTGTTCCGCAGCTGTGCTAAACAGAGTGCTAAACTCCTAGTTTCTACAGAGCAAATACTGTGTAATCTTGTTGATTATTATATACCTACTACCTACTATAGTATGTGTGTGTGTGTGTGTGACTGCAGTGTTGATCCAGATGAAGAATATAAGTAAATGCGTCATGCATAGTCCCTGCCATTTAGTAGACACTTAAATATTTAATGACTGAAAAACTGAAAGGTTAAATAAATGAAGCAATCATTGGTGGGGTGAAATAAAATGAATTAAATTTTAAACATGGCTAAGAAGTTAAAGTTTGTTGGATGGATTTTATTTTATACAAAATCAGGCATTTTTATAATAACTTTTAGGAAATACTATTATAGATATTGTCATAGAGCATGAAGAAAAAGCATATGGTTAAAATTAAGTTGTGTCTATGTTATGTCAAAATATTTCAATAGTGAAATGAAAAACTTGATAGATTATCTGGATGACATTTGGCATTCTGTAACTGTAGATTTCCAAAAGGCAGTTAAAATTCATTTATTCATTTTCACCATATACATGTTGACTTTTTAGTATTCCACTGAAGCTAATACAGAGGTTATATACTTAAAGTCCAAGGTTCTATGCAGAAAAATAAAATATTTTAACCATCCTTCCTAATGAAAACACTTGAAGTACCCTCTCCCCATATTGCATTTCCCCCCAAACAATGAATTTGGAATCAATACATAAAATTATGTAATCAAAATGCTCTATATTACTGGACACCTTTGAAACCATGAGCCACATTGCAGATAAAGATGCAAAGTGGAATATTTAATTCCTGAAAAATTATATCATATCAGCATAAAATTAATCTTACAAATATGTACTACAACTGATCAGTTAGTCTAGGTTATTGGGTATCAGTGATGAAGGTAATTAATTATTGTAGATTAACATAATAAATTGTATAATCTTAGAGATTAACAAACTGCATATTATCAGGACTCAAAACATATTAATCACAGAAGCCTCCCTTTCATATTTTTATTTATTTTATTCTTTTTTCTTTTAGATACAGGGTCTCACTCTGTCGCCCAGGCCAGAGTGCAGTGGTGCGATCATAGCTCACTGCAACCCTGAACTCCTGGATTCAAGCGATTCTCTTGACTCGGCCCCCACGACTATCTGGTACCAAAGGCATGCACCACCATGCCCAACTAATATTTTTTAAACTAATTTTTGTAGAGATGAGGTCTCCCTATGTTGCTCAGGCTGGTCTTGAACTCCTGGGCTCAAACAATCCTCCTGCTTAGGTCTTCCAAAGTGCTGAGATTTTGTGAGCTACTGTGCCTGGCCCCTTTTATGTTCTTTTACATAGATAATACATCTTTTACCTTCACAATTGGATAGTTTAGCCACTTGCTGGCACCTGGGAACCAGGGACATTTCCCTCAGTAACACATTCTCTCTAGTTTTTTTTTCTGTGTACAGATAAGAAGTCAAGATTTTTCAATATTAACTGTTGTATAGAGGAAGAACTGAGGGTAATTGATCATATTTCCATATATATTGTCAGTGTATACAATAATTATTGGAATAGGCCTTAATTTTTCATTTCTAAGATATGTCTGAATAAGAGTCTGTAGTACTTTTAAACTGGCTGCTGTAATTGCTGAGTAAATGTGTAGATTTGAAAATGAGCAAATGAGCATGCATATGTACTCATCAAAAAGCATTTCACGCCAGGTGCAGTGGCTAATGTCTGTAATCCCAGCACTTTTGGAGGCTAAGTCCAGAGGATTACTTGAATGCAAGAATTTGAGACCAGCCTAGGTAACAAGGTGAGACCCTGTCTTTACAAGAAATAATAATAATAATAATAATAATAATAATAATAATAATAAATTGGCCAGGCATGGTGGCATGCACCTGTAATCTCAGCTACTCAGGAGGCTGAGGCAGGAGGATTGCTTGAGTACAGGAGTTCGAGGCTGCAGTGAGCCAGGATTGCACCACTGCACTCCAGCCTGGGTGACAGTGAGACTCTGTCTCAAAAAAAAAAAAAAAGACAAAACAAAACAAAACAAAAAACACACATTGCTTTGCAGTTAACAAAAAAAAAAGAATTTCTGTAATTTACTATGAAAATATGAAAGTCAATTAAAACCCACCCATATGATCATTCACATAATAGTAACAATAAGACCAAAATCAGATTCCTCAAAAATTTTGACATTACATCTATCACTATAAAATTAAAATCAAAACTGTGAATTTCTCTTTTTTGAGGTAAGACCACCAACTCAAAAAAATAAACAAAAGCCTCAACCTTACTTATTTTGGTACAATGAAAACTCAGTTTTAAGTCTGTCTTTTTAAACTAATGTTTTCCAAATTGGACTACTTTCTAAAAAATTTTTGGCTTACCTGTGGCATTCTATACACATTTCCAAGGCTTACAGCAGTTTCGGGATGAGAACTTTATGTATAAGAAGCTACATGCCATGATTTCTTATTGATTTTGATTGGAAACATGGCAGTTTGTACTCTTGAAAAAAATTAAATCATTTTAAATGTTCAAAGAAACAAAGCTCAGTACACTGCTTTATCGATATTTCACTCATAAGATTTTCAAAATTCATAAACAGCAAATATAAGAAAATTATGAGCTACACTCTGAATTTTTATTCTTTCAGGTCACCTTTGAGAATGGTGCTATAAGCATTCAAAATATGTAGATACATGTACTTTGAGCTTTAAAAGGATTGTCTCCATAGCTTTCAATCTGTTTCTTGCATGATTGCTTGTTTTGTAGATGGCAGCAATGGCTATAAATGATCTGTACTTAAGTTTGCATTTTCTGAAAAAAATTGGAATTGATTCTTAATTTGCTTCTTACTAAGGGGGAGGGATTTGACAGCAATTGTTTTATCTCCTGAGCAACTAATGTCTCATTGTTAAACTTTTTATTGGAAATAAAGTCAAATGTATAGGAATATTATAAAAATAAAACCATTTCAAAAAACATACATAGCATTTACTCAGATTTACCTATTGTCAATATATTCTCCTCTTTTCTCTTTTTCTTGGTAAGTCTTCTAAACTATTTAAAGGTAAGTAACTTGCCATAGCCCTTTACCCCTAAATATTTCAGCTTATACTTTCTAAAAATAGGGAAGTTCTCTTACATAATCACAAATGCATGCCGTTTAATGGAATTTGAACAATAGAAGACAGCTTACCATCATTAGTTTCATCAGCTCCAAAGTGCTGCCTGTAGAAGAGCATCAATTCAATGTTGTAGCATTTGTAAATGACCACCAGCAGTACAAGGAGGAGGAAGATTGCTCCCAGGCCCCCTGCAAGCTCAATTTTATAGATTAAATCTGGAGCGAACAGAATAAACAGGAAAAGGTAATTAAATCAGCAACACTTGGGATCTTCCCATATTTCTAGTATATAAGATGTACTAACATTCTGTTTTCCTTTCCAGAAAATTCTTGCTTAATGCAGTAGCTTTGCTCTTGATACATTTGTATGAATCAAATTTTTGTAAAATAAACTATTTAAAATTTGATTAATTTACTATTAAAAGTGGTAAGTCTATCTGAAAAGGAATAGTTGCTCTCAATTCGTTTTGAACGCATCTAAGATGTCACATATATGCTTTTGCTCTAAATGTATTTCAGGGAACTATTAAAGCTACTTTATTCTGGGTCCAAGGCCAATATTTTCTTATTTCTGTTTAATTATCTTATTGGTTTAGCAAGATTACCATCTAGTACTTCTCAGGCCACAGGCCCTATTCTTTTGCAGAACAACATCATAAAATTACTTTCAGAATCAAATAAAATCTAATGAGTTTGCAGGATTTAACTGTTTCATTTAACCCCAGTAGAACATAATCCAATATAAGGTAAGCAGGTAAAATTAGCTTATCCATTTCCCCTACTTATTTGAATAAATGACTGTAATAATATATATGTGATATAATATGCCCAATGGAGCTAAAACAGAATGAGAAATCCAGGCTAATCACTTGGCCTCTTCAGCCAACACCAGCCTACCTGATAGCAGACTTAGGCTGCTCCAGGGGGGCATCCCTAGAACTCTGAGCATTGGAACAATTAAATCAAAATATAATGGAAGAAGACATAATGTCTCCCAGGCTCAGGGAACAGTGACTTAACCTGTAGTTAATCAGTGATATTAATAAATATAAAGAGTGTATCATCAAAAGATGGTATGGTATCATGAAATTTAGAGAAAATGGGAAGTCAGAGGAGAATCTAGAATGTGAGTTCAGCAATGTCCATAGGAAAAATACTGAATCTGAGAGACATCAGACCAGAGACGTATTTTCCACAGGGACATTATCGGTCTCATTATAATTAGATAAAATTACCTACAAGATTACCTAACCTCCCTTTAACGTAATTACATAATTACCAAGTGACTATTTTAGTACTAATTCAGCTTACCATGTAACTGGAAACTGGAAAAGAGAGAGACAATCTAGTTTGTACATCAGTTCCTTGTGAGTTTAGTTGGCATCAGTCAGTCTTCCTGGATGGATCAATTCTGGGGCACTGTCAAAATCAAATTGCTGACCATTGACAGTCTGTCACTCTTGAAAGCCAGACTGTCAACCTTTCTCTAGGAATGTCCCTTATGTCTATACAGGATTATTGCTTAAGAGAAATTAGCCAGGCTCAATATAACAAGATCCATTTAGTAGTTTATATTTTATAAAAAAGAATATATATATATGTGTGTATATATGTGTGTATATATGTGTGTGTGTGTGTGTATATATATATATATATATACACACACACACACACACACACACATACACACACACAGAGAGAGAGAGAGAGAGAGAGAGAGAGAGAGAACAGCCAATCAGGAGAGTCATAGAATGGAAATGTAAGAAACACAAATAAATGTCACTCTTTTTGAGTATGGAGAGAGGGGGAAGGATAGAAAAAGGAAGAGAGTGGGGCTGCTGTGAAGGACAAAATATGCCAACAAGGAATATTGTGAGGGCACACACAATGAATAGGGGTAGGAAATTGGAATATGTGTCTGTCATGCCTGCTGCAGGAGGTGGTCTTTTAAAAAACTAAGCCACAAAATTTCAGGTAAAAAAAAAATTTCACCACATAATTAGCAATGCTTCCTGCCCTCTATGTAAAACGTGGCTCTCCAGGAACCACTACCTTCCTCTGCCTCTGCCTATGTTGGGGATAAAGCAGGCTTTCTTAAGAAATCTCTGTGGGCTGCAAATCACAATTTTTACTTGTTTTCTCACCATCTTATATACACCATCAATTATACATTATTAAAAGCCAATTTTAAATAGAGCAATACAGTTTTCTTTGTTACTCTGAAAACTGACTTCTCTTTCATCTTGGGGCATTAATTGACTTGATTCAAAAGGTTTTTCCTGTTTTAAGATGTTCACTTTATGCTATAAATTTTTTGGTCTTTCTGTCTCTCTCTCTGGTCAGAAGAGCTTTCAAATGTTTTAAAAGTCGTGGAATGGGAAGTTTTTCAGCAATTTCTATGTTATTTACAGAGTAGAGTTGCTATTAGGTAGATGGAAAACTTCAGCAGCAGGAACAATTTGTGCTCTCAAGTAGCAGATATTTTTTCAGCAGTAAATTTATGGAAGAAAACCATGGTGAAAAAAGTACCTTTGTGATTTTGGGGTCCATTTTATAAAAATGTCTTTGAAAGATATTATGTAATGATGGCTGTTCAAGTTGAAAACTGTGAACCTAGGCCCAGAGACTCAACCAGATTCTTTGATTCAGCCCAGGCAGTCACATCAAAAGGGAAACATCTATCCTATAATCAGAGGGCAGAATTGCCATCACCCTAATGACACCTGGATTTTCTTTTGTCTTCTATTTTCAATTGCAATTTTCAATCTCAGCAGGATCTATACTTCTAGGGACATTTACTGACTAAAAAATGGAAAGTTATTTTAGTTGGGCTGTGTCTTGTATATGCTTCACAAAGAGAGCTGTAGCAAGAACAGCAAATATTTATGGGCTTGTAACTTTTTCTAGGCACCCAAAGTACATGTGTAGCTCTTTTTACCTTCTTAGTTTGAACCCACCTATTTCTTCACTGTGAACACAAAGATCAGACATTATAGAATGGGACAAATAGCAACTGAAGCCAAGGGACTGGAGAGAGGGAATGCAGGGAATGTTTGAGCTTGCTCCTCTGACTCACAAGTTGGGAAGCAGGTTAGGAGATCCCACCTGAGGGCTTCTGTCATGGTCTGAATGTTTGTTCAAAATGCATATGTTGTAACCTAACCCCCAAGGTGATTATATAAGAGGGAGGCCTGGCCAGACACAGTGGCTCAAGCCTGTAATCCCAACACTTGGGGAGGCCGGGGCAGGAGGGTCGCTTGAAGCCAGGAGTTTGTGACCAACCAGGTCAACAAAGTGAAGCCCTGTCTCTACAAAAAATTTAAACAATTAGTCGGGCATGGTGGTGTGTCTGTAGTCCCAGCTACTCTGGAGGCTGAGGTGGGAGAATTACTTGGGCTCAGGAGTTTGAGGCTGCAGTGTGCTATGACTGAGCCACTGCATTTCAGCCTGGGCAACAGACTGAGACCCTGCCCTGTTTCTAAAAAAATAAAAAATAAAAAACGAGGGAAGCATGTGAGAGGTGATTAGATCATGAGGGTAGAACTTTCATAAATGGGGCCTGTTATAAGAGATGCCTGAGGAAACCTGTTTGCTGCTACTGCCATGTGAGGACACAAAGAAAGTGCCATCTATGCAAAATGGGTCCTTACCAGATACCAAATCTGTTAGTACCTTGATCTTGGTCTTCCTAGCCTCCAGAACTGTGAACAATCAATTTCTGTTGTTTATATACTATCCAGTCTAAGGTATCTTGTTATAGCAGCCCAAATGGACTAAGACAGAAATTGGTACTGAGAAGTGGGGTGCTGCTGTAACAAATACCTAAAGTTGTGGAACCAGCTTTGGAACTGGGTAATGGATAGAGGGTAGAAGAGATTTGAGGTATATTGCCATGAAAAGAGCCTTAAGGGCAATTCTGGTGAGGGCTTGGAAGAAGAGAGCTGTAGAGAATTCCTCAGTCATCTTAGAGATTGCCTAAATAGTCGTGATCAGAATATTAGTAGAAATATGAATGGTGAAGGCCATTCTGATATCTCAGACAAAAATGAGGAACAGGCCCCTACCAGACATGAATCTGCTGGTGCCTTGATCTTGGACATCCCGGCCTCTAGGATTGTGAGCACTAAATTTGTAATGTTTAAAAATTACCCAGTCTAAGGTGTTTTGTTATAGCATCCTGAGTAGGCTTAGAAAGTTTTCTATTCAGGTATGGTGGGACAGAGTGAAGCAGCAGCACTGAGAATGAAGAGAGAGAGATTCAATGATATGCCCCTGTTTTATGAGAAAGGAAGTATGTGCAGAGAAACAGAAATAATTATCAGAATTTCTTGAACCTAAGTTCAGACTCTTGGCTCACCAAAGAAAAAATTTAGGATGAACTTCTTACTGAAATGCTAGTTGCACTTACTGGCAAATTGTTCACCTGAGAATAAGGAAGTGGTAGGTGCAGACAGAAGACAGATAGGTAAGAAGATGGATAGGTTACAAAACTTGATCCTGTTAATTGGATATATTAGATGTGAGTTTTCATTTTACAAAAGCCCTTTTCACTTAATGAAAGGATGCATCATGTTTCTTCTCCATGATGATCACTTAAGGCATTTTAAATATTTGACTTACAGCTCATCAAGAAGTTATTGTTCCATAAAACAAGCCATACTAGTATTCCAAGTAGGAATACTACTGCCAATGAGGCCAGGCTATGATGTGATAAAGCTTAAAAGGTCCAACTCCAAAGGAAATATCTTAAGTTTCTCAAAACAAGCCAGAGCTTGTTCTGACTTAAAAAAATTATGACAGTTCCATAAGGATTCTTGCTCTTTCTTGGGCTTCCACTATATTGTCAGAAGCTCCTAAGGAGACCAAGTGAGGGAAGATTAACTGCATACTTTTGTAAAGCACAATGAAATCATTTAACTGCTACCTAGAACGGAGAGTACAAACTGGTATACTATGGGCCAAAAAATTGGTTTTGTTGGATCACACAATGTTTCAAAAATGAATACTAATATTTAAAAATTAAAAGACATCATATCCAGTCTTTCAGCTTCACTTGAAAACTTCAAAGCTCTCATATCCCTGGGCATATATTCCAGCAAAAACAGCAGTAATCTTATAGAACAAAGTAGTTGTTGCCCTTTTAAAGCAAGGCATGTTTTCTCTGGTCTATGTTTTGATTTTGTCTAATATCCAGCCCTCTTCTTAAAAAATTCAGTATTTTCCTGGGACCTGAGGTCTTTTGAGTTTGCGAACCCTGGAAAGTAAACAATACTTGAAAAGAAAAAATGCATTTAGCTAATTCAGGGAAGACATTAGTCATGACAAAATCACAGATCAAATCTTCTTTTTATCAATCCCTGTTATCTATTGCTCACCTGATTGTGCTTGTCCTCTATGAGGAGAATTTTCATTCAAGAAATAGTTTTGAGCACTTATTATGTTTTATGCACTAGAGATACAGCAGTAAATACAGCAAGAAAAGTTCCTGTTCTCCAGTATTCCATATTTTAGTGGGGGGGAAGAAAACAAGAAGCAAACAAATATGTAATATAATATCCAATAGTAATAGACAAAGCAAAAATAAGTAGAGACAGGTTAGAAGAAAAAGAAAATGAAAGGTAATATCATTTTATATAGGATGGACAGAAAATACCTATGAAGAAGGTAACATTTAAGTAGAAATCTGTATGAAGGGAAGGAGGGAGTCATGGAGACAGCTGGAGGCAAGAGTGTTCCAGACAGATGAAACAGCAAGTGCAAAGGACCTGAGGCAGGACTGTGTTTGGTGAACATGAGAAACAGAAAGCAGGCTAGTGTTATAATGTATGAGGAAAATTGTGGTAGAAAATGAGATCAGATGTAAGAACAGATTGTGTAGTGCCTTATAGGACATGATAAAGTTTTGGGATTTCATTCTTAGTGGAAAGGGAAGGAACTGTGAATGGAGGGTTCTGATCAGGGGAATAACATGACCTTACTTACATATTTAAATGATCCTTCTGACTGTTGTGATAAGAATAGACTGTGAGAGGAAAAGGGTGGAAGCAGGGAGACCAGTTAGGCTGTTACCATGATCCAGGTAATTGGTGCTGGTGGCTCAGAAGAGGATGTGGGTAGTGAAGGTGGGAAAAGTGTTCAGAGTCTAAATAGGCTTTGAAAGTTAAGCCATGGGATTTGCTAGTGGAGTAGATATAGGATGTGAGTAGAAAAAAGAGAAAGTGAAGAATGACTCCAAAGATTTTGGCATGAGCAACTAGAACAATGGTGATGGAGATGGAGAAGGGGACTGGAGGATCAGGTTTGTAGGCAGGAGAAATTAGGAATCCTGTTTGGGACAAGCTAAATTTGATATGCCTGCTAGATCTCTAAGAAGAGTTGTTTAGTAGGCAATTGAGTATACAGGTGAGAAGTCCAGGCTAGATATAAATTTGGGAGTAGTTAGCATATAAGTGGTAAGCAAAACCATGAGATGGAGATAGAATGAAATCACCTACTGAATGAGTGAGAAGAGGGGACCTGAACCCTGGGGAACTCCAATATTTAAATATTTGGAAGATGAGAATTAACATTGTCAGTTAACATGACTTAGACCAGTTTTCTTGTAGAAGCCTTGGGTGGTAGCAGAGTATTACAGTGTGTCTTGGTTTGTAGTGTCAAATTTTTAGAAATTTTTAGGGGCTGCCTTGTGTTGCTTTACTTATTAAAGAGAAATGGATTTATTTTAAAACTCAAATAAGGTTATTTCTGTCCACATGGGCTGATTGATAAGACACCCCCCATTATTTTTCCTCATAGCAGGTTTTTAATTATAACACTATGTATCTTTTGCGGAATTTTAAAAAATGTTTAATCTTGGTCTTTCTTTGCATTCTCACTCCTCCAAAGAGTATAAGCTCCAAGAAGACCTGGGTATGTCTATCTTATTCAGCATTCTATTCCCCAGCACCTATCATAGTGCTGGCTATAGCTAAGTCTTCATTAATAAAAGAAAAAATTAGCCATTTATTTGACCAGAATGGGTTCTAAGTGCTTATTACTAGCTAGACACTGCTCAAGTTGATATCTCTGAGGATACAGAGGTATAGCAGCAGGCTCTGATTGGAGGATCTCTAAGCCCGAAATAAGACTGAGATGAACAGAAACAAAGTGATCCTTGCCACAAGGTGTTTGGGCATGATCAATACCTGCCCTTCATGTGGTTCCTAAGTGGTTACCTAGGATAAATTATCCAAGTTCAGTATAATAATAAAGACTGTTTGGTCATGGCATATTTCACACCCATTATATCATTATTATTTGAACCTCAAAGTGACTCTGCAAGGTAGGTATTATTAATCCTATTTTAAAGATAAGAAAACTAAGGTTTAGGGAGTCTAATAAGACAAGTCAGTCCTACTGAACCAGGATCTCCTGAATCTGGGTCTTCTGACTTTACTTTCTCTTTTAGACTTCTTTACACTTAAATATGCCTTTATTTTAAGATAAAATCAAGTCTAATGGAGTACGAAGTGGTGCTAGAGATATAAACGCCTTATTTTCAGAATAATGATTCCTCTCTGCTTCTTCAAGAGCTGCTTGTCATTGTCAAGTATTAGGGCTGGCTGGAAAATATAAATTCCATCCTGGCCAGGAAGTACAACTAAGTGACCTTGCTGATTGAATCTGTTCTATTATTGCTCTAAAACGTGGGCAACAAGAACACTGATTGAGAACATTTGTTCTGCTACATTTGCAAAGCCTTTGCCGGATGTACATATACAAAAAGTATTTACCCTTTTGTAGCAATCAAAAGCCATAGCAAGGTAAGAGCCAATTCAGAAGCTACTCTAGCTGCTGAGATTGTTTGTTGTTCGTATATCTGTTTTTTATCTCCTTTATATGTAAATTTAGAGTTTCTTTTCTTTGTTCATTATATACAATTTCCACCCCGTCTGGAACCAACTTGAGAAAGGGATGCCAAAATATTTAGAAATATATGCACCTGATAAAGATCTCTTAATACCAAGTCATATCATAAAATATGGTTTATAATTTTTATGATAACAATTGTAAGCATATTATATGGGATTATTATTTTTTTATTTTTTAGTCAGGGAATAAAAAAGCAACTGTGTTTCTCATCCAATAATAAAATCTCTTGCATTTCATTTAAGCAATATAAGATATAAGAAGGCAAAATGTGGAGAAAATATTGAATGTCAAATATATATCAAATTTTATGTAACACTTATAACTAAGGTACAATTTATATCACTGGATTTAACATATGACAATACTTCATTTCATTTATCCACTTCCTAATGGTATTGAAGATCATAGGTATTTTATGCTAATATGCAGAGCAAGAGAAATATCTTTCCTTGAAAAGACAAAATGGTTAATAAAGGTTTACACTACATGATAAAATAAAGCCAGGAAATATCTCTAACTTCAATAGTTGTTGATAGCTAAGCAAACCATAGTTATAGTTATAAAAATAAATACCCTTTTTACGCAGCAAAACACTGGCATGTTTCCGTCCATTTCGGTTTTCAACATGGCAGGTATAATTCGCCAGGTCAGCTTCCACAACTGAGTCAAAGATGAGTGCCAATTCAACTTCTTTTTCTCCAAGATGCTCTTTGAGAAGCCTGAAATAAAGACGGTATTCTTGGCTGAATTGGCTTGATTTGGGGAGAAAGCAGCCATGCCAAGACTACAGATGGTCACACAGCTCACACAGGTCTCTGATGATGGGCGTGGAGAATCCTGGCTGGGTGTATGTGTGGGTGGGACCTTCTACAAGAAAACACAAAAAGTGGCTCTTGACATGAAGATAAGATGGAAAAGAAAAGAAGTGAATAATTCACTTGGCAAAAAGAAATATTATTGCGTCTATTTGATTCTTCTCTCTTTTTTTCTTTATTAGTCTTGCTAGCGGTCTATCAATTTTGTTGATCCTTTCAAAAAAACCAGCTCCTGGATTCATTAATTTTTTGAAGGGTTTTTTGTGTCTCTATTTCCTTCAGTTCTGCTCTGATTTTAGTTATTTCTTGCCTTCTGCTAGCTAAAACACATGAAAAACTGCCCATCATCACTGGCCATCAGAGAAATGCAAATCAAAACCACAATGAGATACCATCTCACACCAGTTAGAATGGCAATCATTAAAAAGTCAGGAAACAACAGGTGCTGGAGAGGATGTGGAGAAATAGGAACACTTTTACACTGTTGGTGGGACTGTAAACTAGTTCAACCATTGTGGAAGTCAGTGTGGCGATTCCTCAGGGATCTAGAACTAGAAATACCATTTGACACAGCCATCCCATTACTGGGTATATACCCAAAGGACTATAAATCATGCTGCTATAAAGCCACATGCACACGTATGTTTACTGCAGCATTATTCACAATAGCAAAGACTTGGAACCAACCCAAATGTCCAACAATGATAGACTGGATTAAGAAAATGTGGCACATATACACCATGGAATACTATGCAGCCATAAAAAATGATGAGTTCACGTCCTTTGCAGGGACATGGATGAAATTGGAAATCATCATTCTCAGTAAACTATTGCAAGAACAAAAAACCAAACACCGCATATTCTCACTCATAGGTGGGAATTGAACAATGAGATCACATGGACACAGGAAGGGGAATATCACACTCTGGGGACTGTTGTGGGGTGGGGGGAGGGGGGAGGGATAGCATTGGGCGATATACCTAATGCTAGATGACGAGTTAGTGGGTGCAGCGCACCAGCATGGCACATGTATACATATATAACTAACCTGCACAATGTGCACATGTACCCTAAAACTTAAAGTATAATAAATAAATAAATAAATCGTAAAACATTTCTGGCATTAAAAAAAAAGAAATATTAACATGCCACTAGGCTTTGATAAATAAAGTCAGCATGGCTTGTATGGTGAAAAGGAGGAAACACTGGGTTCCAAGCTCTAAACTAAGATCATGGAAACTAATTGGATTTTTGCATCATGGCATTAAGGGAAAAAATCTGTAGGAGTATAGGTTTTGTGGTAGAGGTTAGAGTTTTGACAGTAGTGAGGTAAAGGTGTAAAGAAGGGGGCCTTGAATATGGTTGCCTTATGAGAAGCAAATTGAAGATTTTTAGTGGCCTTCTATCTCCATACATTAGTGAGAAGCCTGCTCTCTGCTTTTCTCCTGGCTTTTGTCCAATGCAGTAATGTGCTCTGAGCCCTAATCCCCCAAAAATGCTAACACCCCCATGACCCTGATTTCTCCAGACACTGCTCCCCATCTGTCCCTCTGCTTTCTGCCCTCACAGGAGAAGCCCTCTGCAACATTTTCTCCTAGCCTTGCTTTTTTTAAAGCTGCAAAGGATCTTGTATGGCCAGGAACAGATGTTCTTTGCAGAGGGGCTGAATTGCTTGGGTTATTTCCTGAAGAGTGCGCCTCCTGTTTCTTTGGAGAGTTATACTGTCAACAACGACCAGCTACCTTCTGGGTGAGATGAAAATGGGTACCCTGTCAACTTCTCTTTTCTTTCTCTTGCCTTTGGCCAAAGAAGGAGCAAATCATGGGTCTACATGGTGACAACCCTGCAGTTTAGCTCTGGAGTAGGTTCTTAAATACATATATTTTTCAATCATGAAATATTTTAGATGGGAAATTGGAGAAGCAGAAGTAATTCTCATCTTCTTTTTGGACACCTGGTTATAAATGCAGGGAATATCCCTATGACTTACTGGCACTCAGCATAAAATTGGAAACATGACTGCTTAGAAAAAAACTGGGCTCTAAGTACCCGCCTCCCAATTACAACAAGCTCCAGCTTGGTCTTTACAAATCATTAACTCAATGGTGCCTTAATTTAACTCATCCTGAAACTGTAAAATAACTACCATACGCACTTTAACTTTGTTGTAAGGGTAAAATGGGTTAAAGTGATTTGAAAAGTAAACAGCACTATGCATATGTAAAGGTATGTTATTAAACACAAACATTTCATTATCTGAAGGTAGATTGTATTTTAGCTACTCCAAAAATATTTGTATTTACATTTACTGACATTTAAGATTGGCTTGGCTTAACCTCTTCTGCTTCCCATTTGAGAGCAGGAAGGGCTTAAAGTTGGGTTGGTGGAATGGAGTTTCTAAAATCTGAGTCTCTCATACTAAAATCTCAAGCCCTTTACATTTATGTACCATCACAGAACCAGACAAGTATAAGAATTTTCTTAACTGCATTTGGGAGACCACATCTTATGGTTAGTTTTTCTATAAATTGTTTTTATTTTTCCTGACTAAAGTTGTAGTTTCTCTTTTTCTCTTCTCTCCCAACATGTACCTAACCAAGACAAAATTGGGAATTTACTACTTTCATGGTTTATATTGACTTTTGCTGTTTTTCTCCCTGATGTTGGTAAACAACACCACACTCAATTATTTTAGCTCTGTGTAACCTGCTGTGGAAGAACCCCCTGTAGTTCCAGAAGCTGCGTAGGCACCACAACTTCATTTTAATTTGAAGCTTCACATGGAGGGCAGCCATAGCCTCTGCCAGGCACAGGGTGGAAAGCTGATCCTGTTCTTCCAAACCAAGCCTTTCCTTCTTCTAATGCAGTTTCCAAAAACAGCTCTTCACAGGCTGCAGAAAGAATCTGGAGAGAGGATTTGAAAAATGATCCTTGGTTCATCTATTAATATATATGAGGTGTCTTAATTATCAGCTCCTGAAAAACCTAGGTGACTTGTGTTTTTTGGAATTAAAGATCAAAATGGTGTTTATGACTACAAATCACTCAACAGAGCAGTCATAATTTTCTAGCAAATATATTATTTTTAATTTTAATTTTAGGTTCAGGGGTACATGTGCAGGTTTGTTTTATAAATTGCCTGTCACAGGGGTTTGGTGTACAGATTATTTTATTACCTAGGTAATAAGCATAGTACCCTCCTGCCACCCTCCAAGACTCTCAAGTAGGCCCTGGTGTTTGTTGTTTCCTTCTTTGTGTTCAAATGTACTCAATATTTAGCTCCCACTTATAAGTGAGAACATGTGGTATTTGGTTTTCTGTTCCTGTGTTAGTTCACTTAGGATAATGGCTTCCAGCTCCATCCATGTTGCTGCAAAGAACATGATCTCATTCTTTTTTTATTGCTGTGTACTATTCCATGGTGTATATGTAGCACATTTTCTTTATCCAGTCTACCACTGATGGGCATTTAAGTTGATTCCATGTCTTTGCTATTGTGAATATTGCTGTGGTGAACATAGCCATGCATGCATCTTTATGGTAGAACAATTTATATTCCCTTGGGTATATACCCAATAATCCAATAATGAGATTACTGAGTTGAACGATAATTCTCTTTTAAGTTGTTTGAGAAATTGCCAAACTGCTTTCCACAATGACTGAACTAATTTACATTCCCACCAGCAGTGTACAAGCACTCTCCTTTCTCTGCAACCTCACCAACATCTGCTATTTTTTGACTTTTTAATAATGGCCATTCTGAATGGTGTGAGATGGTATCTTGTTGTGGTTTTGATTATCATTTCTCTAATGCTTAGTGATGTTGAGCATTTTTACATATGCTTGTTTGGCTGCATGTATGTCTTCTTTGGAAAAGTGTCTGTTCATGTTCTTTGCCCACTTTTTTATGGAGTTTTTTTTTTGTTTTTAATTTTTTTAAGTTCCTTATGGATTCTGGATATTAGTCCTTTGTCAGATATATAGTTTGCAAATATTTTCTCCCATTCTGTAGGTTGTCTGTTTACTCTGTTGATAGTTTTTTTTTTTTCTGTGCAGAAGCTCCTTCATTGAATTAGTCCCATTTTTCGAATTCTGTTTTTGTTGCAATTGCTTTTGGCATCTTTGTCATGAAATCCTTGCCAGATTCTATGTCTATAATGCTATTTCCTAGGTTGTCTTTCAGGATTTTTATAGTTTTTGGTTTTACACTTAAGTATTTAATTCATCTTGAGTTGATCTTTGTATATGGTGTAAGGAGTCCAGTTTCAATCTTCCGTGTATGGCTACCCAATAATCCCAGCACCATTTATTTAATAGGGAGTCCTTTCCTCATTGCTTGCTTTTGTCAACTTTGTCAAAGATCAGATGGTTGTTGATTGGTGGCATTGCTTATTATGTTCCATTGGTCTATGTGTCTGTTTTTGTACCAGTACCATGCTATTTTGGCTACTATATTCTTGTAGTATAGTTTGAAGTCAGGTAATGTGATGTCTCAGGCTTTGTTCTTTTTGCTTAGGATTGCCTTGGCTATTCGGGCTCTTTTTTGATTCCATATACATTTTTAAATAGTTTTTTCTAATTCCGTGAAGAGTATAACAATCCATAAATGATTCTTTTCCAATATTTAGTAAGTGCCTGGCTCTGGGCTATATATTTGGCATACAAGAAATAGAAACATTAAAAGATGTGGTCCCTTCTTCCATTAAACTTTAAAATTTAAATGAGGAGACACGATGTACACAGTTGCAGAAAATTACAGAAAGAATAAGGCAAAGCAGGGTGGTACACTCATGCTTACAACAGTATGTCTGTTGACTAAGTTATCCAAAAAATGCTTAAGAAAATTCTCACTAAATGAAAAGAAGGGAGGGTTTTCCAGAATAGAAGACAAGAGTAGGTTTTTGCAGAATGTGTGAAAGAGAGGTATTAAAGAGACTGGTTTCAGAGTCGAGGTTATAAGGGAGGAATCCTGGGATATATTTCATATGACCTTAGAAGTATCTCATTCCAAGTATTGATATTATGTGGGAGGGTAAGAACCACATACATTTTAAACTGATTATTGAAACAATAGATATACAAAAAAACTCACTTATTTAATATATACAATTTGATGAGTTTGCACATATGCATGCATCCATGGCAAGTGAGGGAGGGGTAGTAACCAGAGGGGTCTAAATATTAACATTAAAGGCAAGTTATAGTAGCAGTGAACACTGATACAATAGAAAGTAACCAGTTCAGGTGACAGACATCACTATATTCCAAAATTTTATTTAGATTGGTACTATTAGTACAAATTAATACTATAAAGAGTTTGGAAATTGTTCCTCTCATTCTCACAAAAAGAAAAAAGTGAACAAACTGAAAATTATCAACTTTTCTTAAATCCCTCAAATAACAAGTCACAGGGCAAACTTCTGCCCCAGAAAGTTGAGAGAAAGGCAAATGCAGAGAATCACAGCATACTGGAATGAGATCCCCAGGAGCAAAGCCAGTACCACCACAAACACTTATAATGTAATAGATAAATTCCTGGAGACCCACCATGAACTATCTTGAGAGTTAAAAACACCATGAGACCTATATTTAGGGGGACCCCACAATTTTGTGAGTTTTGCCTACATAAGCGCTACTAAGTTCTTACTGTGAAGATTGGAAAAAGGTTCCCTTATGCTTCTGGCAGGGGGAAAGGGAAAAGTGACCATTTTAAAATGAGCCCAGAGCACTTTGTCCTCCTTTTAAAAATGCTTGTTGACTCAGTGTAGTGGTTCATGCCTATAATTCTAGCCTTGGGAGCCAAGGCTAGAGGATCACTTGAGGCCAGGAGTTCAAGACCAGCCTGGGAAACATAGCAAGACCCCATATCTACAAATAATAATTTTAAAAAATTAGCCAGGCTTGATGGTGTGCACCTGTATTCCCAGTGAGGCTGAGGTGGGAGAATCACTTGAACCTTGGAGTTAGAGTTTGCAGTGAGCTATGATTGTGCCACTGTATACCAGCCTGGGTGACAGAGCAAGATCCTGTTTCTTTTCTTTTCTTTTTTTAAAAGCTTGCTCTCAAGGGAAACCACTTTATCATGACCTAAACTACTTAGGTTTTACCAAAGCCTAGCCCACCTGGGAGAAGGGAAATGACTACTCTAGCTTTCCTCTCACCTAAAGGGATGGGGGAAGCTAAGAAACACTTATGAAGGTAACATACCAGGGGCACAAGCTCACTAAAGGCAGTGACATCATAGAATTTTGAAATATGTTCCACAACATCAATCAGGCTCCTGTATAATAATAAGGGATTTTATTTGCAAAAAAAAAACCTGCAAAGCTCAGGCCCTATTTAAGAAGTAATCTCGAGGAAAATTCAAACAAGACAGTGGAGACAAGAACAAAAACACTAGAGGGAATTTCAGCCTCTGACACCTATAGCTATACCAAAGAGTAAACACAGTCTAACTTTTAGTCAGATAAACATAAAATCTCACATTAAAAGCCTATTTACTTCAGTTACTTTTACCCAATACATCATATCTGGCTTTCAACAAAAAAGTAACAAGGCATATTAAAAATCAAAGCAAAGCAAAACAAAACAAAAAATCCCCACAGTTTGAAGAGACAAAGCAAACATTCAGAACCAGACTCAGATATGGCAGAGATTTTGAAATTACCAAACTGGAAATATAAGATAACTATGATTAATATATTAAGGGCTCCAATGAAAATAGTGGACAACATATATCAACAAATTAGTAAGGTAACCAGAGATGGAAACTCTAAGAAAAAAATCAAAAGGAAACTCTAGAAATCAAAATATGTTGACAGCCAACGAAAGAATCAATGCATTTGAAGATATGTCAATAGAAACCTCCTAAACTGAAATTCAAAGAGAAAAAAGGACAAAAAATAATGTAAAAAATGTCCAAGAGTTTAGGAACAATTACGAAAGAAGTAATATGCATATAATAAATACCAGAAATAGAAGAAAGGAACAGTAGAAATATTTAATTAATAAGCTTGGAAAATTTTCTAAAATTATTAACAGACACCAAACTACAAATCAAGGAAGCTCCAAGAACACAAAGCAGAATAAATACCAAAAAACCTACACCTAGGCATATCATTTTCTAACTGCATAAAATTAAAGACAAAATCTTGAAAGAAGCCAGAGGGGTAAAAAGAAATACCCACCACACCTATAGATAAACAAGAATAGGAAATTCATCAGACTTCTCTGTAAAAATCATGCAAGCAAGAAGAGAGTGGGGTGAAATATTTAAAGTGTTGAAATAAAACAATTACAAACCTAGAATGTGATATTCAGTTAAATTATCCTTCAAAAGTGATGGATAAATAAAGACTTTCTCAGACAAACTAAAACAGGGAATTTGTCACCAGTCAACCTGTGTTGGAAAAACTGTTAAAAGATTTTCAGAGAAAATGAAAGTGATATATATCAGAAATTTGGATCCACATAAAGAATAGTGTTAGAGCAGGGATAAATCAAAATAAAATATTTTATTTTATTATTCTTATTCCGTATCTAACAGGCAACAGTTTGTTCAAAATAATAGCAATCATGTATTTGGTAATTATAGCTTATAAATAGGCAAATTAATGACAGAAATGTTAAAAAATGGTGGAATTGGAAATACTCCATTATCATGCACCAGCACTACTTGTGACATGGTATGGTGTTATTTGGAAGTGGACTTAGATTAGTTAGAAATGTATTTTGCAAACTCTAGAGATACAATTAAAAATTTGAAAATATAATTGATATGCTGTTTGAGTTCATTCTCACATTGTTATAAAGAAATATCAGAGACTGGGTAAAATTAATAAGAAAAGTTTTATTGGCTCACCGTTCCACAGGCTGTACAGAAGCATCTGCTTCTGGGGAGCCCTCAGGCAGCTTTTACTCACAGGGAATGGCAAACACAGAGCAAGGCATCCTCACATAGCAGGAGTAGGAGGAAGAGAGGGGTGGGGAGGTGCACACTACACACTTTAAACAACCAGATCTCACAATAACTCACTCACTATCATGAGAACAGCACCAAAGGGATGGTGCTAAGCCATTCATGAAGGACCACTCCCATGATCCAATCACCTCCCACCAGCCCCACCTCCAACAATGGGGATTACAATTCCACATGAGATTTGGTGAGTACAAAGAAGCAAACCATATAACATGCTAAGAGAGAAGAAAAAATAGAATAATATAAAATGCTCAATTAAAACCAGAGAAGGCAGAAAAAGCATGGAGAACAAAAAAGGAAACAAATAATAAGAGCAATGAATAAAAAAACTGTTATAAATATAGTAGATGTTTAACCAGCTATATCAATATCACTTTATTTTCTATTAATACGTAATATTTTTAATTTATGTTGTACATTTAATATTTTGTTACATATACAGAATGTGCAATAATCAACTGAGGGTATTTAGGATATCCATCACCTTGAGCATTTATCATTTCAGTGTGTTGAGAATATTTCAAGTCCTCACTTTCAGCTATTTTGAAACATATAATTCATTGTTGTTAACTACAGTCACCCTTCTCTACTACTGAACATCAGAACTTATTCCTTCTATCTAACTATATGTTTGTTTCCATTAACCAACCTCTCTTCCTCCCCCAAGCCCCACACTCACATCCTTCCCAGGCTCTGGTAATCATCATTCTAATCTCTACCTTCATGAAATCAATTTTTTTTACTTCCTACATATAAGTGAGTACAGGGCTTATTTCACTTAACATAATGACTTCGAGTTCCATCCATGTTGCTGCAAATGACATAATTTCATTCTTTTTATGGCAGAATAGGATTCCACTGTGCAAATATACTACATTTTCTTTATCCATTCACCCATTGATGGACACTTAGGTTGATTCCATATTATTGCTATTGTCAATAGTGCTTCAATAAACATGGGGGTTCAGGTATGCCTTTGAGATACTAATTTCATTTTCTTTAGATAAATACCCAGTAGTGGGATTGATGGATCATATGGTACTTCTCTTTTTGTTTTTTTAAGAAGTCTTTATACTGTTTTCTTTGTTGGGAGACGTTACTGATTCAATCTCATTACTTGCTATTGGTCTGTTCGGGTTCACTTTCTTTTTTATTCAATCGTGGTAGGTTATATTTATCCATGAGTTTATCCATTTCCCCTAGGTTTTCGGGTTCATTAGTACATAGTTGTTCATAGTAGTTTCTGATAATCTTTTGTATTTCTGTGGTATCAGTTGTAATGTGTCCTTTTTCATTTCTAATTTTGTTTATTTGGGTATTCTTTCTTTTATTCTTGGTTAGTCTAGCTAGTGGTTTATCAAATTTGTTTATTTTTTCAAAATAACTTTTCATTTTGTTGATCCTTTGTAGTTTTTGAGTGTCTATTTTGTTTAGTTCTACTCTGATCTCTACTCTTTCATTCTACTAATTTGGGGTTTGGCTTGTTCTTGCTTTTCCAGTTCCTTGAGGTGCATTGTTAGGTGGTTTGTTTCAAATCTTTCTACTTTTTGATGTAAGCATAAACTTTTAACTGTATTTACTACAAATTTATACCTATAAACAAGTAATGCTTTTGCTGTATCCCACAGGTTTTGGTATGTTTTGTTTCCATTTTCATTTGTTTCTCGACTTTTTAAATTTATTTCTTAATTTCTTCATTGACTCAGTCGTTGTGCAGGGACATGTTGATTAATTTCCATGTATTCCTACAGATTTCAAAGCTCCTCTTGTTATTGATTTCTAGTTTTAGTCCATTGTGGTCTGAGAAGATACTTGATATGATTTCAATTTTAAAAAATTTGTTGAGACTTGTTTTGTGTCCTAACATATGGTCTATTCTTGAGAATGTTGATGTGCTGATGAGAAGAATGTATATTCTGCAGCTGCTGGATGAAACATTCTGCAATTGTCTATTAGATCCACTAGGTCTAAGGTGCAGTTTAAATCTAATGTTTCTTTGTTGTTTTCTGTCTAGATAATTTATTTATTTTTGAGAGTGGAGTGCTGAAGTCCCCAGATATTATTTTATTGATGTCTATCTCTCCTTTTAGATCTAAAAATATTTGCTTTATATATCTGGGTGCTCCTGTGTTAGGTGCACAAATATTTGCCATTGCTATATCCCTTACCAAATTGATCACTTTATCATTATATAATGACCTTCTTTGTCTCTTTTTACTGTTTTTGACTTAAAGTCTGTTTTATCTGATATACATGTAGCCACTTTTGCTTACTGTTCATTTCCTTTTCCATGGAATATTTTTTCCATCCCTTTACTTTTAGTCTATATGTGTCTCTACAGGTGAAATGTGTTTCTTTTAGGCAGAATATATTTAGGTTACTTTTAAAATTCATTCAGCCAATCTATATCTTTTAAGTGGGATATTTAATTTGTTTACATTCAAGGTTATTATTAATATGTAAGGACTTATTCCTGTCATCTTGTAATTACTTTCTGGTTGTTTTGTATTATTTCCTTCCTTCCTTCCTTCCTTCCCTCCCTCCCTCCCTCCTTCCTTCCTTCCTTCCTTCCTTCCTTCCTTCCTTCCTTCCTTCTTTCCTTCCTTCCTTCGTCTCTTGCTTTTTTATATTGTGGTTTGGTGGTTTTCTGTTTTCTGTACTGGTAATATTTGTGTTCTTTCTCTTTCTCATTTGTGTGTTTGCTGATAAAATTTTAGACACAACGACAAAAATGTAGTCCATGAAAAAAACAATTGATAAGTTGGACTTTATTAAAATCATAAACATCTGTTTTGTGAAAAACAGTTGAAAGAATAAATAGCTAAGCCATAAAATGGGAGAAAATATATGCAAAACATATACAGATTAAGAAACTTCTACATGGAATTCACAAAAACCTCTTAAAACTCAACCATAAAAAAACTAACAACCTAATTTAAAAATGGGCAAAAGTTCTGAACAGACACCTAATCAAAGAAGATACACAGATAACAAATAAGCATCTGAATATATGCTCAATGTCATATGTCATTAGGGAATTTTAAATTTAGACAATGACATACACTACACACCTATTAGAATGACTGAAACCCAGTATTACTGACAACATCAAATTTTGGCAAGGATGTGAAGCAATAGAAATTATCATCCATTGCTGGTGGGAATGCAAAATGGTACAGCCACTTTGAAAGATATTTTGGCAGTTACTTAAAAAGCTAAACATTGTCTTACAGTATGATGCATTAATCATACTTTTTATAGCTACACGAAAACTTGCACAAGTGTTTATAGCAGCTTCATTCATAATTGCCAAAACTTGGAAATAACCAATATGTCAATCAATAGGTAAATGGGTAAACAATTGTGGTACATCCAGACAATAAAATATTATTCATTGATAAAAAGAAATTAACCATCAAGCCACAGAACTACATGGAAAAACCTTAAATGCATATACTAAGTGAAAGAAGTCAGTCTGAAAAGGCTACATACTGTAGGATTCCAAACGTATGACATTTTGGAAAAGGCAAAACTATAAAGACTATAAAGACTAAAAAAAGATCATTGGTTACCAAGAGTTTTTGAGGAGAAAGGGAGAGATGAATAGACAAAGCTCTGGGATATTTAGGACAGTGAAACTATTCTGTATGATACAGTAATGGTGGATCCATGATATTTTACATTTGTCAAAAACCATAGAACTGTATAACACAAAGAATGAACTCTACTGTCAACCATGGACTTTAACAATAATGTATAGTGTTTCATTAATTGTAATAAATGTGCCACACTAAGTCAAGACATTAACAAAATGGGAAACTGGGAGAGGCAAAGGGGCTATATGAGAGTTCTCTGTACTTTCTGCTCAACTCTTCAAAAAAAAATGTATCCTCTTATCTGTTAACTTCTTTGTAACCCTAAAGCTATTTGTGAAAAATAAAGCTTATTAAATAAATAAATCTTCTTTGCCTCTTCAAAAGGTGTTTTACTGGAACTACTTGTTTATGGTGTGCTGTAGCTTTAATTTTTGTACCACTAGCAACTAGCATGGTGCTGGTAGCATTAAGAAAACTCAGTAAAGGCACATTGAATAAATGAATGCATTTTTTAAAGTATTTTGTCATGAAAAGACATGTAGGAACCTTAAATGCATATTACTAAGTGAAAGAAGCCACTCTGAAAAGGCTATGTACTGTGTGGTTTCAACTATTGAAATTTCGGAGAAGGCAACATTTCGGAGACAGTAAAAAGATAAGGAGTTGCCAGGAGTTCTGGGAGAGGGAGAGATAAATAAAGTGGAACACAGAAGATTTTTAGGGCAGTGAAACTCATCTGTATGATACTGTAATGGTGGATACATGTCATCATACATCTGTTGAAACCCATAGATGGTACAACATTAGGAGTGAAATCTAAATGTAAACTATAGACGTTGGGTGATCAGGATGTGTCAATATAGGTTCATGGATTACAACAAATGCACCACTGTGGTGCTGGATATTGATAGTGGGGGGAGTCTTGTGGGTAATGTGGGAACTCTGTACTTTCCACTCAATTTTGTTGTGAACTTAAATCTGCTCTAAAAATTACAGTGTGTGTGTAATGCTAGCAAGACACTATATTAACACATTTTAGTACAATTCAATGCCATTAAACAGATGTTTTAAAAGTTATATATGCCTGGCAATGTGGTAAGCTGGGAAGTATTAATAAACAAATACCGTCTCAAACTACTGTGCATTATTTCTCATTATTGACTTCCTCTAATAAATTTAACTAAGGCAATAAAAGGAGAAAGTAAACAAGTAAATACTTTATTAGCAGGCAGATTCCAAATTACTTTCCAGTTTCTTCCAGGGGACATGCTACTTTGAATTTTTTATAAAGATGTTGAACTGCCACCAGAGAGTTTATACTCTTCAATATCTGCCCATATCATCAATATCACTACTAGCACTTCTGCTGTCCTCATTATCAAAAAGTACTTATTTGTAAACAGCAATCTGCTCTACCAGACATTGTACTAATATTTACATGTAGGTGCTCCCTGCTGTCCTAAAGATCATAAACTAAAATAAGCAATGCTGAAGGGAATGATAACATAACATTCAGATAAGAACACAAATGCAATGAAATTTTAGTGAAATCTTGGTTAGTGGAATTGCTCAGGGATGGAAATTCTGGCTAACTGAATTTTCTGTTCACCTGAAATTTAAATAGAAAGTCCTGTTGGTTTCTTAATTGAGGTAAATAATTATAAAATTTCTAAGACCAATTTTCATTCATCGTAAATGGTCCCTTGAAGTATTCTGAGTCCTCCTTTGATGGCTAGGTGTCTTGCAGAGTTTCTGGGTCATTATCCTGAGTATGAGTAATCATTGTCCAGGAATGATGATTGATAAAATTAAGGATGGGAGGTATGTTTAAAAAAATTAAAATGTTCAATTAAACAAGATCTCTTTCTTGGTGTTATTTGCTCCCCCCTCCCCATTAAAGCATTATTACTCCAAGTCCAGCATCATGCCCAGAGTCTGACAAAATCAGATTTATTGGCTCAATGCATTGAGGGAGGGGCATTCTAGAGGAACTATGGATTAATCCTTGATTGAAGGAAGGAAGAAAGTTTTGTAATGTTTACATTTACAGTGAAAGATTCTGATGAGGTTTTAGGGAAGCAGGGGTAAATCCTGGATTGGTTGGAGTTTCTGAGGCAGGATTGGAAAAAATGGGGGTTAACTAGGGACTGGGTTCTCTTATGGGGCAAGGATAGCTTAGCAGTTGGGTATCCCTGGTAGTTAATGTAAGCAGCAAAGCAGGTTTGGGGCATCACTGGTAAGAAAGCAGTAGTCACTCAAAGGAGGAGGGGGTCATTATGGCATTTTACAACTGCTGCATGACCTTGGGAGAAACAGTGTTTTCTGCTAACTTTGCAGCTGGCTTTATCTGTCTGTCCTCCCAGCCTGATTAATAGCAGGGCTGCTTATTCTCAGTCCACACTGATTTTCACTCTTTCAGTCCCCGACAGATTTTGACTTTTTATAGTCTAAATCTGGAGTACAACAAAACATTCTGGACAATTGAGGATTCTTGCTAGCTTTGATGAATTCAGTCTAGCCCTATAGGAACCCTCAATCACTAAAGGGCAGCAGCTCTTCCTCAGTCTCTAAACTTCAGTTTCTTTATCTGCAAAATAAAGCTAATAGTATTTATCTCAGATGGTTATTATGAGTATCCAATATGTTTTAAGATGTGAAATGCTTTTGCAATATGCAGTGTACTATAAAAGGATGAACTGGAATTATTATTATTATTATTTACTAATTATAGGTTTTTGTCTAGAGTAGCTTACAACCCAACACAACATAGTTGAGACTGAGCATCTAAAATCTGCTCAATAAATGAAGAGAAACAACAAACATGTTTTAGGTAGGCTTTTAGTATTTTATGCATAGATCAAGGATAAGACCAACCCTGGAATCATCAATAGTATTCACCACTCCTTCAAAAATGTACCTTTAGTTAACTAGAAATTAAGGACGGCCCTAGGTAAAACTATGCTGTTTATAATGTGTACATTCACATACAGGTGTGATGAGATTTGAAACCTATTTAAATTAAAGCAAAGTGATTGATCTGTATTTCTTCTTCCAGTAGGATGAGCTGAGAGTAGAAGAAAGGAAAATACTTTTTTGAAGCTCAACTTTGGGAAAACCAAGGACATGTGGGGTCCTTCAAGACATTAAAAATTGTGTGAGAAGTTGCCAAAATACATCTCATCATTTTCCCTAGGACTGCCTGGGAGTCCAATTATTTCCTCTGTATTTTAGGGACAAACAACATATTCACAGCTCCATATTGCTTTTTAAAAAGAGTGGGTCATTATTAGGTTAGTTTTGGTCTTTAAGATAGACTCACCTTATTTTAAGAATAAAAATTTTCATGCTTATATCACCTTCCCTCTTTATTAGAGCATTTCAGTCATGCAAGGAGAGGATGTTAAGGTAAAGGAATGAAACCGAAGACCAGAAAGTGGTAAAAAGCAGCAGTGAAGAAACCAAAACTAAAACAAACCAGCAAAGACCATATTCAGCTCACAGCCTTTCAGGAACTGAAGGTAAATAAAATTATTTGCATTTTAGTAAGCTTTTCTGAAAACCTTAAGATAAATTGAATATGTTTTTCAGGTCAAGACTTAGAAAAGATTTGGTAAACTGTTTTATAGTATTGCCTGAGGAAGAAAACATTAGGTATTGATAGGGCGATTTGTAAAGTGAGATTTATAATTGAAAATGACTCTCTGTTGGGACAAAGCAATTGTCTTGAAATTCGTGGAGTCTTTTTTGACAATCAGATGCAATGCGTAACCCTGTAGGCAATCTATAATACTATTATTTCTTATTTAATAGGACTGGTTCAATTTTTCTGACTTTTTAAATTAGCTATGTAGAATACATACCTCACTAGCAAATTCCTTAAAACAAAATTCTCAAGCCTCTTGTAAGATTGATTAGAAGGAAGTTCTGTAGTGGTACAGGACTGAGGTGGCCTTCCTAGAATCATTATCCCCAAAGGACATTGTGCGGGTACTCTCTGATCCTCCTTTGCAGCAGTTCCCATTAAGCTTTAACAGAAGGACAGAAAGTAAGAAGTCTTCCCCTTATGATTCCTACTAGGTTTCCTCGAAATAATTATTTGACTTCTCTGAATAAACATGGTAGAGCTTGGCAGAGAGCAGATTGTTGGAATGATTTTAAAATTGTAGAAATAAATAACCAAACTTGTACAATTACATCTTATGTTACTGCACACATAAAATTATTTTACCATCTCTATAAATTATATCTTCTGGAGTTAGTGAAAGGGTTGTGATGCAGTTGTGTGGGATAGATTAGCAGTTGTGAATGGTTACCACATTTGGGTTCAGATTTCCTTGTGGCTTAGTCTCTTAGCAACATCAGAGGCATGGGAGAACTGTGCCAATCTCTGCTTAAAGGGAGATAAAGGGGAATCTGTATGCCCAAAGTGGGGTCTAAGTGCTTTGGCAATGGGCTGAAAATCAGGAGAGGCTCGGGACCACAGTGGTGAAACTGACCCAGAGAGCAAACAAATGAGAACTCCAAAATGTTAGACAGGATTTGATCTAAAATGCTATTCAAGCAGCAGGGGAAATGCTGAGTACAGATGTTATACTTACTGAAGTCCAAGTGACATTATCTCATCAAGCTCTCAGTAAATATCTAAGCTTTTTTTTACTAGGTATTGTTTTAAGTCCTCTATTCCTCTGTGGCAAACTAAGAAATAAAAAGTTGTAACACACATTTCTAGGATCAAGCTGCTGCACAGGAAATTGAGAACCTAGGCAGAGGGGCTAGTTCTCCTGCCAGACCCAGTGCTTCTGGGGAAGCTTCTCCACAAGTCAACTGCCTGAGAGCTATTTATTTACATCCTCACTGCTTGGTTATATTACACAATGCAATTTTGAAATGTGTGCACAACACAAGAGCTATGATTCAATTTTTAAATGGGCCCAAAGCAATGCCCTTGCTATGGTCTAAATGTTTGTGGTCTCCCAAAAATCATATGCTGTCACCTAATATCCATCGTGATAGTATTAAGAGGTGGGGCCTTTGAGAAGTGATTAAATCATGAAGGCTCCCCACTCATGAATGGGATTAGTGCCCTTATAAAAGAAGCATGAATGAGTTCCCTTGCCCTTGTTGCCATGTGAGGACACACAGAAGGTTCCATCCACGAGGAACAGGCCCTCACCAGACACTTAATCTGCCAGCACATTGATCTTGGACTTCCCAGCCTTGAGAACTGTGGGCTATAAATTTTTGTTGTTTTTAAATTACCCATTTAAGGTATCTTGTTATAGAATCCCAAATGGACTAAGACAAAAATTGGTGCTGACAGTGGGGTGCTCTGGTTAAAAAAAATACCAAAAAATGTGGAATGGCTTTGGAACTTTGTAATGAACAGAGGCTGGAATAATTTGGAGGAGCAGGCTAGAAAAAGCCTATATCAACATGAACTAACTGTAAGGAGCAATTCTGGTGAGGGTTCAATAGAAGAGGAGAACTGTAGAGGAAGCTTCAATCTTCTCAGCGATTACTTAAGTGGTCATGATCAGAATATTGATAGAAATATGGACAGTAAAGGCCATTTTTATGTGGGCTCAGACTTACATGAGAAACACGTTATTGAAAACTGAAGTGAAGGCCATCCTCGTTATAAAGTGGCAAAGAACTTGGCTGAATTTTCTTCATGTCCTAGTGCTTTGTGGAAGGTAGAACGTGTGAATGGTGCAATAGGATATTTAGTGAAAGAAATTGCTAAGCAAAGTACTGAGGGTGTGGCATGGCTTCTCTGGATTGCCTATGGTAAAATGAGAGAAGAAAATGAATTAAAGATAAAATTTATAATCAAAAGGGAAGCAGAATTTAAAGATTTGGGACATTCTCAGCCCAGCCATGTTGCAAAGAATGAAAGAGTGTGTTAAATAGGGAACACCAAGAGTGTGGCCAAGAAAACGTTTGATAAGATTAGTATAGATATAAGGAAGCCAGAGGGTATTCATTAGGACGATAGAAGAAGGAATTCTAGAGATTTTCAGGGCTACCCCAGCCATCACAGGCCCTTTCCAGACACTGGATCTACAGGCATCTTGATCTTGACTTCCCAGCCTCCAGAACTTTGACTAATACATTTCTGTTGTTTATAAATTACCCCAGTCTAAGGTATTTTTTAACAATGTCCTGTACAGACAGAGAGAGCACTGAATAAGGGCCATGCATCCAGAAATAAATTTTGTTTCTAGAAATGCCTTTGAGAGGAATCCCCTAATTAAAAATTCTCAGTATTCTGCCGTCAGAACTCTTCCTTATGGAGAAAATATATGGGTTATGAAAAAATGTGAATCTTCTCTTGGTTCACCTAAATAGTATGATTAGCAATTTTTTTCTATTAAAATGCTGGATTTGTTCCAATTTGCTGTGCTGTATAAAATCTTGTATGCTTTGTTTCAAGGACTTTGGAGGCTAGAAGACATGGTTAATTAGTTCCTGTATTAGCATAAATGGCTCTAGACTGAAAGAATTATAGAAACCACACAAGCTTCCAAATAGATCATGGATCACACAAGACATATGAAGTGGAATGATGACATTTTAGTCAATGATATATTGCATATACAAAGGTAGCCCCATAAGATTATAACACTGTATTTTACTGTACCTTTCCTTTGTTTAGATATATTTACATACACAAATATTACCATGGTGTTACAGTTGCCTACAGTATTCAGTACAATAATATGCTGTACAGGTTTGTAGCCTAGGAGCAATAGGCTATACCATATAGATTAGGTGTGTAGTAGGCTATAATCTAGGTTTGTATATGTACACTCGATGATGTTTGCACAATAATGAAATCACCTAATAATGTATTACATAGAACGTATCCCCATCATTAGGCAACTCCTGACTATATTACAAAATGAGTGACTGTATCTTAGCCAGGCATGGTGGTATGTGCCTGTAGTCCCAGGCTGGGAATTTCTGCCTTTTTGTTGGCACTTCTATGAAGGTGACTTTAGTTAGCTAGTAGGGTCTTGTGAAATTTTCAAAATAAATTTCCTGGAACTTTCCGTCACTGCTAATATAGTTATTTTACTGGGGGATTTGGTGGAGAAACAGGATGTAACAAAATCAGTTAAACAATGTCATTTTGCAAGTCCTGAAAGGTTGTCTTCCTATAGCATTTCCTAGCTGGTTGACTCATTTGGCCCCTAATATGGTGGCTTGTTCAGGATTTATCCAACTCATGTATATATGTTTTGTCTCCCACCAACTCTAATCATTTGCTGCTGGAGAGAGTAGCAGTGCCTCACTTTTCTTTTGTAAAATTATAACCAGTTTGGAATACAGTTAGGCAGATTCTTAAAAAGTTAAATAATCCTGCAGAACAAAAGGGATAGTACGCAAAAACTAAAGAAAGGTGTGTAAAGAAATGTCTTTAGTTAATAACAATGTATTAATTTTGATTTTTTTTTTTGAGATGGAGTTTCACTCTTGTCACCCGGGCTATAGTGCAATAGCATGATCTCAGCTTACTGCAACCCCTGCCTCCCGGGTTCAAGCAATTCTCCCGTCTTAGCCTCCCGAGTAGCTGGGATTACAGGTGCCTGCCACCATGCCCAGCTAATTTTTGTATTTTCAGTAGAGACGGGGTTTCACCATGTTGGCCAGGCTGGCCTTGAACTCCTGACCTCAGGTGATCCACCCACCTCGGCCTCCCAAAGTGCTAGGATTACAGTCATGAGCCACCGCTCCTGGCCCATTCCTTTTTTATTGCCAAGTATATTCCATTATATGACTATACAACAATTTGCTCATCTATTCACCTGTTGATGGACATTGGATTGTTTCCAGTTTGGACGATTATGAAGAAAGCTGCTATGACCATTCATATACATGTCTTTGTATGCACATATATTTCCTTTTCTCTTGCCTGAATACCTAGACATGAGCAGTATTCTTATGGTACAAAGGTACCATAAGAACCTAAGATGTCGATAATTGGGGAAACGGGGTATGGGGTATATAGGAACTCTATATACTATCCTCATGATTTTCCTATAAATCAAAAATTATTCTAAAAAAGTTTGTTTAAAAATGATTTAAATTTTATTTAAAGAATAAACTAAAAATTAAATTTATGTCTACTATATAATTCAAGCACACCATGTCTAGCTATTCAGGCAAGAGAAAAGAAAATATATGTGCATACAAAGATATGTATATGAATGTTCCTAGCAGATTTCTTCATAATAGTCCTAACTGGAAACAACCCAAATGTCGTCCATCAACAGGTGAATAGAAGAGTAATTTTTGTATAATCACGTAATGGAATACTATTTGGCAATAAAAATGGTATGAACTATTGACACATATAACAAGATGGGAGAAATCTCAAAATAATTGTGCTACATGAAATAATCCAGAGCAAAACAAGTGCCTATTGTATGATTCTGCTTATATAAAATTCTAGACAAGGCAGACTGATTTATAGTGATAGAAGATCCCTGTTGTTGGAGAAGGGCGGGAGGGAGGGATTTCAAAGGGGCACCAGGAAACATGGGGGTGATTAATATGTTATCTTCATTGTGGGTGATGGTTTCACAGGTGTACACATATATCAATCCGCCCTTACAAATTGCATACTTTAAATTGTGTGATTTATTATATGTCAATTATACTCTGATAAAGCTGTTTATTTTAAAAGTTACATGCAGTCACACATACAAAAAGGGAGATTATTACCTTAGGCTCATATAATTAGTACCTTTGATCACAAAACATATCTCTGAGCTTTTTGGTGATGGAACTTCTGCTACTAACTATATACTAGTGTACCTATCACATATCCATTTTGGGACCAGTTTCTTGTTCTGTAGAATGAAAAGTGACCCTTAAGGTCTTTTATACACAGATACGTTGACAGTAATCCTAAATATGTATCTTCTATAACAATTTAAAATGAATTCAGTTGTATTGATTTCAAATAAATATTAAATTAAAATTGCCTAATAAAGTGTTACTAATTACAAACTTCAAAGTACAAATGGCAATTAATACTTTAGAATCATTTGTAATATATCCATTATTTATTTCTGAAAATCTGTTCTGTGTCAGGCAATTAATTTCAAGGGTTTTTTTTTTTTTAAGAAAAACAGCTTTATTGAGATAAAATGTATATGCCACATAATCTATCCATTAAAAGTATACAATTCTTTGTTTTCTAGAATATTCACAGATGTGAAACTATCACTATGGTCAATTTTATAATATTTTCATTATCTTATAAAGAAGCCCCAGACTGCTTGATGGGTACAACGTTTCCTTTTAGAGTGATGAAAATGTTCTGGTACTATAAAGTGGTGGTGGTTGTATGAATTCTGAATGTACTGAATGCCATTAAATTGTGAATTTTAAAATGATGAATTTTATATTATGTTGTGTTCTATCACACACACAAAAACACACCCATACACTTTAGCTATCACATCTATATTCCATTCCTCCCCACTGGCGCTAAGCACCCAGTAATCTATTTTCTGTTTCTATAAAGTTGCTTATTGTGGACATCTTATATAAATTGAATCATATAGTATGTGTTTTTTTTGTTTCTGGCTTCTTACACTGAGAACATTTTCAAGGTTCACTCAGGTTGTAGTATATGCCAATATTTCGTTTTTTATGGTTAAATAATATTCACTGTATGAATGTACCACATTTTATTTATTCATTCCTTAGTTGATAGACATTTAGGTTGTTTTCATTTTTGTCTATTATGAGCAATGCTGCTATGAACATTCATGGACCAGTTTTTTGTAGATATATGTTTTGATTTACTTTGTTTATATCCCTAGGAGGGCTATTCCTACCAGCAGTATATGAGGTTTCCCATTTCTTCATATCCTTACCAACATTTGTTATAATCTGACTTTTTTTTCTGAGACAAGGTCTTGCTCTGTCACCCAGGCTGGAGTGTAGTAGAACAATCATGACTCACTGCCACCTCAACATCCTGGGCTCAAGTGATGTGCCCACCTCAGCCTCCCAAGTAGCAAGTAGCTGGGACTACAGGCACATAGCACGATGCCTGGCTAAGATTTGTACATATATATGTATTTTTTCTTGGCAGGGAAGCGGGGAGAGACAGGGTTTTATCATATTGCTCAGGCTAGTCTCAAACTCCTGAGCTCAAGCAATCCACCCACCTTGGCCTCCCAAAGTGCTGGGATTATAGGCCTGAATAACTGTGCTCAGCCTATAATCTGACTTTTTAAATTATAGCCATCCTAGTGCATCCTAGTGAGTATAAAGTGGTATCATGTGGTTTTGGTTTGCATTTCCTTGATTACTAAACATGTCAAACACCTTTTCATGTGTATTTTGCCTAGAAATATGCTCCTATAGTAAATATTTTGCATAGACTCTTAAGGGGTTCACAGACCTTCAAAGTTATGAACCCCTAGAAAAGAGTTATTGGGTAGACACATGGAGAGAAACTGTCATGAGAGTAATTATAAATAACATTTAAACATAGTAAATAATACAAAGCATACTTGTCTCATTTATGCTGCTCTATATTCAATAAGAAAACTGAAGGAATAAACTTTAACATTAGTTATACTGAAATTTTAGATTAATTTTCACTGCATGATTCTTAATGGGAGTGAAGAGGGAAGAATCCCAATTCCTATCAGAATCAGGAACATACACTACACATCATCATCTCTGAAACCAAAGAGAAACCTCACAAACTGAGTGAGGCGAGAAAGGTTACCTATATTTTTATATCTTTTTTGTACAAATGAGAAAGTACTAAATAGAATTAGAAAACCAATAGAATTGGTATCTATAAACCAGAGAATTATTTGTGTAACAGGAGAGTGAAAAGAGGTCTAAACATGTACTAAATTGAAGGATCAGTCTTTTCAGGATAAGTATTAGATGTTGGGAAAAATAAACAGTATTCAACAAGAGTTAACAGTTATTTTGGCTGAAGACCAGCTTACCATTGCCACTGCAGTTTTACACTTATGACATATGAAGGTTGTCTGTTCCCAGGTAGAAAATAAACAATTTGCCCAGTGGTCTGAGGAGTCACCTTCAAAGACTGGACCTTTGCTGTGACTGTTGGAGTACCAGTGGTTTTAGCTTTAGAAACTCAAAGGAATTTGCTTAGGCAGCTTTTGGAGGGTCATTATACCCTGGTGACATAATCTTTAAATGGGAGAAAGACCTACTTATGTTAGAAGCTTACACATTGGCATTTCTTAAGGCAGTCATCCTTGGTCTCTCCATAAGATCAGCTTTTAGAGAATGGAATGATTTGGAGTTGCAATTAAAATCCTGAGCAGAATCCCGTAAGACAGCAAAGAAAGATAAGCAATTCAAGCTCTCTACCTTATTTCACCTTCTCTAATGTGACCTGCCAGTTCTTCAATAAACTTTTCTCCTTTCATCCAGTAGATCATTGGCCCAGACTCTCCACTGAATCCGAAGAATGCTTTGCAGGGGATGTTCAGAGGCTTACCTGAGAATGAGAGAAAAAGAAATGAGCAAATGACTCCTGATTATCAGTGGGAGACAGGAAGCGACCATTTAACATCCAAAGGAAAACTCAGAGGTGACCCAATTTTCAACTCTTTTTCTAGTCATCTTATCATTGTACCTGGGAAAAATTTTAAATAGTTATGAGGGCTTCTAGAAAAAAACTTAAATTCAAAGTATAATCAAAAGTGGGAATACAAAGTTACTCAGTTTTCTGTTTGTTTGTTTTTGAGAAGGGGTCTGACTCTGTCACCCAGGCTGGAGTGCAGTGGCACAACCACAGCTCACTGCAGCCTTAACCTCCCTGGCTCAAGTGATCCTCCCACCTCAGCCTCCCAAGTAGCTGGGACCACACAGGGTCTCCCTATGTTCCCAAAGCTGTTTGTTACACAGGTTTTAAAACTGTTTATTTTTGCTGCCTCCTTCTTATGAAATAATACGAAAAAATCAAATGAAAAGACTATCTTTTTTGTTTATTTTTGAGAATATTAAGCACTGCTAACTTGAACTTGCCCTTGAAACTAACATTAATCAAAAGTATAAGTAAATTTTTGGTTGGTGAGAAGACGTATCATAATATACTCTCCACTGTTATTAAGATTACACAGAAATTTGTTTATTCTGATTTTTACATGTTTTAAGAAAAATTAGGTAATATAAACTATAATGGTTATTTTTAGGTGTCAAATTGACTGGATTAAGAAATATTAATACCTAGATAGCTGGTAATGCATTATTTCTGGGTATGTCTGTCTGGGGTTTCCAGGAAAGATTGGTATTTGAGTTTGGTGGCTGAGTGGCAAGATCCACTTCAGTGTGAGTAGGAAGCATCCAAGTGGCTGTGGGCCTGGATAGAACAAGAAATCAGAATGAAGGCACTGTGTAAAATGGGGCCTCCTTGAGGTGGTCTATCAAAAAATGACTGCTCTTTTCTTGGCACTACACATAAGGTACTGACTATTGCTGCAATTTCTCCTGGGAGGAATGTTTTTACTCTCCCATTAAACAGGTTCTTGTTAAATAAACACAAGAGACAGATATTTTTGTAAAGGCCACAGATAACCATCACTGCCCTTTTCTTGACAAACAATTTTTCTCCATTCTGTTTTTCTCTTTAAACAATTTTCAACCTCTTTTAAAGTCTCTATTAAATTGTCCTATTATCTCTACTTCTTGGTATGCAGTTTTTTTTTCCATTGTGTCAAGGGAAGCAACATCATGGTGGTTAATTTTCTTATGAGGTTTATAATTTCATTGCTGTATTTTCATCTACAGCAGGGATTGTTTTCTGTGGTAGTCCCACATGCTGAGGGTTATAGAGGAATTCCCTTAGAGAAGTTCCAAGGTTGCTTCTACCAAGGCCCTACAAGTTTCACTGGTTTGGAACCAGTTTTTCTGTCAATTTCTTTGCTTGGGGGCTTGTGTCATATATGAGTTATGTGAATTTAGAGTCCACACCCATGCTTGGTACAGGTTTAGAGTTCCAGTTTCTCTTAAATGTTTCCTTGGATTCATAGCTATGGCCCTGGAGTGAATGTGAATTTTCTGTACACTTTCCTGAATCAATAAGCAGAGTTTTCTAGGCCCCATTTCATAGATTTCAGGGTTTGTAAATCATTCAGTTTTCTAGATTTTTGCTGGGATCTGCTCTAACTCCATACTTCACATAGATCCTAAACTCAAGCCCATGTACCCTGAATATCCACATTTGGTTTTGATATCTCCAGGAGATCTTCAATTTCAATTTATACTCCTTTCTCTTACTTTGAGCTCCCTATTTATCACTAAGGCCTGAGAATTTCCCTTACTTGCTTTCCAGCTGGGCTAAGCATGTAAATTATTTGCCTTATTTTGACCAGCATTTCTCTGTAGTTAGAACAAGAGGTGATCTTTACCATTTCAATTCATTCTACCTTATTGACTAGGTGCCTGAAATTCTACCACAAAAATCTATAAATTGTGTATCTTTGTCCTACGTAATCAAGTTAATTTTAATTTCACCAGTCTTACCAAGGAGTTAAACATAGAGTTTATATTAATGTTACTGTTAATGTATCCTTTCTTCCCTGGGCCCACACTTTGATATGGCCTTTCAACATAAGATAAAAAGAAGAATGGATAGTTGTGATGCCAATGTGAAAACTAATCACCTTCCTGCTGCGCTTTATGTATTTAACTTTGTAGCTTCACCTTTCAAGACGTTTATTTCTTCCTTAAGATAATCCACAATCAGGGCACAAATCTTTTATCTGTATTTGTGAGAGTGCCCTGAACCACATGCTCTAGTCTAGCAGGCCAGTGTCAGAACACATGGAACACTGGAGCATGCTACTTTCAGTTGTAAGACATATTTTAAGAAGATTGTTGCTAATAATGGTAATAATGAAGTTAACGAATTAGTTATTTAAAAATTTACAGGAGAGCTGAAGTCACCATTATATTATGTCACTCTTACACATATGCATTCCAGTATACTTCTTTTTGAATGGGAGTTAAGGGGTAAAGTCATAACTTGTATATGAGGCATGTTTCATTGTTATGGTTTGAATGTCCCCACCAAAACTCATATTGAAATTCAATTGCCAATGTAACAGTGTTGAGAAGTAAGACCTTTGGAAGATAATTAGGTCATGAGGGCTTTGCCCTTATGAATGGAGTAATGTTATTGTGGAACTGGGTTAGTGTTTTCTGAGAGTGGGCTTCTGAGAAAAGGATGAGTTGAGCTGGATTTCCTCTCTCTGTCTCATATGTGTGCCTTCTGCCATGGGATGACCCTCACCTAATGCCAACAGGTGCTGATGCTCTTGGACTTCTCAGCATCTAGAACTGAGAGCCAAATAAATCTCTTTTCCTTACAAATTGCACCATCTGTGGTCTTCTGTTATAGCAGCAGAAAATGGACTAAGACAGAAAAATTGGTACCGAGAGTGGGGTTGTTGCTATAACAAATACCTGAAGATGTGGGAGTGGCTTTGGAACTGGGTAATGAGCAGAGGCTGAACGAATCTGGAGGAAAAGGCTAGAAAAATCTTGTACTGATGTGGACAGACCATAAAGAGAATTCTGACAAGGGCTCAGGAGAAGAGGAGAGCTGTAGGGAAAGTCTGATCTTTTTAGAGATTACTTAAGGGGTTATGACCAGAATGTTGGTAGGAATATGGACAGTAAAGGCAACTGTGATGAGGTATCAGAAAGAAATGAGAAACAAGGTACTGAAAACTGGAGTAAAGGCTATCCTTTTTATAAAGTGGCAAAGAAGGTGATGAAATTGTGTCTGTGTCCAGGGCTTATGGAATGCAGAGCTTAAAAGTGATAAACTAGGGCATCTGGTACAAGAAATATCAACGCAGCAAGGTATTCAGGCTACTGTATGGCTACTTTTCATTGTATATAGGGAGATATGAGAGCAAAGAGATGGCTTAAAGATGGAATTAATACTTAAAAAGGGAAGCAGAATAGAAAAATTTTGAAAATTTGCAAGCTGGCAAGGTAAAGAGTGAAAAGGCATCTTTAGAAGAGAATACAAAAAGTGTGGCCAAGCAACCATTTGTTAAAGGAATTAATACGCATAGAAACAAGCCAGGTGCCATCCATCAAGACAAGGGACAAAAGACCCCAAAGGCATTTTGAAGATCTTTGAGACAGCCTCTCCCATCACAAGCTCAGGGGCTCTAGCAGGGCAGAACTGTTTGGGGTAACAGGCCTGGGGTATCCTCCATGGGCTCTGATATGGTTTGGCTCTGTGTTTCCACCCAAATCTCATCGCAAATTGTAATTGCCATGTGTCCAGGGATGCACCTGGTGGGGGATGATTGGATCATGGAGGCAGTTTCCCCCATGCTGTTCTCATGACAGTGAGGGAGTTCTCATGAGATCTGATGGTTTTAAAATGTGTCAGAGTGTGCAAGCCCCAAGCCTTGGCAGCTTTCACATGGTGTTGGGCCTGCAGGTGTACAGAACACAAGAATTGAGCTTTGGGACCCTCCGCCTAGATTTCAGAGGATGTATGGAAATGCCTGGATGTCCAGGCAGAAGTCTGCTGTAGGAGTGGAACCCTCATGGAGAACCTCTGTTAGAGCAGTGTGGAAGGGAAATGTGGGGTCAGAGCCCTGATAGAGAGTCCCCACTGGGCCACTACCTAGCGGATCTGTGAGAAGAGGACCACCATCCTCCAGACCCCAGAAATATAGATCCACTGACATCTTGCATCATGCACCTGAAAAGGCTAAAAGCACTCAACACCAGCCCATGAAGGCAGCCACAGGGGCTGTACCTTGCAAATCCACAGGGGCAGAGCTGCCCAAGGCCATGGGAGCACACCCCTTGTAATAGCATGCTCTGGATGTGAGACATGGAGTCAAAGGAGATTTTGGAGCTTTAAGATTTAATGATGGCCTGGCCAGGTTTCAGACTTGCCTGGGGCCTGTGGCTTCTTTGTTTTGGCCATTTTCTCCCATTTGGAATGGGAACATTTACCCAATGCCTGTACCCCCATTGTATCTTGGAAGTAACTAACTTTCTTTTGATTTTACAGACTCATAGGTGGAACGGAGTTGCCTTTCCTCAGATGAGACTTTGGACTTGAACTTTTGAGTTAATGCTGGAATGAGTTAAGACTTTGGGGGACTATTGGGAAGGCATCACCACATGTTGAAAGGGAGGGACCAGGTTGGAGGTGATTGTATCATGGGGGCAGTTTTCCCCATGCTATTCTCATGATAATGAGGGAGTTTTCATGAAATCTGATGGTTTTAAAAGTGGCAGTTTCCACTGTGCACTCTCTATCTCCTGCCACCATGTAAGATGTGCCTTGCTTTCCCTTCACCTTCCACCATAATTGTTAGTTTCCTGAGGCCTCCCCAGCTAAGCAGAACTGTGAGTCAATTAAACCTCTTTCCATTATAAATTACCCAGTCTCAGGTAGTGTCTTTATAGCAGTGTGGGAATAAACTGATACAGGCTCACTGCTCAGGGCCACCTTAGGACTCTTCTCCCTGAATCCCAGCGTAGCACCCCTCAGCCACCCAGCCATGGCTCAAGAGGGCCCAGATGTAGCTAGACTTGCCAAAATGGAAGGTATAATCTATAAGTCTTGATGGAGTTAAGTCTGCAGGCTTGCAAAATGCAAGAGTTGTGTGTGCATGGATGCTGTTGATAGCCTAGGGCCCTAGGGTAAAACCAGCCACAGGGCTAGAGCTACCACAGACAGTTCCCACTAGGGGAATGCCTAGTGTGGCTGTAGGAGTGGGGTCACCTCAGAGACCCCAGAACTGTAGGGCCACAAGCATATAACACCAGCCTCCAAAAGCTACAGGCATGAGACTACAACCTGTGAGAATTGCTGAGTAGACTGAATCCATAAAAGCCCCAGGGTTAGGGCTGCCAAAGGGTTTGAGGGTTTGAGGACCCAGCCACATACCCCAGTGTACCCAGGATATGGGACAGGGAGGCAAAGCAAATTATTCTCCAGTTTTAAGATTAAATGTTGTATTCCATTTTGGGTTTTGGACTTACTTGAAACCAGTTATCCATTTTGGTATGGGAATGTCTATTGTATGCCTGTCCCACTATTGTATTTTGGAAGTAGATACCTTCTTCAATTTCACAGGCTCACAGATGGAGGAATTTGCCCCAGGATGCATCATACCTTAAATCTCATCTATGTCTGATTTAGATAAGACTTCAGACTTTAGACTTTTGAGATTATGTTGTAATGAGTTAAGACTTTGGGGCTATTGGTATGGAAGGAATGTATTTTGCATTGTGAGAAGGATATAAGTTTTGAGGGACCAAGAGCAGAATGTCTCCTCCAAAGCTCATGTTGAAATTCAGTTGCCAATGTAATAGTGTTGAGAGGCAGGATCTTTAAGAGGTGATTAGGTAATAAGGGCTCTGCTGTCACGAATCAATTAATGCCATTATCACAGGATTAGTGCCATTATTGAGAGAGAGAGAGTGGACTCCTAGTAAAAGGATGAATTCAGCTGGATTTCATCTCTCTGACTTGCACACTCATGTTCTTGCCATGTGATGCCTTCTATTACAGGATGACCCTCACTAGATGTTGGTGCCATCTCTTAGATTTCTCAGTCTCCAGAACTGTGAGCCAAATAAATCTTTTTCTATATTGTCCACTCTGTTGTATTCTGTTACAGCAGTAGAAAATGGACTAAGAGACCCATTAATAGTTTTTCTTACAGTACGTATCATCTGTTCTATATGTTAAGAAGGAAAAAGCTGAAAGCCAGTGATCCCCGGGTGTAGCTTCACTGAGAGGGAGAGAAACATATATTCTCTCATTTTGAAAATAAAATTCCTATATATTCACATATATCTATATATGTATATGTATGTGTATGTATATATACACATACATATGCACACATATATATATAAATATATATATATATTTATATGTATATCAGTGTAATTTAATCACAAGGTAGTTCATCATTCCTCACACTGGCCTTTTCTATCAGTCATCCAATATATCAAGTACCCACTTGCAGCCAATGTTGTACTGGTAAAAATACCAAGGTCCTTTCTTTCTCTGAGATTATTATCTCAAACAAACTGAATGAATCATTGAGATTTAGAAACAGGCTCAGATAGGAATTAACTGACTTTTCTGAGGTCAAATTATGAACCAGCTTTGATGTTGTTTTACAGAAATTAATGTCTTCCAATATGTAGTACAGTGTTTAATCTACTAAAAAAAAGAAGTTTGACATTTCAGAGTGATTTTATAAAGCCCTTTTAAATTCTTTATTCTAAAGAAGAGCCCTCTCCCCATCATTTCTAAATTAAATGAAACAGTCACAGAGGTAAATTCTAAATTATAGTTGAGATAAAGCTATTATGAAGCTAAAGGAAGGAAGAAAGAATTTATTTCTTCCAGTAAGATACAAGGGAGATGAAAAGTTGATGAGGCAGAAAGACATGAGTTAGTTATCCCAGATGGTGGAAACCGAAAAAAAAAAAAAAAAAAAAGTAGGATTTTCTACCCAGACAACAGTGACCGTGAGATAAGACAGTGGCTACCAAAGCTAATTAATCTGAGAAGGAAGAAGACCAGGAGAAAATACTTGAGTAACCTTAGAATAGAATAATGATTTGGGAGAGAGAAAGAGATAGACAAAGAGAGACTGAGACCCATAAACTTTCTACTATTTCTGGTTTCAAAGAATGTATGTGTGAAGCCAGGTAATGTTTCTTGGGGATGGTGGGGAATATGTTCATAGTTATTTGCCTGTGCTAGAGGGAAGTAGCACAGCAGCAGACCTCAAAGTAAGATGAGACAGAGCATTGTTTTCTTGGTTAAAGGAGTATTGTTGTTGTTGTTATTGTTGTTATTGTTTTGGTACACAATTGGCTCAATCAGATAAGAGTTACAAAGTCCACTGGATGAGGAATTGTTTAGTTATAAGACTTACATAGTTGTGTCACCAAGTTGCCCCAATCCCAATAGAAGTTTCTGTTACTGAATTTTATCTAGGTTGAATGAATAAAACCCCCATTGTTACTACATATCCCGCCCATTAACTTTGCTTCCTTTTTCCTTTTTCATTTCCTTTGGACAAGGAGTGTGGCTCAGAGTCTTAAGATCCTAGTTTTCTCAGTCATATCTCACATTTAAGGGTACCAAATGTAGGCAAGGCAAAGACATTTCATGTAAAGAGTACTAGTGTTAGGACGTCAACGTTATAGCCCCAGCCCTTCCACTATACTGCTTTGATTTTTTTGACAAGCCCATTCCTCTAATAAGCCACACTTTCTTCTTCTAAAAATTATAGGGTCAACTGAGAGAATCTCTAAGGACTCTTTCAGGTCTGATGTTCTCATATTTTGTAGCTGGCCTAGAGTGTTAGAATTTTCCAAGTGGGATGAACTGTGTCACTTTTAGTCCTAGCTCTCGAGTGCCAGTCATTAGTTCCTTCTGCAAAATAAAAAGCATGTAAATCTCTGTGCCTCAGGTAGCTTTTAACTTTAGCGTCAAGGTCCCTGGGCCATTTGGTTTTTGGCCTGAATCAGCTTGCTTTCTGTGCCTGGAATCCCAGTTCCTGTGTATCCCTTAACCTCTGTTTACTTCATAGTGGGTTTCCTGCCTATAAACCCTACCTTGCCTTGAACCCTAGGTTCTCTCCACCTAACCTGACCCTGGCTGCTTCTGTTGGCTCTGCTGATCTTGGCTTATGACCCTGCTTTCTTTGACCCAGTGTTTTTCATATCTCAGCTTGACAAAGGAATTTTTAAAAGCTCCCTATGGAAAAGACAAAATCCTTGGATATTAACTCACTATACTAGCAAGTCCAAATTATACTCAGCAAATTGAGATGTCAGGAGAGTTGAAGCAAGCAAATATGTTGTATGTGTGTATTCAAATGTGCATATAGTTGCAAAATAATTCATTTGGATTGAATTAATAGTTTAAAATTAAATACACATGATTCTTTGTATTGTGTTAGGTGAAGGAAAGAAACTAAAAATTCCCATATTGATTTAGAAATCTAGGTTTGTAGAGTAGCCAATCTATACAATCATATCAATTGAAAAATGGTTTCAGTCCATATTAAATTCATATTTAAAGTTGTTATTTTCATTTGTTTCAAAAGTTATTTACTTGGCTCTACACTACATGGAATTAAGTGTTAAAGCTTACAAAGTTAGGTCTATTCTAGCAGCTAGACAAGAGAGTAGTAAAAATAGAACACAGAGTAACCATTACTTCCCAAAAAAGAGGTCACCTTTGTCATTTGAGAACATCTGATTGGAAACAGAAATCTTTTTCACTTTCCCAACTTCTGTATCATCAAAAGTACTTTGAATCCCTTACTAATAAGATCACAACTTTTGGTACTAGGAATGACTTGCTAGTTAAATCCTGCTGTACAAGTTTGGAAAAAAAATGAATCAATACAAACATGGCAATTCTTATTGTATATCTGAAGATTGATCCAGGTATTATATGGTGACTGAAGAAAATACTGATGTGTTTTCTGGACATTATAGTGAGATTTAAAACACAGCTGTGGAAAGTTTTTAAAATATCCTCAAAAAATAAATGAATAATATGTGTCTGTAGTTTTAACATAGGTCCCATTCACTTTGATAAGTCTTGTTGGCTGTCTGCACACCGTGACTCTAGAAATGATGTTCAAAATAATCCCACAAGGATCCTTTAATCCTTTAGAAAATGGAAATATCAAGGTTTAATGCCTAGTTGAGAAAATGAAACGCAAAGCTGTCCACATATTACTGATCAGATTCATGTCACAGTATTGATTTTCTGAAGTATTATAAGGGTTCTTTTAGACTATTAATTTCCTTTGATGACAAATCCCTCTGGTCTTGCCATTCATTATACTCTATTTTGTAGCCTACGTGATTGGCATGCCTTTACCCTCCACTTTTGCTCACTTAAAGCCTCATCCATCAAAATATAGCTCAAGTGCCACCGATACCATGAAGCCATCCCTGACTTCCTTAATGCACACTCTGCTTTCTCTGAATCCCATTTTTATACATGTCACAGGAAGTTAAAAGTTTAGCTGCACTTTGCTTTATATAATTATTACAACAAAATAAGCTAAGTGCTTAAGGTATTCTGACCAAATTAATCATCACAGAAACCCAGGGAGTAAGGTATTATTATTCTCAGTTTACAATGAGCAGAGAAAAGTAGAAAGAAGTTAACTTGTTTGAAGCCACAAACATTGTAAGTGGGAGAAATATAAAAGCAGACAGCTAGACTCTAGAGCCAAAGATCCTAAACACTCCTCCATACTGCATTTCACAGGTGTTTGCCTCCTCTTCCCAAATAAATGTTACAGTCTTTAAGGATGGAAACCATATCTTATATTTCACTTTCATTTCCTTAGAGGAACTAGCATGCTGCAAGGCACATGGTTGTGCTCAATAGTACTTGTTTGATTCTCAAACGCTTAGTTCAATTCGACTAATTTTTCTTATTTTTAAATCGGTTTTCTCTTGCAGCATTAAATGTATCTTTGCCGGTCTTCACCAATCCATTTTGGAATGAACCAGGGTACAAATAATAAATAATGGCCTTGAAGTTCAAGTTTTCCCTTTCATTTGCTAACCCTTTTAAAGAAGGAGGAGGGAGAAAGGAAAGGGAAGAGGAGCCAAACTGATCTGAGTTGCCTTTTCAAAAATTCTTGCAAGGCAGAGTCAACAACAAAATGGGAGAAAAGAACCTCAATGTTTATATGCCTGTGGAAATCATTCCGAGTGCTGTATTCAGGTGATACCAATCTACGATTGTCACCATCTCTTTTTGCTTGAAATTTGGATTTTATCTTGAATTGTATGTAATCTTTCTTTCCCCATGTCCATAAGTTCCTGAAGAGAGAAGGAAATGAGTTCAATGTATCCACTATGGGAGAGTGTAGCAGTTATATGCCATTTAATAAGTTTGAATATTTTTGTTCTGTTCTTTGAAGACAGGAGGTTACATAAATGACAGAAAATAAAGGATATTAAAGCTAATTATTGCAGTTAGCAATATCATAATAAAGAAGTCACCTCTCCTGCTGCCTCTGCTGAAGGGCATAATTTAAAAAAGTAAAGACCCATCATTGCTCACAAGAAAAGTCAGAAGTCAGCTTCTGAGTCTTAGGCAGGAATGGCCTGAATGTAATTCACAAAGTTGGTGAGGTTCTCTTGTATCCTCCAGGGCTTTATCCGCATTCCTTGAGCCATGTACTCTCCAGCTCTGGGTCTTTACATTACTCCTCCTGTAAAACTGAGCCAGCCATCCTGCTAGGAATGGATTCCCAACTCCATCATTGTTCTTGCCTTTCCTATGAGTATCCTTGACTGCCTCTATTCTAGTCACTCAGCCTTGCTAGTTTACACAACCCTTCCTCACTGGAACTTTCCACTACTCTTTGTTCCTTCCTTGGTAAAACAATTGGCTAGTCTCATCAAATAATGCCCAATCATTTTCCAGTATGGGATAAAGCTAATAAGGAAGTTCTCCATTCTTTACCATGTAATGTGCATTTTTTTCTTTGAAAATTAATGTGTATCTTTAGCAGTTTCTCAAATAGTGGGAAAATTGTTAAGCAATAAGAATTGCTTAACAGCGGAGATTTCTAAAATTCCTCACTACTCATCTACTGACTCAAAGTCCTCAAAGCAGTTGCTCAACAATCCTTTCTCTCTCTCCTTCAAAATTCTCTTCCAAATTCACAGGGAACTATCCTGTCTCCTCAGTCATCCCTACTCTTCCTCTCCTCTGGATCTAGTTCTGTCTTCAATAAGTTGTTCCCTGCCCTTTCCTTTATAAGCTTCTATAAAGCTGTAATTTTTTAATATGAAAATACTAAATGCTATAAAATTAAATCACACACTACAACCTTCCAGTCACACTATTAATTACTTCATAAGTATCTTGCATATAGGCTTCTGAAAACAGTGATCTCTCTATTTTGTATTTCTAAGCTTTTATATTTTGTTCCATAAGCATGCCACTTCATTTCAACAAACATATAACAAGTATCTACAATGGGCAAGATCCCTTCCTAGGTGTTTGGGGATACGTTAAATATGTCAGTCTCTGCCTTCAAGGATTGTTGTGTCACTAAGAATAATTTATCAAAGATAGCTTCATAGCATGTCTTAGATTGGTAGTTTTCTTATCACTTGTTTTTGTTCAGTCTTCTGAACTTTTATAAACTTCCTAGGGCCAGGACTGTGCCTTATACTGTTCCATATTTCCCACAGTATGAAGGTTGTAAAATAAATAGACCAGGAGTGACATAGTTGGGGAAAATATCTCAAAGTCAATTGTTCTGTTACACCCATCTCTCTACTTGACTGGAACCAACAGGGACCTCAATATTCTTCCACTTTGGTCCATTTCTCACACTGTCTTGTATTTACTTCTGTAGTCAAAAATCTGATTAAAAAACAGCCTCTTTCCCCTGAAGCTCTCAAGTTAAAAAGACACTCACAGTTTAGTTTTCTGTACAAACTGTACAACAAATTCCTGAGTAACTGCGATTTTTCTGTATTTTTTTATCTTTGGCCTACATATACAGGTACACACACATACACACACATATATATCTACTAGTACAGATATTTTATTTTCTATCTATCTGTATCCGTCTATCTATTCATCTATCATCTATCTATTTATTAGTCATCCCCCCCACCCCAAATGACATGGCATTCTCTCCCTGAATTAATTACATCAGTTTTTACCACAGCCCTCTTACATAGTGTATGTGTGCACATGAGTATGTAGTAGGTAAATCAAAAATTATCTCAGATATAATCTGTTGACCAAAGTTGTACATTTGCTATTTGGCTCTGCTAATCACCTGAAGATACAGCAAGAAGGAACACCATAGAAAACAGCTCAACGGGAAAAATGTTCTTACAGAATTTGCACTTGGTTACATGGTATATAGTAAAACTTTAACATTAAAATTAGAAAACAGCTCAACGGGAAAAATGTTCTTACAGAATTTGCACTTGGTTACATCGTATATAGTAAAACTTTAACATTAAAATTGCTGCCTCTCCTGTTGGTGGGTGGGGTGGTGGGAGGGAGAACATTAGGAAAAATAGCTAATGCATGCTGGGCTTAATACCTAGGTGATGGGTTGATAGGTGCAGCAAACCACCATGGCACATGTTTACCTATGTAACAAACCTGCACATCCAGCACATGTACCCCAGAACTAAAAATAAAATTTAAAAGAAAAGAAAATTGCTGCTTCTTTAGAACAAAGATTCCCAAAGCAAGGGACAAAATAGCATAGACAAGATTTTTTAAAGTATATTTAATATTTTAAATACTTTAAAAAGGAGAATTATTACAAGTTCTTTAAAACAACCATTTAAATATAAGCAATTTGCTTGATGCCAACCATTTTTGTCTACTTGTTAAGGCTCCACTGGCAAGTGAGGTTAGCCTATGTATGGTACCATTACAATTCAGTTATATATTACGCAGATATCTTAGTTGAGTTGATGGATAATTGTTTAGCTTGTATTTTTTCTTACTCAAATATTTTAGCAACTCGGTGAAAAAGTTGTGTATGTGTTTTAAATATATATTTGATTATTTTAAAACCTGGATTTAAGCTGTATTCTACATGACTAAGCAATCTAAAAATCAGCCTGTTGTTGTATATAAGACTTGCACATACAATTTGTTTGGAATGTACAACATTCTGCTTTGTATTATCGTTGTGTATATTGCTAACTTCCCTTACTATACTGTAAGCTCTTTGGCAGGTCACATAACTAATCCATCTTGGTAACCTCTGAAAAGCCTAGCAGAGTGTTTTGCACATTGTGTGCTTTCAGTACATGCTAAATTAATGAACTAAACTAGCTTCCAAGAGACCTCGCCTAAGCAATACTTCAACATCTATGTTCTAAGTACTTCATGTACTTGAAAGTAATATAACTACATGTCTTTAAAATGCACTTAATAATTCATATTTTTCACTATTTCTGACTTGTCATTTCATCCAACTTAATCTGAGACAGTGAGGTTATGCTGTTTATCTTTACACAGAGAAATCAAACACACATTTGATACCCACCAAGATTCTTTCAAAAGACATATGGAGAAGAATGAATGCAGATAAAGTTAGTTACAGCATTGCATATCTTTCTCTAATGCAGTTAGAAGGGAACTTTGAGATCATCGTCTCATCCTCTCATCTTCTCACTCTAGATGAGAAATAGAGGGCACAGTTTTAAATGACTTGTCCAAGAACACACACTGACTGTTGGCAGAGCTTGCAATGTAGTCCAAGTGCCTGCCTCTAAGTTTAATGCTTTTTCCAATATAGCAGCTATCTGTGGCCCTTACATTGTGAGACCCCTGTCATATCTTCCTGAGGGGCTTTTTCTTGGCTTTCAACCTCTTCCCTTTTCCATTTTTTTTCTGTAGACTTTTGCCATATTTGTTTTCCCTAAGCATAGGTGTATTCATTACACAACTTTGCTTCAAAATATGAAAAGGTCCCCATAATCTACCAATTTAAATGGTTCTCAATAGGGTGAAGTTGTGCCCCAGAGGGAGCATTTGGTAATATCTGGGACATATTTACTTCTCAAAACTGAGGGATGTGGTGTTATGGGCATCTGGTGGTATAGACCAGGCATTCTTCTAACCATCTTACAGTGCATAGGACATCCCCCACAACAAAGAATAATCTAGTCCCAAATGTCAATAGTGCTGAGATTAAGAAAACTTATTCTAGAATTAGAGGATTTTCAGGTCCTGATCTTAACTTTCTTTTCCAGAATTATTTCCTACAACCTTCCCACACTTAGAAACATTGATTGAAGTGCTTTCTATTTTTTATAGATGTGCTATACTTTCCTATTGCCCTGATTTTGCTTAGCTTGAAATGGTTTTCCTCATCTGTCTACATTTTTCTTATTTGTTAAAGACTGAAGTATATAACCTGCTCCATAAAAACCTTCTTTGATCCTTACAACCAGATCATCTTTTCTCTTTTCAAGGCTCATAGAAATATGAATGCAGACTGTTTTTATTTTTGAAAATCTTATATATTATTTTGCCAAAGTCTGATTGTTAGACTCTGAGGAATCTGTGAGAAAATGTACACTAAGTTTGGAGTCCAAAGACTTCTAACTCCACCATTTACTAAATATGTTTAACCTTGCACATGTCATTGCACCCCAGTGGGCCTCATACTTTTCATCACTGAAATGGGACTAATAATGCCTACTTCCTAAAGGTGGTCAGAGGATGAAGTAAAATTTTATGAATAAAAGTGCTTTGTAAGTTTTAAAGCACTATGCCAATATGAGGGGTTGTTATTTTTATTGCAAGGGGAGCTAGCTCTTGAAAGGCAGTTAAAGCTTCTATTTTACCTCGTGTAGGGAATAAGCAATGCCCGTGACCATACTGCAAATTTTCTGGCTGGCCTTGTGTGAGGGCAGGACATATGCTTAAGTCGACTTTAATTTTCCCCATGAAGAATACAGTGTGTTCTTTGTGCCTTGCATCTACCCAGTATGGTGGTAAGGAAAACACTTCCTTTTTCTGGAGAAGAAAGAGAACAGGGGAGTGCACCAACCGATTATTCACAACAGGAATGCCAGGGGCAACAAGAGGCCTGCAAAACATTTTTTTCTGCAGTCAAATACACCCAGCTCATAAAGAATGCCGTAATTTACTTCTAGTTCCTTGCAAAGACATTTTTGGAAGTGTTGCCTTTGCCATCCCAGAATCCCCAGAATGCAGCTGTACTTTGTTAGCCAAAGTTTAAGAATAAAATAAATGAGTAGTAATAAGAAAAAACCTGACTTGGAGTTTTTATTCTTAGATGATAACTTGCCATATTTGTGGAGGTCTTGCTAATTATATTTTGTATAACACAAATACCTATGGAAATTAAGGCTGGATAAGAGGCCCTGGAGCTTGAGATAATAACTATACAGATGTTTCACACTAGAGGTCACTCTTGCAATCTAAGAACAAAATTCTGAAAAGAGGAAAACACAGCAAAACAAAAGAAAAAGCAAACAACCATCAACAACAACACAACAATGCACATGATATCAGTGCAAAAAACAAGGATATAGTTTTTCCTTTGAAATCTATGAAGATGCTCTTAAAATGATCAAATAAATTGGTAAGGAGTCGAACTGTCATTATGGAGTATGAGAGAGCTAAAAAGTAACAATTGCTCTACTTGGCAGGAAGGCAGGCAGGCAGGCAGGTAGGTAAGTGGCCAGTTCCTCCCTGGCTTGGGACATCAATCTACAGCTGCCCTGAAGTGATTAGCTTGATATAGATCTAAGTAGACTGGAATGACATACACATTTTAAACCAACTGAGAAGCTGGTAAGAGGAATTGCAGGAATTCAATGTCGCAATATATTAAAAAATAAATACTCTTTGTACCTGTTTGTTTAATGAACAGTAGCTGTTATAGTGAAAATTCATTTCTTAAACAGATGGAAAATGTCTAAATGAGTGGACTTAAAATCACCCTTGAGTTGTCTCAAGGGTAGGCACGTATTTGTGCATTATAGATCACTATCTATGTGTTTTATGATGTAAAGGTTTGAACTCTACTCTTACATCTCCATACCCTTCATTCCTTCTGCAAACCTAATTGGCCTGCATAGTGCCCAAAATTCCATCTATCATTCCTTTCTCAGGTTAATGCATTTTACTTTCAGTTGTCCTTTATTAAAATTTTTAAACTCCCAGGGGAAGAGGAATAGCAGATAGTTTTTCCCATCATTCAAACCTCAATTCATTTTTAAGATCCTCATTAGGGCACCTGCCATGAAGTCCCAAAGGGAGATAGGACATGTGACCCTGGAGGAAATATTGATGAGGTCCAGAGGAGCAGGAGGAGAGTTATGGGTGGTAAACCTGAAGCACCACTGGGGAGCACTTGAGTAGAGAGGGGAGCATTGAAAAGAACATCTGGATAATAAAGTTTTCAAATTTTGTCAACCTAGTGGTATGAGATAGATTTAAAAATTTTAGCCTTTCATCTGCTTATCAAATCAACATGATCATTAAGAGATCTTTATCATATTTCTCTATGAAATAAAGGGGTAGTAAAATAATGAATGTTATTACTAAATAGAGTCTAATAAACAAGTTCTAGACCAATAATAAATCAAAGAAATACTGAAGCAGTAATATCTTTTTTCTTAATGACATGTTTAAAACAAAAACAACGCCATAGAAGTAGGCTTTGGTTTCACAACCTAGGATGTTTTGTTTACCAAGGCACATTAGCAAAATGTCACCATGAAGTCCCACTGAGACTTAAGTGCTTTTCAAGAATTTCAACCCCCATTGCCTGGGAGAATGACAGACAGCTATGTTGGAATGAAGGGAATAAAATTACAGGATTGAGTTTGGAAGACTAGGCAAGTTATTTAGGGAAATTGTTTTTACAATGTACATCTTTGAAGAAAATCAGATGATGTCTAAGCTTCTGTCTAAACATAGAGAATGAAGTGGTTACATGACTCAATTATCTCCAATAATTTAAGCTTAAAATAGACCTCTTTTGCCTCAGTTTTTCAGATTCAGTTCTCTGCCAAATTTATATAGGAAATTGATTTCACCACTCACTTTTCTCTGAATGCAGTGATGGAGCCGAAAGTAATGCAGAAAAAGTGACTCTTACTGAACAACTTAGCCCTCACCAATTTATACTGCTGTTTTTACTGTGTTCTATATCCTTGGGAGAATTTACCCTTTCTTATTAACACCAACCACTTCCACAATTAATGAAAAGTGGAAGAAATTGCCAGCCAGAAAAATTCTGTTGGTAAACAAAAAACAAAACTCAGAATATATTTAAAACAAAACAACAGATACTCCTGAGAAAAATTCAGCAGCTGCTTGAAGACATTTGAAAGGAGTAATTTATTCGCTTTTACCTAGAAGGCAAAAATTGATGGCTAAGAATCTGTTCTCTGCAACATGAGCTGACTGCAACTTGGAAACTCAAAAAAATCTAAGCAGTGACCTAGAGAAAAGGACAAAAAGGCACAGCAAGTTTTATGTTCAGGGTGTGTTTCATCCAAAAGAGATAAAATTGGGCCATGTTAAAAATAAATAAGCCTCTCTAAGAATTGCATCTAGCTTTGTACTAGGACTCTTGAGAAGGTCACAGGGAAAGCAGAGATGTGTCCAAGCCTAGAAGATGATGGATTACAAATCCCATCCCACAGAGGAATGTGGAAGATGAAGCAAGAGCCATGTAAATTAAGATAATCAAAGAAAGAGAATTTAACTGGAGGGAAAACACCTGGGTTCTAGTCCAAGATTATTTACTCATTTTACATCATATGACACAGAATAAATAACAACTTATCTATATACCTTGTTATAATGTCACTAGAATGTAGATCTAGGAAGGCAAGGATTTTTATGTGTGAAGTTCATCGCTACATCCCTAGAGCATGGAAGAGTAATTGACACGTAGTAGGCTCTCATAAACATTTGCTGAAAGACTGAATGAGTGAGGTGCATCTCTCTAATCTGTAAAGTATAATTTGTCTAGGAATATTGTGGCAGTTGGGTGACAGAATGCATGCACCGGGATTAATCCAGGTTTTGTGTGTCTAAAGTTTATACAAGTCAAGGGGGATTGTCTTAAGAAGAATGCAAGATTACAAATACAAAATTAAGTATAAAATTGATTATTTTTAGGATGAGAAAATAAACTGGTATATGTAACACATTTTAAAAGATGATAAATGCCACAAACATCACAAAATCCAGAAAAAAAACCCTACATATTTTCATGAATTAACTGCCTGACATACTTCAATAATAACTTTTATAACTTATACTTGTATTGCATATACTTTGTTTTTCTCTTCATATGACAACTTCGTAATATTTTCTATAAACAGAATGGAAAGGGAATTCAATAGTTCCTCTAGCATGGTTGATTGAGATTTGTTTTTTATTAATAAGTTTAGGAATTTTCTTCAGGTTTATAATTGTTATTGCTAATGTCATGTAAAGTTTGAGAATTGCTGTCAAATTTGGGGAACACCTACCCATTTTAAAAATCAGTTTTCTCTCAATTTTCTTTTAGATATAAAGTATTTTTTCACAGACTGATTTTAGCTCTCTATATTTCAAAGCTTATTTCTCTTACATTCACTTCTACTTCTGTTGCCAATCACTTAAGGACATGTTATTATCCTGAAATGACTTCTGGTTCTGTGGCCTCTGGCCCTTGGTTTAGTCAGCACAGTGGGTGGCAGGATGATTTCTTGGAAGTCATTTGATACTGGGGTGGCTAGCATAATCTAACTATATACAGAGGTGACTGTGCACTGAAAATGTCCTACTAAACCCAAATTAAATATTTCACCAACTCAAATTTTACTTAACTAAAGCCCTAAAATTTTCATGGTCACTCCAATGCTACCAGACAAGAGAAAAAGTGTCTAAGTTAAGTTTAGTTAAAATATCTTCGGAAAGCTTTACAAAAACATATAGTCAGATAAAAGCATTGCTAAAGCTACTCTAGGAGGTTTGGAGGGGGTTTGTAAGGCTTATGCCTCATTAGCTTCATTGCAAATCGACCTCTGAAGATAAGAGCACTTTGCAAAGTGCAGAGTGTTATACAAATACAGATAATAATAATGATGATAATGATAGTGGCAATGACAACAATGATGATGATTGTGTAATGTAAAAGATCTTAAATATTGTAGAAGATGACAAGTTATGGGAGAAGCAACACTTGGAGTCAGTCTGATGCTGTGTCTACTCCCCTCCCTTAAACATCTCTGGTAGGAACCAAATCCTTATTGTCTGATCTGAATCTCAGGAAGCAGGAGGGAAAAACTGTTGGCTTATATAACTACATAATTAATGTAGTGATTCCATAGAAAAGGGCCTCTAAATTCTGGTCCTAACAATGTCAAGAATTCCCTGGATTACCACTCTTATTTTTACTATGCAATTTTGAAGAAAAATATATAATGAGAAAAATAGCTACTAATTCACTAATGCTTTAACATAAATTGGTATTTTATTCATCATAACAGCATTTGTACACAACTCAAACATGCCAGTGGTGTATATATGAATAAGACATAATATTGATTCAATCTTCAGGTGTACTTATATGCATGTGCCATAATATGCCTTTGCAGTTTCTAAGCCAATTCTGACTTCAGCAGACAGTACATTAGAACAGTCCATCCTATCCATGGGTGGGTCTGGAATTCATCTTCCTGTCTTGATATTCTTTAAGCTACCATGTCCGCTATAGTTCCCAAGCAGTCAGCTGGCATCATATAAACAAAAGGGTCAATCAATCTCTCTCCGTACACATCGCAGCCCTAAATAGCTTGCTTCTACCCACTCTGAGCACTGCCTAATCAACTGCTGATTCCTCTGCCACTTAATCTCATTATTCTTTCTCCCACTTATAGTCCTGCTTCAAACCTCAGGATTGGCATTTAATAATGCATTTTTACCAAGAACTTTGCCTTCCTTCCTTGACTGAAATTTTGGTGTTTTTTTTTTTTTTTTGAGCTATGTTGGTTTAGGCCACTGATATAGTTTGGATGTTTGTCCCCTCTAAATCTCATGTTGATATGTGAACCCCAAGGTTGAAAGTGGGGCCTAGTGGGAGTTGCTTGTGTCATGAGGACAGAACCCTTATGAAGGGCTTGGTGCCATTCTCGTGGTAATGAGCTCTCGAGAGCTCTATTAGTTCATGTAAGAACTGGCTATTTAAAGAGCCTGACATTTCCCCCCCTTTTTCTCACTTCCTCTCTCACCACAGGACAAACCTACTCCCCTACTTCCCCTTCACCTTCCTCCATGAGTAAAAGCTTCCTAAGTCCTCATCAGGAGCCTAGTAGATGTGGGTGCTATGCTTTTACAGCCTGCAGAACCATGAGCCAAATAAACTTATTTTCTCAATAAATTACTTAGTCTCAGGTAGTCCTTTATAGTAATGCAAAGTGGACTAACATAGCCACCTAAAGTAAATACCCTGTTTTAGCTACACCTGGCTCCCAGAAACCCGTATCCAGGGGTACCTGGCTAGGTTTTTCCTGGTCCCCGGAGAGGAAACCAGATAACAGGGCTAGCCTATGTTATCCTTAAGGTGAGCCCTAGGTATTCACATGTGCCCTAAGTCACAGTCTTCTCCCTGCCATGTTTACAAAATTCTTACAAATTCCCTCATGGATGGATTTGAACTCCAGTCCATTTGGCCAGGACCATGACACTCTAATTTTTTCTAGTCCCTCGATTTTATTACTTTTGTGGGGGGGGTGGATGTGGTGTCCTATATTTATTCATCGTCAATAAACACATTGTTAGCACTTCATCTGCTTTGAAGTATTACCAGTCCTAAACACCAGATTGGTGCTCCTTGGCTATTTACCATAGTCCAGATCAACCACATCCCTTCAGATAGCACATCTCTTTAAATAAGACACACTGGAATGATCGCTAACCATCCAGAATCATGCCCTCCAGCTGTGCCAGGCCCCCTCACCCTAGTCCTGGGCTGACCTATCCTTTCTGTTTTACTGATTTATGTGGCTAAAGCGCCACATGTCTCAAAATTTTAAAATGACCAATTTGATACTGTTTTTATTCAGTCATCTATGATTCTCGTTATTTAATGTGTTATCCTTAATGTCTCTACCTAGATTATGAACTCCTTCAAGAAGGGAACCATTTCCTGTTCTTACATCTTTGCACATTCCTAGTACATACTGAATATTAGCAGGCTGCATTTAAATTTTCCAGAGCAGAGTCAGGATACATGAGGTGGGGAATTAAAAGGATTGGGAGAGAAGTCACAGTTAAGTGGGAATCTATTTCCCAGTCCTCTAACTGTCCTCCTGGCCTTAGATGAAACATCATTAGAGAATATTGTATGCAGACATTGCAGCACAGGTGAAAGAGCAATTGACTAAGAACATGGCATTTGAGTTAGGCAGAAAAGGATTTGATCTCTGGATTCAATTTCCAGCTTTCTCACTTTCTAGTTGTGGGTATTTGGTCAAGACACTTATTCTATTCACCTTAATTTCTTCATTTATACAATTGTGAAGGTAGTAGTATCTATTGTACAATGTTTTGTGATGACTAAATGATATGGTACGTTAAGATGCCTAACACAATGTCTGAGTCATAGTAATGCTCCATAAAGGGTAGCTTTTATGTTGTTACTATAGCTACTTTTTTGTAACTTGAGGCCTAAACACACCATGAGTTTCTATGCATGGATAATACATACCAAGGAAGCAGCTGCAATTCTATTTTTAGATTATTTTCTGTAAATTTCCAATTATAATAATAATAGCAACCAGCATTTATTGAACACTTATCCTATATTGGCTAGATTTCCTACCGTAGGAAAAAGTCCATAGGCTAATATCATCTAGCTGTAAGCCTCATGCAAATAATATTCATGCTCTAAAAGACATGATCTTCTGTATTTGGTGGCATGAGGATTTCCAATCTGAAAGTTTCCTTTGGATCTGACACATTTTTCCCTGAAAATACGATACCTCTTTTTGTTGCTTAACTACCTCATGTATCCATTGATTTATAAAATGTTACAGTCCTTGTCTACAATGATTAGACAAAAAATTAGAATAAGTTTTTTACATGGAAATTCAAAGTAGGATCATTTAGAAGCAGTTTTTTGATAACTTTAAGAATGGCACCTACCATATTTGTCTTTGCAATTTTCAAGATACCATGTGGGGAGATATGTACACTGTTGCTAAGGAAACTAGCTACATGATATAATAGCTCTTAAGAAATGAAGCTAACCTTCCTCAACTTTCAGTGTTCGTTGATTCCTCAGCTCACTAATGATTCACAAGGAGATAAAGAGGAACTAGTCTCATTTCCAGGGGAAAAATGCCTTAAAGGTCATTTTTCCTTTACAAATCACAGCCTCCCAAATGAAATCTTAATCAATTCATCATATTATGTGTAGTGTTCTATTGATGTGATTACTAAAAAGTGGCTTATTTGGATCTGCCTTTTTATTATTAGTTTCTCCTTTGATTTTTCTATATTAGCTGACATGGAAGGTGTTGATGTTGCTGTACCAGTTACATAAAGTCACAAGAATAGAAGTGAACAAGGGTACCCATTCCAGATGGAAGAGTAAGTGGCGGCATATGTCCATTAATATGAGATCTCAGGAGGGGATGAGGAAGGGGAAGGGATATGTAAGCAACATAGTCCAACCAGAAGAAAAGATCATGGGTCAGGAATTTTATGTTCTAGTTCAAGCTATGGGACATCAAGCAAATGATTTAACCTCTCTGGGCTTCAGTTTCCTCTTCTGCTAAAGGTAGATGATAATGTTTACTTAACTTCACAGGTTTGATGTGAGGATCAAATATGTTTCATCTTCCTCACCCTCTGCATTCAATTAATCATCAAATTTTGATGGTTTTACCTACTAAGTATGTTTTGAAATTCTCCATTCCTTACCATCCATCCTATAGCACCTTAAAGTCCTTTTCATGTCTTACCTGCGTTACTCTAATTGCCCCCTAACTTGTTGCAGTGCATTTTAAGAGGCAACAACTTCTTTATAGGTCTTCCAGTCAAGAGATGAATTCTATTTTCCTATCCCTGAATCTGGGCTGGCCTTATGACTTGCTTTGACCAACAGAACAGGGCAAAAGTAACACTGTGCAACTACTGAGCAAGGCCTCAGGAGGCTTGTAGCTTCTGCTTTTATTTAATCTCTTGTTGCCCTGAGAATGCCATGTGTATTAGTTTCCTATTGCTGTTATAAAAGACAAAAGCCACAAACTTAGTAGGTTAAAATAACACAAATTTATCTTATAGTTCTAAAAGTCAGAAGCCCAAAACTGCTTTCAGTGGATTCGTCAAAGTGTCATGAGGGCTGCTTTCCTCCTGGAAGCTTAGGGGGAGAATGTTTCCTTACATTTTCCAGCTTCAGTAGGCTGCCTCGGTTCCTTGGTTCATGGCCCAGCTTCCTCGAGCTTCAAAGCCATCATTGTAGCATATTTAAATCTCTCTCCAACTCTTTCACCTCTGCTTCTGTCATCCCATCTCCTTTTATGACTCTGATCCTTCTGCCTCTCTCTTATAAGGACTGTTGTGATTGGATTGGGCCCACCCAGATAATCTAGAATAATCTCTTCAACTCAAGGTCTGTGTTAGTCTGTTTTATGTTGCTATAAAGAAATACCTGAGGCTGGGTAATTTATGAAGAAAAGAGGTTTATTTGGCTCATGGTTCTGCCAACTGTACAAGCATGGACCAGCATCTGCTTCTGATGTGGGCCTCAGGAAGCTTTCATTCGTCAGGGAAGATGAAGAGGGAACAGGCATATCACATGGTGAGAGAAGGAGCAAGAGAGAAGGAAGTAAGAGAGATGTCAAGCTCTTTTAAACAACCAGCACTCTTGTGAACTAATAGAGCAACAACTCACTCATTACTATGAGGATGGCACCAAGACCGTCACGAGGGATTCGCCCCCATGACCCAAGTACCTGCCACCAGGCCCACCTCCAACATTGGCAATCACATTTCAACATGAGATTTGGAGGGGACAAAAATCTAAATCATATCAAGATCCTTATCTTAATCACATTTGCAATGTCTCTTTTACCACATAAAATAATATATTCCCAAATTCTGGGGATTAGGACATGAACACCTTTGCGGAGCCATTATTCTGTTTGCCATACCATGTAAAGAAGAATACGCTACCCTTTTAAGGTGAAAACCCATGGGTATAGAGAGGACCAGGAAAGAGCTAGCACAAATGATCAGACTTCTGGATGAGGCCCAGGAGAGAACAGCAGAGGAATAGTCCAGCTGAGCACAGCCCAAATTGCTGATCCACAGAAGAATCTTAAATAAATAGTTCACTACGTTTTGAGGGTTTTGTATTTTTATTATCAGATAACTGATATATTGTTCTCTTGGGATATAGGCTTACTGTCTAATTCTTTTTCCATACTGCTACTAGAGCAATCTATCTAAAATGGAATCCTGATTATGTCACTTCCTTGCTTAATACCCTACGATAGCCCCCTCTGGCCTTCAGGATAAAGTCAAAGTTGCTTAGCATGGTATTCAAGGCCCTCACCAACCTCAATCCTGCCCATCTCTCCCACCTTTTTTTTTTTTTCATTCAGCATTCATTTCTTTGAAATGTGTGCCCCTGCATCATTTAATTCTAGCTTTTGTTATTGAATATTGCTTTGTAATTATCTGAGTACATGTCTGTCTCCATCCCTAGACTGGGAACTCAAAGCCAAGGATGTTGCTTCATTTACATATATACTTCAGGTGCTTAGCACAGCACCTGGGCTATAATGTTCCTCAGTTAACAATTTCAGGAAATTTAGCTTCTGCATTTTGTAGATCATATTAATCAACTTATTAAAATACAGGTGAGAGTCTCCAAATAGCTAGCTGACATCTCAGTGGACTAGCTATCAACATTTGCTAGCTCTGTAAGCATGGACAGATTATTTCAGTTATCTGTGTCTTCGTTTATTTGCCTGTAACATGGAGATAATATTAGTGCCTATCTCAGAGTTGTGGGGAATAAGTGAATTAATGTATGTAAAGTGCTATGCAGACTAAGAATCGTTGTAACGATTGTTGTGGTAGTGGTCATAGTAATGGTGATGTTTGTTAACTCTACTATCTATGAGGGTATGTTAACTCAGTTGAAGATTAACCTGTACAAAACCATATTAGGAATGGAATCTGAAATATTCCCAATAAAACTCATTATAAAATATATTCTAAAATAGTTCCAAATTATTTCTATTTGTAGAAAAAAATACTGTGTTTCAGTAGAAATCTATTTTTCAGTGGAAAACTTGTGCCCTGTTTAATTCTAGATCTGCTCATTTTCTTTCAGCTATGTTATAACTGGAATTTTTAAAGTCTGTGCTACTGGGTGGAGAATTAATTGACTTTTCTTCACCCTATGCCACCCTTCTTCATAAAAAAAAATCAGTTTTGTTTCCATTTGCATTTCATCTCATTACTACTTTATTCTATATACATTTGTGATTTTTTGACTTTAAAAACCAGTTAAAACATATGTCTGGCTTCTTTAATAATATATGAGTAAAATCTTTAGGATATGTTTATTTTTATATCTGTATGAGAGCCATGATTTTACCTTTTTCTGAAAATTATCTTTTAACAGTTTAATCCAAGCATGTCTTTACTTGGCTCTAAGAAGGTGAATCCAAAGTGGCAATAGAACTATGCTGACACTGTTTTTGTAATATTTATTTTGCACTCTACTAATTTTGTTTTGGTTTATGGCCAATAAGTTGCTTCCCATTGAGAATTTGGTCTTGTGGTATGACTATTTAGTGATCTCTGTAAGTGGATTAATGGTTTTTAGTGATCTTTGTTGGCTGAGGGACAATAGAAAATCCGATTTGTTAGTCTTTTCTGCTTGTTTGTTTGTCTATTTTAAGCTCAAGTTCAATTAAGAATTGAAGAATGGGAAGAGACCATCTGATTGATTTGGACCAATGAGTTATATACTTCTGAGTTTACTCTTGGCTCCTGGCTGATATTTTAGAATTGATGCCATAAGCTCTTACTGTGTCTGCATGTCTAAGTGTCTGTACTTCATAAGGAACTTTACTTCTTTTTTTGTAAGGATATGCCATGGACTGAATTGTGTCCCACCAAAATTCATATGTTGAAGCCCTAACCCTCAATGTGACTGCATTAGAGATAGGCTCTTTTGGAGGCAATTAAGGTTAAATAAGGTCATATGGGTGGGGCCCTGATCTGATAGGACTGTGACCAAAGAAGAGGTCATGTGCACCACAGCAAGATGGCAGCTACCTACAAGTCAAGAGAAGAGACCTTCAGAATAAAACCTATCTTGCTGGCACCTTGATCTTGGACTTCTCAGCCTCCAGAACTGTGAGGAAAAAATTTTTGTTGATTAAGCCACCCAGTTTATGGTGCTTTGTTGATAGCCTGAGTAAACTAAGACAGGGTATAATATTTTGCTATGTTTGGGTGATATTAATAAATTAGAATATAAAGTATCTTAGAGGATTCGCTTATAGAGATGGTTAAATTCTTATGTAATTAGAATATTCCTAAAATTCTCAGAAAATAAGGAAATTGAATTTCTAATGTTTTTGGTATGTTAGATTTTAAAAGTATTCTCACAGAATTCAGAAACCAATTCAAAACATTTTAAGAATTCGAGTTCACATAATGTAGGTAAGTGCTTGGTGAATGAGACTAGCTTAATATTTTGGCTTAATAAAAGACCTATGTCTTTTCTGATTTATCATTATTAAGTAGAAGTGTAGATTTTATTATACTTCGGCATGTTCTTCCTAAAGTTGTACAGATTTACTGAGGGAATAAGCTAATATTGCATCTACTTAAGGTTGAAGATTATGAAGAATGTAAATTTGTGTTTAATCAAACAGAATAATTATTCTGGCAAACTTTATTTAACCAGTAATTATGTTTTATAGTATGTCAGCTTGAAGATAATTTCCAAGATCTTTAGATAACTTAAAACGTTAAGTTGATAACATTTTTTAAATTTTTTTATTTTTATTAAAAAAATTTTTGTTATTATACTTTAAGTTCTAGGGTACATGTGCACAACATGCAGGTTCGATACATAGGTATACATGTGCCATGTTGGTTTGCTGCACCTATCGACTCATCATTTGCATTAGGTATTTCTCCTAATGCTATCCCTCCCCAAGCCCCCCATCCTCCAACAGGCCCTGGTGTGTCATGTTCCCTGACCCGTGTCCAAGTGATCTCATTGTTCAATTCCCACCTACGAGTGAGAACATGCAGTGTTTGGTTTTCTGTCCTTGTAACAGTTTGCTGAGAATGAGGGTTTCCAGCTTCATCCATGTCCCTGCAAAGGACATAAACTCATCCCTTTTTATGGCTGCATAATATTCCATGGTGTATATGTGCCACATTTTCTTAATCCAGTCTATCATTGATGGACATTTGGGTTGGTTTCAAGTCTTTGCTATTGTGAATAGTGCCGAAGTAAACATACGTGTGCATGTGTCTTTACAGTAGCATAATTTGTAATCCTTTGGGTATATACCCAGTAATGGGATTGCTGGGTCAAATGGTAATTCTAGTTCTAGATCCTAGAGGAATTGCCACACTATCTTCCACAATGGTTGAACTAGTTTACACTCCCACCAACAGTGTAAAAGTGTTTCTATTTCTCCACATCCTCTTCAGTATCTGTTGTTTCCTGTCTTTTTAATGATTACCATTCTAACTGGCGTGAGATGGTACCTCACTGTGGTTTTGATTTGCATTTCTCTGATGACCAGTGATGATGAGCAGTTTTTCATGCGTCTGTTGGCTGCATAAATGTCTTTTTTGAGAAGTGTCTGTTCATATCCTTTGTCCACTTTTTGATGGGGTTTTGTTTTTCTTGTAAATTTGTTTGAGTTCTTTGTAGATTCTGGATATTAGCCCTTTGTCAGATGGGTAGATTGCAAAAATTTTCTCCCATTTTATAGGTTGCCTGTTCACTCTGATGGTAGTTTCTTTTGCCATGCAGAAGCTCTTTAGTTTAATTAGATCCCATTTGTCAATTTTGCCTTTTGTTGCCATTGCTTTTGTTGTTTTAGTCATGAAGTTCTCCCCATGCCTATGTCCTGAATGGTATTGCTTAGGTTTTCTTCTAGGGTTTTTATGGTTTTAGGTCTAACATTTAAGTCTTTAATCCATCTTGAATTAATTTTTGTATAAGGTTTAAGGAAGGGATCCAGTTTCAGCTTTCTACATATGACTAGCCAGTTTTCCCAGCACCATTTATTACACAGGGAATCATTTCCCCCTTTCTTGTTTTTGTCAGGTTTGTCAAAGATCAGATTGTTATAGATGTGTGATGTTATTTCTGAGGCCTCTGTTCTGCTCCACTGGTCTATAAATCTGTTTTGGTACCAGTACTATGCTGTTTTGGTTACTGTAGCCTTGTAGTACAGTTTGAAGTCAGGTAGCGTGATACCTCCAGTTTTGTTCTTTTTGCTTAGGATTGTCCTGGCAATGCAGGCTCTTTTTTGGTTCCATATGAACTTTAAAGTAGTTTTTTCCAATTCTGTGAAGAAAGTCATTGGTAGCTTGATGGGGTTGGCATTGAATCTATAAATTACTTTGGGCAGCATGGCCATTTTCATGATATTGATTCTTCCTCTTCATGAGCATGGAATGTTCTTCCATTTGTTTGTGTCCTCTTTTATTTCGTTGAGCAGTGGTTAGTAGTTCTCCTTGAAGAGGTCCTTCACATCCCTTGTAAGTTGGATTCCTTGGTATTTTATTCTCTTTGAAGCAATTGTGAATGGGAGTTCACACATAATTTGGCTCTCTGTTTGTCTGTTATTGGTGTATAGGAAAGCTTGTGATTTTTGCACATTGATTTTGTATCCTGAGACTTTGCTGAAGTTGCTTATCAGCTTAAGGAGATTTTGGGCTGTGACGATGGGGTTTTCTAAATACAAAATCATGTCATCTGCAAACAGGGACAATTTGACTTCCTCATTTCCTAATTGAATGCCCTTTATTTCTTTCTCTTGCCTGATTGCCCTTGCCAGAACTTCCAACACTATGTTGAATAGGAGTGGTGAGAGAGGGCATCCTTGTCTTGTGCCGGTTTTCAAAGGGAATGCTTCTAGTTTTTGCGCATTCAGTATGATATTGGCTATGGGTTTGTCATAAATAGCTCTTATTATTTTGAGATAGGTTCCATCAATACCTAGTTTATTGAGAGTTTTTAGCATGAAGGGCTGCTGAATTTTGTTGAAGGCCTTTCTGCATCTATTGAGATAATCATGTGGTTTTTGTTGTTGGTTCTGTGTATGTGATGGATTACATTTATTTGTTGGCATATGTTGAACCAGCCTTGCATCCCAGGGATGAGGCCTATTTCATTGTGGTGGATATGCTTTTTGATGTGCTGCGGGATTCGGTTTGCCAGTTTTTATTGAGGATTTTCGCATCAATGTTCATCAGGGATACTGGTCTAAATTCTCTTTTTTTGTTGTGTCTCTGCCAGGCTTTGGTATCAGGATGATGTTGGCCTCATAAACTGAGTTAGGGAGGATTCCCTCTTTTTCTATTGATTGGAATAGTTTCAGAAGGAATGATACCAGCTCCTCTTTGTAACTCTGGTAGTATTTGGCTGTGAATCCGTCTGGTCCTGGACTTTTTTTGGTTGGTAGGCTATTATTATTTCAATTTCTGAGCCTATTATTGGTCTATTCAGAGATGCAAATTCTTCCTTGTTTAGTCTTGGGAGGGTGTATGTGTCAAGGAATTTATCCATTTCTTCTAGATTTTCTAGTTTATTTGCATAGAGGTATTTATATTATTCTCTGATGGTAGTTTTCATATCTGCGGGATCGGTGGTGATATCCCCTTTATCATTTTTTATTGCATCTATTTGATTCTTCTCTCTTTTCTTCTTTATTTGTCTTGCTAGCGGTCTATCAATTTTGTTGATCTTTCCAAAAAACCAGCTCCTGGATTCATTGATTTTTTGAAGGGTTTTTTTTTTGTGTCTCTATCTCTTTCATTTCTGCTCTGATCTTAGTTATTTCTTGCCTTCTGCTAGCTTTTGAATTTGTTTGCTTTTGCTTCTCTAGTTCTTTTGATTGTGATGTTAGGGTGTCAATTTTAGATCTTTCCTGCTTTCTCTTGTGGGCATTTAGTGCTATAAATTTCCCTCTACATACTGCTTTAAATGTGTCCCAGAGATTCTGGTACATTGTGTCTTTGTTCTCACTGGTTTCAAAGAACATCTTTATTTCTGCCTTCATTTTGTTATTTTCCCAGTAGTCACTCAGGAGCAGGTTGTTCAGTTTCCATGTAGTTGAGTGGTTTTGAGTGAGTTTCTTAATCTTGAGTTCTAATTTGATTGCACTGTGGTCTGAGAGACTGTTTGTTGTGATTTCTGTTCTTTTACATTTGCTGAGGAGTGCTTTACTTCCAATTATGCAGTCAATTTTAGAATAAGTGCAATGAGGTGCTGAAAAGAATGTATATTCTGTTGATTTGGGGTGGAGAGTTCTGTAGATGTCTATTAGGTCTGCTTGTTGCAGAGCTGAGTTCAGGTCCTGGATATCCTTGTTAACATTCTGTCTCGTTGATCTGTCTAATACAGACAGTGGGGTGTTAAAGTCTCCCATTATTATTGTGTGGGCATCTAAGTCTCTTTGTAAGTATCTAAGGACTTGCTTTATGAATCTGGGTGCTCCTGTATTGGGTGCATATATATATTTAGGATAGTTAGCTCTTCTTGTTGAATTGATCCCTTTACCATTATGTAATGGCCTTCTTTGTCTCTTTTGATCTTTGTTGGTTTAAAGTCTGTTTTATCAGAGACTAGGATTGCAGCCCCTGCTTTTTTTTTTTTTTTTTTTTTTTTTGCTTTCCATTTGCTTGGTAGATCTTCCTCCATCCCTTTATTTTGAGCCTATGTGTGTCTTTGCATGTGAGATGGGTCTCCTGAATACAGCATACTGATGGGTCTTGACTCTTTATCAAATTTGCCAGTTGGTGTCTTTTAATTGGGGCATTTAGCCAATTTACATTTAAGGTTAATATTGTTATGTGTGAATTTGATCCTGTCATTATGATGTTTGCTGGTTATTTTGCCCGTTAATTGATGCAGTTTCTTCATAGCATCGATGGTCTTTACAATTTGTCATGTTTTTGCAGTGTCTGGTACTGGTTGCTTCTTTCCATGTTTAGTGCTTCCTTCAGAAGCTCTTGTAAGGCAGGCCTGGTGGTGACAAAATCTCTCAGCATTTGCTTGTCTGTAAAGGATTTTGTTTCTCCTTCACTTATGAACCTTAGTTTGGCTGGATATGAAATTTTGGGTTGAAAATTCTTTTATTTTAAGAATGTTGAATATTGGCCCCCACTCTCTTCTGGCTTGTAGGGTTTCTGCTGAGAGATTCGCTGTTAGTCTGATGGGCTTCCCTCTGTGGCTAACTCGACCTTCCTCTCTGGCTGCCCTTAACACTTTTTCCCTCATTTCAACCTTGGTTAATCTGACAATTATGTGTCTTGGGGTTGCTCTTCTCGAGGAGTATCTTTGTGGAGTTGTCTGTATTTCCTGAATTTGAATGTTGGCCTGCCTTGCTAGGTTGGGGAAGTTCTCCTGGATAATATCCTGAAGAGTGTTTTCCAACTTGGTTCCATTCTCCCCATCACGTTCAGGTACACCAATCAAATGTAGATTTGGTCTCTTCACATAGATCCATATTTCTTGGAGGTTTTGTTCATTTCTTTTTACTCTTTTTCTCTAACCCTGTCTTCTCATTTTATTTCATTAATTTGATCTTCAATCACTGATAACCTTTCTTCTAATTGAATCGGCTATTGAAACTTCCGCATGCATCATGAAATCCTCATGCCACGGTTTTCAGCTCCATCAGGTCATTTAAGATCTTCTCTACACTGTTTATTCTAATTAGCCATTCCTCTAATCTTTTTTCAAGGTTTTTAGCTTCCTTACAATGGGTTCAAACATCCTACTTTCACTTGGAGATGTTTGTTATTACCGACCTTCTGAAGCCTACTTCTGTCAACTCGTCAAAGTCATTCTCCATCCAGCTTTGTTCTGTTGCTGGTGAGGAGCTGCGATCCTTTGGAGGAGAAGAGGCGCTCTGATTTTTTGAATTTTCAGCTTTTCTCCTCTGGTTTCTCCCAATCTTTGTGGTTTTATATACCTTTGGTCTTTGATGTTGGTGACCTACAGATGGGGTTTTGGTGTAGATGACCTTTTTGTTGATGTTGACGCTATTCCTTTCTGTTTGTTAGTTTTCCTTCTAACAGTCAGGTCCCTCAGCTGCAGGTCTGTTGGAGTTTGCTGGAGTTCCACTCCAGACCCTGTTTGCCTGGGTATCACCAGCAGAGGCTGCAGAACAGCAAATATTGCACAACAGCAAATATTGCTGCCTGATCCTTCCTCTGGAAGCTTCATCCCAGAGGGCAGCTGCCTATATGAGGTGTCTGTCAGCCCCTACTGGGAGGTGTCTCCCAGTTAGGCTACTCGTGGGTCAGGGACCCACTTGAGGAGGCAGTCTGTCCGTTCTCAGAGCTCAAATGCCATGCTGGGGGAACCACTGCTCTCTACAGAGCTGTCAGACAGGGATGTTTAAGTCTGCAGAAGTTGTCTGCTGCCTTTTGTTCAGCTATGCCCTGCCCACAGAGGTGGAGTCTAGAGGCAGTAGGCCTTGTTGAGCTGTGGTGGGCTCCACCCAGTTCGAGCTTCCCGGCCGCTTTGTTCACCTACTCAAGCCTCAGCAACGGCAGACGCCCCTCCCCGAGCCAGGCTGCTGCCTCGTAGTTCAAACTCAGACTGCTGCACTAGCAGTGAGCAAGGCTCCATGGGCATGGGACCCACTGAGCCAGGCACAGGAGAGAATCTCCTTGTCTGCCAGTTGCTAAGACCTTGGGAAAAGTGCAGTATTTGGGCAGGAATGTCCCATTTTTCCAGGTAATCTGTCACAGCTTCCCTTGGCTAGGAAAGGGAAATCCCCCAACCCCTTGTGCTTCCCCGGGTGAGGCGACGCCCCGCCCTGCTTCAGCTCGCCCTCTGTAGGCTGCACCCACTGTCCAACCAGTCCCAATGAGATGAACCAAGTACCTCAGTTGGAAATGCACAAACCACCCATATTCTGTGTCGATCATGCTGGGAGCTGCAGACTGGAGCTGTTCCTATTCGGCCATCTTGGAATGATCACCCCAGTTGATATCCTTTTGGGTTAATTAATAGATAGTCATTGGATATCTAGATCATTTCTAAGTAGGATAGAATGCCAAAATATTGATTACTAATCATAATATTAAGCTTATATACTTTTGCTTCTTATTTGTATATGCTACAGAGAGATGATATATTTGGGTCTGTTAATGAACATGTTCATTTTGCAACTTTGAGAAATCATATAAAGTATGACTGTAGAAAGTTGTATTATGTGTATTCATGAGCTCTGCTAGATTGCAAGGATGCACTGCAAGGAAGTTTACTCTGTGAAGTAGAAATTGCTTTGGTTAAAATTAATATATGTGAATGAGACTATGTAGGAGTAATAGTTTCAGAGAATTACAACTGTGTTTGATGTATTTTTATTTTCCATGGAAAGGAGTAGTTTCTTCCTAAAGGAGTTTTTTTTTATTCTGTTTTTTTACTCTTCAAATCTCTTTGTGCACTTAAAGCTTATTGAGGACCACATAGAGCTTTTTTTTTTGTAGGTTCTATTGATACTTACTATATTGGAAATTGAAACTGGGGAATTTTTAAAATGCACACTTATTGATGAATTCAAAGATAGCAACAATGAACACATTGAATGTTACTAATAATATTATGAAATTAATTCTGACCTTGTGGACATCCTGATATGGGTCCTAGAGTAAAGTGTCAGTTTATTCCAGAAGATGAAGGAGTATAATGATAGACAAAAGGTAGAAATACATTTTACTTCCCTTGCTTTATAATACCTGAGTTTGAAAAGTTATGAACTGTGTTAAAAACCTTAGCAGAGTTTGCTTAAATTGATAGGCCTGTCTCCTTGGTTCATTGCCTTCACCTACTATAAGAAAGGTTATTTTTTATTGTTGTAATTGTTGTTGTTTCCCGTTAATCTGCTTAGATAACAAAGATTTGTGTCATACCACAATAAGATTCTATGGTTTATGTTGTCTGTATAATGTCCTTGGTCATTCAAGAAAACAAAGTTTCCTCACAAAAACAAACATTCATTACAATCACGTTATCTTCTAAGTTTTCTTTTAATGTTTTATTGACATTTTGAAATGAATAATTAAGTATTATTTCTCAGGCACCTATGATCCAATTTGTATCTTAAATGTTCAAATACCATGACGTTTTTTATTTTTGCCTTCCCCAAGTCTAATCCTGCATATAAAAAAATAAAATAAAGCTTTCACCTTATCTTTTACAACTAAAATTACCTTTTTAGGCCCTGTGCAATGGCACAAAGATTTTTTCCTTCATCTAGTAAAATGAGAGGTGTTAAAAATAATTAGGTTTATTGATATGTTACTGCTGATGAGTTCTATGAGAATAGTTTTCAAATCAGAAAAGATGCTGAGCCTTCTGTAAGTTAAATTTGTGTGGCTAAAATATTATTGGTATAAATATTTCAGAAATGGTATACTGCTAGGGAAATTTCAAGAAATTTGTCAAAGCCCTTGCTGTCCATGATATATATTTTTATTTATCAGAGTGCTAGTGGTGTTTTGTCTGATATTAGATGACAGCAGTATAGTGTTATCAGTCATAATTTCAGTTATTTTAAAAAATATTAACTTGGTTACAACTTTGCTACTTTAAATTGAAAATGGCATCTTCTAGGCCACTAGATTTCAAATAGGAATTCACATCACTTAACTATGGAGTTTTATTAATATACAGATGTTTGTGGTGTATTCCATACTTACTGAATCTTTTTACTTAATATTGACATATTTTTGGCATATTCTTACTATATGCTTAGTATATTTATTGCATATTATTTCAGACTTATATATCTCAAGATTTTTTCTCTGTAAAGGATATATTCATCTATTTTTATAATTTAGATGTAATCTTCACTATCTTCTTTAATAATAGATTTAATCACTGTTTATAATTATTTTGTCTAAAACTTTTTTCGGCAGGCTTAACTATCTTGTATTGCATGTCAAAGAAAAAACCAAATTTTATTGTCAGCTGCATTTTTCTTACAACAAATGCTCATTAGACCTTTCACTTTTGAAAGCTATCAGTAATAACTAACCATAGTCTTTTGTCTTAGATATTTTTTTTGTTTGTTTTACTCTGATCCTTTCTTGAAAGCATATGCAATCAACTACAGTCCTCAGTGCTTCGTCATTAAAAAAGGATGACTGTCTCAGAGCCTCATGGAAAAGGATTACAACAGGTACTTTTGGGTATAGGCTTCTGCTAATACAAGATCTTATGGAGCAAGAATAATTATATAAGACTGAATGATATGATATAATTTTTTTTTTTTGAGACAGAGTTTCGCTCTTTCGCCCAGGCTGGAGTAAAATGGTGCCATCTTGGCTCACTGCAACCTCTGCCCCCTGGGTTCAAGCAATTATCCGGCCTCAGCCTCTTGAGTAGTTGGGATTATAGGCACCTGCCACCACACCCAACTAATTTTTGTATTTTTAGTAGAGACAGGGTTTCGTCACATTGGCCAGGCTAGTCTGGAACCCCTGACCTCAGGTGATCTACCCGCCTTGGCCTCCCAAAGTGCTAGGATTATAGGCGTGCACCACTGTGCCTGGCCTATGATGTAAATTTTTAAATAATATTGTTGATGTTTTAATGTTTTCTTTTCAAGATGTATAAGGAAGTCCTTTGTCTTTTATGCTATTGTTGGGGCTCAGAACATGATACCCCGAAGTATGGCACCTTGGCATACTGAATACTTCGAACTGAAGGAAACTAGAAAGGCCTCAGAAGCAAGGTCTTTCTGATCTTTCTTACATTCTCCTGTCTCCTCCTCCTTGTTCTCCCCCAAAGCAAGTCATGGAAACCAGAATTCCTCTTCTCCAAAGAGGGTCATGAAAACTAGAACCCCTCTCCCCAAAAGCAAGCCATTAAACCTAGAAAGGTAACTCTCTCCCTGTTCCCCTTTCCCTTGAAGACCTTCATTCCAGAGAGGTCGTGTATCATACTGAGGAAGAAGGAATGCTACACAGAGAAGTCAACCAGTCTCTGAACAGATAGGCCTTGCTGGATCCCCCCACGCAATCTATTACCATTAGGTCATACTCTTTTGTCTAATCACATTTCTACGTGGCTATCCATTCTTTATTGAACCTAAGTATATAGATGGTTTCCTCTAGGTTTTGGGGGTCCTCATTTCCGAAGGCTGCTGTGTCATGTGAAATTTTGATTAAATAAATTTGTCATGCTTGTCTCTTGTTAACCTATCTTTTGTTATAGGAGTCTTGGCTGTTACCCTTATGATTGGTGAGGAAAGGTATCACACTTTTGTACTTTTACACTATCTACAACTTATAATAATTTAGTAGACTCTGCTTTTATAAACTGAAATGAAATATTTATAAATGATATTTTATTCTCCTTGTTGACCCCTTCAGAATTCAGAAACTCTTATCGAACATTTTTATTTTCATAGCAATGTAGTGATTTGCATAGTTGCAGTAAGAATTTATTCTCCTTTAACTGGAGAATAATTGGAAACATTGGTTATACAACCAAGGACTTGCCTAGGATGTTATATGTGAAAATTATGCTTATTCAATTAGATATGAACAGATACTTTTAAGGCACCAAAGCTGACTTTATAAAGCCAATGCTTACAAAGTAAACTTGGGAAAACTGGCATGGTATCTGGCTTCCAGGGTTCTCAGACTTACAGATGAGTAAGGAAGGTCACTTCCTGGCAAGCCAGGGACTTTAGGACGTTTTGAGAACCTTAAAAAGAAAGAAATTCAGGCCAGGTGCGGTGGCTCATGCCTGTAATCCCAACACTTTGGGAGGACGAGGCGGGCGGACCACAAGGTCAGGAGATCTAGACCATCCTGGCTAACATGGTGAAACACCGTCTCTACTTAAAATAGAAAAAGTTAGCCGGGCATGGTGGCTTATGCCTGTAGTCCCAGTTACTTGGGAGGCTGAGGAGGAGAATCGCTTGAACCTGGGAGGCGGAGGTTGCAGTGAGCCGAGATCGCACCACTGCACTCCAGCATGGGTGACAGAGCGAGACTCTGTCTCAAAAAATTAAAAAAAGAAAGAAAGAAATTCACCCACATTTGTAGATACTATTGGCAAAATCCTTGTTTCCTAGCCTCAGGTCCACACATAATAAAGAGCTTTTAAAAGTCCAATCTGAGATTCTTTATGAAAACATCCATCAAAATAAACTTAAGAAGGTCCATATGGCAAATTAGCACACTTGCTGCACTTTCATAAATAATTAGGTCCAGTCTGATGATATGTCTTATTTTTTGATCAAGATAATTTTTCAGGCTTTTTTGATCAAAAAGGAGGGGAATTTTAGTAAAAATTGATATGTTTTGGTGGGAAATGATACATCATCTCTAGCCTTTAGGCCTGATTTAAGCAAAATCATTGTTCTGTTCATTGTTCATTGTTCCTTGTCTGAATTATTTTGCAACTTCTTGTAAGTTGAAGGTAACTGATATATAAATTCTACTCTGTCTGTTAGACATTTGGTTCATCCACTTCACCTTGGAAAAACCAGTTTTGTCTCCATTTGTCAACATTCCTTTACTCCATAAAAATTTTAGCTCTTTTGACTTTTATTTTGAACCAGTTATAATATCTGCCTGGTTCCCTCATACCATATGAATAAAATAAATCCTTAATCAATTTTTGTGTCTGTATGAAAGTCATGATTTTACCTTGTTCTGAAAGTGAACTTTCTGAAAGTGAACTTTTAACAAGATATTTAATTCCTGGTTACCTTTCTGAGTTTAAATCATAGAGCTAGTTATGTTCCCCCTAGTAAGGAACTTTATGATTTAACAAAAAGTATTTACAAAAGAAGTGCTTGATCTGCCATGACATATAACTTGGATTATAACTTAAGTAGAGCCTCAAGTGTCATTATAGTATCATAGCTTGTTGTTCATGCATCTTTCATTATGATTCCATATAGCAAACAAGTCTAGGGGATTAGAAGCTGTGAAAAGTAATTAAGAAATGACTTTGTCTATCACATGATAGTAAAAAAAAAAAAAAAAGAGAAACTTTTCTGCAAGCCATTCCTTGACATATTTGGAGGCTGTAATCCATCCCCTAACCAAATAATATCTTGCCTTTTTCATTTATGCATTTTTTTATTGTGCATACATATTTTAAAACTAATGTTTCTGCTTGTTATAGAAAATTATAATATGTTTTAGTTATATGCAATATAAATTAGCCTTTGTTACTCTCTAGTTTGCCAAAGAAAGACAAGAGAATTGTTGCTCTCTGATAAGACCTGGTATCTCCTTAGGGCTCTCCACAGGGATTGGGTGGGGGTTGCAATTTCAAGTATCAGAGACTTTTGATCTTAAACTTTGGCTATTACCCTATTGACTCCTAGTATCAACTATTCAGAAGTCAGGAAAAGACAAAAAAAATCAGTGGCAATAGACTTCATAACCTGAAGAACAGCTATGAGCACCAGGTCTCCTATAAAATGCATTGTGAGTGTCTATATGTTCCATTAAATTTACTGTTCATCTGAGCAGAAGGGTGGTTTACAGAGGCTAGGAAGGGTAATGAGGGTTGGGGGGGATGGGGATGGTTAATGGATACAAAAAGTAGTTAGAAATAATAGATAAGACCTAGTATTTGATAACACAACAGGGTGATTACAAACAAAAATAATTTATTGTACATTTAAAAATAACTAAATGAGTATAACTGGATTGTTTGTAACACAAAGGAAATATGCTCGAGGGGATGAATACCCCATTTTTGATGATTTGATTATTAGGCATTGCATGCCTGTATCAAAACATCTAATGTACCCCATAATACAACACCTCCTATGTACTCACAAGATTTTTTTAAAAAGTTTATTGCTCATGTGTTACTCATATTTTATGTCAGTACTGAATCTTACAGACTAATATTTATGTATTGTTTGTGTTTTCTCTCTTTTTTTATTATTCACCTCTATTCTCTATACATTTGTCAACATCTCTTGGTTTTAGTTACTAGGCACAGGATAACGTAACCATACTTTTGATATCAGGCAAAGAATTGGAGCTTCAGGAGGTCACATAAACTCCCTATTGGCACTTAACTACAAATGGGCAGGGGATACAGCTTTCTTCTCAGGAAATGTTCTTCTCGAATAGCTTCACTTCATTAATAGGCTAATATGTGGTAGAATTTGACTACACTGCAATCTCCATCAGAACATTATTTAACTTCCATTTAATCTTTTTTTAGAGGATACATACTAGGGACAATTTTGGCCCCCTAGGGTACATTTGGTAATGTCTGGAGCCATTTTGGGTTGTCACAACTGGTGGGAAATGCTACTGACATTTAGCTGGTAAAGGCCAGTGGTGTACTACTAAACAGCAGAGGACAGCCCCTTCTTCCACCAAAAAAAATCTTTCAGATCCTAAATGTCAACAGTACTGAGATTGAGAGAGCTTGGATTAGTGTGTCAACAATGCTGTTTGCCTGCTATTGAAATGCTTCATTTCAAATAAGGATTACCAAGAAAAAAATACTTTCTGACTTTTGTAAAATCAGATTGTTAAAGTTGTCTGCAACTTAATGCAAGTATTTCTCTTTGTTTGTTCTATAGAGCCTGGTGATTAGGAGTAGAGGAAATTACAGAATTTTAAATAACACAGAATGAGAAAAGTAATGTGAGCTTTAGAATGTGCAGTATATATAGATGCTTATTGAATAAAATCTTCAAGTTAAAGAAGTTTTACTTGTACTGTGGGATCCAATGCTTACATTTCATTCAAAGAGGGTCAATTTCTCAGCAACTGTTAGAACTAGTGACATTTTCTTTGATCTGGCAGTGTTCAATGACAATTTTCCCTTGTAATCTAAGTTATCAACTTGAAAATATCTTCAACACACAGCTGGAAACAGGAAGACAAAACTAAACTAAATTATTTACATTATCCAATGAAAGAGTAACATGTCTTTTAAATGTAACAGAAGTGTTAATAAACACTTTTAATAAACAAAAACAAGAATAATAACAACCACAAGAGACACTGGAAACTTTAAAAAATTGGAGGTTTACTTCACATAGCAAACAGCAGAAAATGATGAAATTACTATGTATCTTGTTAAATATAATTTAAGAAGAAATTTCATGTCATACCTGATCATTTAGTAAATAAATATGTCATCACTAAAGCATTATGATTTAGTATAACTGTTTCTCTGATATAATAGCACTAGTTGAGGAAAACAAAAATACTATGTAATTGAGTTTTGACAAGGTGTCATGTAGTTACACATTCAGTTGTTACTATGTAATTATTGAAGAAGACATTTATCTAACACTTTTGCACCTTGGGAAGCAGCCCATGCAATGTGGTATCAAGCAAAATCTAATGGTAAAACCAATTTCCCAATATTTGTAGCAGTAACCTTTAGCAGGTTCCTTTAGAGACATAGATGTTCAAGTGACAGAGATTCCCTTTTGCCAAAGGGGGATCATCAGGTACAAGAGAATACCTTTTTCCTACATTATTTTAGTTAGCCCCATCTTGCTTTCCTGTGTATAGTCCCTAAGCGGATTCTATTGAGTCTGATGCCATCAAGGAAAAGACAAGTTTTCTGTGGTCTCTTCATAATCAGCTCAGTCCACCTAGGGAGACTGAAAAGCTCTCCTGCCTTCCAGCTAACCAATCAAGGAGAAATTGTGTCTAGAAAAATATTTATCATTACCAACAGACTGCATCAAACTACGATGAGATGGAAGCTACTGTGAATGAGCTCTAGTCTGGCCTGTGATGTTTCAGTGATCTTAAATGAGCTCATTACTTTCTACCAGTGGAAGAGGTACCCAGGTGGACACAATTCTTATTTTTAAAAATCGTTTTAGAAGCCTTATGCTGTGCTCACTTTGATAGCACATATAATAAAATTGGTACAATACAGAGAAGATTAGCATGGCCCCTGCACAAGGATGTCACGCAAATTCATGAAGTGTTCCATATTTTTAGCTAGACTAATAAAGAAGAAAACAGAGAAGAATCAAACAGACACAATAAAGAATGAAAAAGTGGATATCACCACTGATCCACAGAAATATAAACAACCATCAGATAATACTACAAATAGATCTATGCAAATAAAGTAAAAAATCTAAAGAAAACAGATATATTCCTGGACACATACACCCTCCAAGACTGAACCAGGAATAGGTTGAATCCCTCAATAGACCAATAATAAGTTCCAAAATTAAAGCAATCATAAATAGCTTACCAACCAAAGAAAGCCCAAGACCAGTTGGATTTACAACTGAATTCTACCATAAATATAAAGAGGAGCTGATACCATTTCTTCTGAAACTACTCCAAATACTTGAAAAGGAAGGACTCCTCCCTAACTCATTCTATGAGGCCAGCATCATCCTGATACCAAAACCTGGGAGAGATACAACAAAAAAAGAAAACTTCAGGCCAATATCCCTGATGAACATTGATGCAAAAATTCTCAATAAAATACGGCAAACCGAATGCAGCAGCGCATCATGAAACTTATCCACCACGATCAAATTGGCTTCATTCCCAGGATGCAAGTCTTGTTCAATATATGCAAATCAATAAACGTAATTCATCACATAAATAGATCTAAAGACAAAAACCACATGATTATCTCAATAGATGCAGAAAAGGTCTTCAATAAAATCCAACATCCCTTCATGTCAAAAACTCTCAGTAAACTAGGTATTGAAGGAACATACTTCAAAATCATAAGAGCCACTTATGACAAACCCACAGCCAATATCATATTGAATGGGCAAAACCTGGAAACATTCCTCTTGAAAACTGGCACAAGACAAAGATGCCCTTTCTCACCACTGCTATTCAACATAGTATTGTAAGTTCTGGCCAGGCAACCAGGCAGGAGAAATAAATAAAGGGTATTCAAATCGGAAGGGAGGAAATCAAAATGTCCTTGTTTGCAGATGACATGATCCTATATCTAGAAAACCCCATCGTCTCAGCGCCAAAGCTTCTTAAGCTGATAAGCAACTTCAGCAAAGTCTCAGGATACAAAGTCAATGTGCAGAAGTCACAAGCACTCCTATACAACAACAACAGGCAAGCAGAGAGCCAAATCATGAAGGAACCCCCCCTTCGCAATTGCTACAAAGAGAATAAAATACCTAGGAATACAGCTAACAAGGGAAATGAAGTTCCTTTTCAAGGAGAACTACAAACCACTGTTCAAGGAAACCAGAGAGGACACAAACAAATGAAAAAATATTCCATGCTCATGGATAGGAAGAACCAATATCATGAAAATGACCATATTGCCCAAAGTAATTTATAGATTCAATGCTATTCCCATTAAACTACCATTGACATTCTTCACAGAATTAGAAAAAAACTAATTTTTTTATGGAACCAAAAAGAGCCCATATAGCCATGACAATCCCAAGCAAAAAGAACAATGCTGGAGGCATCATGCTACCAGACTTTAAACTATACCATAAGGCTACAATAACCAAAACAGCATGGTAATGGTGCAAAAACACACACAGACCAATGGAACAGAAGAGAACTCAGAAATAAGATTGCGCATGTACAACCATCTGATCTTTGACAAATTTCACCAAAAGAAGCAATGGGGAAATAATCCCTCATTTAATAAATGGTGCTGGGAGAACTGGCTATCCATTTGTTCAAAATTGAGACTGGACCCCTTCCTCATACCTTATTAAAAAATTAACTCAAGATGGCTTAAAGGCTTAAATGTAAAACCCAAAACTATAAAAACCCTAGAAGAAAATCTACACAATAACATTCAGGACATAGGTATGGGCAAAGATGTCATGATGAAATAACCATAAGCGATTGCAATAAAAGCAAAAATTGATAAATGGGATCTAATTAAACTAAGGAGCTTTGCACAGAAAAAGAAACTATCATTAGAATGAACAGGCAACCTACACAGTGGGAGAAAATTTTTTCAATTTATCAGTTTGACAAAGATCTAATATCCAGAATCTACAAGGAACTCAAACACATTTTTGAGGTAAAAACAAACAACCCCATTAAAAAGCAGGCAAAGAACATGAACAGACACTTCTCAAAAGAAGACATTCATACAGCCCACAAACATATGAAAAAAAGATCAACATCACTGATCATTAGAGAAATACAAATCAAAACCACAATGAGATATCATCTCACACCAGTCAGAACAGCCATTATTAAAAAGTCAAGAAACAACAGATACTGGCGAGGCTGCAGAGAAAGAGGAACACTTTTACACTGTTGGTGGGAATGTAAATTAGTTCAACCATTGTGGAAGACGGTGTGGCAATTCCTCAAAGATCTAGAACCAGAAATACCATTTGACCCAGCAATCCCATTACTGGGTAGATACCCAAAGAAATAAAAATGATTCTATTACAAAGATACATGCATGTGTATGTTCATTGCAGCACTATTCACAATAACAAAGACATGAAATCAACCCAAATGTCCATCAATGGTAGACTGGATAAAGAAATTGTGGTATATATATACCATGGAATACTATGCAGCCATAAAAAGGAATGAGATCATGTCCTTTGCAGGGACTTGGATGAAGCTGGAAGCCATAATCCTCAGCAAACTAATGCAGGAACAGAAAACCAAACACCAAATGTTCTCATTTATAAGTAGTAGCAGAACAATGAGAACACATGGACACAGGGAGGGGAACAACACACTGGGGCCTGTCAGCGAGTGGGATGGGGGTAGGGAGAGTATTAGGACAAATAGCTAATGCATGCTGGGCTTAATACCTAGGTGATGGGTTGATAGGTCCAGCAAACCATCATGGCACACGTTTACCTATGTTACAAACCTTCACATACTGCATATGTACCCCAGAACTAAAACTAAAAATAGAAATAAAGCCTTATGCTTCTGGGAAGATAGAGTCGCTATAATATCTCCTATTTTTCCCACGAGGTACAACTAAGCTGTCTGGATATTATGTGTAAAGCAAACATAAGATGATGCTGAAAAACAGGGAGAAGAAGGCAGACAGGCTAAGGACTACAGGACACAAGGGATGACACAGTGGTTAGGTCCCTGGGTCTTCTTTGTGTCTCATATACACCAGACTTGTTACTGAACAAGCCAGAAACCCAGAAATGGCAACAGTCGCAGACATAAAAAGCCCAGCAAAGATCTGCTCTTCCTATCTAAAAGACTAAAAAAGGGGAAGCCTAGAAAGATAGAAAGCCTTTGGATAATAATTATTATAGTCCAACCAAACATCACAGAAAAAAATATGGTACCATCCCTGCCCATGCCAGCAAAGGATAACTAGAGAGCCTAGACATTCACTCTTAGGATGCTGTAACAAGTTGTCTAGCATGCCATTGGGATGGTATCAGAGATGGCCAAATAGAAAGCTAAGACTTAATCCCTGCCTGTTGTTAATGAGAATCACACTCCTCTTGCCCCTTTGCAGTATCTATGTGAGACACCATGTGAGAAGTCTGGACTTCTACCCCGACTCAGCTGTAATGAGACATCCCTCTACCCCCTACAGGGGTTCTGTCGGAGGAGGCCTTTCACAATTGCCAAGTAATAATAAAGCCACCTCCACCAAGGTATCAGTGGAGACCATGGAAGAACCTGGAACTCTCACCTATGTAGTAGTAGTTAGGAGACTCTCACTTTGGCTGTCAGTGGAAGCTGAGTGGGGAACCTGGGCTTCTACCTTCACCTAGCAACAATGAGCTAATTTCCCTATTTTCCCTGATGGAGCAGTATTAGAGAAAGACAGCTAAAATAGAAGATTTAAATAAGAACATAGTACAAAACGTCTAGGTTTACATTGGAAGCTAGTAGTTATACCAAAAATAGGAAAATCTCAAAAAAAAATGAACAAAGATAACGGATACCAACACCAAGATGACAGACATGTTAAAATTATGTGGCAATTATTTAAACAGTCATAATAAAAAAACTCCAGCAAACAATTATGAAGATACATGAATCAAGTCTAAAGCCTCAGTATAGTAATAGAAAGTCCCAGCAAAGAATTAGAAATATAAAGAACGAAATGAAAATTCCAGAATTAAAAAGTACAATAATTGAAATAGAAAGCTCAATAGATGGGCTCAAAAACAGAATGGAGGGGATAGATGAAATAAACCATCGAACTGAAAATAGAACAGTAATTACTCATTCTGGACAGTAGAGAAAAAATAGACTAGAAAAAAAAATGAATAGATAGTCTAGGACCTGTGTGACTATAACAAAAGGTTTCACATTCAAGCCATTGGAGTCCTGGGGAGAAAAGGAAATGATGTTGGTACTCAAATAAATAATGCCTAAAAATGTCCCATATATGGTATAAATATAAACCTATAGATTTAAAAAGTTGGGTGTACCTCTAACAGGGTAAACACAAAGAAATCCATACCAAGACACATTATATTTAAACTTCTAGAAACTAAACACAAAGACAAATTTTTGAAAGCAGACAGAGCCAAATGACCCCTTATCAACAGCTGAAAATCACTGCTCTTAGTCAATACGTTGCTGGAAGTTCTAGCCAGTGCAATAAAGCAAAACAATAAAATAAAAGACATGCAAACTGGAAATAAAGAAATAAAACTGCCTCTATTTCCAGATGACATAATGTCTATGTTGAAAATCCTAGGGAATCTATAAAAAAATAAAAAGCAACTCCTAGAATAAGAGAGTTGTTTAGCAATGTTTCAGGATATAATATAAACATACAAGAATCAACTGTATTTTTATAAACTAAGCAATCAATTCATAGACACCAATTAAAAATATAAAAACCAGCCAGGCGTGGTGGCTCATGCCTTTAATCCTAGCCCTTTGGGAGGCCAAGGCCGGTGGATCACCTGAGGTCAGGAGTTTGAGAGCACCTTGGCCCACATGGCGAAACACCATCTCTACTAAAAATACAAAAATTAGCAGGGCGTGGTGGTGGGTGCCTGTAATCCCAGCTACTCGGGAGCTGAGGCAGGAGAATCACTTGAACCTGGGAGGCGGAGGTTGCAGTGAGCTGAGATCACACAGTTGCACTCCAGCCTGGGTGAAAGAGTGAAACTCTCTCTCAAAATAAATAAATAATAAATATTATATATTATATATTATGTATATATGTATGGTATATATATATAATATATATACACGCACACACACACACCAAAAAATATTTTAAATATAGTGTCATTTACAATCATTGAAAAAATAAAGTACTTAGGTGTAAATCTAACAAAACATGTGCTGGACTTGTATGTCAAAAATATGGAACACTGAATAAATGAATCATAAAGGATCTAAATAAATAGACACAGTGTGTTCGTGAATTGGATGACTCATCATAGTACAGATGTCAATTTACCCCAAATTGTTATAATGGTTTAATGCATTACTATCAACATTCCAGTTAGATTTTTTTTTTTTAGATATAGACAAGATTGGCCGGGCGCGGTGGCTCACGCCTGTAATCCCAGCACTTTGGGAGGCTGAGGCGGGGGCATCACGAGATCAGGAGATCGAGACCATCCTGGCTAACACTGTGAAACCCCGTCTCTACTGAAAATACAAAAAATTTGCCAGGCGCGGTGGCGGGCTCCTGCAGTCCCAGCTACCAGGAGGCTGAGGCAGGAAAATGGCATGAACCCGAGAGGCAGAGCTTGCAGTGAGCCGAGATCGTGCCACTGAACTCCAGCCTGGGTGACAGAGCGAGACTCCGTCTCAAAAAAAAAAAAAGATATAGACAAGATTACACTAAATTTATGTGAAAAGTCAAAGAACTTAGAATAGCTAAAACAGTATTGCAAAAAAAAAAAAGTAGGAAAAATCAGTCCATTTGATTTCAAGATTTATTATATAGCTTTAGTCATCAAGACTGTGTGGTCTGGTGGAGATATATATATATATATATATATATATATATATATATATATATACAGGAAACCCAGAAATAGAGCCACACAAATATTCCCAGCTGATTTTTTACAAAAATGTAAAAGTACTTCAAGTACTTCAATGGAGGAAAGACAGGCTTTTCAACAAATGGTGCTAGAAAAACTGGACATCCATAGGCAAAAAATAATGAACCGTGAACTAAGTCTCACAAGTTATATAATAAAAATAATTCAAAATGGACTGAGGACTTAAATGTAAAATGTAGCACTGTAAAAGTTTTAGAAAAATAAACAAATTCAACATTCTCAAAGTAACGTAATTACAGAAATGGAGAGAAGTTTAGTGGTTGCCAGAAGTTAAATAGGGGATAGTGGTGGGAGGGAAATGGGTGTTACTATAGAAGTGCAACATGAAGGATTTCTGTCAGGATAGAACTGTTCTGTGTTATGATACTGTATCAATGTTAGTATCTTGGTTGTCAGATTGTGCTATAGTTCCAGAAGAGTTTACCACTGGGGAAAACTGGGTAAAGAGTATATGGGATCTTTCTGAATTATTTATTACACCTGCATGTGATTGTAAAATGGTCATCTCAAAATTTAAAAATTAATTAGAAAAATTGCTTTGGGTGGAAAAAGAAGAGAAGAATGCCGCAAGACCAGGACAATGTGATGCTTGAGTTTATCTTCTAAGAAATGAAGTCTCAGGTATTTGGCTATGGGGTACCAAGGTGAAATTGTGGGTGGGACAAGCCAGGATTTTCTATACATAATTAATATAAAATGTTTACCCCTTTCACATCCTTTGGGGATATTAAGCACATGTGCAGAAGACGGAGAAAACTTGAACCAATGAATCCCAGAAAGCGTAATGAATGAGAAATAATCAACATGGGAAATCTTTTATTGCTTTTTTGTACAAGGTTAAGAAACACCCACCCTGCTTTTTACTCTAACTTATTTTGGAATCCACATAACTCACAAAAATAAGTAATCTTATTTTTATTTAAATATTGTTGAAAACATGGTAAAGATCACAAAGAGATCAACTAATTGTGAGCTGCAGCTTGCTATTAAAATAATGTTAGATAATTTTAAAATGAGATCCTTCCACCCTCTTTAACCCCACAGACTGTTAAAACTATACATATTGGGCCTATATTCCTTTTCCTCCTCTTACTCGAGCCATGACATGGATGGATGCTCCTTTTGAGGTCTATGTTAATGACGGTATTTGGATGCCTGGTTCTGTAGATGATCCTTGTCCTGCCCAACCTTCAGAAGAAGGAACCCCTTTCAATATCGCTTTAGGTTTTAGGTATCCACCTTTGTGCCTGGGACCCACTAATGGATGTCTCTTATTAGATATTCAAACATGGGTGGTCACACTACCGTCTGGTCACTCTGTCCCTCCTTTAGGACACTTGGTATCAGGGCTCTCATTAAAACCTCTAAGGCAGATCAAAACAGGAATCACTGATTATATTCACACATCCCAATATAAGCCTTTAGGACCTGCATGTCCTCTCAACTTGTCTTCAAATGCTGGCAAATTAATATGGAAGGATTGTGTTAGTTCAGAAGGAACTGTGTTATTTAATTCTTCTCACTACACCATTGTTGATTGGGCTCCCAAAGGTCATATTACTAATGATTGCTCTCAAGGTCATAGAGATTGTCAACATTTTCTCTATGATATTACTTATCAAAAAAGTAGTGACAACCCTCCCCTATTATATTGTAGATTTAACTCCTTTTTTCCTCTTAAGTGGAAAGGGGCAGGGGTTGCCCCTCCAAAGCCAAGGCTCGTTGTTCCCCACTTAGGACCTGAACATTCAGAATTATGGAGATTAACCATAGCTATGACTGGTATGAGAGTTTGGGCTGGAGAAAGTGTTATAAGTAAATCCACCTTGTCACCTCAAAAACTAAGACAACAGATTGATTTACACTACTATTTCCATACAGCCAAAAATATCACTATGGCAATTGTCAAAAGGTCAATTCAAAGATGGGACAGTAAAGATTATAAGGACTTATACCCCCTCGTTCTAATGTCCCCCCACCACCTCTCATACAACCCATTCCCCCCACCCCATATTCACAAAAAGGAGTACCATCCCAAAATATATATACTATCTATATGGAGTCCAACAAAACTATACCACTTAAAAGTTGTGTTAAATCACCATATATGTTATTATAGGAAAGATGCATGTTAGTTCAAAAACCAACATAATTACCTGTGTTAATTGTTACTTGTATACTTGTATTGACTCATCCTTTAATCAATATCATAGTATTTTAATAGTCAGAGCCAGAGACGGTATTTGGCTCCCCGTAGCCTTACACAGGCCTTGGGAATCTTCCCCTTCTATCCATGTTATTAATAATATTCTACGGAAAACTCTTAAAAGGAGTAAACGATTTATTTTTACATTAATTGCAGTAATAATGGGCTTGATTGCTGTTACTGTGACTGCTGCTACTGCTGGAGTTGCATTACATCAATCTATTCAAACTGTTCATTTTGTGGATAAATGGCAAAAAAATTCTACTTGGATGTGGAATTCTCAGTCAGGTATTGATCAAAAATTGGCCAATCAAATTAATGATCTAAGACAAACTGTTATATGGATGGGAGATAGAATTGAGTTTAGAACATAGATTATAAATGCAATGTGATTGGAATAATTCTGATTTTTGTATAACTCTGTTTCAATATAATGAGTCTGTTCACAATTGGGAATCAGTAAAACGCCATTTACAAAGAAGTGAAGACAATTTAAGTTTAGACATAAGCAAGCTAAAACAACAGATTTTTGAGGCCTCTCAAGCACACTTAACTGCTTTACCCGGTCCTGAAGTTTTAGACGGTATCTCTGAGGGGTTATCTAACCTCAACCCCATTCAATGGGTAAAATCTTTGGGAGGATCCACTATCGTTAATTTTGTTCTGTGTATAATTTGTGCTATTGGTTTATTGTTCATATGTAAAATTGGAAAAAAATATTCTTCAATCCAGTCGTGATCAGTGCCAAGCTATGATTGCTATGGTTCATTTAAATCAGAGAAAAGGGGGAGATGTAGGGAGACCCCCTGAAACTATTGCTATGGAATAAAAGATGAAATGCTCCTGATTATTGTAAATACAAAGTTGCATGCAGGATTGTGTAAAGACAATGCCAGGCTGGACTGCCAGAATGAGCCAACAGCGCGTGATGTGCTTCCCCCTACAGAGAGCCTATGAATGGACGTGCAGTCAGGGAGGTTTCACATCACCAAGATTCCTATCCCAGAAAAGCAGATGTTCATAGCTCTGGGAATGGAATGCGACCCTTGTGGAGAGCCTATAAATGGACACATGAGGGGCGCCTGTCCATATGGATAAGATAGGACTATAAATGCCCTCATCTTGCCACGGCTCTTCTAGGCTTCTTTAGGGTTAAGGCATACTGCCTTCTGAGAATTTCTGGTCTAACTGGTTGTCTAGCTTCAAGTCCTGTTTCTATGGATTGTTTGTAACCAGCTTTTGCTGCAACTGTTACTGCTGATTAATATCTTGCTAATAATAGGTTATGGAAAGACTGTGTTTCTGTTTTACGGCTCTGTTAGAAATTACCGATGCACACACTATATTGTAAATTCCTTTCTCTGTATACTGTACTTCTGCATACAGATGTTATGTTAAAGAATTACTTCATCCCCATGTGACCATCTCACCTCATAATCAAATGACACTAAATCCCTCACTAACCTACCCCCGCCCTCACTAAACTTAATAATAAATGCTGGTATATTCAGTGCATTGTTGGCACCACGGGACCAGAAGGCAGTGACCCCCCTGGACCCAGCTTTCACTATCTTGTGTGTGTCTATTATTTCTCGACCTGCCTATCCACCTGGGAACAAAGAGAGAGCCCTGTTGCATTGTGGGCTGCTGGCCAGATCCCGCAATAGATTATAAAGCTATGTGGGTTTTTTATTAGTTTTTGAGTTGGGGAAAGTAAAAATTTCTGTATTTTGTACTTCATGTTTGCTCAAAACAGCAAAAAAAAAAAAAAACCCATTTTTAAAAACTATTACGGCCGGGCGCGGTGGCTCACGCCTGTAATCCCAGCACTTTGGGAGGCTGAGACAGGCGGATCACGAGGTCAGGAGATCGAGACCATCCTGGTTAAGACGGTGAAACCCCGTCTCTACAAAAAATACAAAAAATTAGCCGGGCGTGGTGGCGGGCGCCTGTAGTCCCAGCTACTCGGGAGGCTGAGGCAGGAGAATGGCATGAACTCAGGAGACAGAGCTTGCAGTGAGCCGAGATCGCACCACTGCACTCCAGCCTGGGCGACAGAGCGAGACTCCATCTCGGAAAACAACAACAACAACAACAACAAAAAAAAAAAAACAAAAAAACAAAAAAACAAAAATAAAAACTATTGAAAGGACAAAAAGATAAATCCAGTTCAATAAACACATACTCAGCTAGTGAATTAATATTTTATTTCAGTCACTCAGCAAACAATTTACAGTGAAATTTAATCTCTTCTAATCTGTCAAAATGAAAGAAAATATCTTGTTATTTGTCTTTTTCAGAAAAACAAGTAATGTTAAATAATATTATGGTGAATATAGTTTTCAAAAGATCAAGTGTTTTAAAATTCCATCCATAAAGAGGTAACAGGTTTTCTCCTGTAAGTTGTCTTTTTGTCCTCCCAAATGATAGGAGGAAAAACAGTACAATAAGATGCTTTGTTAAGGTGGCTTAAATTACACACACACACACACACACACACACACACACACGCACGCGCATAAAATAAAGGCTCATAAAATTTCCTTTTATGTAAGGCTGAGCTCCTTGGGCTATAACTATTCAAGACAAGGGTGAAAGTATGAAAATCCACTATGCTTGATGGCTTGACTGATTATCAACTACAGTTGGCCCTTGAACAATGCAGGGGTTAGGGCCGCTAATCCCCCGCCCACACGCAGGTAGAAATCCACATATAATTTTGACTCATCTAAAACTTACTTCTAATAGCCTACTGTTGCCTGGTCCCTTATCAGTAGCATACTTATTCAGTTAGCACATATTTTATATGCTACATGCATTATATACTGTATTCTGATAATTTAAGCTAGAGAAAAAATGTTATTAAGAAAATCATAAGAAAGAGAAATCTTGTTCATCATTTCCTTGATTGGTTCTCTCACAAATTCTGTGAAGTTATGCACAATATCTGGACACAGTTTTCTCCAGCAGGAGTTTATTGTTTTGGGCTTGATTGTTTTCATGGTTTTTTCTATAACAAAGACAGCATCTTTAATGGTGTGATCCTTCCAGATTTCCCTGACACCCTCTTTATTGAGGAGGTTTTCTTCCATAGCATTGACAATCTTTTCCACAGAGTATTGTATGTAATCAGCCTTAAAGGTTGTTATGGCCCTCTGATCCAGAGGCTAGATTAGAGACATTCTGTTTTGGGGAAAGTAGACCACTATGATGCCTGTGGTGTTGAACTCACAGGGGCATCTGGGTAGTCAGGGGCATTGTTCAATATCAAAAGAACTTTAAAAGGCAGTCTCTTACTGACAAGGTGCTTCTTGACTTCAGCATCGATGGAAGCAATCCAGGAAAAGGGTTCTCATTGATTGTCCAGGCCTTCTTGTTGTACAATCAACAGACTGGCAACTGGTGTTTATCTTTTCCTTTAAAGGTTCAGGGGTTACCAGCTTTATAAATAGGAGCAATCCTATCATAAACCTGACTGCATTTACACAAAAGAGTAGAATTCGCCTATCTCTTCCTGCCTTTAATCCTGGTGCTTGCTTCTCTTCCTTACCAACAAATGTTCTTTGTGGCACTTTTCCCCAGAATATGGCACTTTCATTTGCATTAAAAACCTGTTCAGGAAGATATCCTTTCTCCTCAATGATTTTCTTAATGGCATCTGGAAACTTGTGCTGCCTCTTTGGTTGTCAAAAGCTGCTTCTCCTGTTATCTTGACATTTTTAAAGCCAAACCTCTTTCTAAAATTACCAAACCATCCTTTGCTGGCATTAAATTCTTCAACTTTGTATGCTTCCTTTTGTTTTAAGTTATCATATATTGACTTGACTTTTGCTTAAATCATGTTAGATTTTATAGGTATGCCTTTCTTATAGCAATCCTGCACTTACCTAAAAGCTGCATTTTCAATACTAAATAAAAAGGCATTTTTCAAAAAGTGCAACATTTTTGGTAACTGCAGCAATGGCTTCACAAATTTTCTTTTCTTTTCTTTTCTTTTTTACAATAATCTTCAAGCTGGATTCTTTTACCTTGAAATGGCAGGCAACTGCAGCTGCAGACCTCAATCTATCGTACATAACAAGCAATTCAGCTTTTTCCTGTCATGTCAAGACTTTTCTCTGCTTCTTGGGGACACTTCCAGCATCACTTGTGGCAATTCATATGGGTTCTCATGGTATTATCCAAAGCTTATGGTATTGCCCTAAAATCAATGAAAACTACATGAATAACACCAGAGGTCACTTTTTTCTGTGATACTCAATTTACGGGAGAGAGGAATTGCTCACATGAAGATGATTGGCAGCACACAGCATTTTAAGTGGATATTCGCAATACCTGAGCTCACTGCAATAACAACAGGAGGTAGCTACAAAATTATTATAGTAGTATAGTATGGACTACAGTTAATTTTATGCAGTTATAGTTTGATACTGCATATTTATATTTGTTTACATTTCTCTCAACTGGGAATGGCACCATGTATGATCTGTGTTTGTATAAGTTTTGATAAATTTAAACTTTTTTGATACAGTGTCTTTAATTTTAACTTTTCGTAATATACTTTTGTATATTATATTTGTGTAAATGATAAAGTAGACTAGGATGTACATATATTTTGTGCATTCATTACATAACTTTTTCTTATTGTTTTGATATTTCTAGGTTAAGCAATTCATCTCCTAGTTTTTACAAATTGTCACAACTCTCCAAAAATTTTCTGATATATTTGTGGAGAAAGACCCACATGTAAGTGAACCAACAGAGTTCAAACACATGTTGTTTTAAGGGTCAACTATATAGGTAAGTATCATATAGAAAATCCCCTTTACCATTTTTGAGAGATGTGATAGGCTAATTGTTAAACCTATGAATATCCTGTTACCTATTTCTATGTAACAAATTACCCTAAAACTTAGTGACTTAAAATAATCAACATTTATTATTTCACAGTTTCTGTTTGTCAGATATTTGTGTATGGCTTAGCTGGTTCTGTTCAGTATCTCCTAGGAGGTTGAAGTCTTGACTAGGTCTTCAAGATCCACTTCAAGATGGCTCACTTACATGGCTGTTAGCAGGAAGCCTCAGTTTCTCACCATGGTAGGCCTCTCCATAGGATACCTAAATGTCCTCATGACATGGCTGTAAATTTCCCTCTGCGCAAACGACCTGAGAGAGAGCCAGTGAGGAGGAAGACACAGTACCTTTTATGATCGAATCGCCAAGGTGACACACACCTGCCTTTGTTTTACTCTATTTGTTAGAAGTGCATTAAGGTCAGCCCATACTCTAAGAGAGAGGAACTAGTCTCCACTTCTTGAGGGGAGGAGTTTCAAATAATGTGTGTATATTTTTCAAAAGCACTACCATGGCTAACTTGTTTATTTTGGGCATCTTTCCTTGTATCAGTTGATGATACTCACATTAGTCACACATCCAATAAGAGATTGGGTACACAAAACACAAGCCATATAACATAAAGGTCAGTGTAAAAATCTAAGATTTTACAAAGGGAGATTCTGAGAGTTCTGTCTAAGATGTGGAATCAGCTCATAAAGAGATGTCATGCTAACAAAGCTTTTCAGATGCTATTCCCACTCATAAGCATGAGCATTCTGTAAGTATCACTGGAAGAGCTTCTGATGTACAGAAACAAAAAAGCATGAGAGCAGTGAAAATTCTGGCTTTGGTGGAAGATAAAGTAGGAAGAGTGTAGAAGAAAAGGAATGAGAGATAAACACTGATTGAAGATTTTGCTAAGATAGGGAAAGTTTCTGTGAGTGACAATAAAGGAGGTATGCTTTAGATTTCACAGTGTAATTAGACAACTGGCTAATGATTTAATAATCTATTTCTATTGCTGCCATTTTATCTGAAGTTTGTAATGGAATGGATCTAGCTCAGGATTGCCAAATCTACTTTGCAGTAAAGAAGAAAATAGACTTTGAAAGTAAGTCCGTATCTTTAGTAAATAAAAGAAAGAAAAGATGAAAAATATTGCATTTATTTTATGGAATACTTTTTAACTAGTTTTAAAGGGAACCCTCTGCAGCAACTCCAGTGTCAACTGGGAAGTAGAAAAAGAATGCAGAATGGCTTTCAAGCTCTTTCTCTTTTGAAAGTAGTAAGCTACTCTGTGAATCAGCGGACAGAAATTAGAAACTGATAAGTATTAGACAGCTACAATATTTGAGATTCTCAGACCAGCCTCCATGTATTTTTATAGTTCCCCAAATTCCTCTTGTTATTGATTTCTAGTTTTATCCCATTATGGTCAGAAAAGATTCTGAATATAATTTCAACTTTTTTGAATGTTTTAAGACTTGTTTTTTGGCTCAACATATGGTCTATCCTTGAGAATGGTCTATGTGCTGCAGATAATAAATTGTATTCTGCAGCCATTGGATGAAATGTTCTGTAAATATCCAGTAAACTCATTTGGTCTATAGTACAGATTAAATTCAATGTTTCTTTGTTGATTTTCTCTCTGGAAGGCCTGTCCAAGGCTGACAGTGATGTGTCGAAGTCTCCAGATATTATTGCATGAGGCTGTATCTCTGTTTATCTCTAGTAATATTTGCTTTGCATATCTGGGATATCCATTGTTGTGTTCAAATATAATTGTTATATCCCCTTGCTGAATTGACTCCTTTATCATTATATAATGATCTTGTCTCTTCTTACAATTTTTGCTTGAAATCTATTTTTTCTGATATAAAGATAGCTACTCCTGCTCTTTTTTGTTTTCCATTGGCATGAAATATCTTTCTCCATCCCTTTATTTTTAGTCTTTGTGTGTTTTTATAGCTAAAGTGTGTTTCTTGTAGGCAATATATCACTGGATCTTGTTTTTTTTTAAATCTATCCAACCACTGAACATCTTTTGATTGGAGAGTTTAGTCCATTTACATTCAATGTTATTATTGATAAGTAAGGATTTACTCCTGCCATTTTGTTATTTGTCTTTTTATTGTTTCGTGGTCTTCTCTTCCTTTTTTCCTTCCTTTCTGTCTTCCTTTTAGTGAAGGCAATTTTCTTCAGTGATGTGTTTTAATTTATTGCTTTTTATTTTTTATATATCTGTTTTATGTTGTTTTGAGGTTACCATGAGTCTCACAAATGATATCTTATACCCTGTTATTTAAAACTGATAAAAATTTAACACTGGTTGCATAAACAAACATGCAAAATGAAAACTACTAAAAACTCTACACTTTAACTGTGTCCCTCTGCTTCTTAACTTTTTTAAATTTCTATTTATATCTTACTGTACTATGTCTTGGAAAGTTGTTATGGTTATTATTTTTTTATTTCTTCATCTTTTCATCTTCCTACTCAAGATATGAGTAGTTAACATACCACAATTCCAGCATTGTAATATTCTGTGTTTTTCTGGGTACTTACTATTAGCAGTGAGTTTTGTACCCTCAGATGATTTTTTATTGCTTGTTAATGTCCTTTCCTTTCAGATTAAATAACTCTCTTTAGCATTTCTTGTAGGATAGGTCTGGTGGTGATGAAATCCCTCAGCTTTTGTTTGTCTGGGAAAGTATTAATCCTTCATGTTTGAAGGACATTTGCACTGGATATACTATTCTAGGATACAGTTTTTTTTCTTTAGCACTTGAAATATATCATACCACTCTCTCCTGGCCTGTAAGGTTTCCACTGAGAATCTGATTCCAGAACATACTGAAGCTCTTTTACATGTTATTTCTTTTCTCTTGCTGCTCTTAGGATCATTTCTTCATCCTTGACCTTTGGGAGTTTGATTAATAAATGCCTTGAGGTGTCTTCTTTGGGTTCAACCTACCTGGTGTTCTATAACCTTTTTGTAATTGAATATTTATATCTTCTTCTAGGTTTGGGAAGTTCTCTGTCATTAAATCTTTGAATAAACTTTCTACCCCAATATCTCTCTCTCTTTCCTCTTTAGGGCCAATAAGTCTTAGATTTACCCTTTGAGGATATTTTCTACATCTTGCAGGTATGCTTCATTGTTTTTTATTCTTTTTCTTTTGTCTCCTTTGAGTATTTATTTTCGAATAGCCTGTCTTCAAGCTCACTAAATCTTTCTTCTGCTTGATCAGCTCTGCTGTTAAGAGAATGTGATACATTCTTCTGTATGTCAATTACATTTTTCAGCTCCAGAATTTTTTTTATTCTTTTATTTATTTTTTTTTATTTTATTTATTTTTTTTGAGACAGAGTCTCACTCTGTCGCCCAGGCTGGAGTGCAGTGGTGCAATCTCGGCTCACTGCAAGCTCTGCCTCCCGGGTTCACGCCATTCTCCTGCCTCAGCCTCCCGAGTGGCTGGGACTACAGGCGCCCGCCACCACGCCCAGCTAATTTTTTGTATTTTTAGTAGAGACGGGGTTTCACCGTTTTAGCCAGGATGGTCTCGATCTGCTGACCTCGTGATCCGCCCGCCTCGGCCTCCCAAAGTGCTGGGATTACAGGCCTGAGCCACCGCGCCCGTCCCTATTCTTTTTAATTACTTCAATCTCTTTGTTATGTTTATCTGATAGGACTCTGCATTCCTTCTCTGTGTTATCTTGGATTCAAAAAACAGTTATTTTGAATTCTCCGTCTGAAAGGTCTCTATCTATGTCTCTCCTGGATTGGTCTTTGGTGCCTTATTTAGTGCATTTGTTGAGTTTATGTGTTCCCGGGTGGTGTTGGTGGTTTTTTGTTGTTGCTGTTGTTTGTTTTCTTTTTGTTTTGTTTTTTGAGACAGAGTCTCACTCTGTTGCCCCGGCTGGAGCACAATGGCATGATCTCAGCTCACCGCAACCTCTACTTACCAGGTTCATGTGATTCTCGTGCCTCAGCCGCCCACATAGCTGGGACTATAGGCACGTGCCACCACACCTAATTTTTTTTTTTTTTTTTTTTGAGACGGAGTCTTGCTCTGTCACCCAGGCTGGAGTGCAATGGCGTGACCTTGGCTCACTGCAACCTCCGCCTGCCAAGTTCAAGCAATTCTCCTGCCTCAGCCTCCCAAGTAGCTGGGACTAAAGGCACGTGCCACCATGCCTGGCTAATTTTTTTTTTTTTTGTATTTTTAGTACAGATGGGGTTTCACCATGCTGGCCAGGCTGGTCTCGAACTCCTGACCTCATGATCTGCCCACCTCCCAAAGTGCTGGGGTTACAGGCGTGAGGCACCACACCTCGGCAATTTTTTTGTATTTTTAGTAGAGACAGGTTTCACCCTGTTGGCCAGTCTGGTCTTGAACTCCTGGCCTCAAGTGATCCACCTGCTTTGGCCTCCCAAATTGCTGGGATTACAGGTGTGAGCCACTGTGCCTATCCTCTGGGGGTTCTTGATGCTTGTGGATGTTAGTCAGTGTCTGGATATTAAAGAGTTATTTATTTTAGTGTTTGCAATCTTAGCTTGTTTGTGTCCACCCTTCTTGAGAAAGCTTTCCAGGCATTTAAAGGATGTGGGTGTTGCAATGCAAGATTTTTGTAACTATAGTCATATCTGCTTTAGGGGGCACCCAAAGCCCAGTTATACTGTGGCTCTTGCGTACTTGTGGAGGTATTGCTTTTGTGGTCTTGGGCATTTCCCTGGATCACCAAGCAGAGACTCTTGTTCTCTTCCCTTACTTTCCCCTAAACAAATGGAGTCACTCTCTCCACACTGAACTGTGTGTAACTGGAGGAGGGGCGAGTTAATTATTTTTTTTTTCTAACTTCTTAGTCTATGCAGCTTTCTGTGAGAAGGATGGGTCTTATACATTATTAATGTACTTTAATAGTTCACATAGACTAATAGTATTATACTCTAAGGTCCAGTCGGCCAGCCATGTTATAATAATCTTATTAATCAGAATGTGATCTATTTAAGTAGATTTTAGAAAGTCCTTTTTTTTTTTAATTTGGTGCTTCCAAACATGATAGATAGCTACTATAATAGGCCATTGGATTAACGAGGATAGGCTGGTTGCGGTGGCTGATGCCTCTAATCCCAGCACTTTGGGAGGCCGAGGTGGGTGGATCACCTGAGGTCAGGAGTTCAAGACCAGCCTGGCCAACATGGTGAAACCCCATCTCTACTAAAAATACAAAAAATTAGCCGGGTGTGGAGGTGGGCGCCTGTAATCCCAGGTAGTCAGGAGGCTGAGGCACAAGAATCGCTTGAACCGGGAGGCGGAGGTTGCAGTGAGCCAAGATCGTGCCATTGCACTCCAGCCTGGGCAACAAGGGCGAAACTCCATCTCAACAAAAGAAGAATGATAATGACTGTGTTGATTCAGGTCTTTTAGTACACCACTACATGCTGAACTCTCTAGTGGGAGATAGAAGCAAAGTAAGACATACCTCTCAAGTCTAAGAAAGTATAGCTCTGAGTAAGGTACATGTTCACAATATCAAGATACAGATGGATGAGAAAACACAAAGTTGGTCACCAAATTATCTGAGACATCCCAAAGAGATGAATTTCCTTAGAAATAATGTTATGAAAATTAAACAGAACACTTATACTTCCCACTGTAGGTAGTAGACACACAGAGTTTGATATACCAACTGATGGAAATGGCTGAAAGTACAAGTACAATTAGGTTCAAGGAGAATTTAGAATAAATTTCTAAATGACAGGCTCATAATAAATTAAAGATGGCTAGGAATATATAGGGATGTCCTCAATTTTTTATTTTGACATCACAGATAACATCATTCTACCACTATATATCTTCATGCTCTTTTCAGGAATAGCATGAGTGTGCAGGGTATGTGTTCATGCGTGTGTATGTAGTAGTAGTAATAGGAGTAGTCAGAGTCAGAGTCATAGTAGTAGTGTGATCATAGATTTTGTAGGGCCTATAAATGTGACACGGAGGAAATGGACTCTATTTGCAAAGGTAAAAGAAATCTAAAATAGTTTGTCATGGTCAAAGATATTAATGGAAAGTTATATGTAACCTATGTGTGATCCATGAGTCTAGAGAAAGTCAGAAGTAGAATAAACAATATTCTGAACAATGAGTTATTGCTTTCTTTAGAACAGAGAATATGTGCTTCTTGTGCAGCTAAAACCAAGACTCTTGATTTGAGAGACAGAGGAACCTGTGATATTCTTTGCAAAATTTGTCAACTGTACACCCTGTGAAAAGAGAGAAGAGAACCAAAAGACCTCTCGAGCAAAAGATATTGCCACAAAGTCCTCCAGAAACCATACCACTTCTTGACAGGTACCCAAATGAGTGATTGGTTAGGGCTTATGGTCTCTTGCTTTGCAGGAAAATAAAACAAAGGTAAAGTGTGTACTAAAAAATGATACAACTACTGGACAATACATTCTTTGGAGGGATATAGTCTGTATCTCAGTTATTTTTGGTCTCCTAGAGCACATTATGTAGTACTTCTCACAAAATACGTGCTCAATAAATATGTTCTTTCTTGTTGAATAGTAGTAAAAAAAAATAACCAAACAGGTTGTGATATGAAGACTTGCTATTATGCAATGGCAATTATTTTCCTTTCATGTATCTACTCCAAAACAAAGATAATACAAATAATGGGGGTATGCATATGTAGAACTCACTTGCTTCTCTTTTCTCCCATCACCTGCTAACCTCTACAACAATAAAAGATTTTTAAAATGGGAAATTAAAATTAAAAGGTACATGACAATCTCCCAATATTTCAATTCCGACAAGAACCTGTTAACTAAAACAATCGAACTCATGGACATAGAGAATGGAAGGTTGGTTACCAGAGGCTGAGAATAGTAGTGGGGGGTTGGGAGGGAGGTAGGGATGGTTGATGGGTACCAAAAAATAGAATGAATAAGGCCTACTGTTTGATAACACAATAGGGTGAATATAGTCAATAATAATTTAACCATACATTTTAAAATAACTTACAGAGTGTAATTGGATTATTTGTAACTCAAAGGATAAGTGCATAAGGGGATGGATACCTCATTTTCCATGATGTACTTATTTCACATTGCATGCCTGTATAAAAACATCTCATTTACTCCATAAATATACATACCTCCTATGTACCCACAAAAATTAAACAAAAAATGTATAAAAGCAAAGACAAGAAAACCTGATAACTGCAATGATAAAGGAAGGGTGCTGTCAGATATACCATGTTGATGCCAATGGTCTAATTCCTTAATCAACAAAATATCACTTTTAGAAGGACTGAAAACCAAAATGAAGAGTGATATAATTGTGACCCATTCTACTGTCTGATTCATGCTTTTTCAAAGATCCAGGTTTATGGCTAAAATGTTAAATGAATTCTCTTCATCAAAAATGTGTTTTACTTGTACTCTGACATTCAAGTAATACAGATAATTGCAAAATAGGCTAAGACTGTTTATAACATTTTTGCAGCCAAACAAGTCCATTGGAACATAAGAAGAGCAACAGATTACAGAGCTTAATAAGCCAAAAGTCACTAAATAATTGGAAATACAGAAAACAATTTCAGAAATAGAAATGATTATTTTGTAATTAAAGAAATTATATATGTATACAGAATGAGATGGGTTGGGATGAGATGGGATGAGATGTTATATGGTGGGAGAGATGGGGTGCCCCATAAGTTTCCACTGTCACAGACTAAAGATTGGTACTTTGTGCCTGGGTCCTGATTTAGAGCCCAAATAGATGTTTGCTTCCAGCACAGAAAAGTGATACTTGGACACTTTTTAGGAACAGATCAAGTGTATGACCTAATATCACTTATGTTAGGCTTACGGCAGAAAGAAACATCCAAAGTTTTAAAGTACCAAATGAAAAGGTGTAAGCCAGCATGGCCATATTGAAGAATCTTCACTCTCAGAACCACAAGAGGATTTTCCACCATTTCAACCAAATCTAAAATTTCTTGAAAAATTCACACTTCCCGGGGGCTTCTGCCTACCCTTGCTCCAGGGATTGTCTGTCAATGGGATAAGTGGGAAGAGCAGGGAGGGAGAATTAAACTGGAGAGTGATCTGTACCTAGGTCTCACAGATTTTCCAAATTCATTTTCTTTCAGCCCAAATTCTGATGACAGGAGAACAAGTTGATGTGTATCTGAAAGCCATAGTGGTGTGTTCTGAAAAGCAAAGAAGGGAAACTATTCTAAAACAGGAAGTCAATAAATGCCAGAAACATGACTTTGGTTGCAGTATTAAAATGGAGCTTATTTGCAGAAAAGCAAATAAAATAAGATGTTTTTAGCCTGTTTGGTAATAGATACTGGCACACAAGCAATGGAGGACTAGAAAGGAAGGCTGAGGACTTTTAAATATTTAATTTAAAATATTCTGACTGAAAATAGTCAAATAGGACCATATTTGATACAGTTTTGAAGGCAAGCCACTTAGCAACTTCTCAAATTACTATAGCCATAATCCATATTATTACTGAATATTGATTATAAACTTTATTCAAAATATCAAAGAAACATCTCATCAATCCAGATTTAAACCTTCATGTTTCACAGGCTAAGGTAAGAGATTAAAGGGGATAAAAGAAAAGTAGAAGTTGAGCCTATGGAGTGTTGACCTAGAGAGGAGCTAAGTGGCCTAAAAGAAAAATTAGCTCTTATTCCTCCATTTGGGTAGAGGAGAGGGAGACCTAATTTCTATCTTCTGCTGGCCTCCAGAAATATTGACAGGAGTTTACAATATTTCACAAAGTTCTTCTGGAGTGTGGAGTTTAAAAGATTTAAGCATTCAGTTTCAGCCATCACCTCAAAGGTCAAAGTATGAGTAACTCACAGCCAAGCCGCTGGAATCTCCAGGGCTTGCTTTTGAGATTTCTGTGGCTTCTTTTTCATCCTTGGATCAAGTTGGGCACTTTTGAAGTATGTTACTTGTAGCAATTCAATTCTCTAACATAAAGGGTGTGTGCGTGTGTGTGTGTGTTTGTGTGTGTGCACATACACAGACACACACACACAACCACACTTTGTATACATACTTTGACAATCACAAAGGAGACTCAAAACCAGTTTATAAAGAAGACTGATACTCAGCCTCCTCACTGATCCTCCTGCCAAATATATGTACAAGCAAAAACACATACACAAAAAACAGTGGATGGCCCTGGTTCTTTTAAGTCAAAACAATTTAATCTCTGAGAGGAAGGAGTATTTATCTTGAGAAATTTTAAAGATATACCTTCAAGTTAAACTTCATATGAGTAATACTTGCTTGAGTGTGAGGAAGGGAACATGTTTTTCACTTTTTTCCTAGGGTTTAAAATTGTTCTACTTACAGGGAAAAAATAACACTACTGTCTACTGCATTAAAAGAAAAAGTCTCAGCAAGAAGGAAGAAAGGAAGAAAAAAAGGAAGGGAGGAAGGAAGGAAGGAAAGGAGGGAAGGAGGAAGGGAGGGAAGAAGGGAGGGAGGAAAAATGACCACACAGTCTCAGATGCATAAAATATCATTGCTATATCAGATATAGTTTAAATTTCTTTGCCTGGATTCTTACACTAATTGAGTTTCAGAAATGTTCAATTTTATAATACATCTGTGATGCCATTACTATGCCAAACAATGGGTCGAGGTTCCATTTTTCAGCATCACAAATTCTTTCTCTTATTTTGATGTGTCACATTCTCATGCATTTTTATGTGCAGAATTAAAGGAGGAAATTCAAGTTTCTGAAGAAAACTGAAATTTCCTAAGGAAACTGAAAAAGGAGGATATATTTTAGGGATTTCAGAAGCTATATTTTCCGTATTCCATTACTATATCATGCTGCTCAGTTCAGCACCATGTTGGTATTGTTTCTTTTGGTTTGTTTGGCTTTTGTTTTGTCTTCCTATCTATATTGTGAACAAAAGCAGTATTTTCCCCTTCTCTTTTATCCCTCATAGATTACAGCACAGTATTTGTATACAGTAGATGCCCAATAAATATTAGTTAATGAAGCGATAACATACCATTGATGCCACAAGGTGTAACTTGACCTGATCCTGGTCACCCTTCCCATCCACTTGTCCATCTTTTTTTTCATCCTTCCATACAGTACTATGTTTATTGTGGGTTTATTACATATTTTGCATTTACACTACTATAAAAATTAGTATAAGCCACAGTTCTTCCCTTCAAGTCTTACAGTTTACTCATGGAAATAATATTATGAGAGAAACTGTGAAGTAAGATTAATAAGTGGTAAAGATAATAAGTATTATCCGTTCAGAGAAGGGGGCATTACTGGAGTTCAACTGGTTAAAAAAGGTCTCTTGGAAGAGAAGCTATTAGAAATGAACTCTGAACAATAATCTGTATCACATAGTGTCCTTGCAAATACTAAGTGCGATAATGAATTTGAAGGCTTATCACAGTGTCTTAACGTGGTCAGCCACCAACAAGTAGTATCTATGATGACAATGATAATAATTTCAGTAAAATGAAGAGAAAGAAGATTGGATAATTGGAGAGGATGGTAATTTTCAGGTAATAGAAAGCATCTGAGCAAGCAGTGGATTTTAGGATAAGCATAACATGACAGGAACAGTTTAGTTAGAAAAGAGGACACATTCTGAGGAATCAAAATAGCAGAGGAAGGTTCATGTCAAGATTAAGAACCTTGAGTGTGAGGTTGATGAATTAAGAATTTTGTTTAGGCAGTGAGGAGCCTCTGGCATTTGATGGGTTCTTGCTAGAATCAAATGGATCTGTAGGTTCTTTTACCAAGACAGGCATATAACATACCTACATGTCAGCCAACACAACTTAGTACAAAGAAAGATTCAGGCAATCAAATGATAATTTTAATCTAAAGTTGCCAATTAAGTGGATTGACAGTTTCTCTTTCTAGCTGAAGCCACCTACCCCCTGCCTTAAAATTACTGAACCAAATGGTTATTTTGACATAGACACTGCAAATGTGGCTCTAAAGGCATATACTCGGTGAAGGTCAAGTGAAAAGTTTATAGATTATATGAGAATATCATTGTATGGGATCACATTTTCTCATACTGCATTACATTTTGAAATTATAAAACAATAATTAGTTATTAAATTGGCTTAAAACACTAATTGTGCTAAATACTGTGCAAAGCGTGCACCTGCTTTCAGGAGGTCTTCACAGGGGAGTAAACACATGACTGAAAAGTGAGAGAATTAACAAAAGGAGAAAATACAGTATTGGAAAATAGAAGAACAGTGAGGCAGAGTTGCAGTTTTCAACAATCCAAGAGGGTACAAAAGTCACATAATAAATTTCCATAACTAGGAATAACAGAAATTGAAACCCCATTAAGTGAAAATATAATGCAAATAGCACATTGTAAAATGAGCACCTTGGGGGACATAGTGCAAATAATATATAAAGATACAGATTTCACAGAATTATAGAACTAAGAAGAATCTTGAGATATCATTTTGTCCATTCTCTTGATCTTCATGCAAAACCTCACCTCAGCCATCTCACACAAGACAGAATCTATCCTGTTTGAAACCAAAATGTAAAACAGCCCAGAGGTAATTGTATAATCTCTAAAGTAATGTATTCTTGATGTTTGACATCCTTCATTGCCAGGAAATTCTTCCTTAAGCTTTCTCCTGCTATAGTGTCATTTCCTGTGTCTCCACCCTCTCTGCAGATGTGGAGCATCTGGTCCTAATGATTGTCTTTCAGGTCCTAGAAGACCATTACTAAGTCACCTCTTAGCCAGCTCTTCTATGGGCTGAACAATCTTAATTCCCCTTGGTTTTCATTCTTCGGCTGATTTTCCTGCTGTTTATCATGTCTGTGTGGGATAGCTTTATAATAAGAAAAACAGCCTTGCTGTCTTTCATGCCAAATAGTCACACAATTAAAGCTCTAACTGTTTTAAAAAAGAGCATATATCCGCCTAGGTTCCTAAGGCCAAGAATATTTTAAAAACTAGCTTCTTTTCCTTTTCTCAATGACAAATGCCAGTGGAAAATCTTACTTAACCTAAAAAACAGTATTTCTCTAAGGAGTTGAACTGTGCAGAAGAATTATTTCTGACGTGGACAAAAATCAACCTTTTTTTCTGTCTTCATGGGTAAATTGCATAGTTACATAAAGGGAGAATTTACTCAAAGTGTCACTGACACAGGAAGCTTTACCAACTTACATAGCCTCAGGCAAAGGTTATGTTCCTGAACTCTGAACCTGCCTTTCCTAGCTCTCCTCAGTAACCCAAATAGAGCTAATGATAGAGGGAAAAATCCCAGGCCTTCAAATGATAAAGTAACATTTTCCCAAAATGTAAGGGACAAAGACTAACTGTCAGAGGGTTTAGAAAGTCATAACCAATTCAAGGTAAAATGCCATGTTTCTTTAAGAAGAGAAGTACAGTGCTATATCTAGAAAGAGAAGATTTGGGGAAATGTCACATTTTTCAAAAAATATCAAGCATTTTCCCCAGCCCCACCAATTTGATTTGGTAAAAATTTGAAGAATATGAGTCCCAGGAACCCTGGTCACAAGCAAACAAACAAAAACACATAAAGAACTTTGGTCTTATTCCCTAGTAGAGTAATAGCTGGAACTCAACCACGCTGTGAAAGTGCCATCGTCCTCCATTACCATAAGGGTATGTCTTCAAATGTCCCTATAAACCAGTGGCTCTCTGTTAGGGGCAATTTTGACTTCCAGAGACCATTTGGCAATGTCTGGAGTCATTTTTGGTTGTCATAACTGGGGATATTGGTGTTACTAGCATTCAGTGGGTCAAAGCTTGGGATGCTGCAAAACAACCTATAGTGCACAAGATGGCCCTCCACAGCAAAGAATTGTCCAGCCTGAAATGTCAAGAGCGCTGAGGTTAAGAAATCTTGGCCTAAAGAGTGCCCCTTGACCAACACCACTAATTAGGGGAGGACAGCTCCTATTAGCCCCTATATCATAATCTGCTGTACTCGGAATGCTGGTCTTTTACCAGTGTTCTGCGTGCTTGGCCCTACTACCTCTCTCCTCCTCCTTACTTTCTGAAGGATGGAAAGACCTCAGAAGACTTGAGATATCTTTTCTCTCCTCCTTGGGAAGACAATGCCCAATTGCACCCCTAAGTGCGGTATATTTCCTGTTACATGTCTTTCAATCTCTTGTCTTATGGGAAATTCCAGAGAAAGCATATGACCTTTCCCTTGACATGACAGGAATGTTCCTCTGTAGTTTACAGAGGACAAAGCTTCTTTGCCCCACTCCTTAAACATTTCCATTTCTACCCACAGGCAGATTTCCTACACTCCTTGGGTCTGACCTCTGCCTCTCTGTAGCTTCCATATGCACTCAACTCAAGTATTTGTTGAGAAGTTACCTACATTGTGATTTGAGCCTGGCCAATATGTTTTCAAGTTTGTAGTGACTATTATTTAGTATTGGAAATAATAGAGTCATTCTGGTTAATCAAAGTCTCTAGTTAACTGTGAGTCATTAGAAATACCATAATAGACTAACTGTTTTATCAAGAAGTTGGAAAGAAACCAAATACACTAAATGCTAAAACTATAGCGAACATCATGTAATCTTTACTTGACAATTTAAATGGCTCATTAGGATCTTTTATTGCCTGTGGGTCATGGTTAGCAGTCTTTCTCTATTTGCCTCTTTTTGCTTGACTGATGCTGGCTAAAGGATTTAGTTCAATTAACAAATTCTGGAAAACAGAATTGGGCCCTGAGTGAATATATTGGCAGACTAAAGAAAGAGGATAAAGGTGACCATGTTATGGAAATTTATTGTCGAAATCTTGACACATTTCTTTTTATCTAGAAACATAGAAAATATGCAAAGCACAAAGTTAAAAATAATGATATAGTGCCCTCAGTTGCATATTGGATGTACACTAACTTTCAGTTGTAGCTTCCTATTATCATCTACCATTAACACAGAAAATGGTACTTAGGCAATCTGAAAGGCTTTAACCCCAGCTTTAAATAGCCTACAGACTCTTCTTACCCTCAGGGACCACTAGGTGTACTGTATTCTTCTTTGCCTTCAGCCTAGGGCTCTGCGACCACACTGACACTTGGGATTGAGTGCACTGGTAACCTTGCCCTGTTATTCCTTCCCTGACCTTTTCAGTGGCTTCACAGAAATTCCCTACACTAGGGCAAGTAAGTGAAATTAGTGATCAGCTTGCCTGTGCCTTTTGCCAAAGGAAGAATCACAGTTTTGTTGCCTTGGAAAACAGAATACATTACAATAGCTCAGTGCCAACTACGTTAAACACCTAACAGCTTCTTCCTTAGTATAGCAAACTCTACAATGCAATAGTGATGCAGCCCTGAGGGAAGGAGAATCTGTCCTTTCTTTTCTATTTTTGTGAAGAAAGCACTTCACTTTGTGAAGTGCTCTGCTGATTACTTGTAGTATCACAGACCTGGTGAAGTTGTTGAGGGTAGTTAAGCATATCCATTTGATTATTAAGTTGCATCTAGAACTTGAAATTCATTCTTTCTCTCTATTTCAGTTTTTATCTTGTTTTTAAAAATTCTAATTCCATATCAGCCTGAGACAACCTGCAGAAAAGAAACTGGACATATTCCTAGCAAGTTAAGCCACAGGCAGAATTTCCAGGAGCCCAGACCCCTGTATTGAACATGTTCTACTGCTCATGATTTCTATCATAAAAGAACAATACAATTCTGGGTACTAGAAAAATTCCTGATTCCCTTTTGTATATTATCTAGCAGTTTTCTTAATGAGAAAAGGCTGTCATTCATTTAAGAAGCTGCTTCATAAGAACTGCCATTAGTAGGACAGTTATCTTCTCATTAATATGAATGAACGTATCAAGTTCTTACCATGTTATTGAGATTTTGCCTACATTATCATAATTCTTCCCAACAACACTGCAAGATATAGCAAAGGCTTAGAGAACTGAAGTAATAATTGCAAGTTCTTTTTCTTACATTGTGCTATGGCTACTGAGTCATTGGACTGCTCATCAGGTTTAACTTGTGACCAAGCAACATTGGCAAGTCAAAGTATAGAGTTGTATGATATATTGGTTCAAGTCCACTAACAAGCAGATGTCATGGCAAGATCATACCTGCAAGAGATTTGCTGAGGGCTAAAGAACCCGTGAGGGAAAATGGGGAGAGAGACAAAGGAGCCTGGCAGAGCCAAAATATTGTGATACTGTTGTGACTATTGAGGAGAAAGGGAAGAATGGAGAGTTAGTTAATGAGTCTTAAACTGCAGAACAATTCTTAAAAAGTTTTGGCAAAGCCAATGGGAAGTCCTAGAGTAAAAGCCATCCATCAGAGGAGTCCTGCTGAGAGACAGGACTAGCTGGATTTCCTAGGCTAAGAATTCCTAAGCCTAGCTGCTGAAGGTGACTGCACCCACCTTTAAACACGGGGTTTGTAACTCAGCTGACACCTGACGCATCAGGTAGTAAAGGGAGCTCACTAAAATACCAATTAGGCTAAAAGCAGGAGGTAAAGAAATAATCAAATCATCTAAGCCTGAGAGTACAGGGGGAGGGACAATGATCGGGATATAAACCCAGGCATTTCGAGCCGGTAGAGGGAACCCCCTTTAGGTCCCCTCCCGTTGTATGGGAGCTCTGTTTCCACTCTATTAAATCTTGAAACTGCATACTCTTCTGGTCCTTGTTTTTTTCTGGCTCCAGCTGAGCTTTCGCTCGCTGTCCACCACTGCTGATCACTGTTGTCACAGACCCATCGCTGGCTTCCACCCCTCCGGATCTGGCAGGGTGTCCGCTACGCTTCTGATCCAGCGAGGCACTCATTGCCACTCCCGATCAGGCTAGAGGCTTGCTATTGTTCCTGTGCAGCTAAGTGCCCGGGAGCTAAACACTAGTCGCTGGGTTCCACAGTTCTCTTCCGTGAGCCACGGCTTCTAATAGAGCTATAACACTCACCGCATGGCCCAAGGTTCCATTCCTTGGAATCCCTGAGGCCAAGAACCCCAAGTCAGAGAACAAAAGGCTTGCCGCCATCTTGGGAGCGGCCCACCACCATCTTGGGAGCTTTGGGAGCAAAGGCTGGCTGGTAACACTGCATCTCCCAGAAATGGGCCTGTCCTAGTGTCCTTAGTCACTGGCTGGGAGCAGTCTGTGAAAAGTATGGCCCCTAATGCAGTGGCAGATTCAGAACTTAGCAGCTGGGGCTGTCACTCAAGTACACTCCTCACAGTAAGAGAACTGAGAGGCAGATTTTCATTGCTGTCATGGGGATATAGGCTGGGATAGATTAAGGGTTTGAGGCTTTTGACCTAATTCAGAAAGTACACTTATCCACGTTGTACTAACCAAACTATTTTGAAGGTAGGGCTTTTGCCTTACCTGTTTTTATATCTTCCACTGCACCTGATTGATTAGGTAAAAAAATAGGTATTCAGTGATTGATGTTGACTCAATAGGCTTGACCAACAGCAGTCTGCCTTCCCACAAAGTAATATAAATGGTTTGATGACACTTTATAAAAATGGGATAATTTCTTTAAATGGCTCCTAAAACGGCTATCTCTAAAAAAGCAAAACTGGCAAATACAGCCAATTGCTATTACAACCATTAAGAAAAAGAATATTAATTATAAGCCTTTGCCCTTCCTAATCCAGCCCCTCTTCAGAGAATGAAAAGCCTCAGGGTTTGAACTATTGGACAAAGCTACACAAAATCACTGACAAATCAATGCACACAAATCCAGACAGAGACACACATATGCACACACACTTGCCCTCCCGCCAATTGCTATGATGTAATTTCAGCTTCATGTAATACAACCCTGCCTTTACCCTGGAGTGCTAAGCAGCTCTGAACACAACGAAGAGCTTCCTTCAACCCCAGGTTCACCACTAAAGCAAAAAGAACAGCTTAGGAAAGCTTCTGGGTACCGAGTATGGGATCAGGTCCATGTCATGGGCATGATAGGAAAAAAAATCTGGAGTGGGAGACAAGGTGTCTGGGAAACTTGAAGTAAAGAAGGGCAAGGGAGAGCACAAGGGGAGAGAGAATAAAGTTGAACATATGCTGGAGATAGTAGCACAACTGTAATAATGATCTTGGGAGTGATGAGTCAGGCCAAGGCCACAGATTACCCATGCCAGCGACCGCAGACATAATAATTCACATGTTTGGGCAATTAACCTGATAAATGCCAACCATAATATTAGCTACCATGTATTGAATACTCATTATGTGTCAGGCACTGTGAAAAGCACTTTACCTGAGATACCTTTAAAAACTTGTTTAATAAAACTGTGTGGGGTAGCAATAGATATACCCCATTTTCAGATGAAGCAACCAAACCTTCAGAGATATCAACTACCTTGAGGAAGGTCACACAGCTAATAAATGGCAGAACTCAAATGGGAACCAAATACTGTCAGATGCATTTATCCTCCACACTATTTTGTTTCCATACCTATCAAGACTATTCATATTACTTATTTACATATATTGTCTGATCACATTGCATTTGAGACTTTTGGCCCGTAGCTAAGATTAGACATGGTCCCTGCTATCAAAGACTACAGATTTTACTATTTGATTAGAGGAAGTACACTCAACTCCTCAAAATATACACAAAAGCAACCCAGGAATACAAAATGACAGTGTATTGGGAGAAGGAAATTGTTATGGCAGGTTGGAGGCTGGGCCCATTGGACAAAGCTTCCTAGGGATATGGCAGCCTTGAACTACACAATCAAAGAGGGAAAAAATACAGCATGATGGGACGTTTAGGACAGAAATTTGCCAGCATGTCATGAGAATAAATGACACAGGACTTGCTGCATGGCTGCCTAGAAAAGGAGTGCTGAAAACACAAACATCAAACCTGAGAATTGTTTCTGAAGCTACAGGTGTGATGGAAAAGCTTGCTTGAGGCACTGTTCACAATAGCAAAGACTTGGAACCAACCCAAATGCCCATCAATGATAGACTGGATAAAGAAAATGTGGCACATATACACCATGGAATACTATGCAGCCATAAAAAAACAGTGAGTTCATGTCCTTTGCAGGAACATGAAGCTGGAAACCATCATTCTCAGCAAACTAAAACAAGAACAGAAAACCAAACGCTGCATGTTCTCACTCATAAGTGGGAGTTGAACAATGAGAACACATGGACATAGGGAGGGGAACATCACACACCGAGGCCTGTTGGGGGGGCATGGGAGGCTGGGGAAGGGATAGCATTAGGAGAAATACCTAATGTAGATGATGGGTTGATGGGTGCAGCAAACCACCATGGTACATATATACCTATGTAACAAACCTGCGCGTTCTGCACATGTACCCCAGAACTTAAAGTATAATTAAAAAAAATAAGAAAATAACAAGAACTTGAAGAATAACAGTAGAAACTAGCCAAAAAGGAGTTCAGACAGAACAATATGAGGGTCTTGCTTTCACTTAGAAGTTAGTGGGCATTTTGTCCCTACTTCTTTACCAGAAAATTTAGCAGAAACGATTCCTGAATGAGGTTGCTGTGGCTTGCTTGACAAACCTTATGATGTTATTTATCAATTTTTACTTTTAATTTTATGGGGGTTTGGGAGAAAAGGAAATCTTGATTGTCTTAAAAATCTTATCTCTGATATCAGAGAGATCAACTTCTGAGCTGCCATCCTCATGACCTTTTTCCCCTTGCTAATGCCTGACACACCCTTAATATTGATTTTCTCATCAAAATAAACACCAAAACCCAAGTAATGAGAGTTCTGACATTTTAAAATCATGTGCTCTTGGCCAGACTCAGTGGCTCACGCCTGTAATCCCAGCAATTTGGGAGACCGAGGCAGGCAGATCATAAGGTCAGGAGATCGAGACCATCCTGGCTAACACGGTGAAACCCTGTCTCTACTAAAAATACAAAAAATTAGCCAGGCGTGATGGCACGCCCCTGTAGTCCCAGCTACTCAGGAGGCTGAGGCATGAGAATCGCTTGAACCTGGGAGGCGGAGGTTGCAGTGAGCCGAGATCGTGCCACTGCACTCCAGCCTGAGGGACAGAGTGAGACTCTGTCTCAAAAATAAAGAAAGAAAGAAAGAAAAAAAAGCTTGCTTTAATATGTGCTATTGAACCATAAGACAACAATGTCAATATGAGACAGACAAGTCATCATCAGAAAGTGTTCCCACTGGGTGGGATCAGATCACCAGCATACATGGCACTCTCTTGAGGGGTTTCAACAGAGGTGCCAAGGACTGACTGGACATGAAAGGTGGCAAATGAACAGTGCCAACAGGAGCTTGCCCAGCCGCTGACACTGTGTAAAACTTTGTCCAGTTGTGAAACTTATTCTAGGCCTGAGCAGATAAAATTCTGGGACCATCAGCTTGCATCTGATTCTTGCAAAGAAGCAGAGGGCCAAAAGCATGATCCAGGGAGGGTACTCATTTGACTTGTTTTCTGTCAGCCTGTGGTATTGTTTCTGTCCCTGTCACTAGTCCTTTAAATGGATCTGGATCATCTCTGTAATATGCTAAAGGCAACATGCAAAAGCCCAGGTTCAGGAACAGAATTCTGCCTTGGGTCTTTGCTCTCCTGCTTGCCCGTTTCAACCAGATCTCTTTTCTGACTTTCAGATCCAAATGGTTCTAAACTCTGGTTCTAATGCTTGCCTTAGGCACTTTTTTATTCAACAATCTATTTAGACTTATTTCTCTGGTTTATTTACCTCAGCTCTCTGTATACAATTTTCAACTTTCAACTTTGTACACACCATCACCGTTACAAACACCTGCAGCTGTAGGTGATAGACAGTCCTATCACCCACCTCAGCCCTGTAGGGCCCACACCAGTTATGCCAGCTTACATGGAATCCTTGCCAAGATAAGAGATGAGACACCTGGCATAGAGGAATATTTATCCATTGAAAAGTCAGTTTGAAAAACACAAAAGTTGTATTTGGTTGCACGCTGAGGCTTCTAAAAGCCCAAAGGGAAATTATGGAGGACAGAGCTTTGTCAGTCAAGATAATTAATTCTAAGGTATGTAAGGAGACTATGTTTTGAGCAAAGCATATGATGGCAGCATGCCCACAGAAGCAATTGTTACATAGTAAGAAGAAAACTGGCTTAGGTGTCAGGAGACTTGGGTTCCAGCTATAATCAGCTACGAATAGTTGTGTGAGCTTGGGTCAGTCCTGTCATCTCTCTGGGTTTTGGTTTTCTTTTCTAACAAGAAGGTATGGGTTAAATAACCTTCTGTGGTCAATTCCATTTCTCATCTTCTAGGATTCACTGATTGCTTAACAGGCAGTTACAAGTGAATAGAGTAGAAATTCGTCTTTGTGGACGCCCTGAAGCCTGATTGCCAATGAGGGTTTTACTGGGAAATAATAGCAATAAATTACAAAGCTGAATAAGAGAGATCAGGAATTAAATGCTGGTTATGTGTTGTGGGTCTGAGGGAAGGAAATGCAGTTGGTGAGGGATAATTCATTTGAAACGAAGACTTCAGGTTGATTAAAAGTCTAAAAGTAGGGTTGTTAAATAACTGAATTATATGTGTGTAATGATGTTTAATGATGTTGTTTAAGAAACACTGAAGGAACCCAATTGACACCAAGTGCTTCTCTGATATTCTACAATTCCACTTGCAATTCCTACATTCTTTGCATCTGTATATTACTTGGGAAGTATGATGCACAAAACCAGAATTGGTCACTTAGGTCTGAGTATAAACTAATTTATTTAGATTAGCCAACCACCTAGCAGGGCTGTGAGGGAATGAGTTGCAGGATAGGTAAATGTTGATGGGGCAGGAGTGAGGGCAGGAGTGGGGGGCTGTGCAGGGAATATGGGGGAAAAGGATCCAGACCATTGGGGGCTATTTAGGAGTAGAGATCTGGTAACACGTTTTGCCCTTCTTCGTCAGTAGGGATCCCTAGGCAGTCAGTGAATACCGTGAGGGAATAAGGAACTTGAAGAAACCTTGCGAGGTTAAAAAGGGACAATACTCAAAAAGGGTCAGAAAGTGAAAGCAGAGGCATAGGCTTTGTAAACATCAGTTATAGGATCACAGTCAAACATCAAGGTCCATGCCTTTCTCTTGAGCTCCACACCCATGTTTTCAATTACATACTGGATGTCCATATATGGGTGATCCACCAAGCACCTCAAAACCAAAATATGAACAAATAATCAGGTATTACCAATATGTATAAATATATTCCTTCTGTACATATCATCTTGGTTGATGTAACTATCTTCTAATTACCTTGCTGTCCCAGTCAGTCAACAGAAGTCCTTCTGGAGTCTTTCCTTTTCCTCATCACTCCACCTCTATCATCAAGTCCTTAGATTCTAGAGGTTTTATTTCTTTTAAATAATAATTCAAATATTTGTTACTCCTCTCTCCATTATCTCTGTCATTACCTTAGTTCACATTCACTTTGCTTATTGTCTAGATTACTGAAGTAGCCTCCCAACAAATCTGCCTGTATCCAGCCTTTCCCCGTGTTATGGAGGATCTGCTGTCAGTTATAGTCATTGTTGAATATCAAGATTGTCTAGTCATGTTTCTGGTTTCTACTATTAATAGATGTGAGCTCCCCAGACAAGGGCTACATCTTATTCTTCTCTGTACCCCTTACCTAGCAGAGTGCCTGGCATAGAGAAAATTTGCTGAGTGAATAAATGAATGAACAAATAAACTCATAGATTTTACTTAGAAATGAATTGTTAGATCCCATATTCTAACCAGGCAAAAATAAAATAAAATAAAATAAAAAGCCCTCAAGCACAAATTAAGTACTTTTGTGGGTTGACATATCAACTCAAGAAAATCTATTTTCCCAATGGCCTCACGTTTTTATTTGCTGAATAAATTTCAAAACCTTTCTCAGGTCCTCCAATCGTAAGTATTTATACTCTAAATCTAGCTAATTTGTGCTTAATTTTTTGTATGTTTACCATCTACTTTCAATACCATATTTACTCAGTCATCAATTCCCTTTATAAAGAACTACCCAATTAGGACTCCCACAGTGCTTACACTGGCTTTGTTGCAGTTGTCAATCAGTTCCAGCCATTAATAGATTAGTTGGGAAACACAAGAGCCTGGACTTACTGGAGGAGAGGAAAACCCACAAATGGGCAAACCTGTTTGGCACTCTCTCTCGGTCTCTCTCTCTATCTATATCTATATCTATATCTATATCTATATCTATATCTATATCTATATCTATCTATATCTATATATATAGATATGTGTGTGTATATATATGTATATGTGTGTGTATATATATATATATATATATATATATATATATATATACACACACATACATAATTTGTGTACTTTAATGATCAATGCTTGCACTAGTTTTTAAAAACTTTTGGGACTTTTAGGCAAATAGCTTGTTAATCAACCCCAGTCTTTTTGGTCATATCTGTGCACAGTGAAAACAAACGATCTCAACAGTTTAATATTCAAACACAAAACTCTGTCCTAGAGGATCCTCTTGCAACTGGGCCTCAATGGCTGTGGGTATTTTGAGCCTGTTGCAACATTATTTGTAGCTCCCACACGAAAGAAAATAGACTGAAATAGCAAGAAAATTTTTGTCATGGCTCATACAGAGATGGAAGAAGGGTCCTAGGGTAGGTGTTTGGAAGTAAATGTGTGACTGGTCCCTGCTGATGGTAGGCATTCCTGAGAAGCCAGGCCACTAACTTTTTTGCTAATTCATTTTTTTTTCAAGTGAATTGTCTCTAATTCAAATTCCCAACACAAACCTAAATGAGTTTAGATATGAGTTATAGCAACAGTAACAGCTACTAAATTTCCCTCCTATATATTTCAAAAAACACAAGCAATTCCTATAGTCTTCAGTTAGATAGAAAAAATAATAAATAGATAGATAGATAGATAGATATGCAGATAGGTAGAGTTTTGGATTTTCACAGAATATCTTTGGAGCTTTAGTAGATATTAATATAAATAATGGTAAGAGGCAGACTCCAAGTTTGACATGACTTGACTGGCTGTAATGAGAAACCAATGACCTCACAGAGGACCATGAAAAATAGGAGACCATACGGTACTTGTCATTTCTGCCAATAGGCTTCATGTCTTGGGTATTTAAAATGCATGGCTTTTGGCTTTTTTGTGTGAATGTGTTTTTTGTTTCCTTTTTCCTTTCTTTCTTTTTTTGGTGCAGGGAGGAAAGGAAAGGTAAGGAGAGTAGCCTAATAAGGGGATTTTAGTTAGTAAAAATAAAGTTGAGAATGGATGGTTATTCTAAAATAAAGATGAGGAGTGACGATTATTTCTGTAAAGGTAAATGAAATTATAAAATTAAAACCTTTTATGGAGAGTAATTAATTCCAGTTTTCTACAAGGGTTCATCATTTTTTAGGCTCTCCATTTTTATAAAGTATTATATTTAATTCGAAGCACAGAGCTCCTCTGCTTTCAGATGTGTACTAGATCATCTATTACTTACCCTTTTAGAATTTCTTTTCAGTATCACCTTAATGGTGACATTCTGAATGCTGCACCGATGTTCACATCTTACTTGTGCCTGATTTCACGAGAGCAAGATTTAGCTTGGCTCTGTACAGAAAATGCCCAGTGGAGAGTTATAGCAGGTTGTGTCCCATGCAATATGGTGAGTTCCTGATGGCTCTTAGGTAAGGATTAAAAATTATACAATAATGGTATAAGATCAATTTAAGAAATAAATGATTTCAAATAGTAAATTGATAAGGCATGGAGATATGCAGAGTGACTTAAATTTGAAATATTTACTGACTTTTCTCCTCAGCACAAACCTGACAACATCCATACTAGGTCTTAGTATGTAATACCAAAGTGGTTATAACTTAATACTAACTGGGAAATACTCGCATAAAAAACAAAATTAAGGCTCCCCTAATAGAACTTATATTTCTACTTAGAGTTCCTCTATGGCTAAATTATTACACATTCTATGTGCCAGTTAAGATTTAGAGATGAAATACCAATTTGATCATTAATGTAATTTTTTCTCTATTCTTTTTCCACTGGGCGTAACTCCTGGATGATTCTGGGAAAAGAATAAGAAAAAAATATAACCCAGGTCAACATAAAAGCCTGAGATGGATCAAGTGAATCCCAGCATATGAATTAAAGAAATCTGTTCTTTTCAGAATAACATCTACCCTGCACCATACATGGTGCCCACAAATGTACAAAATTCCTGATACCAAAACTGAAATTCTTTCATTTTTTTCACAAGATTTAACTCAATTGCAATTTAATTTTCTCCAACAGTTTTAATTTCTTAGAATTTTAATGCCTTCTTTTTCCTTTTCTCTTGAATAGCCATATTTGAAGCAGTGGTTCCTTTCAAATGCTTTCATGTTGATTAGAATTATGATTCTTCCACACCATTAAAGGAATCTCTAAAAGGAGTCCGTCCCTGGTACAAGAAAAAACTTTCCGCATTGCAGGGCTAATGTGGACCTGAGGTCACCTGAAAATCAGAGAGTAAAATCATATAATTTTTGAGGTAAAAGGTTGTCTTCCTCCTTCAGACTGGTAAACCATCCAGGATAAATGGCTTTCTCTTTACCCCTTCAAATTGTCTTTAATAATCATGTGGTCTTTTATGAACAACCCATCTGCCCAAACAGCAAGAATAACATCAAACAAACAAGTAAAAAAAGAAAAAAGAAAAAAAAAGAAAAGAAGAAACTTTAAAAATGTTCCATAATGTCTTCTAGTACTGCCAGTCTCAATGTTGTAGCTATATGATGCTCTTCCTTATGTCTAACTGCAGTCTTTCCTGCTTCAATGTATGGTTATTCCCATTTGCTAAGGAAAGGAATATGAGAGGTAAATTTAAAAGGCAATTTGTTCAAGTTGAGTCTTTGCTATAGTATGTCTGAGTCTGCAAATGAATGGAAATGAGGAGGGGGTGTGGCAAATAATTTAATATTAAGAACAGACAACTGTCATTCAGATTTTCGTCAGAGGCTCAGTGTTATGCCTGGACAGAGGAATGCAACAGAATGTGTCTGATCAGATTGAGGGAGTCACTTCAAAATTTCCTCTGTAAAATTTAAATTTAGTTTTTGATTTCTTAGAGTGACTATTCCAGATGGGCCAAGTGGCTCAGATAAAATAGAAACTGACCTACAATCAGTCTTCCAGCTTCAAGGGAAGGAGAAATAGCGCTTGGTTGAGGTTGTTTTTCCTTATGTCTAACCATAGTCTTTCCTGCTTCAATGTATGGTTATTCTCATTTGCTAAGGAAAGGAACATGAGAGGTAAATTTAAAAGGCAATTAGTTCAAGTTGAGTCTTTGCTATAGTATGCCTGAGTCTGCAAATTAATGGAAATGGGGGGGGCAAATAATTTAATACTAAGAACAGACAATTGTCATTCAGATTTTCGTCAGAGGCTCAGTGTTATGCCTGGACAGAGGAATGCAACAGAATGTGTCTGACCAGATTGAGGGAGTCACTTCAAAATTTCCTCTGTAAAATTTAAATTTAGTTTTCGATTTCCTAGAGTGACTATTCCAGATGGGCCAAGTGGCTCAGATAAAATAGAAACTGACCTACAATCAGTCTTCCAGTTTCAAAGAAGGAGAAATAGAGCTTGGTTGAAGTTGTTTTTCATTTCTAAATGTCTCTGCACTGAGGTGAGATATATTCACTGCCCTTTTCATGTGGAAAAACACCCAAGAATAAAGATTGAAACAAAACAATATGAGTGGTGTATATGCAGAGAGAAGGCTTTCTTCCTAGCAGGCAGAAAGATCTAATAAAGAGGTAGCTATTCCTTCCTTCCTTCTTCTAGCTCCTCTCCACTTTCCCTTTCCACTTTCTTACTTTCCCAACCCTGGAAAAGAGAAGGCTATTTATTCAGATTGTAATCTGGAACCTATAGCCCTCATCTTCTCCTATGACCCAATAGCCCAGAGGTTAGACTTAGTGCCATTGTATACTCCCCCCCACCTAAGACTTTTGGCTCAGTGACCTTGATGTCAGACACTGAGGATGAAGCCAGGATAGTGAGTTGCAGCTGTTGCCTGTAATGTGACACCTGGGGGAATTCCTGGCCCTTTTTGCAGATCCCTATAAAAGCAACAGTAGAAGGTCAAAACTCATCTCAAATATCACCTCCTTTGGGAAGCCTTCCCTGAACCCCGCCCACTGCCTCCTTATGTAGTTCAACAGTGTTTCATGGTTTTTACCTCAATCACAGCATTCATCAAGCTGTATTATACTGTGTTGATTTCTCTGCCTCATCCACTAGGCTGTGAGATCTTTGGGGATGTGAACTCTGTCCTTTATTTCTGTATCCCCAGTGTGTAGCACAGAACCTGGCATATAGCTGACTTTCAGTAAATGTTTGCTGAGTGAATGACAGTTTCACACTAACATCTGTCTGTATCTAAGGGTCACCTGGGGTGGGGGGTTGTAAATTTTTTCTCTGTTTCCAACATTTCTGTGAAAATTCAACTATCAGAGAGATAAAACATATTTATTATATCATTATCTAATACGCTGGCACCTTAATTCATTCATTACTTATAATTCCTAATTAATTATATTTAGTGTTTCAGTCATCTCACATTTTAAATATTATATTTTTATGAGTAACAGTCCATGTAATATATACCAAGTATAATAAGTAATTATACTTAGGCAACTAAGGTGCTTACTGAATCAGACACATTTTGATGAGATCAGGGAGAGGAGAAAAGGTTAAGAACATGGGTTACCTAATAAATGTCTTTCTTCTTTCTAATTTGAACCTTCCCCCTTGTCCTCTGAATCTTATTCCTCCTTTCTCTGCCACATTCCTGTTCCATAAATTATGCCCTTTCTCCCTCTCCACTGGCTACTCTTCAGTCAACAATAGGTTCATTCCTCCCCTATTAAAAGAAACTTCCCTTGACTCTTCTGTCCCCTCAGGCTACCCACTCCCATTGTTTACCTTTCTTTGCCACTCCCTCTAAACTATAGACAGAATAAGTTGATAGCCATAACCTCCACTGTCTTACCACCCACTCATTTCACAATCATTCTAATATCTGTCCTCTCCCTTCTAGTCAATCTGTGCTCTCTGACTCTTACCCTTATTACTCTGCCAAAAACCTCTCTCTCAAGGGTGAACTCCTGGTAAATAAAAATGAAATGGAAATAGATCTTAGAGATTAAGAACATAAGCTTCAGAGTTAAACAGATTTAGGTTTAAGTCCAGGCTGTGCCTCTTAACTAGCTATGAGGTCTTGATCAAGTTTTTTAAGTTCTATAAATTTCAGTTTCCTCATCTTTAAAATCGGGAAAATAACAGTCCCTACCTCACAAGTGGTTCTGAAGTTTAGGTAGACAATTGCTGTTGTAAAGTGCTTAGCATAGTACCAGAAGCATAGAAAGTGATCAATAACTGGTAGCAAGCTAATCTACTATAAATCCTGATTCTCTTCAATTTTTATAGCATTGACTAAAGTAGGAACTAAACACCTTCTTCTGGCACCCTGACCTTCCGTGGCACCCACCATACTGTCAACCTCTGGTCTTCTTAATATTCTAACTGCTTTGTTTACATTTACATAACTGATGGCTCTTCCTCTTCCTACCCCATCAGTGTGATCATGTCCTAAAATTCTGTTCTTGGCCTATTCGTTCTTTCTCAATGAAGATGAAAATATTGGTGTGAAATTCAGGAGCAAGGTTATCGCATGTGTCAGCCATGCTCATCGTCTTTCCTTCTACACTGGTTTTCCTCCTTACTTGGCTCTTTCTGTCACTAGCACCACAAATTTTGCTTTGCTCCAGGGAAACTATACCATTTGCAATCCTCTAAACATGCCACATATGCTTTACAACCTATACGGTTTTGCTGGTATTGGTCCTTTTATTTTCCTGTTAAAATCCAACACATTCTTCAAAGACCATCTTAAATGTTGTCTCTTTTGTGAAGTCTTTATCAACACAAGCTCTGGAATAATTCTAGTTCCACTACTTTCTAGCTGTGTGACCATGGGAAAGTTACTAAATTTCTCAGCTTCAGTTTCCTCATAAAGAACATGAGGATAATCATGATCCCTAATGGATCAAGTTTGTATGAGGATTAAATTAAATAAGAAAATTCTTACAAAAGTGCTTTGCATGGCATCTGACATATGATAAGCCTCAATAGATAATAGTAATAATTACTGTTGTTGTTACTACTATTATGACTACTAGTGACATAACTTCTTCACTTGGAACTCCAGAGCAATTAAGTTCTGCCTCTTTTATTGCATTTTCAACTCTAACTTTTGTAAGGATTATTATGTACATACTTGACATCTGTCATTAACCCCCTCCAACTATTAGAATATGAGGGCAAGAACCATTTCTGCTTTATCTGACTGTGTATGGACTCAATATGTTTTTGTTGAATTTAAGTACATCAAATCCTATTTGACAAAGGGACAATCCTGCTTGTCCCTTTTGGCATTTTTCTTTGTTTTTTTCCTTTTTTATTTGGTTCCCAAGGAAGCAGTAGTGATTAGTGTAAGAATGTAAGGTACTTCATTGTAACATTTTCTCTCTACATTTGAATAGATTCTGGCATTTCTTTGTGTGGTTTCTCATGGCAAATTGTTTACTTAGGGATTGTGGTGACTGGAGGTAAGTGGGCAGGGGGCTTAGTCTTAGAGTTAATGAGAGCAATTGTAGGCCTGATTATTAGAATGGGAAAATGTACCTTTCCTTTTTGTACTCTTTTCAGATACTATCACTTATCTTTCTCTTTTTGAACTAGGAAAGTCAGTCAATATGATTAATTGATTTATTTCAGTGTACAGACACGTAGACACTGAAAGGCAAATAAGGGAAGTAGAAGACGCACTCTCAACCCTAAAATGAGCTCAGTTGAGGCCCATAGTCTTTTTCCTTAGCTCTCAGGGAGAACATTAGAAGATGAAGGAAAGGAAATAAAATCAGAGTAAAAAAGACTTCTGTTGGTGGCATTCTTAGAGTGAAATCTAGGCAAAATCATAAAATAAAGGTATTGGTTATGTATTCATATACTTGCCCCCTGATCTCTCCATGTAACCCCTTCTGTGAGCCTCTTCAGGTGCTGGGCACCAAATATTTTCTCCCTAGGCTCAAATCCAAAACCAAGTATCTACCTCTCATTCACACTTAGGGAATAAATCACTAAGAACAGCTTAGGGAGTTTTAGTGGGTGCATGAGTGTGTGTATATATATGTGCATTACATTATATAAACACTAATCAAAACTTTAATGGTGAGATTTTAAGCATTAGCCAATAGTGGAAGTGGTGCGAGAACCCTTAAGTGATAAAGAAGCTTTCCTAGGGCTTTTAAGTCCACATCGCATAGGTCAACTGCTCTGCCTACATAAAAGGTCTACCCTAGTAAACCTGTTGTCAAGTAGGTATAAGGCTCAATAACAGAACTATTAGTGTTGACCTTTCATTTTTAAATTTTCGAGACTCAAGCAGTTGTTTCTGTATTTATATTCTTTGAAGATCAATAAACAAGGGTGGGAAATCAGTATGCAATTAGACAAACTCAACAAAGATGATAATTATTTTATCACTTTGGGTTTATTGTATCTCCCTTGGGAAAAAATAGAGCAAAGAACGATTATCAAAAATCACCTTAAGTAAGAACTTATGGAATTATGGATGGTCATTCTCTAATAGGTTCATAACATGCTGCATAACCTAGCTAAATTAGTTTTTGGTTGCCCCCTTTATCTAAAAGATCTCTTGATCTAAACGACTATATAACAGTAAAGAAATGTTTACCAACGAATGAAACAATAAAAATGGGAATGTAGAAGCAGCATCTCAAGGCTCAATGCACTTGATCTATCTTCATGCTTGGCCTACAGCCCATATTTCTCTTTTCTCTCTGAGAGGCGGGAGAGGAAGTTTCCCTAACTGGGAGGAAAGTGAAATGAATTAATGTGTTGACGGTGTACCTTCACACATGAGCACTAAGAAAAAGTTCTTTACCAAATTCCTTTCCTCTAGGCAGCAAAGAAGATAAACTGGGTTTTGTGTAAAACTTGCACAACTGGGTATGGCTGAAACTCACCTCGTTGAGAACTGGCATGCATGATTAGATTTGTCTTAAATGTTGACTTTCCCAGTTGAGCAAGTTGACCATCTTGATTTGTTATATTTGGAGTCAATTCCCCAATAATGACAAGTTTTACACAAGTTAGATTATATGGCCTCAGTGAAAGTACATTATAATGAAAGGGTAGAAGAGCCCACAGCCTATCAGAACTCTAGTATTAAAACTTCTGTTCTATTCAGCAGAAATAAAACTGAGCTAACATCTTGTTTAAGATTTGAAATCATTTCCCAAAAGTGAGGCGTCTGTATGGGGGCAAAAGAGAAGAGTGATTGCTGCCAAGAATTGTTAATAGAATAAGTTCCTCCAACTTCTTGCTCCACCACCTTCAATAAAAAATGACAACTTTGACTTTCCTCTTGATGCTGTCAACAAATCTCATTCAATACTGATAGAAGAGGAACATTTAAAAAATCTATGGTCTCTCAAGCAGGCCAAATTCTGAGTCCCCATGTCAATGTCAAACTCTGTCAGCTGTCGAAAGACAAAATGTCTTATTCCCAGAAACATATGGAAGCCTAGAAGAGTGATTCACCCATTACATTTAACTAAAAAGAGTTTATTGACCATTTGCACAGTATCCAGCCCTAGATTCAGTGGAGAATATAAAAGCATGTTGCAGGGACTTTCATCTCAGAGAGTTTATGAGGATCACATGGGACCATCCTGAAGGTCAGGGTCCGGTGTCTTCTTTAGTTTTTTGTGGCTGTCAGCCGAGTTAAGCCATAGTGAGTTCAGACAGGCTTAAGGCATAGGCAGAAAAGAAAAAAAAAAGGGAAAGGAATAAGAGAGGACTGGGGAGAGTAAGGGAAGACAAAGGAAAGATTGTATGAGAATCAAAGAGAAGAGTAAGATACAAAAGAGGAGGGGGTGAGGGAGCACTAATGAGGAAGAGGGAAGACTGTTCTGGGGACCTAAACTTTGGGTTGTCTCCCTTCTTTAATTAATATCCACACTGATTTTAAAACTGCTGGATTCGTTAAGTCAAAAGCCAGAGTCCACAGGTAGATTAGTTGTGGTTTCGTGCTAAGGCAACTGAAGGAAGGAAAAAGGACAAGGATTTTTGATATGCTTGAATTCTTTCCTATCACTCCTGCCTATCACAATGTGAAGGCCATGGAAGTGCCAAATCTTGCACTGAGACCGGATCTTACCTTCTCATTTCATAAGGCATTGAAGCTTGAATGGTGCCAGGCCATCTTGCCTTTTATAAAGAGGCTACATTTCCAGTCAATAGGTGTCTGGGCTACTATATTGCCCCTTGCAGACGCAAAGTCTGGGTTTGTTTGTTTATTCGTTTCTGAAAATGGAGGGGATCCTGGTAGAAAGATGGGTTGTGTTCTGAGAAAAGTAGAGTCTGTCGGGGCAGCATGCCCTCACCATTTCTCTCCATTTTCTATGAAGAAGGACCAGATGGGATGATGGATGGTTGGGGTGTTTATATCTATTAAATATGCCTAATCTGAATTCTCGGCAATTAGTGCTATTCAGCTTTAACCCTTTGGCTGGGCTATTCATTTCACCAGATGTACCAGATGTACTGACTAAATCTATCTTTACTTCTCTGGCATCTCCTATTTGCCTGAAAACGTTCCCTAACTTATAATGTGTCATTTTAAAGGATACCGTAGACACATTTCAAAGGATAGTTGTGGAATGCACCATTTTTTTTTCTCCCTATCACAATTAGATTTATGTGCAAAAGGGCTATGCAAATTCCCTGGCTGATTTTCTGGAGATTCACATTTCTTTAAGGAATTCTACCCCACAATTGGATCAGATCCTTGCATGAAATCCTCCCATTCAGATTCCATTCTTAAATTCCAGTGGTGAATGTAAAATAGCCTCAAGTTATTATATAATCATGGAATCGCAGCGAGGGAACTTGCAACCATTTAGTTATCCTCATCACTTAAAAAATGAGGAAACCTAGACCCAGAGAAGAAATAGGTTTTGCCCAAAATCACATAGCAATTTATGGCAGAAGTAGGGCCTCTGACTTGAACAGAAGTGAATAAATAGGATAATAAAATGGGTCATACTTGATATCTCTGTTCTTTTTTTTAGGTGATTTATTCTTCTCATACTTCACCTTTCAATTTTTTGACACTTAATTCACTCAATTGACAATTAATTCTTACTTTTCAGACCATTTTCATTTTTTTTCCCTAACACCCAGATGAATAATCCATTCTCCACTTTGTTGAAAACCTTTAAGGGCACAGATCGAATCTTCAACATTTTATTCTCCCTAGCGCCTTTCACTGTTTGCACATAACTCTGATAATTATATGGAGAAGCAACACCCTTTAGTTAAAAAAAAAAAAAAAAGCTCTGAATTTGAAGCCAGACAGACTCAATTTGCATCTTAGCACTGATGCTTACTAGCTATGTTTCCTTGAGTAAACTCTTTGCCATGTTGGAGCCTCACTTCTGCATCTATAAAATTGAATGAATAATGGTATCTACCTCTGGGGTTGTTGTGATAATTGAAGTAATACATATACAGTGCCTAGTAGGGTGCCTGCACTAGTAAGTACTCAATAAATGGTGGCCATTTATATTACTGAATAAAAGTGTGAGTGAATACTTGAATGTTAGAGAGATTTACTCTCAATAGGAAGGTCACAGGGAAGAGGTAAACAGAGGGCCAAGAGGGGAAACTGAATAGCTTCCCAAAATCCCTTTGGGTTTGGGTTTGAGTTTGAGTTTGAGTTTGAGTTTGGATTGCTTATTTGATTTACTGTTGGCTTAAAGCCAATCTCTGGAATATTCTGGAATTGTCAGAGCTGAAGGGGGCTTTAGAGATCACTTTGTTCAAATCTCTCATTTTACAGAATTGGAAAATGAGGCTGAAAGGTAAACTGAATTCAACTTGGTCACAAACCTAGTTGAAGTAGGACCATAATTTCAGTCTCAAAGCATTCCTCTCCAGTACTCCAATGCCTGCTTTTATAAGGCACATCTAATTTCAAACATCAGCACACACACAAAACATACTCCAAAGTCCACTACATCATTTGGGCATTATCTAGCATTTTGGATTAGCCATTCCTCTGCTCCGTTTCTTTAGCATGAATAATTTAACAGATGGATACATAATTTGGGGGAAAACATGAAGATTTAATTCTTAAGTGGTGTGTGTATGATGCATGTGTTTATGTGGGTTTTTTTGTGTGTATCCCTGTGTACATGCTCAGTGAATGAAATGTACAGAAGAGAAAAATTGAAACCATATCAAATAGAAGACTGAAAGCAAGTTCATCAACTCAAAAGCAAACTGTTGTGGCAAGTTGGCTTCATGGAATGGGAGAGAGTAGCACCTTGGATTACTCCCTTTCTTTGAGGAAAGGGAATAGGCAGTGGAAACTGAATGAGATGAAGGGACTTTTTAACTTCTGGAGTTTTTTTGAAATCTCTACATCACTAATCTCTTCTTCTGTCTCCTTGCCATCACATTGCAACTGTCATAGAACCAAATGGCCATTTCAAAGGATCAAAGACAAAAACAAGAGCCTGACAGGAGGCTGAAGGCATCCTAAAACATGACTCAAGAAACATTTTTCTAAGTTGGCCAGTTCAGGCATACAAGGATCAAGGAGACCTGGCAACAGGGAACCTACTGCTTCTAAGCCCACTGGTTAGTCTCATCAAGACCTGGGCTGTTTTCCCAAATGTAGTGTAGAGAAAAAAAAAATTGAATGGAAAGCTATACATGGTTTAGATCACAACCCTTCAAGTTATCTGATTCTAGTCTTTCACTGTGTTTGAGCAATTTTACAACTCTCTAAACTGTGGAAAACTGAGAGCAATGCAGAGTGATTCTTGTCCACAGACATGTAAACTTCCAGTAAATGTTCAAACCCCTGCTCAACTTTTTTTTTTTTTTGAGATGAAGTCTCATTCTGTTGCCCAGGCTGGAGTGCAGTGGCACAATCTCAGCTCACTGCATCCTTTGCCTCCTGGGTACAAGTGATTCACCTGCTACAGCCTCCCAAGTAGCTGGGACTACAAGAGTGTGCCACCACGCCCAACTAATTTTTCTATTTTTAGCAGAGATGGGGATTTGCCATGTTGGCCAGGCTAGTTTTGAACTCCTGAACTCCTGACCTCAAGTGATCCACCTGCCTTGGCCTCCCAAAGTACTGGGATTACAGGCGTGAGCCACCATGCGTGGTCCCCTGCTCAACTTTGAAAGAAGCCAGTGTGCTTCCATTTCCACATTCATTTCAATCTTTCTAATTTATAAATGTGTCTTTCTTTTTTCTTGGGAATTCTCCCTTTGACTGTTTATAACACCCCACACGTTTCCTCATTATTGAGTTAAACAAAATCTTTAGTGTTTGTTCATTTTTATATCTGTATGACAGTCTTAATTTTACAATTTTTTTTTGTAAAATTATCTTTTAACAACAGCCATGCCAAGGATACAAAGGCCCCTGTCTATTTGGTATCTAGACAACATACACAGCAGACAGCAGACTGTAAAAGTTAGGAAGGATTTGGCAAGTCATGATTTTCCCAAGCTTCATTGACTAATCTCTTTTTTGAGCTATGGTAAGCAAGCTGGGTCTCTTCATTTTTGAACATATTTAACTAACCTGCACGTTGTGCACATGTACCCTAAAACTTAAAGTATAATAAAAAAAGAAAAAGAAAAAAAATGAAATGGGTACAATACCAATGCACCATGGCATAAAAGCAGCTCCCCCAGGGCAGCCTGCAAGTCTATTTGCAAAAGGAGCAAAAGGCACACTTAGCACCTGGAGAATACTCCTCCCATCCCCACCTCATCCCACCTCCTCCCTCCCCAGACACACAAACTGCAGCAAAATAAAGGAATTCTGCTGACATGGTCTGGCCTGAACAGAGAAAGTAAACTTTCACAGAGATTCTGTACTCGATGGTTTCAGCAATTTAGGTGCCATTCCTGAACCTGCCATATGTAGAATGGCCAAAGAAAGCTGACTTTGTGAAGCCACCTAGCTTCTTTAATTATGAGTGGGATCCTGGGATGCATGCTCAGTGCTCAGTGCACACCTTTGGGCCTATTCACACCCAAGTCACAAAATGATAAGATAAAACTGTATTCATTAGGGCCAGGAATAGATCTGATATCAAATGGTGATCAGCACAACTTCATGGCATTAAGAGATCAACTTTCTGACATTTCACAAATTTTTAGTAACAACATAAATTCTTAAGGAACATATGTAACTATGGGAAAGGAACTTCAGGATGAAGTAGATGAGGTAGGGTAGGTAGGGATAAGGGGAAATGAAAGTTGGCAGAGTGAGGTAGGGAAACAGTTTAGTATCTGTGGCTCAAATGTCAATTCCTAAAAACTCCCATCTATATTTTCTAGTTTGAAAGCAGCGTTGCCTAACAGAATACTGCATTGTGATTCCGAAAATATAGATTCTCACCTTCTCTCTTTGGTGGTTCCTGTGTGACTTTAGGCTAATCACTTAACTTCTCTGTATTTTTTAATTCTACTTGTAATAGAGTTATATTTGTAAAATGGATAACGCTTTTTCTGAATTGGGAAATAAATCTATAATCATAATAAAAGAAGGATATTCATTAGAAGATAATATTTAAATATAAGCCATTATGAACTATATAATAATTAGTTATTGTTTTGTTGTTTGATAAAGCAATAAATGCAAGTCTGGCCCAAATTGCAGTTATAAGATTTTCCAAAGGCCATGTAAGCTCCTACTAAAGAAAGAAAGCCTTTTAAAATATAGGACCAGTTTGCTTTTTAATTCAATTCCATTACAGACAATAATAAATACAGTTTTTAAGATGAAATGAAAAGCTTTTTTCCTGTTATTATTGCACTAGGTTTTCCTGACCTGCAGATCCCTGGGCCACACCACATACCAACTGAATCAGAATCTCTGAGGGGGGAGCAAGAATCTGCAGGCTATACAATTTCTCCAGGTGTTTCTGATGTACACTGAAGTTGGAGAAATGCTAGGCCAAGGAGATAGGACTAATTTTAAGGAAAGGTAGAAAATAATATCTCAATGGATTTTAAATGACTAGCTTGGATAACTTTTCAATTATTTATGTTTTTTTGAAATCTAATAAAAATTATCACCTTTTTACGATGTACACTATTTGGGTGATGGTTACACTAAAATCCCAGACTTCACCATTACACAATATATCCATGTAACAAAATTGCACTTGTACCCACTAAATCTATAAAAATTTTAAAAATAAACTTATCACCTCTAAGCACATTTGCCATTGACCATGTTTATATTTAAAATCTTCCATACAAACCAAAGGGTCTAAAACTTCCATTCATCATACTTAGGAGTAAGAAGTACCCGGAAAACCACCATCAGATTTATCTTCCTCTGTTTTCCATCTCTCTAGGCTAGAGAGGGAATTTTGGGTGTGTCAGTACAAGTTCCTCCTGGGACCATTCTGAACTCAGATAATAGATTTACTTCAAAATGGGTTGTTGACCTTCTTCCAACTCATTAATGCCTTACAGCAGCAATCCTCATTTCTCACTCCCCATCAGCTTCTTTCCAAACATACCTTCCTGTGATATTTCTCTGACATAAAATGTGTGTGCACCTCAAAAATTCAAAACACCCTTTTCAAAGGTTCATCTAACAAAAAGCAAGGCTTCAAAGAATTTCATTGCATCCCTGTTTTTTTCTTATGTCAGGTTCCTCCTATGCTGAAATGTATACAGCTTTGAGAATCTGTTTGTCTATTGTCTTCACTAATACATGCTTAGCCTACCCTGTCTTTGGACCAGCTAGGAATATTACAACTAAGATTTTTAACAGAATTTAAATAAGGCACTCCTAGATCAATGTGCTATAAATTCAGATTAACAAGCATTGGGAGAGATACTGTTACACTGAACTTGTTTTTCTCTTTTGAGTTATTATGCAGTGGAGAATATTTAAATGAATCTCTAAATATTTGTATGTAGGCAGTTTTTAAAAGCCTGAACTGCTGTTTGAATCTGCCGGAACATTGATTTTTTTTTTTCTAATTCTTCCAACTCACCCTGAGCTCTCTTCTCTGAACATATTCAGAGGCAGCTCTGTAGTAAATAGTAGTTTATTGTTGGGGGTCTTTTCACTCTCAACTGTCTGGACTTCAGGCACCTTGAGGGTGGGGACAAATAATCTGCTTCTCCTTTATCCCTCACAAGCCCTAGCACAGAGTGGATAGTAAGGAAAGACTTGATTGATTGTTCTGAGAAAAATAAGCTCCAAATAAGAATGAGTTCAGCAGTTAGAAGATAAAATGCAAGTTTTAAGTTGCTGTGAAGCAAGTGAGTCTGGAAATGTTAGCATACATACTAAAGTCAGATACACATAATAAAAGGGCTAGTTGTTGTGACCACATCCACAGGCAGATTTCATTTCTTCCTCTGTGCTCCCACCAAACACCTGAGCCTGTCTTTTAATATAGTTAGTTCCACACATATCTGTCATACCCTTTGGGCAATGAACTTCTTGCGGATATGGATTATGCTTAGTAATATCTGTATCTCCAGGACCTAGCACAGAACGTGGCACAAAGAGATTAATTAGCATTTTGCTACCTGTATGAATGAATGTCTGCATGTGTTGTATATGTTTCAGGATTAGGAACCTTTATCACTATTTCTACTAAAAGGATGAGGATAAAAATAGTTTTCTAAGGCTCCTTTCAGATGCTAGTACTATGGTTCCATAAAAATACTGTAGAATTGAGGTTAGTAAAACCCAAACAATATATCTATGTCCAAGTATAATATAACATAAATGAAATAAATTTGGATGTGAAGGATCACCCTATGGTGACTTTGTAGAAAAGAAACACTCTGTTGTATATCATAAAGAAATAAATTTATCATTTATTTAGTATCTACTGCCCATCAGGCATTGTGTCAGGTTCTTTCCCACATATTAAGTATCTTAATTTAATTCTCACAACCATCTTTTTAGATAAGTATCATTAGTTTCACATTTCAAATGCAGAAACTAAGGCTGAGAGGTTAACTTATTTGTTTAAGGTCACAGATAATTAGTAGCAGAGTTAATCCATAGTTATGAAATCATGCCATGTCAGTGTGACTCCAGAGCTCAACTTTGAGGCTTGATGTTATCGTTACTGGCAGAAAAAAGGCGGCACGTGGCTATAATAATTACCAACCCTACTCTCAGTATATAGATTCCAGTCCCATATCTAGGGGTGAATGCTACTTGTGCAAATCACACTGAATAGCCTTTTCTTCAATACTTATGTATAGATGATCTCTGATTATAAACAATATCTGGGGAAGATGCGAGGGCACAAACTAGGCACAAAATGGTAACCTGAGGTGGGAGTTGTAGATGTAGATAACAGGTTAGTGGTGATATTAATAAGAAGGTTTTATCAGTATTTATAGGCTAATTGCATGTTAGTATATAAGCCTCAGGTGAGTTATAACAGCAACTGGTGGAGTCTCTGGAGTCTCCTTGCTGTATGCTTTTGAGCTGCCTCCTCTCAAGATACCATCCAAAACACCAACTACAATTCTGCAACATTGTTCTGCTGACTCCTAATAGCAGCATCAGTTCAGCACAATCGCCTGGTGCTATGTAGCTCCAGCCTAATCTTCCAACTTCATTTAGAGTCATTCTGGTTCCCCTTCACTATTTCTCAGCCACAATGGCCTTCTTTTTCTTTTAGGTCCTTGACCAGGTAAAGTTCTTCTTCTCTTCAGGGCCTTCAAAATATTTTTAAATCCTTCTCGAATGCTGTATCCCAACATTTTCCTTGGCTAACTTCAATTCACCCTTTGAGTCTCTGATTTATTTCCATGGACAAGCTTTTCCTTAGCCACCCACTGGCCCAATTTTAGAATAACTTCCCTGTGCTATTGTTTCTTATTACATCCTATTATTTTCCTTCAAAATGCCTTACTATTAGTAATCATACGTGTATTGTTGTGTTTATTTGTTTAATGTCTGTCTTTCACCTGGATTCTAGGCTCCATGAAGACAGGAGCTATATCTGTTTGGTCATGATCTATTGTATCCACAACAGATGACACCATGCCTAATTTTTAGCAGTGCTCAAATAAATGTTGGATAAATGAATGGGTCACTATAACTTAGGGAAGGTCCTTCATGTGGCCATCAAAGACAAGAGGATTTACTTGCATACATCTAGTCCACAACAGATGACACTGTGCCTAATTTGTAGTAGTGCTCAATAAATGTTGGATAAATGAATGGGTCACTATATCTTAGGGGAGGATCTTCATGTGGGCATCACAGACAGAAGGATTTACTTAGATTCATCTAGTCTACAAAGTGTCCAAATGAAACCTGGTCCCAGAACTGAAAAAAACTGCCCCTCTAAGATTATTTGATTACATCTGTAGTATCAGGCCTAAATTAAAAATTTAGGATTTTTTAAAACAGTTTTTCCATTTTCCAAATATATGCATTTATATATGTATATATATATACGTGTGTGTGTGTGTTACCTCACTTAATAAAGGTAGTACAGCATAGTGATTAAAGGTCAAGACTCTAGAGCCAGACTGCCTGGGTTCAAATCCTTACTCTGCCACCAATTAGTTATGTGACCTTGAATAAATGTTTATTGCCTCAATATTCTTGTGTATAAATTGGGAAAATAATAATAGCAACTACCTCATAGGACTGTTATTAAAATTAAATGAGTTAATATGTGTAAGACACATAGAATAATGTTTGACCAATAATATTAAAAAAAGGATTATCTGTCAATTTAATTCTCATAAGATCTCATGAGGTTGAAATAACTTCCCCCATTTTACAGGTCACATCATAAGCAACCAGTACTTGAACTAGGTCTATGTAGTCACAAAGACAGAAGGTTTTAAAACAGACTCACATGAGGGACAGACAAACAGATGAGGGAACTAGAGGTTTTAAAACTTGAGAAGAGATTAGTGGGGGTGAGGTTGGTCATTGGTGGGTGGACAGTGGTAGATGTATTCAAAAATGTCTATAGTCATCATGTAGAAAAGGATTAGATTTACCCAATATGACTCAAGAGAGTAAATACATTAGCGATGGTTAATTATAAGGAAAGAGATTTTACCTAACACAGAAATACTTTAAGTCAAACACCTTTTCTGAAACTCAGCACTTTTCAACAACAGAACAGTCTGCTTTTTAAGAATGAGGTTCCTGTCACTGGACACATTCAGTCTAAATGGCTGCTGTGAATATTATTAAAAGGATAACTTTATTGGGAGAGAAGCTGGAAGAGATAACCTCAAAGAATCCTATGTACTCTCAGACTCTATAATTGAAAGATAATAACTGAAATACAACAACACATACCATTTATAACACCCAGAATGAAAATGACAGAAGACAGAAAAATTCCTGCTGAGAAACACATTCTAGCTCCTGTCTGACAACTCCTATGTACTTAGATGTACACTTGCCGACAGGACATGATGTTTGGCTGAACTGGTAGTTTGAAAATCCTAGGCAGTCTCTGATGCTTCTATTATTATTATTATTATTATTATTATTATTATTTTTATTGACTTTTAATTCAGCTTATAAAAATGAACCTTATTTATTGTGCTTCTACTGAATACATATTTAATATAAATATAAAGCTCCTAAATACTTTAAAACATTTAATTGTCATGCTAATGTCAAATTTGGTATAATTGTCGTATGATTAAAAAGGCAGGTGACTTGAAATGAGTCAAATGGCATCTTCCAATCTGGAGCACTCTCAAAGTATACATACTAGGAGCATTTCAATTTACTTGATAGTGATGACAGAAGAGGAGTAAGTGCCACTGAACTGAACCATCGTTACTTCCCCATCCCCCCATATACACACACACACATTTAGGTGAGAAGTAATATTTAGATGTATCTTCGTAGCATTACCCTGAGGGAATGTGGTGAGCTACACACATGGGTCAGCTTAATGTCCCCATCACTAGTACCTGAGGTGTACAGTAATAGCTACAGAGAATAAAGGCTTTCTCCTCTCTGGGGAAATAATCATAGCTCAGTATTCACACTCCCTTAAAATATTTTAAGTCAAACACCTAAAATCAGTGACTGGCAACAGCTTAAAATAACAAAACCAAGTAGATACAGATTCTATACATATCCCCCTTCCCTTTTGACTAACACATGCCTGCCTTGTGAAAAGCTTTAGACTTTATTTTCATCTATTCAATATTCACCAAATTCTGTACTGAGCCTTTCAGAACTGTGTTTTTGAAAGGATCACAGGCAATAAGATTTGTTTTACCTTGGGCTTGAGCCTTATTCCAGAGGACGGCCTCACTACATCAAGGAGAAATATCTGGTTTAAAAACAACAAGCTTGTCGCAATGCCTTAAAATTCACACTACTGAACACTGTTTTGCCTTGAGATATTGAAGTCTCATTTATTAAATCAACAAATAATTGTGTCTAGTAAGTTTCAGACTCTGTGCTAAGTGTTGGAGAAAATCAAGCAGATCAATTAAATATCTTAAAAACCTCCAGAGATAAATTTGTCCACAGTAAGTTCTACACACAAGCCTCTTTCAAAATGTCCAAAAACAATTTGGTGTCTCCAGAGCAACTGTTAACATGTTGTGGATAATGCCTGTTAAGATTAGATATATTTATGACATGTTTATAAACCTCTTCCTTGGGAGCCGAAAGAATGAGTGATAGAAGAAGAGAAACTACAGGTATACTTATATGTTGATGTTATGTTGAGGGATATAGGAACCAATCAAATAAATCTCCTCAGCTTTAGAACATCTCCTGGGCTTCTCATGACTAAGAGAAGAATCTTCAAGTCCACTAAGTGCTTGAGAATTCTGTCCTCAGAAGCCAAGGCCATGGGTCCAATCTTATGTTGGTTGGTGATGTTCACTCTGCTTCATGGTCACAAAACATTTAGATTTAGAAGCAAGATTAGATTCATATTTTTACCATTGCTTATTTAAAGATGACCGCTTTAAAAAGTAATTCAAAAGATGCTTTCCCAATGTCTTGTTGATTTTTAATAATCACCTTGAACTTCTTATTTCCAATGAAATTTATTTTCTTAATACCAATCATTTTTAATGTTATGCTTTCCATCTGCTTGTCATTTGGGGAGATTTATATCACCTTCTAGGGGAATTTTTTTTCCTTTTCTACTCAGCTAAGGCCAGAGGAGATGAAAGTTCTTGATTCAGACAAATGTGTATTTGAAACCCCACTCTGTCACTCACGAGCTATAAGATTTTGGCTAAGTTACTTAGCATCTCTAAGGACAGGTTTTATCATCTGTAAAATAGGGATAATAAGTAGATTTTTATTAGAATGAGATAAGCCATATAAAGCACTTTATCTCAGGACTTGGACCTACTAGGTGATCCATTAATGGCTGCTATTACTGGGTATTATCATGCACTGCAAGTGGAGGTTAAACGTGGAGGAAATCAACTCCATAATTTACTAACTGTGTAATCTGGAGAAAATTGCTTCACTTCCCTGAACCTTGGTTTCTTCATCTGTGACATCAGGATAATAGTAGTGTTCATTTACATGTGTTAAGGATTAAAGATAATATAATGCATACAAATTCCTTAGCACATAGTAGGAACTCTGTAATTATTAGGTTAAAGTATGCAATAGCACAACCAAAAATCCCTTCATTTTAATGAGGACTCTTTCTAAATGGTCTGGTTGCTGGATTTAAGTCATACAGTCAATGAAGTGTTGACTCCTACACTATTATAGGAGTGAAATTAACAAACACTGTTCTCCATAACTAAGTGACAAAGAACTGGCTTCCCATATTCTAGGGACATGATCTCATCTAGTCCCATGTCCTCATACAGATTATTCCTAAATCTACATTTTTGCCCTTATTTCTCCTCTGAGTTCCAACCTCATATATCTACCTATCTCCTTTAAATTTCTACCTAGATGTCTATTAGGCATCTCAAAATTAATATGGCCTAAAAAAAATCTTCACTACATACCTTGCCAAAAACCTATGGCATATCATTTACTCCATTCTTTCTCTCATCCTAGAGTCCTATTGAATCTACATCCAAAGCATATTCTCAATATATGTACCTATTTTTCTCTGTCTCAACTGGCACTATTCTAGGCCAAGTGTCCATCATCTCTCTCCTGGACAACTACTGGAGCACCTTAACTTTTCTCCCTGCTTTTATGCTGGGCCTTCATATCTTGGCCTCAATCACGTATTAAATGTGGGCCTCTGATAGGGTTAAGGACATGCCATCCCAAAATATAACTGTTGGAGACCAGAATATGCCACTCCAAATTATGCCTCTTTTGCATAAGGATTATTGAGCTGGTTATTTTCAGAAACTGCAGACACAGGAGAAGCTCTGCAAAGTTACCATTTTGTAAGAGAAATTTACATCTATAAAGGAAATCTTATTTTGTAATGGTGTCTCCCTCTTTGTGCCAAGAAGAAAGGGATGACCAAATCACTAGAGACTCTTGATCAGTGGAGAAGGCATGGACTCAAATCCGCATAATCAATCTTACCTTTATTTAACAGTGCTTTTTTTTTTTTTTTATTTGGCCTTCTGGTCTTAACCAGGCCTTTTCCATACCCTTTTTTCCCTGTTTCAGAGAACTGCTGTATTTAAGCCTTAGGTCTAAGACAACTCTTTAAAATTTACTAATTTCTCTGCTTTTTTTTTCTCATGTATACATGAAATGTATAAGTTAATAAACTTGTGTTTGCTTTCCTTTTGTTAATCTGTCTTTCATTACAGGAGTCTGTCCCGACTAAGAACTCTAGAGGGTAAAGAGAAAATTATTTTTCCTCCCTTATACCTCCATGGGAAGAGCATAAGGCAGCTCTTGTGCAGGTGAAGCAGTCTCAGGAGGTTAAAGCTGAAGGCTATCTGCTTACCACACTTCCAGTAACAGGGACAATAAGTCTTTTGTTGAAGGGGAATCTGGATCGCGCAACTCTGTGCTCATAACAACAGATATCCTAATTGAAAGCTCTTACCTGGGTAGTTCCAGGACATAAATTTATAATTCTCTGATATTCCCTTACAGAATTATAGAATATTTAAATGTCACAGGACACTTAGATTTTACAAAGATTTTATGGTTTTATTCCAATTATTTCAATGGCTCTGTAACATAAGCATTTCTATACTGATTTTTCACATGAGGAAATTGTGAATCAGAGAGATTATGACTCAAGGTCACACATATAGTAACTGGTGTAAAGGGAACTTAATCCTCTGTTTTGACTCTAAACTCCAGTATTCTTTCTGCTATGCTTCACTACCTCCCTAACCAGATAGTTGAGTTGAGCAGAAAACTTCATTTCCAACCATACTTCTTAACTGAAACCTTTTTTTTTTTAAATTTAACTTTTATTTTAAGTTTAGGGGTACATGCACAGGTTTGTTATATAGGTAAACTTGTGTCATGGGGGTTTGTTGTACAGATTATTTCATCACACAGGTTTTAAGCCTAGTGCCCATTAGTTATTTTTCCTGATGTTCTCCCTCCTCCTACACTCCACCCTGCAATATACCCCAGTGTCTGTTGTTCCCCTCTGTGTGGGAGCTAAATGATGAGAACTGAAGACTCATATACTCTTTTTTCCCTCTGCTTGTTCTTTCTGCCTAAGGGTGTATAATGTGTGCATGTGATTGTGTGTGTGTGTGTGTGTGTGTGTGAGTGAGAGAGAGAGAGATACAGAGAGCGAGTATCTTTATTACTGGAAGTGTGGGTAAAATGGACACATACATTAAGAAAATGTGGTCTCCAAATAATCAGGTTAAGGCCTTCTTGGAAAGACTTCTCTGGTTAATAATATGTTTTGAATAGTATCTTTTAAAAATTACTTGTTCTTTGTGAAAATTATTTAATGATAATGCTCTAAGTAGGTGTTTATCTATGGGACAGGAGTTAAAATTGCATCTAATCCCTGTCAGATAATCCCTTAAAGAGAGCGTCAAGATATCTTTGAATGCTGAAGCACATGATGAAGACAAACTTCTACATGCAGCAACTCTGCATTTATTATTCACATATAGCAGGTAAGAATGGTAACTAAGCTTCAAAGAACTTTTTCAGTGTCAAAGCCCAAAGCCTTGCCAACTGATTTGAGAGGGTGGTCAAACCTTGTTAATTAGTCAGCCTGTCAGCCTGTCAGAAAAATTATGTGAAATTGTAGGTAACAACTCATAAGCAAGAAATAGCTATTGTTAATTATGACAAGGTCAGGAAAGTAAGAGCTTTCTGAATTTGAGAGGATATTAAAAATAATAAGGAAAATGTCTTAGAGTAGAATAAGACCCAAAATCAAATACAGGAAACCATGTCTGAAGAAATGGGGCTTGATGGTATCCTATGAGTTATGTGATGCCCTGGGACCAAAGAAGCAAGTCCCCAGAATTGAGTAGCTGCTGCTTGAGGTTGTCAGTGGCCACTCAGGGCTCTGTTCACTGGCCCATATGCTCTCCCTTCTTTTCAGGGGAGTATCATCTTGAGTAGCTCGTTAAAATTCAAAGTATGTTAGAATCATTTCGTTACAATTCCCTCATCGAGTTGGCCATTCAATATCTGTAGAGAAATTTTCTTGGTTGCCTGAGTAAGTTGGGAGAGCTAAAAAGAGAGGAGATTTTAGAAAGATAAGGTCCCAAAGACAAACATTTGCAAGTAACAGCAGCTACTGTTTAATAAGTGTTTGCTATGTACCAAGAACATCATTAAGTATTGTATGTATGTTATCTAGTTTGTTCCTCAAAGCAGTTCTGGAAGGTAGGTAATAAAATTATCCCCATTTTATGTATGGGGAAACTGAGAAACAAAGATGTTAGGTCACTTGCCCAGGGTCACGGTAGTGCCACTAGATTAAGTGGTTGTGTCACTAGAACTCAGATCTGAGTAACTCTCAAGTCCATTCTCTTAATAACTCAACATAATAATAATAATGACATTATTATTTCTTAACATAATTTCTTAGAGCCAAAAAATTTGGATCATAAAAAGAAAATTGATAAACTGGACTTTATCGAAAGTAAAAATTTCTATTATTCAAAAGACAATATTGTGAAGATGAAAAGGAAAGCCGTAGATCAGGACAAAATATCTGCCACACCCATATTTGACAAAAAACTGTCATTAAGTATACATAACAAACCCCTTCAACATAATAAAAAGAAAATCACCCAATAAAAATGGGAAAAAAGACTTGTATGTATATTTTACAAAAGAAGATATAGGGATGCCTAAGAAGCACATGAAAGATGCTCAACTTCATTAGTCATCAGAGAAATGCAAATTAAAACCACAATGACATACCACTTTACACATTTATAATGGCTAAAATTTAAAACATTGATCATACCAAGTGTTGGTAGGGAAGTAGAGCAACTGTAATTCTCATCCACTGCTGGTGGAATTATAAAATGGTAAAATTATGTGAATTATTTTTACTTTCTATTTAGAAATAATTTTAAACTTTACAAATAAGTTGAAAATAATAAAAATAGTACCAAGAACACCCATATACTCCTGATCCATATTAATCTATTGCTAGCATTTTATCCTTTTTGCTTCATCATTCGCACTCTTGCTCATGCATATTATTTTTGCCTGAACCATTTGAGAATATTTCATTCACCAAGGCTTTTAGCTCCTAAAGACTTTAGTATGTATTTCTTAAGAATGAGAATATTCTCTTATGTGATTGCAGTACTGTTATCAACTTCATTGAATTTAACATTGATAAGATATAGTTATATAATCTTCCATTTGTATTCCAGTTGTGCTTTTTAAAGTGTTTCATGTGCTTTTTTCACTTTTAATTTAATTTTAATTTTTGTGGGTACATAGTAGGTGCATATATTTTGGACTACATGAGATGTTTTGATACAGGCATGCAATGCATAATAATCACATCATGGAGAATGGGGTATCCATCCCCTCAAGCATTTATCCTTTGCATTACAAACAATCCAACGATACTCTTTTAGTTATTTTTAAATATACAACTAAATTATTTTTTTACTACAGTCACCCTGTTGTGCTAGCAAATACTAGGTCTTATTTATTATTTTAAACTATTTTTGTATCCATTAGCCATCCCTCCAACCCCTCACTACGTTTCTCAGACTCTGGTGACCATCCTTCCACCCTCTAGCTCTATAAGTCCAGCTGTTTTGATGTTTAGCTCCCACAAATAAGTGAACACATGCAAAGTGAATCTTTTTGTGCCTGGCTTATTTCACTTAACATAATGACATCCAGTTATATCTATGTTGGTGCAAATAACAAGATCTCATTATTTTTGATGGCTGAAGAGTATTTCATTGTATATATGTACCACATTTTCTTTATTAATTTATCTGTTGATGGACACTTAGGTTGCTTCCAAATCTTGGCCATTGTGAATAGTGCTATTATAAACATGGGAGTGCAGATACCTCTTTGATATACTGATTTTATTTCTCTTGGTTCTGTACACAGCAGTGGGATTGTTGGATCATATGGTAGCTCTATTTTTAGCTTATTGAGAAACCCCCAAACTGTTCTTCATAGTGGTTGTACTAATGTACATTCCCACCAACAGTGGACGAGAGTTCCTTTTCCTCCGTGTCCTCGCCAGCATTTGTTATTGGCTGTCTTTTGGATAAAAGTCATTTTAACTGGGGTGAGATGATATCTTATTGTAGTTCTGATATGCATTCCTCTGATAATCAATGATGCTAAGCAGCTTTTCATATACCCATGTGCCATTTGTATATCTTCTTTTGAGAAATGTGTATTCATATCTTTTGTCCAATTTTAGTCAGATTATTAGATTTTTTTTCTATAGAATTGTTTGGGCTCCTTATATATTATGGTTATTAATCCCTTGTCAGATGGGTAGTTTGCAAATATTTTCTCCCATTCTACGTGCTGTCTCTTCACTTTGTTGATTGTTTCTTTTGCTGTGCCGAAGTTTTTTAACTTGATGTGATACCATTTGTCCATTTTTGCTTTAGTTGCCTGTGTTTGTGGGGTATTACTCAAGAAATCTTTGCCTATTCCCATGTCCTAGAGTTTCTCTAATGTTTCCTTTTAGTAGTTTTAAAGTTGAGACCTTCGATTTAAGTCTTTAATCCAGTTTTATTTGATTTTTGTATAAGGAGAGAGATATGGGTCCAGTTTCTTCCTTCTGCATATGAACATTTATGTTTCCCAGTATCATTTATTGAAGAGACTGCCCTTTCCCCATGGTAGGTTCTTGGCACCTAAGTCCAAATTGAGTTCACTGTAGATGTATGGATTTAGATGTGTGGATGTAAATTTCTGGGTCCTCTATTCTGGTCCACTGATCTATGGGTCCGTTTTTATGCCAGTACCATCCTGTTTTGATTACTATAGTTCTGAATTATAAATTAAAATCAGATAATGTGACTCCTGCATTATGATAGTTTTGACTATTCTGGACCTTTTATGGTTTTATATACATTTTATAATTTTCTTTTCTATTTCTGTGAAGAATGTCATTGGTATTTTCAAAGAGTTTGTGTTAAATTTGTAGATTGCTTTGGGTAGTATAGACATTTTAACAACATCGAGTCTTTCAATCCATAAACATGGAATATCCTTCTTTTTTTGTGTGTCCTCTTCAACTTCTTGCATCAATGTTTTATAGTTTCCATTACAGAGATATTTCATTCTTTTGTTAAATTTACTCCTAGGTATTTAGTTTTATTGTTTGCTATTGTAAATGGGATTACTTTCTTGGTTTCTTTTTCAGATTATTTGCTGTTGGTATGTAGAAATGCTACTGATTTTTGCATGTTGATTTTGTATCCTGCAACTTGACTGAATTTGATTATCAGAAAGGTGGTCAAGGTAGCCAGGCTTTTGTTATTCCTGTCAGGGTGGCAAAGCTCTCCCAGGCCCCATGCATGCCCAGAGGTGTCATTCAGAAGCCAGGAACCGGAGTAAAAAACCTCAGAAGTCTGTCTGTTGTTCTATTTACTGCAGATGAGGTCGCACTCAAACCTTGAGACACAGTCCTTCCTACTCTTCCCTCCCCTTTCTGCAGGCAAAGGAGTTTCACCCCATGGCTACCACCACCACAGGCCCATGGAGAGTACTACGAGGCTACTGCCAATGTTCCCTTAAGGCCCGAGGACTCTTTAATGAGCTTGTGGTGGATGGGGCCTGGCCTGGGACTCTCCCTTTAGGGCCTTGGTCTCCCCTCTGGCCCACAGCAGGTCTAGCAATGCCATCCAAGAGCCAAGGTCTGGAACCATAAACCAGGAACCCTAAGTGCCCACTTGGTGCTCTATCCCACTGTGGCTGAGGTGGTATCTAAGGTGCAAGACAAAGTGCCCTTTACTTTTCCTCAACTTTTTCCAAGCATAAAGAGTCTCTTCCCATAACCACCCCAGCTGCGAATATGCTGAATCTCACTTGAAGCCAGCTAGTCTCAGAGTCTCACTGAAGGCCCATGGCATACTAACTGGATATCGCTGCTGATTATTCAGGGCCTAACGGCTTTTTAGTCAGCCAGTGATAGGTCCTACCTGGACCGTGTCCTTCCCTTCAAGGCACTGGGTTCTCTTCTGGCTCAGAGTGTGTCTAGAAATGTTGTCCAGGAGAGATGGCCTGGAAATGGGCCCTACCCTGCTGTGGCTGAGCCGGTATCCAAGATGGAAGACAAAGTCCTCTTCACTCTTCCTTCTCCTCTCCTCAAGTAGTCAAAAGGTATCTTTTTTGGAGCCACAAGCTGTTCAGCCTGGGGTTTGGGTAGGGGTGGTATAAGCACTCTCTTAGCCACCTTGGCTGGTATCTCAATAGCTCTCCTGGCCCCCAAGATGCCTAGATCTGAGCTCCATTCAGCACTAGAACTTGCCTACGAGTTGCAGTCCAGGTGGCCTAGACTGCCTTTTAAGCTTATTTAGAGCCCCAGAGCACTTTAGCCCATGGTGGCGAGGCTTGCCAAAGCTCAAGTTCTAACCACTGGGATGGGTGATTCCCCTCTAGCAAAGGCTGGTTTAAATGTTCCCTCCATGGGAGGGCATTAGCAGAGTTCAGCCTCGTTTTGCTTTCTGCCGAGACAGGGCAGCACTGAGTTCAATCCAATGTCTCACAATTCCTGCACTTTCAAGTGCATGCCACATGACTGCTGTCAGGGGATGGGGGAGGGGTGGCATCAATGATTCAAGACCGTCTTTCCTGCCTTCTTCCAGCGCCTCTTTCAGAGATATGAAGTTAAAAGCAGGTACTGTAAGTACTCACTTGATTTTTGTTTTTTATGAAGGTGCTTTTTCTGTGTGTAGACAAATGTTAAATTAGTGTCCTTGAAGGAGGGACAATTGGTGGAGCCATCTATTTGGCTACCTTGCTCCACCCCTTCCACAACTATGTTTTAAAACAGTTTGGTTAGGCCAGGCACAGTGGCTTGCACCTGTAATCCCAGCACTTTGGGAGGCCAAAGCAGTGGATCACTTGAGACCAGGAGTTCAAAACCAGCCTAGGCAACTTGGCAAAACTCTGTCTCTCCAAAAAATAAAAAAAATTAGCTAAGCATGGTGGCATGCACCTGTAGTCCCAACGACTCAGAGCCTAAGGGAGGAGAATCAATTGAGTCTGGGTGGTTGAGGCTGCAGAGAGCCATGATCACAACATCACATTCCAGCCTGGGTGACAGAGCGAGACCCTGTCTTAAAAACAAAAAACAAACAAACAAACAAACAAACAAAAAACAATGTTTGGTTGTTTCTTATAAAGGTAACTATACCTATATGACCAAGAAATTCCACTCTTGGTATTTACCCAAGAAATATAATAACATATGCCCACAGAAAGACTTGTATGCAAAGGCTCATAGCCACATAATTATAATAGACCCAAACTAGAGAATACCCAAATGCCCATAAGCTGTTAAACTGATAAAATCTGTGTTATAGTCACACCATGATAAAAAAAGAAAAGCTGCTGATACACACAAAAACATGGATAAAGTTCAGACTTTATGCTGAGCAAAATAAGCCAAACACTAAGGAGAATATTCTACAAGATTCCATGTACATGAAGGTCTAAAATACAGTTATGTGTTGCTTAATGATGGGGATATGTTCTGAGAAATGAGTTGTTAGGTGATTTTGTCTGGGAATTTCAGAGGGTACTTACACACACCTAGATTGTATAGACTACTATATACCTAAGCCATACTGTACAGCCTATTGCTCCTAAGCTACAAACCTATACAGCATATTACTGTACTGAATACTGTAGGCAATTGTAACACCAATTGCAAATATTTGTATATATAAACAGAAAAGGTAAAGTAAAAATATGACATAAAAGATAAAAAATGGTACACCTGTATAGGGCATTTACCATGAATAGAGCTTAAATAGAGCAAGTTGTCTTGGATGTGTCACAGAGTGGTCAGTAAATGTGAAAGCCTACAACATTATTGTATACTTCTATAGACTTTATGAACACTGTATACTTAGGGTACACTAAATTCATTAAAAAAATTATTTAACAGTAAATTAACCATAGCTTACTATAACTTTTTTATTTTATAAAATTTTTAAATTATTTGACTTTTTTGTAATAACACTTAGCTTAAAATGTAAACACATTGTATAGCTGTACAAAAATATTTTCATTGTTTATATCCTCATTCTATAAGCTTCTTTCTGTTTTCAAATTTTTAGTTGTTTTTTAACTTTTAAACTTTTTTGTTAAAAACGAAGACACAAACACACATATTAGCCTAGGTCTACACAGGATTATGGTCAGGATAATCAATATTACTGCCTTCCACCTCCACATCTTATCCCACTGGAAGGTCTTCAAGTGCAACAACACATGTGAAGATTTCACTTCTTATGATAACAATGCCTTCTTATGAAATACCTCCAGAAAGACCTGCCTGAGGCTGTTTTTACAATTAACCGTTTTTTGTGTATTAGGAGTACACGCCAAAATAACAATTAAAAGTATAGAATAAGTAAATACAAGAAACAGTAACATAGTTGTTTATTATCATTATCAAGTAGTATATACTATACATGATTGTATATGCTATATTTTTATATGACTGGTAGCACAGTCGGTTTGTTTACAACAGTATCACCACAAACATATGAGTAATATGTTATGCTATGATTTTACGATGGCTGTGATGTGACTAGGCAATAGGAATTTTTCAGCTTTGTTATAATCTTATGGAACAACTGTTGTACATGTGGTCTGTCACTGATTGAATCATTGTTATATAGTGCATGACTTATATACAAAACAAATCTATATTTTAAAAAGATAGCAAGAAAAAACTCAGTGGTTGCCTGGGGCAAGGATGGGGGAGGTGCTGGGGATTGCCTACAGAGGGGCACAAAGGAAATGTTTCAACCTTAATTTGGTTGGTAGTTTTATGAGTTACATTTGTCCAACCTCATCAATCTGTACACTTAAAATGTATATTTCCTTGTATATAAAGTATACTTCATTAATGAATGACTTTACAAATTTTGTAAAGAGAAAATGGCTTTAAAAGATACCCTGATTGAAGGAAACTCTGGCTCAGTAAAATAAGTGAACAAAATAAGTCACTGTTATTGAAATGGTTTCCAAGAATCAATCTTCTATCCTAAAAACCAAATCCAACCCGCCAACTAGGGAAGTACTTAATGCATAAAGATGGATATGCATTCTTGGCTGTTACACCTACGGATGGTAGCTTTACATTTCCCAGTAAGAGATATTCTCAAATGGGAGACACAGGCAAGCAGACAGCCTCTTTTCTGTTCACATATATTCTCTATTAAAAATAACTCCATGAATTTGATGGCTAGATGGAATGAATCTATCAAAGAAAACATCATAAGGCAAAAAATACCTGAAGTAAAATGAACACCTACTGCAATAAATTAGACTGTTATCTATTCTAATTAGCTTAATCAGATCCCCAATCTAATTGGAACTCACTTTGAATCATACCAGCTTTGAAAATTTGCCCTAGGTCTTGGCCTGGGCACAAGTGCTGTTTGTTGCCTGCCTGATCTGTTGGCTCTGATTGAGAGTGTGGGGCATCAGAGCTTGGCATGAGGCTGGTCACTTTAGGCACTGAAACCTCTTCATCACTCACTCGCTAACTATAATTATTCTCTGATAAAACCGTATCTATTCCTGACTCACAGGCTTTTTCACTTCAGTTTAAACTTCTGGTATTTTTCCTGGACTGAGGATGGGACAGAAACATCTTCGCCATACTCAGGTTCCATGCACTTAAAAAGGAAAAACTAAAACTTAACAAAGATGGAAATATATAGGATGTATTTTTCTATGAGGAAAATATCTCCTTTGAGGAAACTCTCTATAATTACCCCAACTCTCTCTCTCTCTCTCATGCACTATTTTTTTAATTGTAAAATATAGATAACACAAAATTTACCATTGTAACCATTTTAAGTGTACAATTCAGCGCCCATTAAGTACATTCACAATGTTGTATGACTATCATCACTATCCATTTCCAGAATGTTTTCTTCATCCCCAAATACCTCTTTTAATGAATAATATTACCAATATTTATCTCCTTGCTTAAAAACTTGTAATTTCTGCATAAGCTATTTGCTCCCTACAATTAACTGATTTAAAAGAGAGTTCACCATCAGGCTTCTTTCCCATATTTTTTTTTCTTTCTAAAATCTTTAAAATATTTTGAGCATAAAGAACCAACCCATTTTAAGCAGTGGCTCAAAATAGCAGTTTACTCACAAAGAGATTATGGCACAAGGGGTGTGAAATTCTCCCATGTTTCAGGGGATGAAGTTTAAGAACAGATCCTAGAGAGGAGTTGAGTTTGTCCCTACTGAACTCTGCCTTTATTTCCGGAAGTTGCCACCGTGTAATTTGTGGTGAATCATCAAGCTAGAATAGCAGGCATGGCAGTTTGGATTTTCTTAGACATAGACAAACCAAGAAAAAACTGGTACAGTCCACACTATATGCTCACTAATATTTATCTTTAAAGTTATTTTAAGTATAATAAATTACTTAAAGTTAGTAAATAATTAGGTTAGCCATGCAATTCCACATAGAACAAGTGGGAAACAACAGATATCTGTGAAGGTTTTCTAATTTGTGCTTTATGTATCCTATTTCTCTCAACAGGCTGTCCAATCATTTTAAAAAGAACTCTGGTTTTATCTATCCCAGATTAATCACAGTTTTAAAACAATTACATTTCATGGTTTAAAATGTTCCATTGACACTTTCTTGCTCTTTACTAAAAGTGAGTAACAGTGAAGTCACAAACATATACTCTCTGCTTTTTTGTTGGATAAAATATTTAATTTCTGCCTAGGTTTTAACTTGAAGTTCTGCTTTGCTTGCCCACTTACTCTTTCCTTCACTATGAGTTTCCAAGCTGCCTTTTAAACTAAAGGTATGTCTGTCCTTAATGGTTTTAAAAATTCTCTCAGAATTGCTTTCTTTTGGTGAATGAAAAATCTTTATTTGACATTTTAAAGCTTGATTACTTAAAAGAGCCACATTGCACCATTTTGTAACAAAGACTACCTTGGCTTGAATTAAATTACATGGGAAGATATCTGCACCTAATGAATATCGGATTTATTTTAACTCACCTGATTCTTAAAAAATATAAGATAAAAAATAATACAAATATAAATTAAATAAACATATAAGAGGTTTCTCCTCCTGAACCCATGAATCAGAGTATTCCCTTAAATTAACCCATCCTATCATTCCTTCACAGTTTAGCAGTTCCCTTATAAAGCTTCTTCTGACTAATCCAGATTGCAGAGCTCTCTTCTTTCTCTGAATACCTACAGCAGTTCCATAAGCTCTTTATACCATCTTCACACTTCTGCCAAAGACAGCTGATTATATTATTCCCCTACTCAAAAGCCTTCAGTAACTCTCCTCTGCTTCAAGAATAATTCCAGAATCTTTTAAACAAAGCAATGAAAGACCCTTATATAATATGCCCCAATCTTCTTCTCTGCCCTCAAAACCCACCCTGGACTACTATAAGAACTGTCCTCTAGTGATACAACACAGCTGAGAGTCCTTAAATATGCCATACAATTGATTTCATACCTCTGTGTATTGGCCCATGTTTCTTCTAACTGGAATGCCTTATTTCCTTTTTTTTTTTTTTTTTTTTTTTTTTTTGTCTGCTGAATGTCCATGCATCTTTTAATACCTGGTCAAGAGTCACTTTCTTTGTGAAAAACTATCTGACGCTCATAAGCAAAACTAACATACTATAAAGTTATCATAATTAAAAGAACATGGTGCTGGCATAGAAATAGACAAATATATCAATGAAACATAACAGAGTTCCAAAACAGACACATATATACATTAGAATTTAATGTATTGGAAAGCAGAAATTTCAATTAAAGAATGCTGATACAATTGACCATTTGTTATGAAATAAATGAAAAAAAGCAAAAACAATCCATACCACGTACCATTAAAAAAAGCCAAACTGATTCTTAAAAATGAATCATAAAATATTATTGCATAAAAATAGAACTGATTAAACTATCTGTATGGCTTTTTAGTAGGGGACAAAGCTTTTTTTAAAACAAGTGAAAAAATACTTCAATAAAAATATTGATCACTTTTTTAAATTGACAAATAATTGTACATTTATGGAGTACAGAGTGATATTTTGGTACACACAATGTGCAATGATCAAATCAGGATAATTAGCATATCCATCACCTCAAACTTTTATCATTTTTTGTGCTAGAAACATTCAAACTCCTCTTTTCTAGCTATTTCAAAATATGGAGTAAATACACAGCTATTTCAAAAATATGAAACATTAGAACTTTATTTCTCCTATATAGTTGTAGGTTTGTATGCTTTAACCAACCTTTCCCTATTCAGCTCTCCCTTATACCCTTCCAAGCCTCTAGTAACTACTATTCTACTCTCTACTTGTAGGAAATCAATTATTTTAACTTCCACATATGAGTGAGAACATACTGTATTTATATTTCTGTGCCTGGCTTATTTCACTTGACATATTTATCTCCAGTTACATCCATGTAGCCGCAAATGACAAGATATAATTCTTTTTATGGCAGAATAGATTCTTTTCTGTATATATGTGATATTATCTATTCATATGTTGTTGGACACTTAACGTTGATGCAATATCTTGGTTATTGTGAATTGTGCTGCAATAAACATGGGGGTGTAAATATCTCTTTGATACATTGATTTCCTTTCCTTTGGATATATATCCTGTAGGGGAATTGATGAATTATATAGTGGTTCTATTTTTAATTTTTCTGAGGAACCTCCATACTGTTCTCCATAATGGCTTTACTAATTAGATTCCCACCCTCAGTGTATAGTGTTCCTTTTTCTCCACATCCTCACAAGCATTTATTCTTTTACTCTTTTTGATAATAGCCATTCCAACTAGAGTGAGATGATATCTTATTGTGGTTTTGCTTCGCATTCCCTTGATGATCAGTGATGTTGAGCGCTTTTTCATATACTGGCTGGCCATTTGTGTGTCTTCTTTTGAGAAATGTCTATTCAGATCATTAGCCCATTTTTAATGGAATTATTGGTTTCTGTGCTAAGTTTTGAGTTCTTTGTATATTCTGCATATTAATTACTTGTCAGGTTAATGGTGTGCAAATATTTCTCCCCATTTTGCAAGTTGTCTCTTCATTCTATTAATTGTTTCATTTGCTGTGCAGCTTTTTAATTTGGTATAATCTCATTTACCTAATTTTGCTTTTGTTCTCAGACCAATGTCCTGAGGTATTTCCTCTATGCATTTTTCTAGTCGTTTTATGGTTTGAAGTTTGATGTTTGTCTTTAATCTATTTTGAGATTATTTTTGTATTTGGTGAAAGATAGAGGTTGAGTTTCATCTTTCTGCATATGAATATACAGTTTTTCCATCACCATTTATTGAAGAGACTGTCTTTCCCCAATGTATGTTCCTTGGCACCTCTATTGAAAATCATTTGGCTGTAAATACATGGATTTGCTTCTAAGTTCTCCATTCTGTTCTATTTGTCTATGTGTCTGTTTTTATGCTGGCACCATGCTGTTTTGGTTACTATAGCTTTGTGGCATAATTTGAATTCAGGTAGTGCACTGCCTCCAACTTTGTTCTTTTTGTTCAAGATTGCTTTGGCTATTTGGGGTCTTTTCTGGTTCCAAACAAATGTTACAATTTTAAAAAATATTTCTGTGAAGAACTTCATTGGTATTTTGATAGGGATTGTATTGAATCTATAGATTATTTTGGGTAGTACATTATTTTAACAGTATTGATTCTTCTAATTCCATGAATATAAGATGACTTTTCATTTTTTGTGTATTCTTCGATTTCATTCATCAGTGTTTTGAAGGTTTTATTGCAGAGAACTTTCACCTCCTTTGTTAAATTTATTCCCAAGTGTTTTATTTTTTAGCTCTTGTAAATTGAATTGCTTTCTTAATTTCTTTTCCTGCTAGTTCATTATTGGTGTATAGAAATGATATTGATTTTTGTAAGTTGATATTGTATCCTGCAATTTTACTGAATTTGTCTATCAATTCTAAAAGTTTTTTTTGGTGGAGTCCTTAGGTATTTATATATGTATAAGATCATGTCAACTGCAAACTGGTACAATTTGATTTTGCTCCTTTCCTATTTGGATGCCCTTTCTTTCTTTCTCTTGCCTAATTGCTCTGGGTAGGACTTCCAAAAATATACTGAATAAGAGTGTTGAAAGTGGATATCCTTGTCTCATTTATGATGTTAGGGGTAGGTTTGTCATATATGGCCTTTATTGTATTGAGGTGCATTCTTTCTATGCATACTTTGTAGGGAGTGTTTTTTTTTATCATGAAGACATGTCAAATTTTATCAAATGCTTTTTCTGCACCTACTGAGGTGATCATATGGTTTTTGTTCTTCATTCTGTCAAAGGAACATATAACATTTATTGAATTGTTATGCTGAACCATCTTTGTGACCATGTCTTCTTTATAGGCTTTTTGATGTGCTATTGGATTTGGTGTGCTTGTATTTGGGGATTTTTGCTTGTATGCTCATCTGTAGTATTGGCTTGTGGTTTTCTTTGTGTGTGTGTGCATGCGTCCTTGTCTGGTTTTGGTTTCAGAGTAATGCTGGCTTCATAAAATGAGTTTGGAATAATTCCCTTAAATGCTTTGGAATAGTTTGAGAAGAACAGATGTTCCTCTATGAAAGTTTGGTAAAATTCAGCAGTAAAGCCACCTGGTTCTGGGCTTTTCTTTTTTTTTTGGCATACTTCTTTTTAATCACTGATTTGGTCTTTTTGCTCTTTATTGTTCTGTTCAGGTTTCCTATTTCTTCCTGGTTCAATCTTAGTATGTTGTATGTGTCCAGGAATTAATCCATGTCCTCTAGGTTTGTCAACTTGTTGACATATTGCTGTTGATAATTGTTGCTAATAATCTTTTGCATTTGTGTGGTATAAGTTTTAATGCCTTATTTTTCATTTTTTATTTATTTGTGTCTTCTCTCTTTTTTTCTTAGTCTAGCTAATGGTTTGTTGATTTTGTTCATGTTTTGAAAGAAAAACTTTTCAGGTTGTTAATATTTTGTATTGTTTTTTACGTATCTATTTTGTTTATTTCTGTTCTGATATTATTTATTTTCTTCTACTAATTTTGAATTGTGTTTGTTATTGCTTGTCTGGTTCCTTGAGGTGCATTGTAGGGTTGTTTATTTGAAATCTTTCTACTTTTTTTTCATGTAGGTGTTTATTCTTATGAACTTCCCTCTTAGTAGTTTTCACTATATCCCATAGGTTTTAATATGCTGTGTTTCTATTTATATTTGTTTCAATGCATTTTTACATCCTTCTAAATATTTTCATTGACTCAATGTTGTTAAGTAGAATACTGTTTAATTTCTATTTGTTTATACAATTTCCAAAGTTTTTCTTGTTAGTTATTTCTAGCTTTATTCCATTGTGGCCTGAAAAGAAACTTGTGATTTCAATTTTAAAAAATTTGTATTGTGGTCTAACATATGGTCTATACTGGATAATGTTACATGTTCTGATAAGAAGAATATGTATTCTGTATCTGTTAATGTTCTGTAAATGTCTGTTAGATCCATTTGGTCTATATTGTAATTTAAGACTGATGTCTCTTTGTTGATTTTCTATCTAGATCTGTCCAATGCTCAGAATGGGTTGTTGAAGTCCTCAACTATTATTATATTGGGTTCTGCCTCTCTCTTTATATCTAATAATATTTGCTTTTGATATCTGGGTGCTCTGGTGTTGAGGGCATACATACTTATAATTGTGATACATTCTTGCTGAATTGATCCTTTTTTCATTATGTAATGACCTTGTATGGTTGTTTTAACAGTTTTTGACTTAAAGTCTATTTTATCTTATGTAAATATAGCTACTCCTGCTCATTTTTGGTTTCCATTTTTGTAAAATATCATGTTACATCCCTTCACTTTCAGTGTATGTGTGCCTTTACTGGTTAAGTGAATTTCTTATAGGTGTCATATGACTGGGTCTTGTCTTTTTTTTTTTTTTGGATCCATTCAGTCAGTCTACATCTTTTAATTGGGGATTTAATATATTTACATTCAGTGTTATTATTAATAAGTGATGATTTACTCTTGCCATTTTGCTACTTTTTTCTGGTTGTTTTGCATTTCTTTCGTTCCTTTCTTACTCTCTTATTTATCTTTGTGGATTGGTGGTTTTCTTTAGTGATAATTTTTTATTCCTTTTTTTCTTTCTCATATGTGTATCTGCTCTATCAGTGAGTTGTATATGTTCACATGCTTTCATAATGGTAGTTCTCATCATTTTGCTTCCAGATGTAGGGGTCTTTAAAGCATTTCTTGTAGGCCTAGTATAGTGGTGATGAATTCCCTCATTTTTTGCTTGTCTGAGAAATACTTTATTTCTTAATTTTTGCAGGATAGCTTTGCTGGGTATAGTGCTACTGGCTAACAGGTTTTTTTTTTTTTCTTTTGGTACTTTAAATATATCACCCCTTTCTCTTCTGGCCTCCAAGTTTTCTGCTAAAAAATTTCTAGTTAGTCTGATGGGAATTTCCTTATATATGACTTGACACTTTTCTCTTGCTCTTTTTATATTTCTCTCTTTGTCTCTGATTTTTGACATTTGAGTATAAAGTGCTTAGAAGACCTGTTTTGGTTGAATCTATTTGGGAATTTTTGAGCCCCCTTGATCTGAATATTCACATCTTGCCTTAGACTTATCATGTATTAAACTATCATTTCATTGAATGGGTTTTTTATGCCTTTCCCCATGTCTTCATCTTCTGGACTTTTCATAATGCAAAAATTTGTGCACTTAATGGTGTCCTATCTGTCCAGGAGGCTTTCTTAATTCTTTCTTATTCTTTTTTTTTTTCTTACTGGTTTATTTTAAAAGACCTAATTTTAAATTCAGAAAGTCTTTCTACAGGGTGCCATGTGAGCTAGTGCTTGGTCACTGGGGGACATGCACAGAGTGCAGTGTCTCTGCTGCTGTAGGGGGTGGGGTTGCCAGTGGTGGTAGGTGCAGTGTCTCTGCTGCTGTAGGGGGTGGGGTTGCCAGTAGTGGTAGGTCAGAAGGATCAATTATTGGTCCTTGGGGAGTTTGTGCAGTATGCAGAAACTTTACCACTGGAGGTGCTAGGTTCAGTAGCAGTAGTGGACATTGGATGAGCCAGTCATTGGTCACTAGGGAGCTCATGTGGCACACAGCAGCTCTGCGGCTGGAGGAGGGGGAGTGGTGATGGAAGCAGGCACCTGGCAGGCAAGCCCTCAGCTTCTAGGGAGTGCACACATGGGCTCCCTTGGTACTGTGGGCAGCCTCCCTGCTATGCTGGATTACGTTCTACTTGGGGTATAGGATGCTATGTGGGCTTGTGTGCCAGAATTATGGCTGTACTGCTGGGTCCAGGTGGTGTTGTGGTGTTGCAGCCTTCTGTGTGGGCTCAGTGTGATAATTGAGGGGTCACAGGATGTGGTGATGCATGGGCTATTAAAGTACAGGGAAGAATGTGGTCTGGTAGTGGCTCCTCTCTCAAAATGGTGCCATGCCATAGTAGCCTAGCTCCCAAGGGGCTGAGAGGGGACTTAATGTGAAGTCCTTCCCTGAAGCAATGTAGCTACATGGACTTAAGGCAGCTGCCTATACTTACCTCACAGCTTGGAGGATTGTGGAGTTCCCCTTTAGCTAGGATTGCAGGCATCCACAGCGGCAATAGGCGCTGCTGAGAGCCTCTTGCTTACTTTTTCCCTATAATAGGGAGGGGAGTCTATCATGGCTCCAAGCGAATCCTGGCTGGGTGCTTCATTTCTGTCTGTATGCTGCCATCTCAAGCTTTTGTGTCTCAGAGAGTCTGTCATTTTCTTGCTGAATTCCAGTGTACTCTCACAGACATTCTACTCAATTTGCTGTTATCTACTTGTTTTGGTCCTTCTTTGTGAAGGAGGTGAGCATTGGGCACTTCTGGACAAATATATTGATGATGTATTCAGATCGTTAAATTTAACTTCCTCAAAATTTTAAACTCCTCTATGACAAGATACTCTAAACAAAAAGCAGTAGACTAGGTATAGTAAGTTAAATTATTTGCAATATACCAGATAACATATTAGTATCCATAATACATAACTAACTCCTGGAATTCAATTTAAAAAAAACAAAATTACCTAATGTACATATGGACAAAATATATGAAAATGCACTTCATAGAACAGGATATACAAATGCCCCATAAATATATTAAAAAGATGCCCATTCTCAAGTAAGAAAATGCGAAAAGAACAGCAATGAAATAACATTTTAAACCATCAGATTTCATTCAGATTGGCAAATAATGAATTAGTTTGATGATATCATATGTTAATGAGAGTGGTAAAACATGTACTGTCTTACCCTTCTAGTGGAACCATCAATTGGAATGGTCATTAAGGCAATTAAACACTAAAAATTTAAATGAAATCAGTGTTCATATCCTATAAAATCCAGCAATTCTACTTCTTAGTAGCTAAATTAGAAAATGGCTAAAACTATGTGTAGATATACCTATATAAATATTATTCATTATCAATTAAATTAATTAAATATTCTATTATCAAATATTATTAATCAAATTAACTAAATTATAAATTCTTTATAAAATATTTATAAAATTATTTATAAGAAGTTTATTGGTGTTTTTATAAATTTATTTATAAAAATGATTAATTATAATTATTTCATTAAATATTATTCATTATTAATTAAATTATTAAATACTCATTATTAATTGATAGTTAAGATTAATAAATAATGAATTCGTTTGATATAATATGTCAATGGTGGTGTGGTAAAACAAGTACTGTCATGCCCTTCTAGTGGGACCATCAATTGGAATGGCCACTAAGGCAGTTAAACATTAACAATTTAAATGAAATCAGGGTTCATATCCTATAAAATTCAGCAATTCTACTTCTCAGTAGCTAAATTAGAAAAAAAACTACGTGCAGGTATAAAAATGTTCACTGAAGCACTGTGTATAATATTGATAAACTGTAAACAACTCTAAATAAATATCAACGGGGGGACTAAATGAACAAACTGCAGTATATCCATATTATGAAACTCTATGCAATAATTTACAATGATGAGGCATTGATAAGGCATAGTGTTGAATGAAACAAAAGCCAACTTGTAGATATGTTTGTATATCAAGATACCAGTTTCATAAAAAAAGAAAAAAATTACTATCATATGTATTCTATACATATATACCTATGCATATAAATGCTTAGAAAAATTCTAGTTTTAAAGGGGTGCTAACCTTACCAATAATATACTTATATACTATGTATGTAATTAAGAATTAAAAACAAAGAGCAATAAATAGATTAGGTTTCTTTGTATTTGAACATTATTCACTATGGATTTTTTTTTACCAAGACTAAAGGGCCATTTCCTCAATGTCATAGTTTATAACTGAATATTCAAGGCAAGGACTACGCCAAAGTTACTTCACTTATTACCTTGTTTAACTTCCTTAACATTCAGGGCCAGGATTAGAGAGGGCCAAGGGAAGCCAAGTCATCCACATGCAGAATTTGATCTTGTCTTTATTTTAAAAATTGATGTTTTCTGCTTTGTGGAGTTCTGCATTAAATTTGATTTTTTTTTAAAAAAAGATTGAAATATAATATTATTTGTCTTGATTACTAAGTTCTTTGGTGCCTCCTATATTGTGCACCCAAGGTTAATATTCCACACACTTCACAGTGCAAGCTTTGTGTAACACTTTGAGTCTGGTATATTACACTCAATTCACAGGTGAGGAAGTTAGTCTAAGGCCACACAGCTAGAAAACTAGTAAATAATAGAGCCAGGTTTCAAACTCAGGTCTATTAGACTCAAAACCCATATTTACCATGTCTTTGAGTTTCTATGCAATTTAATTTTGTTTTGTTTCATGAAATCAATGGAGCTGTGCTTACTCCCAATGATAATATGCTTCATATATCTTCTATGTAGCTGTGCTTCACACCCTATTAGGCAATTCAGTCTGTCTTGCCACAAAATTTGTGGAAGTGCTTTGTACTTTGCATTGCTCACTATCTGCCAGTGAAATATGGAAAAAATCTAATTAGAAATAATATATGAATTATGTAGGACATAAGTGGCTTGACCCATACTCTTCAAGGTAAGAATCATAAACCTGTGTAGACTTGAATGTAGACTTATTGGTTTCACCTCATTTTGACAAAGTGGTACTTAAAAGGTAAATCAATGATTGCTTATTGTGAATTTTCATGCCTACTCTGGGCAACAATCAATGAACATGTATTTACTGAACACTCACTTAGTTCTCTTCTCAGTGGTTCTTAACAAAGAGCAGTAGATCCCCCACAGGGGAATTTGGAAATGTGTGTGGATGCTTTGGTTGTCCATAATAAGTTCAAAGGGATTATTTGACATAATTTCAAAGAAGAGAGAAAATATATCTCTGATGATGATTAGGTGAGGAGATGTGGGGAATCAGGAACGATTTTGTGGAGGAGGTTACATTGCAGGTAGGTCTTTTGCATGTTTGGGTATGGGGAGAAAGGCATTTCAGGCAGAGAGAAGAACTTGAGAAAATAACAAAAACAACTCATATGCACTGACTATTCACTATGTTCCAGGCACTGCTATAAGTGTTTTATAGTTTTGTTACTATTATTTTACCATGTAAAGTTAAGGTGTATAAAATGATGTTTTCATAGATATATACACAGTGAAATGCTTGGTACAGGTTAACAATTTAGCATATCCATCACCTCACATAGTTTCCTTTTTTCAATAAGAGCACCTAAAATCTACCCCTTAGAAAGTTTCCAGTATACAATATATTATTAATTATAGTCCTCATGCTGTACTTTAGATCTCTAGATTTATTCATCCTACTAGCTGCTATTTTGCAACCTTTGACCTACATCTTCCCATTTCCCCACTTCCATCTAGTGACCACTGCCCTCTTCTGTTTCTATGTGTTTGACTTTTTTTGTGTGTGTGTGTTTTCACTTATAAGATTTATCATGCAGCATTTTTCTTTCTGTGGCTTATTTTGCTTAATATAATGTCCTCTAGCTGCATCTAGCTTGTAAATGGCAGGATTTTGTTCTTCTTCTTTTTAAAGTTAAATGCTATTATGATCTCCATATCTATATATTTATCTTTATTCAGCCATTTGCCAATGGACATTTAGTTTGTTTTTATATCTTGGCTATTGTAAATAATGTTTCAATGAACATGGGGGTACATGTATGTTTATGAGGTGCTGATTTCATTTCCTCAGGTGTATACCCAGAAGAGGAATTGTTGGGTCATATGGTAGTTCTATTTTTAATTTTTTTGAAAAAAAATGTCCATACTGTTCCCTGATTGCTATACCAATTTACATTTCTGCAACAGTGTATGAAGGATTCCTTTTCTCCACACCCTCACCAACACTTGATGTCTTGCCTTTTTGGCATTAGCCATCTGATATGGTTTGGATCTGTGTCCTCACCCAAATCACATCTTCAACTGTAATCCCCAGTGTTGGAGGTGGGGTCTGGTGGGAGGTGATTGAATCATAGGGGTGGATTTCTCATATATGGTTTAGCATCATCCCTCTTGGTACTATCCTCATGACGTCTGGTCATTTAAAAAAGTAAGTTCTCATGAGATCTGGTCACTTAAAAGTGTGTAGCACCTCCCCCCTCCTCGCTCTCTGGCTCTTGCTTTCACTATGTGACATGCCTACTCCCCCTTTACCTTTTGCCATGATTGTAAGTTTCCTGAGGCTTCCCCAAGCAGCCAAGCAGATGCTACCATCATTCTTCCTGTACAGTCTGAAGAACTGTGAGCCAATTAAATCTTTTCTCTTTATAATTACCTAGTCTCAGGTATTTCTTTACAGCAATGCGAGAAAGGACTAAAACTCCATCCTAACAGGTGTGAGGTGATACTTCATTGTGATTTTGATTTGCATTTCCTGATGATTCGTGATTTTGAGCATTTTCTTCACATATGTGTTTGCCATTTTTATGTCTTCTTTGTAGAAATGTCTATTCAGGTACACTGCCCATTTTTATGTCTTCTTTGTAGAAATGTCTATTCAGGTACACTGCCCATTTTTATTCTGATTATTTGTGTTTTTGCCATTGTGTTAGTTACTAATATATTTTTGATATCAACCTCTTATCAGATATATAATTCACAAATCTGTGCTCTTAATCCATAGGCTACTTTTGCATTTTGTTGATTTGTCCCTTTTTTGTGCAGAAGCTTTTTAGTTTGATGTAGTTCCACTTGCTTACTTTTGCTTTTATTGCCTGTGCTTTTGGTGTCCTATCCAAAAAATCATTGCCAAGATCAATGTCAAAGGGCTTTTCTCTTATGTTTTCTTCCAGGAATTTTATAATCTCAGGACTTACTTTTAGGTCTTTAATGCATTTTGAGTTTATTTTTGTGTATGGTGTAAGATAAGGGTCCAGTTCATTAATACCTCCCTTCAACAATGGGTGGATCATCCAGACAGAATATCCATTCTCTGGACTTGAACATTCAACTTGAGCTACATTAGTTATGTAGTTATGCCAAATGAACCTAACAGGCATATACATAACATTCCATCCAGCAGCAGTAGAATGAACATTCTTCTCAAGCACATGTGGAGCATTCTCCAGAACAGATCACATTTTAGGCCACAAAACATGTCTTAACTAATTTAAGAAGATTGAAATAGTATCAAGTATCTTTTCTGACCACTGTGGTATGAAACTAGAAATCAATAACAAGAGGAAAACTGGAAAATTCACAATTACATGTAAATTAAACAAAATGCTTCTGAACAACCAATGGTCAAAAAAGAAATCAAAAGGGAAATTAAAAAATATCTTGAGACAAACAAAAATCTTGAGACAAGACAAAAAAAAATAACGTACCAACATGTTTGGGATACAGCAGACCCAGTTTTAAGAAAGCATTTTATAGTGATGCATACCTACATTAAAAAAACAAATATTTCAAATAAAAAAACAAATATTACCCCTCAAGGAACTAGAAAAAGAATAGCAAAAGTAAAAGAACCAACTACACCCAAAGTTAGCAGAAGGAAGGCAATATTAAAAATCAGAGAAGAAATAAACCAACGAAAAATACAAAAACAATACAAACAAATCAAGAAAACCGAGTTTTTTAAAATATAAAATCAACAGGCCCTTAGCTAGACTAACTAAAAAAGAGAAGACTCAAATAAATAAAGAGATGAAAGTGGAGATATTAAAATGGTTGCGTATGAAAAGAAAAAGGATCGGAAAGACTATCATAAACAAATTGAGTGAGCTAGAGGAAATGGATAAATTCCTAGAAACATACAACCTACCAAAATTGCATCAAGAAGAAATAGAAATCCTTAACAGACCAATAATATATAAGGAGATTGAAGTAGTAATTAAAAATATCCCAACAAAGAAAATCCCAGGACTAAGATGGCTTTATGGCTGAATTTTATCAAGCATTCAAAGAATTAATACCAATTCTCCCTAAACTCTTTGAGAAGATACAACTAGAGGGAACACTTCCAAACTCATTTTATAAGGACAGCATCACCCTCTTAGCAAAGCTAGAAAAAGACACTGCAAGAAAAACAAACAAACAAACAAACAAACAACAACAACAAAAAACACTACAGGCCAATACCTCCGATGAAAATAGACGTAAAAATCCTCAATAAAATATTTTATGGGTTTTAACTCACTTATTTTTCAAAGCAACTCTATGACATTATGTTAAGGCCATGGAAAACCCTGGTTGTCAGGGCAAAAATTTGGGAAGGGCTGCTGACTTTATTCCTATATTGGGCAGCCTCAATAATATGATCATTAGTATATTAAAGTTTCAGAGAAATTCCAGTGGTAAAATTCTTATTTAATATTGTTTAACCCAGACTCTTACAAACTTGTTTGGTGGAAGAAATATTTTTTATTAATAAACTTCCGTCTACATTAGTGTTTCAACTAAATACATCCTACAAAACTTTGAAGATAACGGGAAATTAAAATAGTTGTAGGGGAAATGGAAAGGAAGATAAAATCTGGGATATAATTTGAAGTTTTCAGTGATCAAAAAAGTCCTTTCTTCTACAAGGTAATCAAAAACTCTGTGCTATTGTTAAAATGGTGTTAAAATGGTAAAGAAGTAACATGATATGAAGAAGAATTATTCACCTAATTTTACCCAATTAATTATCAATCTCAGAATGAGTGTGTTACATGGGTATATTGTGTGATGCTAAGGTTTGGGGTGTAAATGATCCTGTCACGCAGGTAGTGAGCATAGTACCCTTTAGGTAGTGTTTCAGCCCATACTCCCCACCTTCTCTCTCCCCTCTTGTATTCTGCTGTGTCTACTGTTCCCATTTTTACATCCATGTGTACCCAATGCTTAGTTCCCATTTATAAGTGAAAATGTGTGATACCTGATTTTCTGCTCCAGTGTTAATTCACTTAGGATAATGGCCTTCAGCTGCATCCATGTTGCTGCAAAGAACATGATTTCATGGATTTCCTTTATCCAATTCACTGTCAATGGACACCTACCCTGATTCCATGTCTTTGCTATTATGAATAGTTAAGCATAAATTTTTTTAACTTGAAAATCATTCTATATTTCATTTATAGGAATAAACTACAAGGAATAGTTCACACCATTAAAAAAATAAGAATAATAATACTTGTCCTACCAGATGCTAAAATTAACTATTAAGGTAAAACAAAGAGAAGAGTGTGGTATTAGTATGAGAAGTATCAATAGCTGAGACAGATAACCCAGAAACCTACCAAAACATATTTAACAACTGGATTATTTTATAGGTTACATGATAAAATACTAAGACACAGTCATGCCAATTATTCTGCTAATGGTTATGGAGTTATGCCATTTAGATATACATAAATCAAAAAGTTAGATTCTAAACCAAACCTATGCTTTATAACAAAATAAATTCCAGATGGCTTGGAAATGCTAAATGAAGGTAGGAAATCACAGAAATCTAGAAAAGATAAAGGTGAATATTATCAAATTATGATAAAAAGCAAATGTTCTGAGCATAGAAAATGGGGAAACAACAAAGAGGTAAATATATTTTATGCTCTCTTTAGAACTATCAATAGTAAAAATCTCACTGTGCAATCAAAAAACCTAAATTTTTCTCAGGCACAGATTATATTAAAATATTGATCATATGCCAGACCATAAAGCAAGATGTAACAAATTTTAAAGAGTAGGTATCGTACTGACAATATTCTCTGTCCATAGTACAATTAAGGTAGATGTTAGTAATACAAATAAAATAAATACAAATATAACAGGCTGCTGCTTGTATGTGCACACAAGCACAGCCACTGCCCCAAGAAAGTACTTTGGCTAGACCCCTCATCAGAGGATTGTTGCCAGGAGACTGGGAACACCTCAGTCCTGCCAGTGCAGCAGGTTCCTAACCATAAGGGGCCAGAGAACAAAGCTGGGGACCCAATACCAGAACCCCAAAGATAGACCCCATAGCCCAGGAGTGATGAGTTGAGCCTTGGACCCCTGAAATTTTCCAGAAATGAAGCCAGTCAAATGAACCCACCTTATATCAAACCCACAATGGTATCAAAGAATATAAAAGCGAAAAAAAAATCCATCCAAAGGACAGCAACTTCAAAGATTAAAGGAATATCAGCCCAGGCAGATGAGACAGAACCATTATAAGAACTCTGGCAACTCAGAAAGCCAGAATGTCTTCTTTGTTCCCAACTTCCTCAGCAATGCTTCATAACCAGGCTGAAATGGCTGGAAAGACAGACATGGAATTCAGGATCTGGATAGGAATGAAAATTATCAAAATTCTGGAGAAAGTCAAAATCCAATTCAAGCAATCTAAGGAATGAATCCAATAAAATGATACTAGTGGAAAGACAAAATAGCCATTTTAAAAAAGAACCAAACTGATTTGATAGAAAAACTCACTACAATAATTTCATAATACAGTCACAAATATTAACAGCAGAAGAGACCAAGATGAGGAAAGAATCTCAGAGCTCAAAGACTGGTTCTTCGAATCAACTCGGTCAGAAAAAAATAAAGAGAAAAGAACAAAAAAAGAACGAACAAGACTTCCAATAAACATCAGATTATATAAAGAGGCCAAATCTACGAATTGTTGGCATCCCTGAAAGAGAAGGAGACAAAGCAAGTAACCTAGAAAATATATTTGAGGAAATCATCCAATAAAATTTCCCCAACCTCATTAGAGAGGCCAAGATTTAAATTCAAGAAATGCAGAGAATCCTTGTGAGATACTATACAAGAGGACCATCCCCAGGACAAATAGTCATCAGATTCTCCAAGGTCAACATGAAAGAAAAATGTTAAAGGCAGCTAGAGAGATGGGGCAATTCACTTACAAAGGGAACCCCATCAGGCTAACAGTAGAACTTTCAGCACAAACCCTATTAGCCAGAAGAGATTGAGGTTCTATATTCAACATTCTTAAAGAAAAGACATGCCAAACAAGAATTCCACATCCAGCCAAACTAAACTTCATAAGTGAAGAAGAAATAAGATCCTTTTCAGGCAAGCAAATGGTAAGGAAATTTGTTACCACCAGACCTGCCTTACAAGAGATCTTTAAGGGAGTGCTAGATATGGAAAGGATAGATCATTACCAGCCACCATAAAAACACTTTTAAGTACATAAACCATCGACACAGTATTAAGCAACTACACAATCAAGTCTGCATAATAACCAGCTAACAACATGATGACAGGACCAAAACCACACATATCAATATTAACCTTGAACAAGAATGAGATAAATGCCCCACAACAAAAGGCACAGAGTGGCAAGTTGGATAAAAAAGCAAGACCTAGCTTATGCTATCTTCAAGACATGTATCTCACAGGCAATGACACCCATAGACTCAAAGTAAAAGGATGGAGAGAAATCTACAAAGTAAATGGACAACAAAACAACAACAACAAAAAATTGACGGTTGCTATTGTAACTTCACACAAAACAGACCTTAAACCAAAAATGATCAAAAAAATTAAAGAAAGGCATTACATAATGGTAAAGGATTCAATTCAACAAGAAGACATAAAGATCCTAAATTTGTTTCCATCCAACACAGGAGCACCCAGACTGATAAAAGAAGTTCTTAGAGACCAATTAAGAGACTTAAATAACCACACAATAACAGTGGGAGACTTCAACACCCCACTGACAGTATTATATAGATCATCAAGGCAGAAAACTAACAAAGATATTTGGTACCTGAACTCGACCCTTGACTAAAGAGACATAACAGACATCTACAGAACTCTCCACCCAAAACAACAAAATATTCACTCTTCTCATCTGCACATGGCACACACTCTAAAATCAACCACACAAATGGCCATAAAAAATTCTCAGCAAATTTTAAAAAATGATATCATACCACCTACAATCTCAGACCACAGTGCAGTAAAAATAGAAATCAGTACAAAGAAGATTGCTCAAAATCATACAATTTACATGAAAATTAAACAACCTTCTCCTGAATGACTTTTGAGTTAACAATGAAATTAAGGCAGAAATCAAGAAATTATTTGAAACTAATGAAAATAAATTTACAACATACCAGAATCTCTGGGACACAGCTAAAGCAGCGTTAAGAGGAAAGTTTATAGCACTAAACACCCACATAAAAAAGTTAGAAAGATCTTAAGCTAACGACCAGTATCACACCAGCAGGAAATAGAGAAACAAGAGGAAACCAACCCCACAGCTAGCAGAAGATAAAAAACAACCATAATGAGACCTGAACTTAATGACATTAAGAGGTCAATAGCCACACAAAAAATCGAAGACACCAGAAGTAGGCTCTTCAAAAAAGTAAATAAGATTGATAGATCCCGAGCTAGACTAATGAAGAAAAAAAGAGAGAACATCCAAATAAACATAATCAGAAATGACAAAGGAAACATTACCACCAACCCTACAGAAATTAAAAAAAAAAAACCTTGGAGACTATCACAAACACCTCTATGCACATAAAGTGGAAAATCTACAGGAAATGGATAAATTCCTGGAAACTTGAAGTCTCTCAAGATTGAACCAGGAAGAAATTGAAACCCTGAAAAGATCAGTAACAAGTTTCAAAATTGAATCAGTAATAAAAAGCCTAACAACCAGAGAAAGTCCTGGACCAGAGGAATTCACAGCCAAATTCTACCAGATGTGTAAAGAAGACCTAGTACAATTCCTACAGAAACTACTCCAAAAAATTCAAGATCAGGGACTCCTCCTAACTCATTCTATGAGGCCAATCTCATTCTGACACCAAAATCTAGCAGAGATACACACACACACACACACACACACACAAACACACACAAACACACACACACACACACACACACACACACACACAAATTCAGGCCAATCTGTTTCCTTGAGAAAAACAGATGCAAACATTTTCAACAAGGAAACTGAATCCAGTATAGCACATGAAAAATCTAATCCACCACAATCAAGTAGGCTTTATACCTGGGATGCAAGATTGGGTCAGCCTGCACAATCAATAAAGGTGATTCATCACATAAAAATAACTAAAATAAAAAACCACATGGTCATCTCAATAGATGCAGAAAAAGCTTTTGAAAAAATGAATATTGCTTCATCTTAAAAACTAGGCATTGAATGAATAAACCTCCAAATAATAAATGTAATCTATGACAAATTCATAGCCAACATCATATTGAATGGGCAAAAGCTAGAATCATTCCCCTTGAGAACTGGAACAAGACAAGGATGCCCTCTCTAAGCACTCATATTCAATATAGTACTGGAAATCCTATTTAGAGCAATCAGACAAAAAAAAATGCATCCAAATAGGAAAAGAGGAAATCAAACTATCTCTGTTTGCAGATAATATGATTTTATACTTAGAAAACCACATGGTCTCTGCCCAAAATATCCTAGATTTCATAAAAAAACAACAACAACAAAGTTTCAGGATACTAAATCAATGTACAAAATCAGTGGCATTTCTGTAAACCAAAAACATCCAAGGTGAGATCAAAATCAAAACACAATCCCATTCACAATAGCCACAAAAGAATAAAATACCTAGTAATACAGCTAACTAGAGAGTCAAAATATATCTACAATGAGAATTATAAAACACTGCTCAAAGAAATCATACATGACACAGACAAATGGAAAAACATCCCACGCTCATGGATAGGAATAATCAATATTGTTAAAGTGGCCATATTGCTCAAAGCAATTTATAGATTCACTGCTATTCTTATCAAACTACCAAGAACACTTTTTACAAAATCAGAAAAAAAGTATTCTAAAATTCATGAAACCAAAAAGAGCTTAAATAGCTAAAGCAATCCTAAGCAAACAGAGCAAAGCTGAAGGCATAATATTACCCATCTTCAAACTATACTCCAAGGCTACAATAACCAACAGAGCATGGTACAGGTGCAAAAACAGACATATAGACCAAAGGAACAGAATAGAGGTCCCAGAAATAAAGCTGCATACCTACAACTCTCTGATCTTTGACAAAGTTCACAACAACAGGCAATAGGGAAAAACTCCCTATTCAAAAAATGCTGCTGGGATAACTTAGCTAGCCATATAGAAAAGATTGAAACTGGACCCCTTCTTTTCACCATATAAAAAATTTCAACTAAAAATGGATTAAAGACTTAAATATAAAACCCAAAACTACGAAAAACCCTAGGATAAAACCTAAAAAATACCATTCTGAATGTAGGCCCTGGCAACAATTTCATGACAAAAGCAATTGCAACAAAAACAAAAATTGACAAGTGGTGCCTAATTAAACTAAGGAGCTTCTGCACAGCAAAAGAAACCATCAATAGAATAAACAGACAACCTACAGGATAGGAGAAAATTTTTGCCAACTAAGAAACTGACAAAGGTCTAATATCTAACATCTATAAGGAACTTAAACAAATTTACAAGAAAAAAAATTACCCCATTAAAAAGTGAGCAAAGGACATGAACAGATACTTTTCAAAAGAAAACATACATATGGCCAACAAATATATGAAAAAATGCTCAACATCACTAATAATTAGAGAAATGCAAATCAAAACCACAATGAGATATCATCTCACTCCACTTGGAATGGCTATTATCAAAAAGTCAAAAATTAACAGATGTTGGCAAGGTTGTGGAGAAAAAAGAACACTTATGCACTGCTGGTGGGAATGTAAATTCAATCTCTGTGGAAAGCAGTTTTGTGATATCTCAAAGAACTTAAAACAGAACTACAATTTGACACAGCAATCCTATTATTGGGTATTAATACCCAAAGGTATATAAATTGTTCTACTATAAAGACACATGTACGCATGTTCATTGCAACACTATTCACAATAGCAAAGACATGGAATCAACCTAAATGCTCATCAATAGTAGACTGGATTTAAAAAATGTGGTACATATATACCATGGAATATTATGCAGCCATAAGAAAAAATGAGATCATGTCATTTGCAGCAACATGGATGGAGCTAGATGCCATCATCCTAAATGAATTAACACAGGAACAGAAAACAAAATACTGCATGTTCTCACTTACATATAAGAGGTAAACATTGACTACACATGGACACAAAAAGGGAACAATAGAAACTGGGCATTTTTTAGGGTGCAGGTTGGGGAGGAGGATGAAAATGAAAGAACAGCATATCAGATACTATTCTCATTAGCTGGGTGATAAAATAATCAGTACACCAAACCCCGGTGATGTGCAATTTGCCTGGATAACAAACCTGCACATCCATCCCTGAACCTCAAATAAAAGTTCAAAAATTAAAATTAAAAATTAAAATATATTTTGTCTTTATCTAAGAATCAACTTTTAAAGTTTTTTATCACAGTTTTAATTTTGAGATATAGATTCACATGCAATTGCAAGGAATAATACACGGTGATCTTGTATACTTTCTACACAGTTTCCTCCCATGGTAACATCTTGCAGAAACTATAGTACAATACTACAACAAGGATATTAACATTGATACAATCAAGATGCAGAACATTAAAATAATAATGAAGAAATAAATTAATTAGAATAATAAATAAGATATAAAATAAATAAGTATAACATCATCCATATATATGGAATTTTTCTTTTTTAAAATTGTAATTAATTAATATTTTGAGACAGTCTCACTCTGTTGCTCAGGCTGGAGTGCAGTGGTGTAAGGACGGCCCAATGCAGCTTCAACCTCCTGAGCTCAAGCAATCCTCTTGCCTTAGCCTCCTGAGCAGCTGAGACTACAGGCATGCGCCACTGTGCCCAGGTATTTTTTAAAATTTTTGTAGAGATAGAGTCTCATTCTGTTGCCTAGGCTGGTCTCAAACTCCTAGACTCAAGCCATCCTCACACCTCAGCCTCCCAAAGTGCTGGGATTACAGGTGTGAGCCTCCACGTCTGGCCTGGAAATTTTTAAAAAACATATTTTCAGGATCAAGTTAGAAATTATAATGGAATTGTAAAAATACTAAAAATTGGGTGATAATGACAACATCACATACCAAAATTTGTGGGGTTCAGTAAAAGCTCTATTTCAATCTAAATTTATAGTGTAAGTGCTTGTATTACAAAAATAATAAAGGAAGAACATTAAAGTTCAACTAATAAAGTAGAAAAG